>NC_000016.10:78880682-79505682 GCF_000001405.40 Homo sapiens
TCTTGCTGGCGGTCCATCTGAGAGTTCACATAAGTGTGAGTGACTATTTTTTGACAACACTACCTTTGGGAGAAGATGGTTTCAAAGAACTAACTGTATCAAATGGAAAGACAATGTGTTTTCCCAACATGGGAGTATGTTTCTAAGTTGGGATCAGTTCACGATTCAGAGAAATGCTCTGCCTTCTTGTCTATGATATCAGATCAGGTCAGACGTAGGTATAAGACCCTGACTCCTGTTTTCCAAGCACTTTTTTTTTTCATTATGAGTCTATCTTTCGGTCCCCTAAAGCTTCTGGTAATTTTTTTTCTTTTTTTTTTTTTTTTTTGAGACAAAGTCTCGCCCTGTTGCCAGGCTGGAGTGTGGTGGCAGGATCACGGCTCACTGCAACCTTTGCCTCCTGGGCGCAAGTGATCCTCCTACCTCAGCCTCCCAAGGGAGCTGGGACCACAGGGGCACACCACCATGCCTGCCCAATTTTTGTTGTTGTTGTATTTTTTGGTACAGATGGGATTTTGCCATGTTGCCCAGGCTGGTCTCAAAACTCCTGGGCTCAAGCGATTCACGTGCCTCAGCCTCCCAAAGTGCTAGGGTTACAGGCATGAGCCACTGTGCCTGGCCCTGGTAAAATTTTGTCTACATAGTTACTGCTGCCCAGGCAAAATCTGAAAAATGTTAGTCTAATTTAGTTAAGTTTTTCTTGCAGACCAGAACTTCTAGGAAACTAATATACAGGTTTTCTCCAAAATATATTTTCAAGGAAAATCAGAGAATAAAAGTTTCCAATGCATTTAGACTAGAAAATTAAATATTCAACAAACAATTTCGGAGGGCCAACTATTTGCCAGGATCCTTGCTGGAATAGTCTCTAACCTCAAGGCAATTGCTGTCTAGCTTTAAGATCAAGAGTAATTGTGACTTGATGTAAGGTATCTGTGTTGCTTTGTATTACATTCTTCTTAGCTCCATTGTGTTAAATACAGATAGACAATATTTGTACATGATAGGTTGGCTCACCATTAATCACTTAAGAAGTAATAGAATGATCAATGATTTTCTTTCTGGCTTGTCTACGCCAAAATGGTTCTTCTGCTCAGTTGGTTTCTATAGTGATTTTATGGATATAGGCATTTTCTTCTCGAATTAGAAGAACTGACAGTCCAGGCACGGTGGCTCATGCCTGTAATCCCAGCACTTTGGTAGGCCGAGGTAGGTGGATCACTTGAGGTCAGGAGTTTGAGATAATCCTGGCCAACATGGTGAAACCTCATCTTTACTACTAAAAATACAAAAATTAGGTGGGTGTGGTGGCGCATGCCTGTAATCCCAGCTACTCTGAAGGCTGAGGCAGGATAATTGCTTGAGCCCGGGAGACGGAGGTTGCAGCGAGCCGAGATCACACCACTACATTCCAGCCTGGGTGACAGAGCAAGAGTCCATTTACAAAACAAAAACAAAGAACTGACAATAAATAGTTTTCTCCGTTTTGTGACTTATTTTTAATTATTAAGAATAAGTGTCATAAAGCCAATACTTTCTAACATGTGTATAGTATGTTATAGTTTTCAAAGTCTTTGACAATTATACCTAGGGAGCCAGGACAGTATTTGTATCATCATTTCATTGTTCCTGGAAAACAGGTTCAGAGAAGTTAAGCGACTTGCCCAAAATAGCACAGCAATCTGACAGAGCCAGGATTATCTTCCATCCTCTATTTTATTACCTGTGCCTCCCATTAAATCATCCTAAGCTCCACTACAGCTGGAGAAGGTTCTGTTAACACACCATACATCTTTTTTTTTTTTTTTAATTGAGATGGGGTCTCACTCTGTCACCCAGGCTGGCGTGCATTGGTGGGATCTCAGCTCACTGCACCCTCCTTCTCCCAGGTTCAAGTGATCCTCTCTCCTCGCCTCCCGAGTAGCCTCCCGAGTAGCTGGGATTACAGGTATGTGCTACCGTGCCCAGCTAACTTTTGTATTTTTAGTAGAGACAGGGGTTTCACCTTGCTGGCCAGGCTGGCCTTGTATTTCTGACCTCAAGTGATCCACCCGCTTCAGCCTCTTAAAATTCTGGGATTACAGGCATGAGCCACCGCACCCGGTTATACATCTTAAATATAAAGTTTTTACAATGCCACCATTTAAAAAAAAAAAAAAGGGCATTAATGCATTTAGCAAAGACTTCCTGAGTGTCTGCTTGGTCGAGTGACACAAACTGGAACAGAGCATAGCCTGTCTTCCAGGAACCGGCACCAGCGATGTCGTAGGCTGAGGGAGAAGCCACAGAACTGTGAGTGACATGTTTCTTTGGCTGCTCCCGACACAAGGAACTGCAACTAAATTGAAGGCTTGAGGACAGGAAGCACCTTAGCGGTTCGCCTTTCATTTGAGTGGGCCCAGGGTCCAGAAAAGGGTAGATATTCAGGAAGAATTGATCACCTTTTGGATGCCACCACACATGCCTAGGCACAAAATAACTCAGAAAACAGTGATAAAAGTTGTGATTGTGGTTGTTGTGGAAATTAAAGTAGCCTCCCCTCTTAAGCTTTGTGAACTTCAGCAAGCTCCTGAACCCATCTGGACCCTCTCTCTCATCAGTAACGCAGTAACGTAGAGATGAAACCCTAAATGCCATCCGGTGACATCCTGGATTAGACCCTGAATCAGAAAAAGGACTGTAGTGGGAAACTCGTGAAATCCTAAATACAGTCTGTCATTTACTTAATAGTAACATACCATTTTCATAAGCATACCATGGGCTGGGCATGGTGGCTTATGCCCGAAATCCCAGCATTGCGGGAGGCTGAGGCAAGCTGATCACTTGAGGTCAGGAGTTCGAGACCAGCCTGGCGAACATGGCAAAACCCCATCTCTACTAAAAATACAAAAATTACCTGAGTGTGGTGGTGCCCACCTGTAATCCCAGCTACTCAGGAGGCTGAAGCAGGAGAATTGCTTGAATCCAGGAGATGGAGGTTGCAGTGAGTTGAGATCATGCTACTGTACTCCAGCCTGGGCAACAGAGCAAGACTCTGTCTCAAAAAAAAAAAAGAAAAAAAAAGTAATGCAATAAGCGTACCATGGTCATGTGAGATGTTGACATTAGGGGAAAGACAATAAACAGCGTGGAGGAACTCTGTGTACTCTGTTTGTAAGTTTCCTGTAATACTAATATTCTAAACTAAAAAGATAATTTAAAGGGAAAGAAAACCTCTTTATGATAGTAACATCAGTTGGTATAACCATTTTGGAAGACTTGATTTACATAGGATCAAATATAAGTATATCTGATCCCCTAGAAATTTCACTTCTGGCCAGGCGTGGTGGCTCATGCCTGTAATTCCAGCACTTTGGGAGGCCGAGGCAGGCAGATTGCTTGAGCCCGGGAGTTCAAGACCAGCTGGGCCAACATGGTGAAACCCTGTCTCTACAAAAATATTAGTCAGGCATAGTGGCGTATGCCTGTAGTCCTAGTTACTCGGGAGGCTGAAGCAGGAGGATCACCTGAGCCCAGGGAGGTCAAGGCTACAGTGAGCTGTGATTAGGTCCCTGCACTCCAGCTTGGGTGACAGAGTGAGACCCTGTCTCCAAAAAAAAAAAAAAAAAAAACAAAAGACCATTTTTAAGACTATGACTGGTCAAAATGTGCTCATACATTTGCCAAAAGACAAGTACAAGAGTGTGTTTAGCAGCATTATTCATTATAACACACTGAATCATTATTCATGATTACTCAAGACATCTGGTAAACCACCCAGATATCTATCAGTGGTGGAATGGATAAATAAGTTGTAATAAATCCACACAAGAGGAGACTACTCACCAACAAGAATGAATGACTTAGAACTAAATTCAACAATGTGGATTTATCTTACAGAGATGATGTTGAGAGAAAGGAGGAAGATACAGAGGAATGTATCCTATGTGATTATAGTTACAATGAGTTGACTAAAAAGCAAACTATTCCTATTAGAAGTCAGGGTAGAGGATGGATGGGAGCATGAAGTGTCCTCCGTCATGTTGCTAATGTTCTGTTGCTTGTTCAAGCTACTGGGTGTGTTCAGTTTATGAAAATTCATTTAATGACACATGTATGTTTTGTGAATTTTTTTGCATGTATATTTTACTCTAACAAAAAGTTCATGGACAAATACAAAATCATATCTGACAGTTGTTGAGAGAATTAAAGGAAATAATAATAATATAAAGCACAATCAATGCATTCCATTTATTCTTCTGCTTTTCCCATCAATTCATGTTACCCAGTCATTAATGCATACCCTCTGAGACCCCACCAAGCCATCTAGCCCTCAGCTGTGTCACTGGGCAGTTGTTTCTTCCACTGTGCAGTGTTTCGTTCTTAACCAACATGGCACCCCAGGTTCAGTGGTGAGAGTGTCACTGGCAACTTCTGAAATAACATCTCTGTTAGTTTGTGGAGTGGGCTAAATGGCCAGCCCTTCTACGAGCTCCCTCATGGTTGCGGGGGACTACCAATCACTCTCTACTTTTTTTTTTTTTTTTTAATAGGTCTTGTCATTTGTAAATGCAGAAGGAACACTGAAAAAAAAAATACTCTTGCCTTCTTCCATCTGTATTTTCTTTACTAAATTATCCAGTCTTATAAATATTTGAATAACATTTGGTCAGTATAAAATCTTTCCTGTCAGCTCAGTACAAGAACACTTTTTGGCTCCTGAGACCACAACAGTCAGATAAATTAATATTGATTTGTTAGAAAATAGTTTTCACTCTGTCTAAACATCTTATTCTGGGCTCTTGAACCAAAATTATGAATTTAAAAGCAGCAAAATAGTTCTTCACAGTTTTCCCAGTGAAACTAATTATGGGCAGATTGTGAGAAATGTGTTGGATGTGATTTCCAACATAGAGTTCTGCTAACCAAAATTCAGAGAAACTAGAGCCTCAGTCTCTGATTTATTTGAGCAAGTTGCAATTTGGTAGACTGGAGAATTTATGTAAATAGTTTTTGCAGTTTCCATAGGGATAACTCAATACATTAATATCTCACGAATGGCAGAAGATGAAGGGGGAAAGTTTTTTTTTTAACTGATAGTTTGATTTACCTAATAGAAGGATCGGATTCTTCCCCCTTCTTACTTAAGTCTATATATTAAAGAACAGCTGGCTTACCTGCTGTATAAATATGCAGTGTGTAGAATTTGACTCAGTTTAGAGTTGAGTTTTAATCACATCCACGTACAGGGATGGGGATGGAATTTTTTTTTTTTTTTTTTGAGACAGAGTTTTGCTCTGTTGCCCAGGCTGGAGTGCAGTAGCACCATCTTGGCTTGCTGCAACCTCTGCCTCCCAAGTTCAAGCAATTCTCCCACCTCAGCATCCTGAGTAGCTGGGATTACAGGTGCTCGCCACCACACCAGGCTAATTTTTGTATATTTAGTAGAGACGGGGTGTCACCATGTTGGCCAGGCAGGTCTTGAAGTCCTGACCTTAAGTGATCCACCCTCCTCGGCCTCCCAAAGTGCTCGGATTACAGGCATGAACCACTGCGCCTGACTGTACTTTTTTTTTTTTAAAGTATACCCATACCCATTGTACACATTTGGTATTTTTTCTTTAAAAAAAAAAAGCATTTACTTTTTGCCTCATGAATCTCTGAGTACATTTTGTGCATTCTGTATTCTACTTTATTTACTCAATATTAATTATATGAGAAATAAATCCTAAATGTAATTTTGAATGGTGGCTTCACAAAAGAACATTTCCTCTTCTTTTGGACATTTGCTCCCAATTTTAAATAACACATCATTGAACATCTCTGTACAAAATTCCGTATCTGATCTTCAGAGAAGTTTTAAGATAGATGTCTAGAATTTCATCTCACATCTAAACTGTTTTAAGACACTTGGTACACATTGATATGTATTGTCCAATTGCTTTCCAGAAACTATATAAAATATTACAAAGAAAAACATATATATATATATATATGTAAAATATATATATGAAGGGAGAAATAAATGTAAATGAAAAGAAAAACATATAGAGAAAGAATATGTCTAAAAGAAACTGCAGAGGCAGCTATAATTAAAGCACAAGGAAAGGCTATGAAATTCTGGTTCCACCTGCAACAGCTGTATGGTAAAAAGCTTATTCAGAGTCCTTCCTTCTTGGAAAGCTTTGTTAGAGTCTTATGGGATTGTGATGCACAGATACAGGGGCAAGGCTACTTTTTCCTCGAACTAGTTCACCAAAGCTTCTATCCTATGAAAGTGAATATAAAATTCTTAAAGTTTATAGGGTCTGCTGGGTTTAAGGAGGAGAAATTTGAGTTTTCATATTGTCAGTCTCAAACCTTTTCTGAAATTGGAAGTGATGAAGTGACAGTCTGGCTATATGTGTGTGTGTGTGGTGTGTGTGTGTGTGTGTGTGTGTGTGTGTGTGTGTGTGTGTGTGTGTGTGTGTGTGTATACCTAGTCTAGGGCTAGGTTTGGGAACTATTTTCTCCCGTAAGTTAAACTGAACTAGACTGTATGTCAAAAAAGAGTCTCAATGTCAACTTAATCCATTGTCATGACTGTAAAATGCTATTTCATTATACCAGCAATTCCCCTGTGGATTTCTCCTGACTCTCTATGCAGCCCAACTCTATTTTAATCTGTTGTAGCTTTTCTTTCCCCTCTCTCCCAACTCCCCACGTTTTGGAATTATTCAGTGCATTCGCTTCCAAGGCACCTGTTTGATATTTACACAAATTATGAAAGTAAGGTGGGAAGGCAATGAAGGCAACAAAGTATATAAAACACACACACACACACACACACACACACACACACACACACACACACACACAAGAAATGACTACAGACACCTCAACACCCTTCCAAAACACTTGAATCATTTTCTTCGGGAGTTGAACAAGTGGCTGAAAATGCCAAAATCCATCAGCCAATGTGTAAGTACAAAAGGGTCAGATAAGATATATGTGGATTCCATAAAATAGTGCATTTGAATTCCCCCAGGTCTTTTAAAGATAGTGGTTTTCCAGATGTGACAAAACAAAAGAAGATTTCCAAATCAAAATTCCCATTTGCCTTTCGGGATGTTGAATTTTCTCCACATTTGTGCAATTAAGAGTTTTGCTGAGTGAGCTTAGGACTCTGTCTCTTTAAGTGTTTAACAGTAATTGGTTCATGTCCTGGTGTTCATTGAAAATCCTAGACATTTCATGTAAAATCTTCTTAATGAGGGGATGAATTTTTCATTCACATTAGAAAGCTCACTCTGACAAACAATTTCTAAATAAAACTTTGGCGACATGACATCCCACATTGGACTTGTCAGAGAGGACAGGTGCATTAGAATATAACTGTATGGCGATCCTTCAAGCTGTCAGCCATGAATATTTTATTTCTTAATGAATCATCTTTGTGAAATCAACTTTCTTGTTGTAGTGTCAGTGCCATTTACAACAAAAAGCTGGCTCCTTTTAAAAGGTGAGCTCCTTAAAGATGCTGATTCCTGCATAAAATGTTTAACCCTACCCAAGGTGTTGGGCAACTGGGGGCTTTGTGCTTTGCTTCTCCCTTCTGAAAGTGACTTGAGAACCCACTTTGGGCTAGTGTGATTACAGTGAGGAGAAAGCTTTCCTTGATTTGTTGTTTCCTTCTCAGAACTGAAATCCCAGGTACCTGCCCAGAGGCAGCTCCCTTGGCCCTTGGGTCCCTGTTGTTCCAGGTGTTACTCCTATTCTTTTTGTAGTTGTCTAGGGATTTAGTTTCTCACATCCTGAGGTCCACTAGGTGCTATTAGCTGGTGCTAACTGACAGCTCTAGGCAGAAAGCCTTTCTCAGGATCCCAGCTTCCCTGTCTTCCAGAACTCAAAGACGGCTTTTGTTTGTTAGTTTTGAGGATGGAGACAGCTGTCATTCTAATGAGGACTTAAATGTGTCCCTGCTGACCGAGCCAGAACTTATTTTTATGTTGCCACTAGGAGTCTTCTGAGATGCTCTTGTGGCTGGATGTAGAATCCCTTTGCTCATCTCTAGACACAGACTAGACAACGAAATACATTCCCCTAAAATAGCCCAGGGTTAGTTCTATGACCTTTGTCACTGTTGGTACAGTTCTAAGAGGATATTGATTTTTTTTTTCTTTTTAATTCATAGTCTCAACTATGTCTCAAGACTGCCCAGCAGTATTTCTGTTTACTCGATCTAATTTCTCTTCCATTCCTCACAGTGGCAATTTCAAGCTTCTCCTTTTTCCCCAAGCCCCATAATCTCCCCCTGATGCCCTTAGAAAGCTTCCCTGGTCAGTCCTCCTCACCACCTCCAGCTCCCCCTAGAAACTGACCATTTATCCCATCCCGGCTGACTTCTTCCCTTTTACAAGAAGATGTCTCTCTTTGAATTCAACTCAGAGGTCAGCTTCACTGCCTGCCCTGTGGAGTCGACTCTGTGTCCCACCCTTCAGGAATACGGCTTAATAATAAGATGATAAGGATTCGTACCAGGGATTGGCAAATGACAGTCATTTTCTGTTTCCTTAAGTAAAATTTTATTAAAATACAGCTCCACTCATTCATTTATATATTGTTCATATCTAATTATTTTCACACTGCAATGGTGCATAGTCAAATGCTTTCTATCTGGCTTTTTAAGAAGATCTTTGTCCCTCCCCCACCCCCCGCCCCGATTTATACTATGGATCAGCAGCCTAAACCCTGCAAACTGGGTCCCCCATCTAAGAGTCTGCAATGAAACGCGAGCCGACTTGATGTGTCTCAGAGTGATCATTCTTGCCCTTGGCGGTTGATGCTAGACTGTTGCAGCTTCAAATATAATGTATTTTAGTGCTATACGACAGCCATAAGTATTGGCCTGTGTCCACTGGTCTCCACTAGGAGAAAACCGAGCCAAGCTTGAAAGTACTAAGCGTGCCCAGGGGAAATGGAATAAGCTAGAAATTTGTTGTTTCCTTTTCACTAGGTTTAAGTGAGAATATTTGTGAGCAAACTCTCAGTGTGGGCAGGTGACAATTTCTGCAGGTATTTTCCCCCCATTTTAACTTGTGCGATATAGTTCCCTATTTTGTTTTGTTCCGCCTCGATCACAACAGCTGCCACCCGAGGTTTAAAGATACTGTTGTCCTCATCTTCAGAACAAGGGTTACGTTTGCTGTATCTGGAGAAAGTCCATAGTTTATGATGAATTTTCTATTAATGTAAACTCCCACTGTTTATAAGTCACCCAAATTGTTGGTATTAAATTAGATGTGTACCATCTTATGTCTCTTCTTTCAGAAAATGAATCTCTGTTTTTTTTTCTCTTTCTCCTAAATGTTAGGAATTTTCTGAAGTTTGAAACCAAGTGGCACAAAAACATTGCATTTATTACATAATTGCTCCTAGGGAAATACACATACACACACATGTACACACATACACATACACACATTTTTTCCTAAACAACATCAATGTCATAACAGTTTTGAAGCACATATACACACTGACACATAGATTTTGTAAATGAGGCACATCTATTCTTGAAATGCAATTGCTTAAAAATGGAAGTTCTGAAAATAAATAAAAAGAAACATCAATAAATAAAAGCCCCATTTTCATATTCTTATTTGACCTCTTGCCTCTCCATCATTCTTAAATTTGACCTCCATCATTCTTAAATTTGACCTCCATCATTCTTAAATTTGACCTCCATCATTCTTAATCCTCATGTTCTTAATGGACATCCCTCCCACCCTATCTGGGCCTTCTGAGACTGTTCCCCCAGCCCCAGTCAGGAGGGCTTGTCCACAAGTTGCTGTCTGAACTGGGCAAGCCTCCTGGCTTCCCTGAAATGGTGCTGATGTCTTCACTTCCTGCCACCTTGGCAACCTTTGTAGTTGCTCTCTTTTTGCCAGGGGAACAAATTAAGAGAGAGAAGAGTGATAGTGTCTACATGTGGTCTGCTCACTCAGCCAGTATTTTCCACAGCCAGTCTTTCCCTAGACCAGCATCTGAGCGTGCCTTGTCTATGGGCCACCTATACTATTATTTACTGATGACTTCCTCATTCACTTTCTGTTTTTTATCTAAATGCCAGCCTTAGCCTTGTTCAAGGTAACAGTATACAGGAAATCATGGGTTTCGAGCATGTTTTGTCAATATTTAGTAAAATGCGTTCATAGCTATTATTATAAAGACTTTAGGTACATTCCTGCACCACTTAATAACTGAATCAATCTCCTTTCATCAGGGGGAACAAACCTGTCTTTGGCTCACACTGTTTGAGGATATAAAAGGAAGCATACAGTGGGCCTCATTCTGACAAATTTTTAGTAAATCACAGGTTGCCTTTCCTAAATCCCTCAATATGATGGCTAGTCTGTTTCATAGTGAATAAAAAGTGATCCTGGATGAATGAATAAAGTGAAATTCAGATAATTTTTCTCAAAACTGAAATTGTTTAAATCTTCCTTTAGTTCTCTTTTTTCTGCCTGCCCCTTCTTTCATATACCCTGTTTTTCACCTCTTTTGTCTCAGTCCCATCTGATATTTGAATAACAATATGTAATTTCAGGTTTAGGATTGTTGATCTGTAAATCTCAGCCTAGTGCTTTCAACTCCTGGCTTTCTCCTAAGTTCACCCTCCTCCCTTCCCTCCTTTCTGTAAGGACTCTAAACGATTGCGCTTCATTAAGTTATTTTTATAATGAGTTCCTGTTACCAGGGAATACAGAGTTAAAAAGGTGATCTCACTAAAAGTAATTAGCATAAGACCTGCTGGACCTGTAGAAGTGACTGGATGGTAATCAATAGCAATATGATTACACCCATGCAGCAATTATAAATTATTTAAAACACTACCCCTAGGTTACTGACTAGTTGCCTTTAAATTAAATTCTCTGTCGATAATTGATGCAAAGAATTAATGTGAGAACACCTTCAGTTACTGCAACTTTTTCAAGGTGGCATAAAATATTGAACTATTGCCCGTCATTAGCAGCTAAGCTGTCTGTTTGCTCTAACATCCTTCTTTTCTAAATTGGTCAAGAAAGAGTCTCAGATCTTGAAAGATGACAAATGATTTCGAATCCACTGCTGGGTATTCTTCTAAGAGCACTGAAATGTCCCAGTGAGAAATTTCATATATGAAGGCAAAGGAAAAAAAAATTAAACTTTAAATAATGACCAGTTATACTTCATCAACTCTAACAAATGAAGGAGCAGAGTTGGTTTTCCGGAGTTTGCTTCAGTTCTTTGATATGGTCAGTGTAGGTCGGGGAGGTCTTCCCTAGCTTGAGAAATCATAACCTAGGATATTTAAGCTGTCAGTAATAGTGTTTTAAAACTCCAGGCCTATAATAAAGTAAAAAGTGTGTCTGATAAAATGGGTTTTTTTCCTTGCTTAGTGAATGTCTTCTGTTTCTCGCTAAACATTGTCACTTGCCAAACCATGTTTTCTGTTTCATACTAATTTTCTACTGGCAGTGAGACCAGCGGAATCTAAGAAATTGCATACGAAATTCAAGGATTGGAAAGAAGAAGAGGAAGTCAACCATTAGCAACCCTAGCTCCTCTTTAATCTCAAGAGGCAAGAGGTACTCGATGAACCACATGCTAAAATAAAAAAAAATGAACCACATGCTAAAATCAAATGGCTTCTGCACCTGTGTGCGTTCCTGGACTCTGGGGTCACAGGATGGCTGATGAGATGCCTTCGAGAAATTAATACTCTAATGAGGGAAACATCCTTTCATGTTGGTGCAAGAGACGTTCTAGGCCTGGTTCTACCTCTAGTTGGAACGGTGGTCATGGACAGGTCACCCCCGCTGTCCAGAACACATGTCAAGAAGTGGGAGCTGGACGACAACATTCTTGTTCAGAGCGTTCTTCCTCCACATTTTATCCAAAGCAGCTCCACTTTTACCTGTGTTATCTACTGAGATTCTGCGTGTGTGAAACACAAGGTCACCTGCCAAAAGCAAAACAATTAGGCCAGCATTGGGCTAGGTGAGGATCCATTGTCTTTTGGGCAGGTGATTGTGATACTATAGGAGCCGGTGTCCTGTTGATGGCATCCCACAACTTTCTAACCTCTGTTGTAGAGTTTTGTTAGCCACGATTTGGACCAACCTGCAGTTAGGCCAAGGGCTGCTGATCCAATTGGATTAAGGAACTCTGCTGTTTGAGCATGTTGGCTTCATTCATTGGTATCTCCTACGCCAAGTCCTAGGCTTGGTTACAAAGGGCAATGAAGGGTCTTTTCTGTCCTTAAGCACTCACAGGTAGCTTAACAGTAATGCCTTGGATTCCTTCCTTCAAGAGCGACAGCAGGAAGCCCAGCTTCTCTGGTAGCAGAGCAGGGGTCCTCAAAGCAGACCGTGAGGTCAGAGGAGCACTGGAGTCAGGAGTTTCCATCTCCACCCTGCTGAGTAAACTGTAGTTACCCACACAGAAAAGGAGGCTCTCCAGGCTGACAGGGTCACAAAGACACACGACTATGAGATGGAATGACTATAGCTAGAAAAAAAAAAAAGTGGGGATGCCCCTCTTGACCATCTTATGCCTGAAATAAGGGAAGACATTCTTCTTTTTTATCTGCCAACCTCCCAGTGCCACAGTAAGCACAGAGTCAGGCCTCGAAAAATACCAGTCCTTTCGCCTGTCCCCTCTCACATGGTTTGAATCCAAGAGGCTGTCATACCAGGCTCCCCCATTCAGTATATTTTCTTTATGTTTAAATAGTTTGGATTGACTTCTCTTTTCTTTTATTTTTCTGTTGCTACTTAGGAAACCATCTCCAGGCTAGAACAAGTGCCTGAAATAGAGAAGGGTGAGGTCACTGCCTAAGACACTTCCTCCTCCACCCACTCCTCTCTCAGACTCAGCTCCTTCCACTTCTGCCCACATGGCTGCCATTTTAATTTTTGCTTAAATGTTGCAGCCAATATTTCATGTATTGTTGTTTTCTTCCTTGCCTGGGAGACTCTTTTGTCTGAGGTTCCCTGGTATTTTCCAGGGGCCCTTCTAGCACTTCTGTGAACTCATTAGCTTCCCCTTGTTCCAGAAAATGTCTGTCATACATTACGTGCCTTTCTCTGTCTTTCCCTGCCCCTCTCACCTTCATCGATCACACTTTTGCTTCACAGAGGTAAGAGGAAATCACACTCACACAGTATCTTTTGTTTTCTAGCAAGCTAGAACACAAGATTTTCTAGATGCATCTTTTGAGTTGATATGCAATATTTTCCTTGACAGATTTGTTACCAGCTGAGCAGATATTGTGTCTGTGATGTATTTGAGTACCAGGTATCCCTGATTACCATAGAGTAATGTCTTTTATTGAGGCTTTTATTATTATTATTATTATTATTATTATTATATTTTGAGACAGGGTCTTGCTTTCTTGCCCAGGAAGGAGTGCAATAGTGTAGTCATGGCTCACTGCAGCCTTGACCTCCTGGGCTCAAGCAATCCTCCCACCTCAGCCTCCTGAATAGCTGGAGCTACAGGCAAGTGTACTGTGGCAATTGTTAATGTTCACTTTTATTTCCATAGTTAGCCTTGATCGTTTAGTTTTAAAGAGTTATACAACACATACACACACATCTAATTGTTGTGTTATTGGGTTAATGGGAATATTTTAGACTCAAGCCTGGTTCTTTGCTTCTCTCCAGCACAGCAAAGGATACACCTCCAAGTATAATATTGAACTTCAAAGTTAGTAATGTTCAGTGATGCTTAAGCATGTAGATCATAAAGTCCTAGACTATTTTTTGTCTAAATTATTGTTTGTAGTCAGCCTCTCTACTGGTTGGAAACACAGGCTTGAGTTTGGCTTTCTGCTCTACCTAGTTCATTGCTGCAGCTGTAATCCAGCCTGATTCTAATTTTCAACTGGAGATGGTTGTCTTCTTTTTTATTCCATGAAACAAATTGATTAATGTGTCGAGGGAGCAAGGTGGTACTTATACCTACCCAGCCTGCTTGTGTGTGTCTCAAGGTGGAGAGAGGCTGTGGAAACAATAGAGAGAATAGCATGGAAGGCCACGTTGCAATTAAACAAGATTGGGAAAGAAGACGGGACTAAAATCATGCCTTGAAGATGTTTATCATATGAAGTTGACCTTGAGACCCCAAGACCGGCTTCAGTTTTCCACAATGCGGCTATTATGAGAAAAACAGTGACTAACTGAGCACTGTGCATAACTCAGTTCTCGGAATTTTCAATCAGAAATTATCTGATGACGGGACTAATTCTTATTACGATAGTTCCAATGGATCCACCCAGGATCCACCTCCACAACTAGGTGTACAGAAGCTGGAGATCCCATCATGCCGCCGGGCACCGGTTTACGAGAACTCTATGTCTTATCTTGGTAGTACGATTAGGAAAACAAACACAATGGTTTCTGCCTTCAATGTTTCCATGGTGAGGGCAGTTATTAGGCATATGCTAAAGTGTAATATCCGCTTTTTCAAACCACATTTCAAAGTTGATAGCATCAACGGCTTTAAAATCACTTTTAAAGAATCTGGGCTTACCCAGTTAACAGAAATAGAACCTGCCTGTTTATCAGTGGGTTTGCCTCACTTTTCTGTGGGTTTCTTTTCTTTTCTTAATTATGCATTAAGAAAATAACTTAAGTTTCTGTGCATACAACATCTTCCTTTCTCATTCCCAGTACCCTAGAAACACAGCCGTTCACTGAAGAGGATTTGAGTGTTGTCTCCTCTGTGGGGTCAAAACATCATGCTTCTTTCTGTTCTGCCCCATGGCAGTGGTGACGATGGCCTAGCTTCCATCCCGTAGCTTCTTGTGTTTTTCTATTCCACCAGTCTATCAACCCTGTATTTGTTGTCAAATTTACACTGTCCACAGGCAAAGATCTATTCTCCTTTAGAATTTAATAGGAGGGTTTGGAAATGATGCCATGGAAACCCTGAGCAGCTTGGCAATGCTGACCCCAAATGAGAAATAACTATCATTGGTGTTTTCCTTCTACTACTATTATCTTGCCCATTGATCTTCAAAAAGTTCATTGGTCAAATTGATTGAGGAACGCAAGACTTAAATGTAATATGGCTCTGGCAAATTCTGAGATGCTAACAAAAACAAGTTTTCTTAAGAACAATGTCAACTGACTCACAGTATCCGACTATATAAAGTCGAGTGCTCTCATGCCAGGAAGCTGATACAGTTCATGAAACCTCAGTCATTCTTTCGTATTACTCCTGTCTTCTCTTTGGAAAACAATCTCATGAATTTGGTCTTGACGCTGACTTAACATCCCAGGAAACAGATACTCAATTCCACTGTCTTTTTTGAGAAATGAACAGTTCTCAAACTTTGTTTAAATTTCCTTTTCACAGATGAGTAATAACCAAAGATATTTCTGAAAGGGCTCTGAAAACATGCAGGCAATTGATCTTTAAAAATAAGATAGAAATAGTAGGTTTTATAAAAGAAGGAAATAGAAATACTTCAGAAGAAATAAAGTGTGCTGAATCATGTTTTAAACATAATTATATCCGGAATGCACTTACCCATTTGAAAAAAAAAAAAAGTCACCAAGTTGTTTCCAATTGTTTTTGTAAATTTGCTTAGTCATTTTCAGAGACAAAAATTTGGGAAAAGGATTGTAGAATGACTGGCTTCCCAAAACCACTTGGTGTTTACAAAGTTATCAAAAACGGGCTGGGACCACTGATGGTAATAACAAAACCTGGGGCCCTGAATCGTGTATTCTACATCCGTTAGCACACTGAAGCCACACCGCAAACTTGTGAGGCCAGCGTTGCTTCCCCTACCCCTTCCGTCAAAAACCGTCTGAGGCTGATCATTAACTTGCATAAGGTCACATAGCTAATGAGAAGCAAACGCATCATAATGACCTGGGACATATGACACTGAAGCCTACTCTCTTTCCACAAAGCTTGATGTACTCAGATAGTAATTAGTAAACATTTTCATAAATAATCTTAACCTTTTCAAGCATTTTTGTCGATTGGATTGTAGCACTCAAAAGTAAGGTCTGTTTTACTAATATAAAATTGGGCCTGTGGAATAATTCTCTTCACAGAAGTGTGTGTGTGTGTGAGAGAGAGAGAAAATGTATATGCATACATATACATATATTATTGAGACATAATTTACATAATTTATGTTCTATAAAATTAGCATATTTTAAATATACAGTTCTCTGGATTTTGAAAAATGTATACGTGTACATAATCATGGATCCACCACCCCAGTTAAGATATAGAACATTCCAGGGCCAGGTTCAGTGGATCATGCTTGTAATCGCAGCATGTTGGGAGGCTGAGGAGGGTGGACCACTTGAGGCCAGGAGTTTGAGATCAGTCTGGGCAACAGGGTGAAACCCCGCCTCCACTAAAAATACAAAAAAAAGAAAAAAAAAAAGAAAAAAATAGCTGGCCATTGTGACATATGCCTGTAACCGTAGCTACTCTGGTGGCTGAGGCTTGAGTATCGCCTGGGAGGCAGAGGTTGCAGTGAGCCAAGATGGCACTGCTGCACTCTAGCCTGGGTGACAGTGAGACTGTCTTTAAAAAAAAAAAAAAAAAAAAAAAAAACCAAAAAAACAAAAACAAGAACATTCCCATCACGTCGGTAAGTATCTCATTCTCCTTTCCAATAAATCCTTTTATTCCCAGAAACAAGCATTCTTGTTTCAATCATTGTAACTTTGTTTTACCTGTTCTAGAACTTCATTTAATAGAAATCATACCTACTGCTTTGTATGTGTCGTCTTCTGCTTAATGATTCACATAATGTTTTTGTGATTCATCCATGTTGATGGGTGTATTAGGGGTTCTCTTTTTCAATGCTGGATAGTATCCTGTGGTGAAAATACACCACAATTCGCTTATCTGTGCACCTGTTGATGAGCATTGGGTTGTTTATATTTGTTGGCTATTATGAATAAAGCTACCACGAATATTCATAAATCCTGTATACATGTTTTTATGCCCTTATGTTTTTATGTATTTTTGATAAATACCTAGGTGTGAAATTATTGACTCTTAGTGTTTAACTTGTAAGAATGCTGCCAAACAGTTGTCTAAAGTAATTGTATCATTTTAACCCCCCGCTAGAAGTGTGTAAGAGTTTATGTTGCTTCACATCCTCATCAGCACTTTGTAATTTCAGTCTTTTTAATTATAGCCTTTTTGTGGGTGAGAAACGCTATCTCTTGCTAGTTTTATTTTGCATTTTCCTAGTGACTAATGCCTCTTTTTATGAACTCATTGGCCGTTCATATATTTTCTTTCTGTGAACTGCTTGTTTATGTATTGGCCATTTTCTAAAAATTAGATAGTCTTTTTAATATTGAATTATAGGAATTCTATATATATTTTGGATACATTCTTTTTTTTTCATATGTACTGTGAATTTTCTCCTTTGTCTTGTCTATTTATTCCTTAATGGTGTCTTTTGAAAAGCAGAAGTTATAAATACTGATAGTGTCCAATTTATCTTTTTCATTTGTGTAGTGCTTTCTTGTTCTAAGAACCTTTACCAATCACCAGGTCACAAAAATATTTTCCTATGTTTTCTTCTAGACACTCCATAACTTCAATCTTTACATTCAGATCTATGTTCCATCTCAAATTAATTTTTGTATATGGTGTGAGGTAATGGTAGAGGTTTATTTTTCTCTCCATAAGACTCTCCAATTGTTCTAGCACTATTTGTTCAAAGACTAATCCTCGCGCTATTCAATTTCCTTGGCATCTTTGTCAAAAATCAGTTGACTATATATGTGTGGGTGTATTTCTAGACTGTTGTACTCCATTGATCTAATTTTTTTTCTTATACTTACTGCTCGATTGCCTGGAAGCTAGGTAATAATAAGGATTCAAACTTTGTTCTTTATTTCAAGATTGTTTGGGTTAGTTTAGATACTTTCCTTTTACATATATATTTCCTGATCAGCTTCTCCATTTCTTTTAAAAAGCCTTGCTGGGAGTTTATTTGCTTTGGTATTGAATCTCTTGATCAATTTGAGGAGGATCAAAATCCTGAAAGTGTTAAGCGTTACCATCCATGAGCATGCATCTCTCCATTTATTTAAGGCTTCTTTATTTATAAACATTTCAGTGATATTTGATGATTTTGAATGTGGAGGTCTTATACTTTTTTGTTAAATTAACTCTTACACATTTGATTTTTTTATGCTATTGTAAATGGCATTATAAAATTTCTTTTTTCCAACTGTTTGTTTCTAATATATAGAAATACAGTTGATTCTAGCAAACTGCTCTCATATCCTGTGATCTTAAAATTTATTTATTCACCTTTTCCTTTTTGTTAAATAGATTCTGTAGAATTCTCTACATCTCTGAATATAGTTTTACTTCTTCTCCAATTTTTATGGCTTTTGTTTCTTTTTCTTGTTTTAATGCACTGGCTATAGCCTGTAGGACAGTGTTGAACAGAGGTTTTGAGACAGACATCATTGCTTTATTCAGGACTTCTCTATTATATGTGATGCTAGTTGTATGTTTTCTGTACCTATACTTCATTAGATTAAGGAGTTTGAATTTATTTCTAGTTTGCTGAGAGTTCTTTTATAAATGTGTTCATATATATATGTTTTATATTTTTCTTATTCTTACTATCTGCATATTAGAGGGAGTTTAGCTCATTGGTTAAAAGGATTTGTTCCGGAAACCTAACTCCAAATCTTTGAACTTCCTAGAAACCTGGCCTGTTTATTTACCCCGTATGTCACTTTCCTTTATCTGTAACTGGAAAATGTGTACGAAGAGCTTAATACAATGACTGATACACAGTGAGTTCTCCATAAATGTTAGTTATTATTTTAATATTACAGCATCTGTGGAAACAGTGGGTTTATATTTCAGCGTCCTGAGAAACACTCATCCTGAACAACGGGAACATTGGCCACATCCGCCATTGTCAATTTTAAATAAAAGATATGATGACTAGTTGGTGAGTTGATCTTGTAAGACTTTTACAGATACCCAGAACGGCTCTACTTCTTCATATTCCACTTTTTAGTTTTAAAAGTTTAAGGAGATCTCTGTGATCCCTGAAGAATTGTGTGCAAAGCAGCATTAAGACGAAAATCTTTTATATTTGTGTTGTAGCTTGGAAAACTAGCGCGTGGTCTGTTTTGTTCCACTGGCTCCTAAGGTTCAGGTATTAACATAAATACAGCCCATTAACACTTGTTCCTCTCTGTCAGGACATAAATTAAGTCTGCAGGTGTTCCATGAAGCTGTACCCTTGGTACTAATTAAGCCTTGATAATTAGGTTTGTTAAATTCAGGACTTTAAGCTTATATTCCCTCCTTGGGCTACCAAAACGGAGATGTGCAATATACAAGCCCTCCTGACTTTTTTTTTTTTTTTTTTTTTTCCTGCAGAGAGCGTTGCTGCTCCTTCTCTATTTTATTTCTTTATTACTGTTTTTTTAAATGAAGGAGTCAGTAACAAACCGTTCATCATTTTGCCAGAGTAGGGTGTAAACCTTCATGCAGACCTGTACATTTGTTTATGACGAGATTAAAGTCTTTTCTCCTCCTGTTTTGTGTCAGCTCAGACACTGAAGGGGAAAGTTTCCAGCCTGGTTTCTCCATACACTGAACATGTTGAAATCTATGCCTTAAGCCCAAATGAGCTGTCACTCAAGTATGCACGCTCATATTATTAAAAACTGTGCATGTAATTTGCTGGGCACCCAAATAATTTGTTTTTTATTTTTCCTTAAAAATGAGACTTTCTGTTAGGAAAGTGATTCATGAAACAGTGAAGATCCTGCCTCACAACTTTCAAGAAACCCACAGAGGTCCCTATTCACATAAGAATTTTCTAAGCAGAGGTTCCAATTTGGATATTTCGTGGCCTTCAGGTTATTTGTAACCAGTACACAAACCACAAAGTCATAATCAGATAGATTTTCTTTCCAGCCTGTCTTTCCTCTTTGGTTGCTTTGTAAATCTATTACTCATCAGATCATATGTTTGGCAAATGCCACTTTTCATTTTGAATCAATGGAATCATAAAAAACAATTCTACTAGTACCACTTTCAAGAATATTCATAGTGGTCATGCTAACGTAATAACCTCTCTTTTTTATTTGAAGGATATTAAATAAAATTGTACTTTTAATCAGAGCCTTTTTTTGAAAAAAAAAAAAAAGAAAAAGATAGTTGATATTGTGGGAGATGGCTACAATACAGATTCATCCCATATTCTCTTTAATGTTCTATTCCCAAGAAGAGCACTAATTAATCTCTCTAGAAGGGTACCACAGTTTCCATGAGCGTTCATATTTTGAAGTTTCCAAGAACATGTTCTACAGAATGGACCACTGCTCTCTTTTCAGACCCAACCCTTGTATCAGAGTTTGCACACATCTAGAAGTTCCGGTTCTCCCAGTCATTACCTTTCTCCTTCAAGCTGGGATTCAGAGTCCATTTTCATAGGGCAAAATGCAGAGTTCGGGTTCCTTCCTATCCATGAGAGTAGGTGCTGAAGGAGATAAAGGAATGAAGACATAGACTTTGAAAGCAATAGTCTGGCAATCATCCAAAGGTTTGTGGGAGGACAAAAGATCACAAAGTATGTGTTTGTGAAAATAAGACTATGTCATGAAAGCTTTAGAATATCCAACACATTATAGAATATTTTCACGGAAATATTTCGGATGGAATTTTGGCTTTAATTCTTTCTCTTTTTTTCCTGTTCTTTTCCCTCTCCCCACAACCACTTCTGTTTCATTTTCTGTTTTGCTCCTTCTTTTCATAAGTAGCTGGTAGTCAGTGTTCTCTTTTTCTTCCTGTGAGACAGGATCTCCCTCTGTTGCCCAGGCTCGAGTACATTGGTAGGATCTTGGTTCACTGCAGCCTGTGCTTCCCAGACTCAAGTCATCCTCCCACCTCAGCCTCCTGAGTAACTAGGACCACAGGCATGGGCCACCACGCTGGGTTAGTTTTTGTATTTTTTTGTAGTAACACGGTTTTTTCATGTTGCCCAGGCTGGTCTTGAACTCCTGTGCTTAAGCGATCCACCTGCCATGGTCTCCCAAAGTGCTGGGATTACAGGCGTGAGCCACTGCGCCTAGCGAGGTAGTCAGTGTTCTAAACACTGGTGTACAATCCAAGTCTGTCGCTGCCCAGGATAGAGGAGGGATGACGTGAATTCACACGGGCCTCTCCTACAAATCTGAGTGTACATCAAGTGAGGGGCGTCCCTCCGCACCTCACTGTTGGGCTGATCAATCCCATTCCCACTCCATTATGTGTGTATTTCTAAGTGGCAGATTTGCCTTAGGAAATGGAAGAAGGGGATGAAATAGTGACCAACACAAATTACTGGGTTGGCGGGAGTTGAGAGCTGGCAAAATCGTCTTGGAGAAGGAAATGGTGCAGATTTCAGAGCTGGCAGACAGCATCTACATCCACCTCTGCAGGAAGCAAGGGAAACATTTTTCTTCTGGAGAATCGGGCAGCCTGCAGCTGATCCGGTGGTGTCTGAAACCATCCTGTGTGCTGTAGTGTCAACAACTTAGCCTGGTTACTTTGCCACCAAACCCCACCAAATGCCTTTGTATCTTTTTCAGAACTGCATCTCTGCAGCATAATTGATATTACAGGAATGAAAAGTGTTCTGAGGCATATTATTCCCAGGGTAAAGAGTCACCGCTGATTAATTACCTCAAGGACAAGGGGACGGTGACTTTTTCTCTTGTATCCAGCAGCGCCACGCGGGGCGGGCGGGAGAGGCAAGGCTAAGAGGTGGATGAAAGGCTAGGGTTAAGGCATTTCACAATGTCAGGCATCTTGTTAGACTGCGGCTTTCCAGGCCTTCCCCCGTGACTGCTGCGGGGGCCTAGGCCAAAGATATGCCCGAGTAGAAAATCTGACACCAGCTTCCCAGTTTTCTCTTCTGCTCTCTTTGGCTGCAACGCTTTTACCATGGGTAAACCATTAGGCCGGCTCTGCAGGGAGGGCAAGACCACAGCAGCTCAGTATTTCCTGCTCAGGGAAAAAGGCCAGGTCTTTTGTTGGTGGAAATCCACTTTTCCATCCACTGTCTTCTAAGAATGAAAGTAAATCTGTTGTGCTTTCCTCTGCCCTGTCCTCAGGCTTAGCCTTAGTGGGCCTGGTTTTTGCCCCCCTCCAGTTTTAGCTTCCCATCTAAAATACAAGGGAAAAGACAGCAAGGACAGGACACTTCCTCCTAGTGTCTTGTAAAGCTGCAAGGGAGTCGCGGCTGAGTCGAGGATCCACATTCCTGGATGAGTCCTTTTGTTACCAGCGGAGGGTGTCCGGGTTCTTGGCATTTTGAAGAAATAGTTGGACAAAATGCACAAACAAAGCAAGAGAAGAATGAAGCAACAAAAGCTGAGGTTTATTGAAAGCAAAACTACACTCCATAGAGTGGGAACGGCCCAAGCAGCCACTCAGGGGCCCTGGATAGAGAATCTTCTGGAGTCTAAATACTCCCTAGATGTTTCCCATTGGCCACTTGGGGTACACCCCTTATAAATGAAGTGGTGGCCTGCAATCAGTCTTATTGGTTGCAGAAAGCAACCAATCAGAGGCTGAAGTGAAGTTACAAATATCACACTCCTATGCAAACATCTGATTGGTTTTGGAAAGCAACCAATCAGAGGCTAAAGTGAAATTACAGAGTTGCTCTTTTATGCAAACGAAGACTCCGCCTCCAGTCAGTATGATTGGTTGTGGGCAGCAACCCATCAGAGGCTGAAGTGAAGTTACAAAGTTACACTCCTATGCAAACGTCTGATTGGTTGCAAAAAGCAAAACCACTCAGAGGTACTTTCAATTTCCCATCTGCCCTGCAGAAAAGGTAAGGGGTTGCAAAAGAGTAGCCCCTCCTCCTTTTGTTACTTAGGCGTGGAAAGTTAAGGGTTTCCTTTCAGTTTGGTTCTAAGAAGTCAGAGTGAAATGGCTTTAGATTCCCTGCCTGCAGATTCTATTCCCCAGCCTCACTTTGAGAAGCACCTGGACACTTCGCTCTAGGCACGTGTCTTCTTCAAGCTGCCATCCATTATGCATAGTACAGGAGCTCAGAAAAGTCACCCGTGGGTTCCTTTCTAGCTCAATCATGCTGAGAGTCCAGTCCATTTATAACATAATTCATAAAGGAACATTCTATTTAGTTCTCAGAACTCTGTGGCAGGGGACTGTTGTTATTCCTCCTTTACAGAGGTGGGTCTGAAGGTACAGAGTGGATAAGTCATTTTCTCCGGGCCAGCCACACAGCGAATGAATGGAGACTCCTTGTGTGTAGTAAATGGCTGCAGCCCTATAAGCTATAATCATATATCATCAACACCTTTACCCTGTTATTAACGTGTCTGAAATTAGGGAACACCACGTACAAAAGGGATCAGGGTCCACCTTTCTGAAGAAAACTGCAGAGCTTTTGCAGTTATTAAACTAGCAACAGATGTAAAGTCCAACTGTTAGAGTTTTTCTTTAAAGCAGAAGTTAGCAGTTACAGGTGCTTGTGATGTCATCACTTAGATGATCTTATAAATGCCTTTTTTTTTTTTTTTTTTTTTTTTAGTCGGAGTCTCACTCTGTCGCCAGGCTGGAGTGCACTGGCATGATCTCGGCTCACTGCAACCTCTGCCTCCCGGGTTCAAGCAATTCTCCTGCCTCAGCGTCCTGAGTAGCTGGGACAAGAGGAGCACACCACTGCGCCCAGCTAATTTTTGTATTTTTAGTAGAGATGGGGTTTCAGCATGTTGGCCAGGATGGTCTTCTTCTCTTGACCTTGTGATCTGCCTGCCCCAGCCTCCCAAAGTGCTGGGATTACAGGCATGAGCCACCGGCCTGGCCATAAATGTCTTTTCTGGGTGGGGCATGGTCACTGGAAATGTAAACCCTCCCTTCCCCAGGTCAGCCTGCCTCCCAGGTGTTGGTGCTATGATTACAGTGACCACATAATTTATCATCCACACTGGCACCTTTTTGAGAGAGGTTGGGGAGCAGGTAATTATGCTGGGACAATAGGCGTATGTCAAGATATCTGGTCACCCTATCTATGATCTGTCACACTTAGTACTTTCTAAAATTCTCGGGCCTTTGCACCTTCTTTTTATCAACACTTAGTTCTATGTTACTGAATATTTCTTAATTAAGTGCAGGAAAGAAAATAACCATTTTTTCTCCTTTTAAAGAAGCACACACACCTTTCTTTTATTGGTATTACATTCCTTTTCCCAGTTGGTGCCCCTGTTGGTTTTCCAAATTGTCTTCCCATCCTTATCCTACCTCCCAATAGAGTACCTCATCCTATAGTGTTATTATAACTACAGAAAATATATTTTCATTCCTTCCACTTCATGCTTTCAGCTAGAAATGTGAGTCTCTGAGACTTGTATTCTTGGGGTCACTTAAAACATATTGCATAATGAGGCCTTCAATGACTCTGATTTGGAACTGACCCTCTATGAGGGGTTATACCCCTGGACACCAAGCTGCTGGCCTGAGCATGAGGTTGATGGCCAATCTCAGGAGAGGAGGAGGAAGAGGAGGAGGCGGAGAAGAAAATTGCGTGCTAATTTCAGTTGTATATTGAGCCCACACATATTTACTTCCAATATGAAGCAAATCTAAGAAAAATTCTGCTTTAAAGAAAGAAATGTAAATCAAGTGACTGTTGATGGACGCTTGGAAGAATTCTTATTTATTTATTTTTTTGGACAGGCTTTCACTCTGTCAGCCAGGCTGGAGTGCAAGTGGCCCAATCATGGCTTACTGCAGACTCAACCTCCTGGGTGCAAGTAATCCTCCCACCTCAGCCTCCTGTGTAGTGGAGACCATAGGCATGTTCCACCACACCTAGTTAATTTTTTATTTTTTGTAGAAATGGGGTCTCACCATATTGACCAGGCCGGACTCAAACTCCGAGATGCACGTGAATCTCCAGCTGTGGCCCCTTCCAAAGTGCTGGGATTAGATGCATGAGCCACCTGGCCCAGCCAGAATCCTTCCATTAATAAAAGGATGGACCATGAACTCCCTTTTATGATATGAGCCGATCAAATGTGAGCAGAATAGTATCCTATTTATACAATGTAGTTTAAAACCAACTTCTTAGAACCATGAGCTAAGGGGGAATCTGGATTTCAAATGCTAGTTGCATCAAACACGTTTCCACCCCCTCAAAACGTGGCCCAAAGTCATTAGTGTCGGAGCACCCAGCCATCCTTGGCTCCTTCCCACCTATGTTGATTAATTAAAGGACCCAAGAGCTAAAAGGGAGAAGTAGCTGCATGCTTGCCACTTAGTAATATTTTGATAAGTATTTTTGGGATGAATGCAATGATGGATGAATGAATGAATGAATGAATAACATAGGCTACAGTATTTTGTCTTCTTGGTTAGGGACCTTGAGTAAACTGAGGAGTCTGAGGGGAATGCCATGGAAGTCTGTAAACCCAAAATCCTCAGCGAAACCTCAGCCATCTAGGGACATCTGGGGCAGCAGAGAGCCACTGGTGTGGTGAGTTATCTCCCTGGGCCTTGAGATAGCCATGCTGTTTTGTCTCCACAAGGAAGAAGTAGGAGGCATAGCCCAAGGCAGCTTGAGAGGAAAGCCTCTTGGCCTTGAATAAGATGACTTTGTTACTGGGCAAAGAAAGCCCGGCTGGAAGTGCTCTTTGATATGCAAATATAGCCTGATAAGGATTTCCTCTCCTTCCTACTTTCCCTCCCCAACCCTCCCCCAAGCTAAAATTCTCTTCCCAGGAGCCCTGTCATCAGCAGGGAGTTTTCTGTCTTTGTCCCCATCTCTTCACTTGTGCTGTGCAAAATCAGGCCACGATTGCAGGGTAGTCCACGGCTTCCAAAGAGAACTGCATAAATATACATCTTTCAGGGGAAGAGGGAGAACCTGGAGAAGTCAGGAGAGCAAAACCATGCCAGTCAGCTTCAGTGATGATAAAGGTTACTGTTGGATGAAAGTTTGCATTTTGTTGTGGTGTGGGAAGGACCTTATCCTGTCAGCTCTATGGATGTGCCCAGTTTAAGCTCTGAAAGTTCCTTTAACTTGAAATTGTTTTTGATCATGTGACAAGGTCTTCTGACCCTTTATCACCCACAGTGTTTTATTCATTTGCTCTAAACCAGCAGTAGGTGAAGTTAGGAATAATATGTCAAGCTTCCTAACTCCATGGTGCTCTCATTGTTGTGTGTGTGTGTCTGTGAATAAACACGGAAATAATTACGCAAATAAGCTATTGGCAGGTGGTGATAACGTAACCGCCCAATGGGTTCATTCTGCCTGATGCCCAGATAAAGCCGATTTATCTAGACAGGGGAATTGCAATAGGGAAAGAGTTTAATGTTGGTAGAGCCAGCTAAACGGGAGACTGGAGCTTTATTGTTACTCAAATCAGCTTTCCTGAAAATTCAGAGACTGGGGTTTTTTTAAGGATAGTTTTGTGGACAAGAGAATGGGTACTGCTGATGGGCTGTGGATGCAATCATAGGGGTGTGTAAAACCCTTGTGCCCTGAATCCGCTTCTGGGTGGGGGGCAGGGCACAGGACCAGTTGAATGGGGATGGGGCTACCAGTCCTCAAAAATGCAAAAGCCGGAAAAGACATTTCAGAAGGCCAACCTTAGGTTCTACAAAGTGATGTTATCTGCAGGAATAATTGGGGAAATTGCAAATCTTGTAACCTCTGGAATAATGGCTGCTAATCGTTTATGTCCACTCTTTAGCAGAATTCAGGCTCCTGTCCTCCTCCTAACTTGGTGGTCTTTTGCTAGCTTTACAAAGGCAGTTTAGTTTGGGGGTAGGGCCATTATCATTTAAATTAAGTACTAAATATCCCCCCAAAGTTAGCTTGGCCCAAGCCCAGGAATGACTAAGGGCGGTCTGAAGGTTAAAGGCAAGATGGGGCTAGGTTAGATCAGATCTCTTTCACGGTCATAATTTTCTTACTCTTACAATTTTTGCAAAGGCAGTTTTAATAACTGCTATTTAGCAAAGACAGTTGGGTAAGTTACTAGAGGGAGTATTACCTTAGATGGGGCCAGGAGGGTTTCTCTGAGGAGATCCCATTTCAACAGATCTAGAAATGTAATGGAGCCAGTCCTAGGGAAACAGGACTACCAGGAATCCTCACCAGCCCCGCAAAGACGAGGGAGCAGCAAGTTCCAAAGCCCGTGGCATGTCAAGGGTCGATGAATTCACCAACTGCAAGGGGCTTTGGTGACCCCAGTGAACAGATGAGAAAGGGGAGGAGGCTGGGATCAGTGCACAGCTTTGCAGGCTTTGGGAAGGAATTTCGAGTTTATCTCATTTGTCCAGGTATTTGGATGAAGCCCTGGCATACTAACCGTATGAAAGTTTATAGTTCCCAAATTGCAGGATAACAAGGCTCTGTAATCTTCATTTCCTCAAAGTTTTACACCAGGATTCTATGGCCAAGTGTGTGGCAGTGTCACAACTTAAGAGCCAGTGTAATTGCCCAACGGGTTCTCCTTGCCCGCTGCCTAAGCAAAGCCGATTTATCAAGACAGGGGGATTGCCATAAAGAAAGAGTTTAGGTCCAGGCACGGTGGCTCATGCCTGTAATCCCAGCATTTTGGGAGGCCAAGGAGGGTGGTTCAACTGAGGTCAGGAGTTTGAGACCATCCTGGCCAAGGTGGTGAAACCCCATCCCTACTAAAGATACTAATATTAGCCAGGCGTAGTGGTAGGCGCCTGTAATCCTAGCTAGTCGGGAGGCAGAGGCAGGAGAACTGCTTGAACCTGGGAGGCAGAGGCTGCAGTGAGTCGAGATCACACCACTGCACTCCAGCCTGGGCGACAGACTGAAACTCTGTCTCGGAAAAAAAAAAAAGAGTTTAATTCATGCAGAGCTGGCTGTGTGGGAGACCAGAGTTTTATTATTACTCAAATAAGTCTCCCCCAAAACTCAGGGATAGAGATTTTTAAGGAGAATTTAGTGAGAAGAGGGTCAGGGAATGGGGAGTATTGATTGGTCAGGTTTGAGATGGAATCAGGGAGTTGAAGCTGGCCTCTTGCACTGAGTCAGTTCCTGGGTGGGAGCCACAAGACCATATGAGTCAATTTATTGACCTGGGTGGTGCCAGCTGATCCATCAATTGCAGGGTCTGCAAAGTATCTAAAGTACTGATGTTCGGTTTTACCATAGTGACATTATCCCCTGGAGCAATTTGGGGAGGTTCAGAATCTTGCAGCCTCCGGCAGCATGACTCCTAAACCCTAATTTCTAATCTTGTGGCTAATTTGTTAGTCCTGCAAAGGCAGTCTAGTCCCCAGGCAGGAAGGTTGTTTATTTTGGGAAAGGGCTGTTATCATCTTTTGTTTCAAAGTTAAACCGTAAACTAAGTTCCTCTCAAAGTTAGTTAGTCCTACAACCAAATCAACTTTGAACAAGACAGCCTGGAGGTTAGAAGCAAGATAGAGTCAGTTACATCAGATCTCCATCACCTTCATAATTTTCTCCGTTATAATTTTTGCAAAGGCTGTTTTAATAACAGCCAGTCGTTCATGTTTCCTTGTGCCACGTGATTATTTTGTACAGTCAACATTAAGAGACAGGCACTTGTAAATGTTGAGATGCCAAGGGGGAAAGAATTTTAGAATCCAGATCCGCTTTGGTAAGAGTGGCCTTCGAGCCTCATGTATTCTCTGTTCAGCTGTTAAGATTGTTATTAAACTTTATGGACCATAAACCCCACAGAAACAAGGAGGTTGAACAACCATGCTATTACACAAGTGTCAAAACAGGAGCTGTATTTCATGTCCTGAAAAGTGTGCACGGTTGGCCTCCTCTAGGTCCCACGTGCCTTCTGGATGGTTTTAACCCTCAGCCTCTCTTTGGCCTGTGAGTGAAACCCATCATTTGACACAGAGGCTTTCTGGAAATGATGCTCCTCTTAGATGAAAGTTCCCTTTCAGAAATCTTTCATTCCCTGACCTCTGTGTCCATCCCACTAATATATTTCTTACCAGGAGTACATAGTTTGTTCTTTAAGCAAAACCATATGCATCGTATTTTAAATGGAACAGGGAGGTTGTTCCATGCGTCAACTTAGTCCAAATGTAGAGGGTCAGGAAAACAGTGATATGAGAAAAGGGCCAGTTACTGTCTGGGAATCCATAAATACTGCTTGGCAAATGGCACATTGCATGCTTATTCCTTAGGCATCCGTTTAGCAAAATAAGATGTCAAGCTAATTGTAATGATATTTCTGGGGTTTCATCTTCTCTCCCTGGTACATAAAAGAATGCAATTCCACCTATATTTTGATTTAAGATCAAATTTTTGCAAAGTATAATTACATTTGATGTAATTGCCCATGCAACCCAGATGTCATATATTTATGTTATTATTATCATTTTTCATGTGTAGATGTGGTGATCGTTTGTGCTTTGTTAAATATTCCTCGTCTGTCCTTCTGGGGATGATGCTTTTTCTCCCTTTTTGGTCAGGCATAGATAGGTGACTTGCTTTAGCCAAAGAAGCATGAACTGTCACTTCAAGGGGGAGATTTACAAGCCAGTGCAGGTGGATTCCCTGCTTTCTCCTGACATCATGATCATGGACTCACATGACAAAATGGATCCTCCATCTTCCAGCATCTCTGATTGAGACTAACAAGGGCCCTGACAGCCTTTTCTGGACTTGTAGTATGTGCAAGAATTAAGCTTTTTCTGTATCAAGTCACCGTGTTATGGGGGTTGTTCCTCACTGCAGGAGAACCTTGTTCATCCGTATTAGAACAGTGTGGTGTTTCATGTTAGCAGAGTGTATCAGGATCTTTTGTTTTTTTTTTTTTTTAAATTAAGGATGCTGTATGAGTCTTTTCTCATACTACTGAGAAAGACATACCCAAGACTGAGTAATTTATAAAGGAAAGAGGTTTAATGGACTCACAATTCCACATGGCGGTGGAGGTGTCACCATTATGGCAGAAGGCAAACAAGGAGCAAAGTCACATCTTACATGGTGGCAGGCAAGAGAACTTGTGCAGGGGAACTCCCCTTTATAAAACCATCAGATCTCGTGGGACTTACTCACTATCACAGAAACAACATGGCAAAGACCCATCCCCATGATTCAGTTACCTCTCACCGGGTCCCTCCCATGACGTGGGAATTATGGGAGCTATAATTCAAGATGAGATTTGGGTGGGGACACAGCCAAACCATATCAGATGCAAAGTTATGCATATGTTGATCAGCTCAATTTAGCCTTTCCATCATGTTTACATATTTCAAAATAATGTGTTGTGCACAATATATATGTGCAATTTTTGTCAATTAAAAATAAATTAAAAAAATTAAAAAATGGCTTTCCCACAGCCTGTCGACTTCCATCCCCATGTGTGGCTCTCCCCAGGGCCTCCCTTCTTGTTCTCCCCAGTTGCAGACCTCAGACAGGAGTCTGCTTGTCTTCCTAGGCCCTTGTCAGAGTGGAAGGTGGCCCTCCACCACACCAGCCCACTTTCCAGTTATCAAAAAGGATCTTTGATTTAATATTTCCAGAGCAATTTTGGTGATTTCCATTCAAATCTGTTTTTTGTCATAACTACCTTGCTTGCCTATGGGACATGTTCCCATTTCAGTGCATACTTGACCTTTACCATAAATCACATATTTGTAAACTGTACCCTCCTGCTGTTTTATTAGGCATGGAGAAGCAGTCTTTTCTTTTTCTTGATGGCCTGGGTTGACCAGATCCTGACTTTTGTGGAGACATTAAAGTGCTAGAAATGATAATGGTGAAAGATTCAGAAGTTGAAGGAGATATAAGGAGAGAAATGGACAATTCTTTTGGTAATTGAATGAAATAAGACTCTTAGGAAAATTCTCCCCAGTGGCAATGTTGTAAGAAACACCAGGCCGGGCACAGTGGCTCACACCTGTAATCCCAACACTTTGGGAAGCTGAGACAGGCAGATCACTTGAAGTCAGGAGTTTGAGACCAGCCTGGCCAACATGGTTAAACCCCATCTCTACTAAAAGTACAAAAATTAGCCAGACGTGATGGTGCGTACCTGTAATCTCAGCTACTCAGGAGGCTGAGGCAGGAGAATCACTTGAACCCGGGAAGCGGAGGTTGCAGGGAGCTGAGATCACGCTGATGCATTCCAGCCTGGGTGACAGAGCAGGACTCCATCTCAAAAAGAAAAACTCAACGAAACACCCCAGCTTCTATCATTCTCAAGCTTAGTGTGTGCAAGACTCATGGATGCTGCTTGTTATAAAGGAAGATAAATTATGAACAGGCAGACTGGTCTGTGAACCTTACCCAGAAAAATACACAGTAGTCCAGTATATTGGCCTCCAGGGCAAAGCTACCTAGGTTCTGAGTCCAATTATGGCCTTCATGAGTCTTGTTTCTTTGGACAGGTTTTCCAGTGTCTCTGAGCCTCAACTTCCTCATGTATAAAGTGGAGATGATGCCATTACAGGTTGCTGCTTTATGGCACATAATTAATACTAGCTCTTATTTATAGGAACTGAACAAAGCCCCAGTTGTTTTGAAGCATGTCCTATCATTAACACAGGTAATCAGGATATATTCATTGAAGTCTCACTGTGTGCCAGGCACTATGCTATGCACCTTATGTGTGTTATTTTATTTCATCCTTCCAGCTCTGGGAGGTGATGACTGTCATCTGCATTTTGCACATGACAAATCTGAGGGTCAGAGAACTTGCCCAGGGTCACACAATTAGTAGATGGCAGCTCAAGGGGTTTTTGCCTGCGTCTTCACCCAAAGCCACTAACACGGGATCTGTCAATTGCATTGCTGGTGATCAAGAAATGCCAGCTCCTCCGCTCTTCCCTGAGTGCCTTGTTGGAGACAAAACCAGCAGGGTTATATCCCCAGCACTGTAATTTAGTGTGGCAGTCAGGGGAAAACACCTTGTAGAATTTCATTTCTTATCATTTAATGTCCCCTTTAATTCTCATTTAAGTTCCCCTCTGTAAAAGGCAGTCCCTTCAGCTCTCATAAAACTTTATGGTCTTTACTTGTGATTAGGCAATGGTAAAATTGATTCTCTAAAACCAACTTCTAGTCAAGTTATGTAATTAGCCAATAAGGGAGGCTGAGAGAGGAAGATATACAAGGTTCTCCCTCAAGAGGTCAGACGTATTATCATTGGTTAGATGCCGTATCTTTAAAACACCATCAGCTTGGAAAACACTATCCATTAGCAAGAGATCAGAGCAAGAGAAACCTCGAAGGGTCGAACGGTCCATTCTGAGGGCTCCACAAAGAACTCGGCATCCCAGAAGGATGATTAGCCTTCCATCTCTCGAGTTGTCTCAGAGCACAACAGGTCTGAGTGTTTTTTTCTTTAATGAATTAACCCTTTGGATTTCAGCCCTAGCTTTTGCTTCCCACATCTGACATCCTGCCCTACCTCCTGCCAGAAAAGATTTTGATTTCGATCATGGCAGTTGCTGTCGCTGAGGTAATATGAGGAGATCCGAGACCTCATCCTTGCAGGGAGTGGGCTTGAGATAATTCTCGTTACAAGTTTGCCTAGTGCTTCACATAAGCAGAGGCCCCAAGACATCAGCAAGCCCGTTTTTTGCCTCTTCCTGGTTCATGGTTAGACTGCATTTTTGAGCCTCTGCCTGTTAGGTGCAGCCATGTGCCTGAGTCTTGGCCAATGGACTGTTGGAAGACGAGACGTTGGCCCCTTCTCAACCTGACCTGTAAAAACCTGTCTTGCAAAACCCTCACGGCTCTTTCCCCTGCAGTCTTGATGTGAACAAGCATGATGATGTTGGAAGCCATACACAAGCTGGATAGAGCCAGGGTCCCTGAGTTCACCACCCAGAGCAAAGTCACTTGTCGATCAGAAATACAGAACTAGTTTTGGACTTGATGTGAGAAATCTTTTACTGTATCATAGTAGCAAGCATTACCCCAACCAATACCTGTGCTCATACTGCTACAGTTTTTTTTTTTTCTTTTTAGTGACTGGGTCTTGCTATGTTGCCCAGACTTGGGTGCAATGGTGCCATCATAGCTCACTGCAGCCTCCAACTCCTAGGCTGAAGCCATCCTCCCACCGTAGCCTCCTGAATAGCTGGGACTAAAGTGTGCACCACAATGCCCAGCTAACTTTTGTATTTTTTGTAGATACGGGGTCTTGCTATGTTGTCCAGGCTGGTCTCAAAGTCCTGGCCTCAAGTGATCCTCCTGCCTTGGCCTCCCAAAGTGCTTGGATTATAGACATGATCCACTGCACGTGGCCCATACTGCTATTCCAGACAAGAAATTGTACCAGGAAATTCACTGATATTATTGGTCCATCTGAGGATCATCAGAGATGAAAATGAGATTTGACAACTGCATTTGGAAATGGAGTATGACAGTATCATTCTGATGTAGGGAGGATATCACCTCACAGGAGTCTTTCCTGGCTATCCTGTCCAAAGTCACTACTCACAATTTCTCTATCCCATAACTCTATTTTATTTCTCTGTCTAGCACTTATCACTATCTGATATTTTCTGTCTATCCATCCGTCTATTCATTCATTCATTGCTAATTTATTAGTATTGCCTTCCCATGAACTATTAGCTGCCAGAGAGCAGGGACCTCATCTGTCCTGTCCACTCATGTCTTCAGCACTTAGAACAGTACCTGGCATATAGGATGAGCTTCAGAAATATTTGCAGGTGAGTGAATGAGGGAGTGAATGAATGAGGGATTTGCAGCTTGAACGCTGTACTTTGAAACAGTTCCAGATTCATGAAATTTCTTTTTAATGCAGAAGATTTCTTATGTGATTAACTGAATGGGAATTGATGCTTTGTGGAATGAAATGGATTGAGTACAGAGTGTGGGATCAAGAACTTTTAGGCACTGTGAGTATAAGAGGGAAACCAGGCCGGGAGCAGCGGCTCACACCTGTAATCCCAGCACTTTGGGAGGCGGAGGCGGGCAGATCACGAGGTCAGGAGATCCAGACTATCCTGGCTAACACGGTGAAACCCCGTCTCTACTAAAAATACAAAAAATTAACTGGGCATGCTGGCAGGCGCCTGTAGTCCCAGCTACTCTGGAGGCTGAGGCAGGAGAATGGCGTGAACCCAGGAGGCGGAGCTTGCAGTGAGCCAGGATCGCGCCACTGCACTCCCGCCCGGGTGACAGAGCGAGACTCCGCCTCAGAAAAAAAAAAAAAAAAAAAAAAAGGAACCAGATGGCCCTGCCCTTGAGCAGGCTGTGGTCTGGCCTGGTGGAGAGACAGAGAATCAGTTAATTCCAGGGTCATGTATTAGGTGGTAAGATAGTGGTTCACACCAAAAACATAGAAAATGATCACTTAGCCTGATCCACAAGTTCAGGAAAGGGCTCTGAGCAGGAGATGGAAGACCTCTTGGCTGGTTAAATGGAGATCAAGTGGCAGCTTGGACTCCTGCTGCAATTAAAAAATTACTCTCCAGTTTTCTTCATGTGCCTCCCCATTCACTCCACCACCACTCACCCCAAATCAGATCATGATTCATTTGGGTTGTACCGATTAAGAGGGTTCCCTTTACATGACCATTCCAGTCATGAAACAGAGAATCTGGTCACCTGTCCTTTATCTTGGCTGGTCCAATTCCATAAGAAGTAAATGCTGTGTGTCTGCGATTCAAAAGACCCCTTTCACGGGAGGCTGGGAGATTTTTCCATCTAAATAGCTTAATTGTTACTCTACAGGGCAATCATAAATGTAAATCGACTTAATATGACTTGATTGTTAGTAATGACTGTCCCTCTAATGACGCTGGCCAATGAGCCTACACAGAATGTCGCATGCAGATCAATGAGCCAAATGTTAGCAGGGGACTGGGCATTTGAAGATTTAAAAAAATGAAAAATTGCACTGTGACATTGCTGGTTCCTATTAGCAAAATAACAGACAGTGTTATCAGTCATTGACTCAGAAGATAGTTTCTTACCGTTTGGGGAAAGTGCTTGTCTATTCCTCTCCAAAGCCATTTAAAAAAAAAATTGCACCAGTTCTCATCCCGTCATCTGCCTTGATCAAACATTTGCTTATTGGAATCACTTCGAAAAGGAACTTGGTATCGTTCACATGTGTTTATAACTCTCAAATCTTCTTCTTCCAATTTTTAATCTTGATCACCACAGCTTTATAACAGGAAGAACGCTCAAAGAAGAAAAATAGAAGAAGCCTGAATTTTAATTTGCTATTTCTTCACACACAAAACACCCCAAGCTCAATCAATGCCCAGAAATGAAGGCCAATAGATGATAGTGGGGCCTCAGATTTCCCACCTATTGTTTTGAACTCTAATTAGGGAAAGGGAATTTGGAACCATTGTCTTCTCTGAGTGTGCAGACACGATGCTATCATTGTGTTTACAGAGGTGGTCAGATTCCCAGCACAGTGTACTCCCGCACAGATAACCGTCCCATCTTGATAAAACAATGCTCTCAGCCGAATCCTAAACACGCTGCACAAGGAAGACCTTATGCTGACAGTAGGGAGGAAGCGACATGTTAACAAACAAGTTTGCCGGCCAGGAAGTTTTAATCAGCGCTTTCTACTGCAGGGGGTATGATGGATGGAGACCCTGTTTCAGAGGGGTTTCCTTTAGATAAAACAATAATACCATGCTTTCAAGAAGCTCGTTCGACAGCTGTAAAGCTATGATTAATCCCCCAAAAGTCAAACATGGGAAGACTGGCAAGATGAGATTATTCACTGGGTATAATTAGCCACAATTATCGCTAAAGAGAATTTGGGGAGATTCTGCTCTAAAGGGAAAAGCTTTGTAAAGGAGAATTACCAGTAGAGTGACCTTATAATTTACCATCCAATGGATTTTGAATACTTCTGAGAGAGAAATGAGATACTGATAATAATTATACCAAGACAACAGACATAAATTGGGATTGGCCTAGACGAGCAAAGATGAATGGTCATTCTGTCTGTTAGTAAAATTCCATCCCAGGCACAATATCTCAGACTTGAAACAAAATAAAAGTGATTCTTTCTAGGATAAACTCTAAACTAAGTGTCTGATAAATTCTGGGAAAGTTTATCCAATTGTTACAACCCAGGGTCAGGAAAACTGTTTTCAATTTTCTGCTGTATGAAGTTGCCAGTGTTAAACCCTTTCGATAGCAAGTAGAAGAAATGTTCATTCAAACAGGCTTAATTAACTGAAAGATATAGGTGTGGTAAGGGGATCAGGTAAAGCTTGACCCAGGGGCTAAACTTTAAGGACCTGGTTCCCCTCTTTTCATCCCTTGGTTTTATTTTTCTCAGCATTGGCACCATTTTGTGACAAGCTCACTCCTTGGGTCTTATGACAAATGTTGACTCTTCTAAACCACATCTTTCCAGATTCAATATAGTAGGAGAAGACCAGACTTGCTCTTTTCCTGGAATTTAGTCTGACGTGGCTGGGACAACATGCCCACTCTCAACCAATTTTTGTAGCCATGGAGATTTGGAAGTCTGGCAAGTCTTGGGTCACATGATCTACCTTACAGCTGTTACTGCAGACCTCCCAAAGCTCACGAACTGAGAGTCAGGAGGCGTGGTTCCCCTAACTCAAATCAGAATTTCGTTATCAAAAGAAGAGAGGGATGGTTCTGTGGTGTCCCACACTCAAATAAACATCCTTTAAATACCTCTAGATGCTTATAATTCCTGTTGCAGCCTTAGTCAGTGGGAGCCACTGACCTGCATTCGTGTAGGAACTGAGCAAGGTTCATCTAGTCTCGGTAGCTACCTACCCCGAGAGCTGGCTGATTTTTTTTTCCTTAAATTTAATTCAAGACTTCATGAAGTCAACAAAATGGTCTGTTGGAAATTATTCCTAACCCCCAACCACTGTCACTGCCACAATCAAACATATTTTCATTCTTTTGCAGCTGCAGCCCTTCTACTTGAACTTTCCCACTCATTGCCCTTATAACTTGCCATTTAATATCTCTTGCTTTCCTACATGGCTGTGACTACTCGTGGGCAGGGACTGTATCTCCTGTTTTTGGTAGTGCCTCCAGAACCAAACACCATATGTCATAAGGTCTATTAATAAATATCTGCTAGTTTTTAAAGTTTGAGAAAAACCCGTATTGTGGAATGAAAATGATACTGACAAGGAATACATCTAGATCAGAAATACTGATATCCTAAGTGAGATCTTGTTTTTTAAAACAAAAAAAAGTTTAAGAAATTGTCATATAGGCTGGGCGTGGTGGCTCACACACATAATCTTAGCACTTTGGGAAGTTGAGGCAGGAGGGCCACTTGAGGCCAGGAGTTTGAAACCAGACTGGGCAACACAGTGAGACCCCACCTCTACAAAATATTTTAAAATTAGCCAGGCGTGGTGGTGCATGCTTGTAGTCCCAGCTACTCAGGAGGCTGAGGTGGGAGGATAGGAGGCTGAGGTGGGAGGATCACTTGAGCCCAGGAGGTTGAGGCTGCAGTGAGCTGTGATTGCACCAGCCTGGGTGACAAAGTGAGACCTTGTCTCAAAGATAAAAGAAAGAAAGAAAGCCCTATCAAAATTTTAAAAAATAAAACATAAGAAAAAAATAAATGGATACATGATATTTGTACTTCTAAGAGGCATCTTCTATACATTTCCTGTTTCTCTCTTCCTTTTCCTAAGGAGTCCTTGTTGATTTGTGGCCATGAAACCTCTCTCCTTTCCAGGCTGGCTTCTTACCTAGGTCGTGTCCTATCCCTTTATTTTCTGGCAGGGCTGGACTGTCACTTGGTTGTTCTCGGTTTCAGGACCCACGTCTTTTGTCTCTGTAATGAATGTGTTCAGAGGTCTCTGCACAGAGAAGCTGGCTGTTAAGAAAACTTTTTCTTCTTTCCGAGACAGGCTGCAAAATGCTTGTTACTATTTTGTGTATTCCTGGCAGGATTTGTATTCTTAGTTTTATTACTAATGATAATAACAGTTAATGTTGAAATCAGCTCCATCCTGAAAGCACTGCATCCATTATCTTATTCTAGTCTCAGGCCCTGGAGGAATTTTCTCTCACTATACCCATTTCAGAAATTCCAGAATTAATGCTCGGAGGAGTCAAGTTACTTGTCTAAGCTCTATATTACAGAACTTAAATTGGCTTCTCTCTTTCCTTTGCGGGGTCTCACATGATCCGTCGTTCCAAATATGAGCACTTTCTCTTGTCTTTTCTGAGCTACCTATTCCAAGAACACAGAGGAGTTGTTATTGTGGTTACTTGTGGTAAGAAGAGTACCTTTCTGATTGGACCCAGGGCAGAAAAAAGAACTTTCAGGTGGAAATACAGTCGTGGTGTCAGGTAGTGTGTAACTTCGTTAAGTTCAGTCATAGCAGCCGCTGCCAAGGGGGGCTGTTCCTGTTCCTCATTTCCAATTGAAATTAATAACTCACTTGAGATCCTACTAAACAACACACGGAACAATGACCGCAATAACCAACATACTTTGAGTAACTATTACATGCATGGGCTCTGTGCTATTCTCTTATGTGTATTCATTTATTTAATTCCCTTAACAGTTCTTTCTGGCAGAGACACCCCCCCACTCTTAGCCCACTTTTATAGATGGCTAAGCAGAGGCTCAGAGAAGTCAGACAACTCACCCAGGATCAAGCAGAGGGCAAGTGGTAGATTCTAGAATTTGCATCCAGGCAGTTGAGTCTAGAATTGTCTTTGTGTATTTTGCTCCATGGTCTAGCACAGGATCACCATTGGTAGATCATCACTTAGAATGCCATCACTACCTTCTAACAGCAATCAGTCCCCTTAAGTGGCTTTCTTCTCTTTTTTTTCTTTTATCTTTTTGTTTTGTTTTTTTTTTTTTTGAGGGAGTCTTGCTCTGTCTGCCAGATGGAGCACAATGGCGCGATCTCAGCTCACTACAACCTCCGCCTCCCGGGATCAAGCGATTCTCCTGCCTCATGCTCCCGAATAGCTGGGATTACAGGCACACACCACCACACCTGGCTAATTTTTGTATTTTTAGGAGAGAGGGGTTTTACCATATTGGCCCAGCTGGTCTCGAACTCGTGACCTCATGATCCACTCGCCTTGGCCTCCCAGAGTGCTGGGATTACAGGCATGAGCCACTGCACCTGACTAAGTGGCTTTATTTTCTTATGTGGGGATCCTGGAGACACAGTGTGTGCCAAAGCGTCTGCAGACCAGTCTGTACAGTTGATTATAGATATATTAATGACCACTTCTGAGCTAAAAAATGATCTAGAATAATAGACTACCAAACACGTAAGCTTATTTACGGTTTGCCTCCTTCTCATGCTTTTGGAAGGGAAGCACTGAGGGTCATTGTATCAGTCAGCGTAGACTAGGTTTGCCGCAGTAACAAACGACCCCACCATGCCATAGCTTGCAAAAACAAAGACTGAGTTCTTGTCTACACTGTAGGGCCGTCAAGAGCTGGCTCTGCTTGCTCTTGGTCTTCTCCATGCCAGGATCCAGAGTAAAAGCACAGCTTCTCTCTAGGACTCCAGGGGAAAGAGAAAAGACAAGTTCTTAAAGTTTCTTCCAGGACGTGACACCTGACATTTCACTGGCCAAACACAGTGACCTGGTCACTCTGGGGCAGGGATGTGTAATCTCCCCATAGCTGGAGAAGTAAATAATAATGCACAATAACATTGTCTCCCATGGGTGCAGATGTGATGCTTTCCTCCTTGTGACTGTTTTCTGTCTTGCTGTCCCAAGTCCTAAGGTCCCAGCCACCTATGGTTCTTTGGACCTGTGATTTTCGCTGACCCCGAATGACTGGAGGAACTGCTGCCTGCATCCCCAACCCAGCCCTCCTTGTCAGTCACGTAGAAAGCAGTTATTGTTTCCAAGTTCCCTGCCCTTGTTAAATGTCAGCTTTGAGTGAAAATGTTCCTAATTTTACTCAGAGTGCAAAGAACATCCAGGTCAGGTACCTGACCTGCTTGATTCATGTCTTGGAAACACTCCTTTGTCTTTCAGAGAAAGTAAAGAGTGATGGAGACAGAGAGAGAAAGTGTGACCTACTTTTTATTATCAGCACCATTTCATCTGCAAAACACGACTTTTCTCTTCTTATTACGCTGAGCATGAAAATAAAATGTTTTCCAAAAGACCTGGCTTTGGCTGTTGTGAGGAAGGCCAGGGACTTGTTCAAAACTCTGATGAGCTCGATGAGCAAATGATTCCAATTTTTAAAAACTGTAATTGACTTTCAAACTGCTCTCACTGTCCACACATAATATGTGGTACTTTTCTGCAAATACCAGCAGCAAGGTAGGACAAAACCAGCTCCCACACTGGCTGTTTGCTTGATATTAAGCTTTGCCAGTCCAATATAGGTCACATTTCCAACCAGATTTTGTGCTTATCTCTACATTACACCTTGTAGCAAGGGGGAAAAAAAGAGCTTCTTGACATCTTTTTGAAGAATGGCGCTCTTTAAAAAAACATAAGGGAACTTTTTTTTTCAAACACTGTAATGAGGGTATTCAAGTCTGCAGGCAAAACAGAGCTGTTTGAAAAGACATTAGCCTCGAAACCGCACTGTGCCAGAATAGATACAGCTACGTCAAAATGCCGCATTTATTTTGCCATTACTTTTCACTGACTAAAACCATTTGCTAATGAAAGTTCTAGCTGACATAATTTCAGCACCTGCTGATGGAAAGGTGGACTCACTGGTCATGGGGAGTACAGTAAAATTAGGAGAGTAGATAGAATCCTGAAGCATTTGAGCTGCAAAATCATAGTAACAACAGCTCTTAATATCCTATAATTGAAAAAGAGATTGCCATTTTCAAAGACCTTTCACAGTCATTCTCTTAATCAAGTCTCATAATAAAGATGTCATTGGGACTGAGCAGCTTACTCACATTCTCATTTCACTGATGAGGAAACTGGAGCTCAGGGAGGTTACATGGATTCTGGATGACCTACAGGTCATGGAGGTAAGAGAGGAATGGGTTCCTGGCAACTCCTTCTGAGTACTAACTGTTAAAGTAAGCAGAGTGTGTGTCTAAACTTCTCATGGGCTACTGTGAGGAGTAAGGGGTAACTGCAAGTTAGAAGGCATGATGCCCAAGATTGTCCTTACTCTGACACCCACTGCAAGTTTGAGGTGGTCCTCAAACCCATCCTCATGGCTGATATTTGCTAGAAGGACTTGTGGCACTTAGCAGAAGCTATTGTATTTACAGTTACAGTTTATTACAGGGAAAGGATACAGGTTAAAATTAGATCGGGGAAGAGACAAATGGGGCAAAGTCCAAGACAAGTACCAGATGTGAAGCTTCTATTGTCCTCTACCCATGACATCAGGACAGAATACTTTTCTACTATCTATGTGTGGCAGTATGCATGGAATATTGTCAGACAGAGAAACTCACCTGAGCCTCTGTGTTCAGAGTATTTATTGGGTCTTCGTTGCGTAGGTGTGATTGGGTGATTGCCCACATATTTGATCTCAGCCTCCAAGTCAACTGATAACTGTGGTACAGTGTCCCTACCCTAAGCAATATTGTTGGTCCTTTAAGAATGGTTCATCTGCAACCTAAGGTTACATGGGTGTAGTTAGGCCCCATCCTAAATCACATTAAGAGTCTCCAGAGTATGATCAGAGGTGCCCAAGCAAACAAAGACTCTTTTTTTCAGGAATATATTCTGCATATATTTCAGTGATTTTTTTTTTTTTTTTGAGACAGTCTCTCATTCTGTCGCTCAGGCTGGAGTGCAGTGGCGTGACCTTGGCTCACTGCAATTTCTACCTCCCGGGTTCAAGCGATTCTCGTGCCTCAGCCTCCTGAGTCACTGGGATTACAGGCATGCACAACAACACCCAGCTAATTTTTGTATTTTTAGTAGAGACAGGGTTTCACCATGTTGCCCAGGCTGCTCTCGAGCTCCTGACCTTAGGTGATCCCCTCACCTTGGCCTCCCAAAGTGCTGGGATTACAGGCGTGAGCCACGACCACCAGCCTCAGTGAATGTTTTTTAATTTGGAAAGGATTTTATAAGAAAGGATTCCAACTTTCCCATTTACAGAGAAGGAAGCTGAGGCTCACAGGTTTCACTCAAACCATAAAGCTCAGGAGTAACTAAAGGAACTGGAGCTTGGGGGTCCCAGTCCTGGGCACCATTGCTAAGTAATGTGGCCTATTTTCAATAAGGGCTTATTAATCATACTAAAAATAAGAACTTAAAACTAAATTTTTATTTGCCTAGAAATCTAACATCTTTAGATAAAAATATTCCATATTCAGGAGGCATAATTCTTTCTCTTTTCTTTTTTTTTTTTTTGAGACAGAGTTTTGCTCTTATTGCCCAGGCTGGAGTGCAATGGCGCAATGTTGGTCCACCTCAACCTCTGCCTCTTGGGTTCAAGTGATTCTCCTGCCTCAGCCTTGCGAGTAGCTGGGATTACAGGGATGTGCCACCATGCCAGGCTAATTTTGTATTTTTAGTAGAGACGGGGTTTCTCCATGTTGGTCAGGCTGGTCTCAAACTCCCAACCTCAGGTGATCTGCGTAACTCGGCCTCCCAAAGCACTGGGATTACAGGCTTGAGCCACTGTGCCCGGCCATCTTTCTTTTTCTTCCTCTCCTTCTACCTTGCCCACCATGGCTTAATTTCACCAGAATATCATCATTATCAACATCATTATTTCTAGTTCAGATCATTCTAAAAATAGAGCAGTCATTTTCTTCTATATAAGTCCCAGGTCCAGCCTGCTATTTTTTGAGCCTACCTTTCCTAATATCTAGTTTATATTTTGTTTTGTTCTTTCTTGGGATTGGGAGTCAGAATATCAACTTTTTCAGAAAAGAGCTTTGGAAATTCTACATACATAATATATATAAATTTTCCATTCATAGTGTGTTAGCAGCTTTTTCTACAAATCTCTTGGCGGGTGGGGGGATATTTCACTCTTCTATGAATCAAATAATATATGGCTTTTTCCTATTGGAAAAAATTAGTCGTGTGAACTTTATTCTTCAAGAAAAAGTAGTTTTTATCTGCCTTGGAAATGTCAAAAGGATTCACAAGTTTCACAAGTGATGATCTGGGTTGATTGCTAGGAACTGTTTTTAGTTAGTTTTTTTTTTTTTTTTTTTTTTTCAGACGGAGTCTTGCTCTGTTGCCCAGGCTGGAGTGCAGTGGCGCGATCTCGGTTCACTGCAACCTCCGCCTCCTGGGTTCATGCCATTCTCCTGCCTCAGCCTCCCGAGCAGCTGGGAGTACAGGTGCCCGCCACCACGCCTGGCTAATTTTTTGTTTTATTTTGTTTTGTTTTTTTTAGTAGAGACGGGGTTTCACCGTGTTAGCCAAGGATGGTTTTGATATCCTGATTTCGTGATTCCACCCACCTTGGCCTCCCAAAGTGCTGGGATTACAGACATGAGCCGCTGTGCCCGGCTGCTAGGAACTATTAATCCATAGACAAGGCTCTGGTTAGAGAAGCAGAAAGAAGGCTGGGTAGACCGGGGAAGGTAGCTGGGAGGTCTCTGAAGCTTGGTCTTGAAGCTGTGAATTCATAGACGTCTTGGAAAAGAACTTTATAATGTGGTTAGACAAGTTTTATAAGATTTTAGGATTAGGAAGGCTTTTTTAGGGGGTGGGGTTGCTTTTAAACTTTGTTTGAAAAATGGAGCTTGCTGCCATCATATCATCATCAAAAATGGAACTTGTCTATCCACAAATATTTATTTAAAAGTCAGACTAATGGCAGAATGGAAAGAATCCCAGCTTTGGAGTTAAAATATCTCACTTAAAACTTGTCTTCGCTGCAGGCTACTTGGTTGTACTTGAGTAATTTACTCAAGATTCTCTTCAGCCCAGTTTCCTTATCTGTAAAATCCTTCCACTGTTGTTAGGAGGATAAGAAAGCCAGTATTGGTAAAAACATATATCAGAGTCCTTTTGACTGTTTAGAAAGTGTTAATTTACTCCACGATTATCCATTCAACATTTATTAGTTGGCTTCTGTGTGGGAGAGTAACCATTAATACCTTGAATAAGTTTATAATCTGGTCATTCTGTAGAGCTTCCTATATGATGTCTTCTGTTTAAGTATTTCTGTAATACCTTATAGACATCTCTTTTAGACTACTAGTGATTGTTGGTGTCAACATATGTGTGAAAATGCATATATCCTTTATTAGGCTCTAGCACACAGTGTGCTCTCAATGTTTGTCTTTTCAAATAAACATACTTGGCCAGGCCTGGAGGTTCATGCTTGTAATTCCAGCACTTTGGGGGGCCAAGGCGGGAGGATCAGTTGAGCTCAGGCGTTCAAGACCAGCCTGGGCAACATGGCAAAACCCTGTCTCTACAAAAAATAAAAAAGTTAGCCAGGCATGGTGGTGTGTGCCTGTAGTCCCAGTTACTGGGGAGGCTGAGATGGGATGATTGGTTGAGCCTGGGAGGTCGAGGCTGCAGTGAGCAATGATATTGCCACTGCACTCCAGACTGCATGAGAACGTAAAACCCTGACTTAAAACAAAAACAAAAAGAAAACGTGCTCATTGGCTAAGCCTGGTAGAAGCCACATGACCAAGGCTGATCATTGCTGCCACTGGGTGGCAGCATACTGGGATTGAGGAAAATAACCCCTCAACTGCCCGGATGATAAACACAGAGTTCTAAAATGGCAACAAAGGGAGATCCACCCTTCTCAGTTATTGTTTGAAAGGACAGCTCTCAGGCAAAATATGTCCACGAAGTTCCATGGAATAATTACCTTCCTTGGTGTTAAAAAATGCCCTCACATTTCAAACATGTCCTGCTTTAAGTTCCCAGCGTCTTAACCAGGAACTCGCTTATGTGTGTTGTTTTCTGCTTCTTTCCACTAGGGAGCTATTGCTGTAAAACAGAAGGGGTAGTATTACAGGGAGGAGATGCACATTTTAAAATATATTTCTGCTTCGTCAAACTGTACAGAACTCTTTTCCTCAATGAGAACCAGGTTTTTGCATGTATCTTTTGCCAAGATTTGAGAAGGGAAGTCTCCACCTTCCAGAGCTTTGGTCATATTTTGTTTCTCTCTAAGGGTGAAGATGCTGTTTGTTCTTGCAGGGTGAGGCTTTGGCCAATAAGAAAGCAGTGCTCAGAGGTAAAGAGCCTCGCTGAAGCCCTAGTTCTAGCCTACCAGGATTTGGTCATTTCTTGGTTTTTCATTTGATCCCACCCTTGCCTCCCTTCAGAATGAAGGTAGAATGTGGGACTGTTTCAGACCATGAATGCGATTGGGCAGAAAGACTGTGAACCAAGAGGGCAGGGAGAAGGGAAGGGATGTGGGGAGAGCTAAGTGTAAATTGTAGAGTCTATGAACAATTCTGGAGACAGACAGGACAGGTAAGGAGAAACTGCTGCTCTTGGTAGAGGTTTACAGCCAATTGTAGAACCCTAAGAAAATACAGCACTTTGGGAGTGGATGGACCCAAAATGGGTGGATCATTTGAGCCCAGGAGTTTGAGACCAGCCTGGGTAACATGGCAAAACCTTACCTCTCAAAAATTTACAAGCTTAGCCAGGCATGGTGGTGCCCACTTGTGGTTTCAGCTACCTGGGAGGCTAAAGTGGGAGGATATCCTGAGCCCAGGAGGTGGAGATTGCAGTGAGCCATGCTCGTGCCATTGCATTTCAGCGTGGGTGACAGTGAGACCCTATCTCAAAAAAAAAAAAAAAAAGTTCCTAAGAAAATAAAGCCTGGCCCATGCAATTTGAATGTAACTGTCTATAATTTCTCTTGGTTACTGAAATTCTGAGTTTGTGTCTATGGTTTCTCCATCCTTGTCTTTGAGGAGGAGCAGGATGGCGAAGTCGCAGCCATTTAAAAACTTGTTTTCAGTCATTTTGCAGAAAGCAGACGTACACTTCTTTGCTGTTGGTCTGTGATGCGGGAGTGGTTTGTCAGTTCTTTCATTCAACAAGTGCTGATCTTTGGGCAGCATACACTGGTATGACCTTTATCATTTGTTCAGGTGTTGTGGAGAAAGTTGTTTGCTTTTGAAAGACTTGATGGAGAAAAGTCTTTCTACATTTCTAGAAAGACCATGGGTGTGAGTATTGAGAGCTGAGTGCCAGTTTGTTTTTTTGTTTTTGTTTTCGTTTTTTGAGAAGGGGTCTCACTCTGTCACCCAGGCTGGAGTACATTGGTGCGATGAAGGCTTACTGCAGCCTCTACTTCCTGGGCTCAAGTGATCCTCCCACCTCAGCTTCCTAAGTAGCTGGGAGCACAGGCACCAGCAATGACACCTGCCTAATTTTGTATTTTCTGTAGAGATGGGGTTTTGGCATGTTTCCCAGGCTGGTTTTAAACTCTTGAGCTCAAGCCATCCACCCGCCTTGGCCTCCCAAATTGCTGGAATTATAGGCATGAGCCACCATGCCCTGCCCAGGCACCATTCTTGACTGCGAGAAAGTCACTGTGATGGTTTCTCCAGCCTGAGTTTTCTCCTGTATAAAATGGACCTTGTTTTGAGGAGAGAATGAGGTATGTGGTACTCGTGAGCAGGATTTTCAATGCCTGGCTGGTTGTTACTTATCCATTTAGTCCGAGCTTCAGGGAAAGAACATGACACCGGCCTCCAGCAGAGCCTGCTCTTGGTCCACTGTTTATCCTGGTGACCTTAGGCAAGTCATTTAATTTCCTTGAGTTTTGGTGTAAGTATTGATGGAGCAGACCATCAATAACTGTTCTTATGTCTGTTATTACCATGTGTCTGTCTACATGTTTGTTTGTAAATTCTCTGTGGGTAAAAGTTCTCTTTTCATCCCCTTGCCTCAGCACGGAGCCCAGAGCCAGACTGCAGGTAGGCACTCAATAGATATTTGATAAATGGATGTTAGTCATTTGATTTCTGAAGTTGCGTAGGTACCAGCACTACAACCCTATGTAGTTCACATAACTATTTGCAGTTGTATTTTCCTTTAAATCTAAATTGGAGAGAAGGAAGGTAATTAAGGCATAATTATCAGACTTAATCAAGCACTTATTTATTGAGCTTACTTGGTGCCTGGGCTTGTATCTTTTGTTTCTGATTTTTAGTTTCGTTTCATTGCTCCAGCGTGGGGGAATTTGCCTGTGTATCCTTGAATAAATGTCTTTCTTTGGAAGGCAGATTAAGTAGGGATTTCTCTTACTGTTTATTTTTGTTTCTAACTGAAGTTCAATGAATTATTCTTTTACCCAGACACTTACATATTCCTAGCCATTCCTTTTGCTTAAGTTTGCAGAGATTTGTGCTTAAAACTGAATAAACAATCTCAGGGTTTTTGTGTGTGTGTGTATGTGTGTGTGCGTGTTATATGAAGTCTTGCTAGAATGCATAAACAAACAAAAAAAATATCATACTCTCAGATCCTGGATACTGTGGTCGCCTGGACTTCAAAAGCCTTTTGTCCGTATGTATTTACATAATGTATTCTCCATGTTTGGTTTTCATTAAACCCATGAGTTTAATAATAAAGTGTTTGGAACTATGCTTTTCCCTACCACTTTTCTTTTTTTTTTTTTTTTTGAGACGGAGTCTCGCTCTGTCGCCCAGGCTGGAGTGCAGTGGCGCGATCTCGGCTCACTGCAAGCTCCGCCTCCCGGGTTCACGCCATTCTCCTGCCTCAGCCTCCCGAGTAGCTGGGACTACAGGCGCCCGCTACCACGCCCGGCTAATTTTTTGTATTTTTAGTAGAGACGGGGTTTCACCGTGTTAGCCAGGATGGTCTCGATCTCCTGACCTCGTGATCTGCCCGCCTCGGCCTCCCAAAGTGCTGGGATTACAGGCGTGAGCCACCGCGCCCGGCCCCACTTTTCTTGTTGTGAATATTTTTTCCCCTTCTGAAGTGAATACTGATTTTTCGTTACAGATATTTGATGCTTTGGGGGCCTGTTAAAATAGTTGTAAATACACTTTCTAAATAGATGAAATGAAAGAAATTCTGAGAAGGGGTTTCTTTGACTTACTGGAAAAAAAAATAATAGGAAAGAAAATGTGATCAGTTGGTATATTTGGCTCTCTTTCATCAACACTTTTATGGACCTGCATTGCTGTGTTTCTGTGATGTGTATAAAACACAGTTTCAGTGATCGTGCAAGCCTCAGTTTTAGAAGATAAAAAGATATGAACTTGAACCCAAGCTTCTCTGTCAAGAGAATTATAATGTGTTTTGACTGTAGGCTTCCTTCGAGTTAAATTTACAGTATTTTCCCCTAACAATAACAACAACCAGAAGTGCCCCTTTAAGTTGAGATGCTTGTTAAACTTTACATGTATGCATGCATATAAATGTACATTTCTGTATATATAATATACGTTCACATATAGTTACATTAGATTTTTAAAGAATTTCCTTTTTGCCTTCAAATCATTGCACAGAACATCCAAGTAGACATCATGTCAAAATAATCAAAATGTATTTAACGCTCTCTCAAGAAATCCATTTAAGAATAAGAACACGGTTTGGGGGTGATTTTCAGACCGTAAATTGAAGTGTAAATATTCGAATTATTTTCATAAACTCTTCAGTTCTGTTGGGCTTTTATGTTATCATACAGTGATTTTTTTTTTTGTATTTAAGTTTCCTAGCAGTTCTCTTTTTTAAGAGCCTCAAGTGTCCAATAAAAAGCAAATACTTGAATTTTCAGTTTCTATATAGTGCATATTTTTTCTCCTGCTTGCCTTATTTTTATAACAGTGATTTATAAAGACATTACTAAAGAATAGGAAAGAAGGATTTTGAAGAGGAACTGCTATATAACACTGCTTAAAAATCTATTTCCAATGCTAAGGAGAGGAAAAAAAAATACTGGCACCGTATCCGAGTGGGATCTGGGATCCGAGTGAGATGGCCATACCTTCAGTCATTCTCCTCCCCAAATATTTATTGAGCCTGGTGGACAAGGAGGGCGGGATAAGATTGCCAGGCCCTGCTTCTATTTCTGGGGTTGGGATGGCGACTAAAGACCCGCGTGGACTGCATGCTGCAGCCAGCTCAGGAAAGATTTCAGGAAGAGCGTTTAGGAAGGCAGCTTTGAAAAGAAAATGGAAAGATGAGGTTGCAGAGGGTCAGTCCAAGGTGACCAGAATCTGACCTGGGGCAATGCCATAAATCCAAGAAAGACTGGGTTTCAGGTGCAGGAAATGCGATTGTGCACGGACCCTTGCCTTTTTACCCAGTATCTAGCCCATCCTTCTTTCTTAGAAGCAGAATTTTCTAAGAGGTACACGGTAGTTCAGGATAAAAATTCCCTGTGCTAACTGCCCTTGCAGCTAGCTCTCTGTGACCGTGTGACCATGTGACCCAGTTCTAGCGAATGGGGTGGCAGGGAAGTCCCACATGGACTTCTTGGGCGTGTCCTTAGGGGAAGCATAGCTTCTTGCCTTCTTCACACTCCTCCTTCCCTTCCTGCCGTCTGGGATGTGGGGTCTGGCAGAGAAACAATATTGTGAATGGAAATGGGAGGAACTTGGGTCCTGAAAATTACACCATACCCCAGAGCCTGGGGTGGATTATTTCAGGACCTTTCTTCCTTCCTTCCTTCCTTCCTTCCTTCCTTCCTTCCTTCCTTCCTTTCTCTCTTTCTTTTTTTATTTTTTTTTTCAGACAGGGTCTCCTCCACACCCAGACTGGAGTGCAGTGGCACATTCATGGCTCACTGCAGCCTCAACCTCCTGGGCTCAGGCGATCCTCACACCTTAGCCTCCTGAGTAGCTGGGACTACAGGTGTGCACCACCACACCCAGCTAGCTAATTTTTTTTTTTTTTTTTTTTTCTGTAGAGACGGGGTTTCACCATGTTGCCCAGGCTGGTCTTGAACTCCTAGCCTCAAGTGATCCGCCAGCCTCAGCCTCCCAAAGTGCTGGGATCACAGGCATAGGCTGCTGCACCAGGCAAGGACTTTTTTTTTTTTTTTTAAACAAACTTCACTCAGTTTGAAGGCACCATTATTTGGGTTTCCTGTTAATTGCAGTTAATCCTATTGAGTAAATGTATCAAGGACAAAGAGCAGAATGAAAAAATGAGTGAGTAAAGTTGAGCAGAAGAACTCACTGAAAAGTCCTGGCAAGGTTCCACGGCACCTGTGATGCTTCCATCACACATATTTGCTGAGTACCCGCTGTTCATAGGTCAGTCGCTATGCAAGGCACTGAGGTGACAAAGACAAGGAGAATGACAGTTAAATGTAACATGGGCTTTGTGGTCAATTAGTTCTGGGTTCGTTCCCAGGTCCTATCACTAACTAGTACCCTTATGAACCTGGACATGTCACTAGCAGCCTCAGTTTCCTCATCCATAAGATGGGGATAGCAATATCTATCTCCTACACCTGATGTGAGTATCACATGAGAAATGCACATGAAATGTTTTACTTAGTGATGAGCATATGGTAAATAAGAATTTAATAGATTTTAGTGAAAGCAAAATAAAAGGTCCTATCATTGTCCTTAAGGAGCTTACGAAAACAGAGCTATACGCACATCCGTAGACAGTTACCACACTCAGGAATAGTGGAAAACTGACAAGACCCTGGAGATGCTGTGTGGGGAGGGATAATGGGAACGCAGGTCAGCATGCTCTAGGAATGGTAAGAGAAACTCCCAATCTGAACGGTAGTCAAAGAAGGTCTTCTTCTCTTTGGAGACTGAAAGGCTGAGAGGGTACCTGCCCTGCTAAGGAAATGAACAGGACGGAAGAATGATGGAGGGAGAATGGGAAGTCCTCAGCACATAAAAGTTTGAGCTGGAAATGAAATATACAACTCTGCATAGTCAGCAGATTTTGCTGGGCTGGGCCAGTTCAGCTCAGCAAGGATTGCTGGGCATGTGCTTGAAGGAGAAAGGTGAGGATACAAAGGCAATGAGTACATGATCCTTGACCTTGAGAAACCTATAGTCTAATAGAGGAGGCACATATAAAAGTAATTAGGTAAAATATAGTGCAGAATATGCAGTCATGGAGTCATCTACAGATCTGCCTGGAATACAGAGGGACAAGTGTTTAGTATTTTCCAACTGTTCACAGAGGACAAGACACTTGGGCAGAAGTTTGAAGGCAATTCCAGGTTAGCAGTACCCACTTGATATGGTTTAGCTGTGTCTCCACCCAAGTCTCATCTTGAACTTTAGCTCCCATAATCCCCACGCCACATGGGAGGGATTTGAATCGTGGGAGGTAATTGGATCATGGGGGTGGGTCTTTCCCATGCTGTTGTTATGATAGTGAATAAGTCCCATGAGATCTGATGGTTTTATAAAGGGCAGTTCCCCTGCACAAACTCTCTTGCCTGCTGCCATTTAAGACATGTGTTTGCTCCACATTGGCCTTCTGCCGTGATTGTGAGACTTTCCCAGCCATGTGGAACTGTGAGTCCGTTAAACCTCTTTCCTTTATAAATTACTCAGTCTCAGGTATGTCTTTATTAGCAGCATGAGAACAAACTAATACACCACTTGAATTGCTGGTACGTCTGAGGGGCTTGACTCCCAGTCCTTCGAACATGGAGGGGTAGCTCTTTTTCTAAGCTCCTCATAAAGTATTGTATCCAATTCTTCAGAAGGGATGAAGGTATCTGGTCCTGTCCGCAAACAGAGAAGTGCTTCTTGTACTGACCAGGCAGTGACCTAACGCAGTCCTTGAGACAATTCCAGGTGCCCCTCAGGCCGTTTTTCCACCCTGGTGTTTTTCTTTGTATAGACAGCCTATGCCTGGATAAGAACATGCTGCGTCAGAGAGTTCTTTTTCACTTTGCCCCTCAAAATGTGCACACCGACAGCCACAGATAGATCCCAGATGTCTTTTTCCTGCTCTTGCAAACCTTGAAGTGGGCCCTGCCGGCAGGCACACCTGCCAAGGAAAATGCTGTCCTCGAAATGTTCCTGGCACCGTTTTCAAGAGGTGCCGACCAAGCGCTGGAATTGCTGACCTCCCTGAAAGAGAAGCCTGCAGCTGCGGCCTCTGGGGTGAATTCCCCCCATGGGAGGACCTGGTGGAGTTAAAACAGACTATATCCACATCACAGAGAGCTGGCCCATTGCTCAGGGCCTGGGAAGTGGTAGGGAGGGACCTTCCCAGAAGAGAGATGACTCAGGCTGGTCCCAAGCCCCTCCTGTAGAACAAACAGACAAGGTGAGGAGCAAGGAGGCATTTGGAGGTCATCTGGCCCAGCACCCTTGTCTGGAAGACAGATTTAAGTTCCATAAAGTCACTTAGGAGGAGAACATAGTCCAGGTTGAACCTTGCTGCCTGCCCTCTGGTTGAAACATCAGTGTTGAATCAATAGACCACGTCCTGTCCATACCTTGGGAATTAGACTCACCCAGACTCTGAGTTAAGAGTTTCTATGAGACAGAGGGCTGGACTGGGGGAGCAAGGCTTGCAAATCGAAAGCATCAGTTGCTACCCCTGAGCACCATCTCCCATAGGAGACTCTTTGAACACTTTTTTAAAAGGCAAGATGTTGGCCTGGCGTGGTGGCTCACGCCTGTAATCCCAGCACTTTGGCAGGCCAAGGCGGGTGGATCACCTAAGGTCAGGAGTTCGAGACCAGCCTGACCAACTTGGCAAAACCCAGTGTCTACTAAAAATACAAAAATTAGCTGAGCATGGTGTCACATGCATGTAGTCCCAGCTACTCAGGAGGCTGAGGCAGGAGAACTGCTCGAACCCAGGAGGCTGAGGTTATGTTGAGCCAAGATTGTGCCACTGTACTCTGGCCTGGGCAACAGAGGGAGACTCCGTCTCAAGAAACAAACAAACAAAAAAAGTCAAGATGTTGACATAACAGTTCTGAAGACCAAGGTGGTGGAATAGGTTAGGTTAGGATACGTCGGAGGAGCCAGTGTGAACTGCTCCTTTAAGACATGAATTAGCCCATTTTCATGCTGCTGATAAAGACATACCCGAGACTGGGCAATTTACAAAAGAAAGAAGTTTATTGGACTTACAGTTCCATGTGGCTGGGGAGGCCTCACAATTACGGGGGCAGACAAGAGAGGAGAGCTTGTGTAGGGAAACTCCTGTTTTTTAAAACTATCTGATCTCGTGAGACTTATTCACTATCACGAGAACAGCATGGGAAAATCCTGCACCCGTAATTCAATTACCTCCCACCAGCTTCCTCCCACGACATTTGGGAATTGTGGGAGTTACAAGTTGCAATTCAACATGAGATTTGGGTGGGGACACAGCTAAACCATATCAAAACATAACTATAGCTGGGTGAAGTGGCTCGCACCTGTAATCCCAGTGCTTTGGGAGGCCAAGGTGGGAGAATTACTTGAGGCCAGGAGTTTGGGGCTAGCCGAGGCAACACATAGAGACACCGTCTCTCAAAAAAATTTAAAGAAACTTAGCCGGGGCCGGGCACGGTGGCTCATGCTGGTAATCCCAGCACTTTCGGAGGCCTAGGTGGGCAGATCACAAGGTCAGGAGATGGAGACCATCCTGGCTAACGTGGTGAAACCCCGTCTCTACTAAAAATAGAAAAAGAAATTAGCCTGACATGGTGGCACATCCCTGTAATCCCAGCTACTCGGGAGGCTGAGGCAGGAGAATGGCGTGAACCCAGGAGGCGGATCTTGCAGTGAGCCGAGATCGCACCACTGCACTCTAGCCTGGGCGACAGAGCAAGTCTCCGTCTCAAAAAAAAAAAAAAGAAGAAACTTAGCCAGGTGTGGTGGTGCATACCTGTAGTCCTAGCTACTTGGAAGGCTAAAGCAGGAGGATCACTTGAGTCCAGGAGGTCAAGGCTGCAGTGAACTGTGATCACGCCACTGCACTGCAGCCTGGGCAACAGTGCGAAACCCTGTATCAAAAAAAAAAAAAAAAAAAAAAAGAAACACAACTTACCAAACCAAGAAACTTACAGAGAACATGATTAGAAGCTAGCATCTGTTTTTACCCTACCCTCTTCCCCTATGACCCACCACCACGCAGGCCTTGCTAATGTGGGGTCTTTGTGGAGGATCTTCAGGATCTTCAGTGCCAGAACCCAGCATTTAAACTCTTATTTGACAGTGGGGCCACAGCAGATTTAAAAGGACAATGACATGATAAAAAATGTGTTCCTGAGAGATTTAAATGCAGGCCTATAGAGAGCAGATGTTAAAAGAGAAGAAGCAGACTGGGCATGGTGGCTCGCATCTATAATCGCAGCACTTTGGGAGGCCAAGGCGGGTGCATCACTTGAGCCCAGGAGTTTGAGACCAGCCTGAGCAACATGGTGAAACCCCATCTCTACAAAGAATACAAACATTAGACACTTTTCAAAAGAAGACATTTATGCAGCCAACAGACACATGAAAAAATGCTCATCATCACTGGCCCTCAGAGACATGCAAATCAAAACCACAATGAGATACCATCTCACACCAGTTAGAATGGTGATCATTAAAAAGTCAGGAAAAAACAGGTCCTGGAGAGGATGTAGAGAAATAGGAACACTTTTACACTGTTGGTGGGACTGTAAACCAGTTCAACCATTGTGGAAGACATTGTGGCGATTCCTCAAGGATCTAGAACTAGAAATACCATTTGACCCAGCCATCCCATTACTGGGTATATACCCAAAGGATTATATATCATGCTGCTATAAAGACACATGCACATGTATGTTTATTGCGGCACTATTCACAATAGCAAAGACTTGGAACCAACTCAGATGTTCATCAATGATAGACTGGATTAAGAAAATGTGGCACATATACACCATGGAATACTACACAGCCATAAAAAAAGGATGAGTTCATGTCTCTTGTAGGGACATGGATGAAGCTGGAAACCATCATTCTCAGCAAACTATCACAAGGACAAAAAAACCAAACACTGCATGTTCTCACTAATAGGTGGGAATTGAACAATGAGAACACTTGGACACAGGAAGGGGAACATCACACACCGGGGCCTGTCGTGGGCTGGGGGGAGGGGAGAAGGATAGCATTAGGAGATATATCTAATGTAAATGACGAGTTAATGGGTGCAGCACACCGACATGGCACATGTATACTTATGTAACAAAGCTGCACATTGTGCACATGTACCCTAGAACTTAAAGTATAAAAAAAAAAATTAGCTGGGCGTGATGGCACCTGCCTGTACCCCAGCTACTTGGGAGGCTGAAGTGGGAGGATCACTTCAGCTCAGGTGGTAGAGGCTGCAGTGAGCTCACATCACACCACTGCACTTCGGCCTGGGTGACAGAGTGAGACCCTGTCTCAAAATAAAATAAAATAAAATAAGCAGCAGCAGCAGCAGCTAGGTTCCAAAAAAAAAGTTGGAAGGGTGTGATGGGATTTTAGTTGCTGGATGCTGAAGTTCTGCCAACACAGTGGGTTTGGAGAGTAGGAGTGAAAGAGTGGAGACTGGCCATAAGTTGGGAGGGTAAGTAATTGGTTGTGATTGAAAGGAAAGAAGGAGGTAATGATGAGTTTTGGTCTGGGAACCGGAGAATGGTGGTCCATGGACAGAAATAGAGAAGGCAAGATGAGAAGATGCAATAGGCAAAGGCAGTGAGTTTAATGGTTGACTTTTGGTATTTGCTGTGTATGCCCTCTGTACCTTTGACCTGGGCCTTCAACCCTTGGACAGAGCTTAAGATGGCTGCGTCCCAAGTGGTCCATCCCAAGCGAGTTTTCCCTGGACTTATCTGGAATGACTCTGAACCTTTTGAAGACCCCAAAACTAACCCAAGCTTTGCATGATCTCCCCAGGATGGGTAAGACTTCTTACTCTCTAGAGCTCTTTTCTCTGTAGGCTTAGCTACTCAGTGAATAAATAGGTACATAAGTGCTTGCTAGCAAGCAGCTGAGGCAACCTATTAAAACTCATGCCAGTGGTAAAGTTAAGCTGCTTTCTGGTAAGAATTTCAGAATTCCAGGACGTCTCAAATTTCTGGCTGGTACACCCTGGGCAAGGTCCACAGGCTGGATGGGTTTTGGAACATGTCTTGATTGTACTTTTTCCTCTTGGTTTGGAAAGCAACGTACCCTAGGTAAGGAGAGATTTCTGACAACAGCTCAGCAATCACAGTTTCCAGAAAATGGCTCCAGTGGATCAACTATGAGTTAAGTAAAAAAAAAGTCAGTGCTACCGTTTGAAGTATGTCTAGAGTATGGTTTTAATCCATCGCTGTCAGGCTCACATAAAATTCCAGGCTTCTGTAACTCTTTAACTTGAAGTATTACAGGGTGTCACCTGCTAAATGGAAGCCAAGAGAAGCAAGGAGTTTTTCATGGTTAAATCTTGTAAAGATGCTTTTTAAAGCATATTAATCCATTAGTAATCCATTTGGATTTGGGAATACGGTCATATACTGTTTGGTACAATATGTACTAAACCTGGTCCTGGAAAATTAAGTGGAAATATAGGTTTAAACTACTGGAACTTCAAAATAGCTTCTCAGTAATTCCTTCTCAGCAATCATTCCAATTCCTAGATTTAAAAAAATGTTGATATATCAAATTTCCATCAAGAGGAACATACATATGGATTTTTGGAGAGGGGAGCAGAGCAGAAGAGAAAACTTTCAACTTTTAATAGTATTTCAAATTTACCTGAAAGTGACCCAAATAATACAAGCAACTGTTTACCCTGATTCTCCAATACACCTGCATCTTTAATTATGCTAATTTGATACAGGTGTCAGATTATGCATTAACAAAGACATCCTTTTTCTTTGAGTATGTGTTTTCTATGGTTATGTAAATTATGGAGGTGCTAAACATACCTTTAGAGAACTTTGTATTTGTATTAACTTTTTTTTTTTTTTTTTTTTTTTTTTAATAGCGATGGGGTTTCACTGTGTTGCCCAGGCTGGTCTCAAACTCCTGAGTTCAAGTGATCTGCCTTGCTTGGCTTCCCAAAGTGCTGCGATTACAGGCATCTGCCACCGTGCCCAGCTATAGAGCTTTATTTATTTATTTATTTATTTATTTATTTATTTATTTATGAGACAAGGTCTCACTCTGTCTCCCAGGCTGGAGTGTAGTGGCATGACCTCGGCTTACTGCAACCTCCGCCTCCTGGGTTGAAGCGATTCTCCTGCCTCAGCCTCCTGAGTAGCTGGGACTACAGGCACATGCCACCATGCCTGGCTAACTTTTGTTTCTTTTTAAATAGAGGTCTGTTTTTACTATGTTGGCCAGGCTGGTCTGGAACTCCTGAGGTCAAGCAATCTACCTGCTTCTCTCTCCCAAAGTGTTGGGATTACAGGTGTGTGCCACCATGTGTGGCTATAGAACTTTTTAATGTGCCAAGGTCTGTGTTCAGTGTTTTCTTATTCCTCATCTGACTTAGTTCTCAAAGTCCTTGCCTAAGGTATTGCTGTCCTCACCGTCCTATGGGGAGATAGGTCACTTTCCCAAGTCTGGGCAGCCAGCAGCAGGGCTAAGATCACCACTCAGACCCTGTGATTTTATTTTTCATCTCCTCACATCTGGCGCTGAATGTCAGGACCTTCCTGGCCTCTGGGAAAGACACAGGATGGCTGTTTTGAGAGGAGTGTGAAATACATGAAGGCAGGACTTCCACACACCTGGACGTGAACTAGAGGTGAGGTGGGGAAAGACAGGAAGTAGATCAGTGTTGCCCAGACCCTACCTTTTCCAACTAGGGTGTGGACCATCCTTCAGAGCTTGGCCTCCAAGTTGGAACCCGTGTATACCACTGACAGTGTTTCCTGGGATGGTGATATTTATCAAGTGCAGAGGCCCAGACACAGAGAGCTTGAGGACCTTTGTGTGAGACAGTGAAACCCTCAAAGGCAAGGGCTCTGTTTCATGAGTTTTCTATCTCCTGCTGCTGTCTCGGTGGGCCTGTTTGAGTTGACCTGTCCCGTCGGTATTAGCAACTGGCAACAGTGGGTTTTTGTTAAATACGGCAAATATTAAGAGTCGTCTCTGGGCATTTTAGTTTATTCATTCATTTGTTCATTTATTCCACAGGGATTTATTATGCATTTACTGTGTACTAACTAATGGGGAGATAGCAATGAAGGCAGACTAAGTGTCTTTGTTCTAGTGCAGCCATATAGTCAGTGAATGAATGAGTGAGCAAGATACAGGAGAGAAGTGAGGTATGGCCCATTATACCAGATAAAGTGATAGAGAGGGGCTGGCGAGGAGAGCAGTCTAATTTCAGGAAAGTCAGAAAAGTCTTTAAGGAAACTGAAGGCTGAGCTGCCAGGGCCAGCCACGTGGGTACTGGAGAGTGGGAGGCCCAGTCAGGGGGAATGCTGGCTTAGCACAACTGAAAAATACAAAGGTAGAATATGAAGTGTAATGACATGGTTTAGATTGAAATCTGATGTGGATGGAAAGGTTTTGTGGCCTTTCAGCCCAAGGTTTGAAAAAGAAATGGAATTTCTAAATGGAGTGGGTAGCCACAGGAGGGCTTTAGACAGGACAGTGGCCCCGCTGGATTTTCTGCCCATTGACTTGGGCTCGAAGTCACGTCCATGTTGCTATTACAGATGCCTCCCAGAACAGTTTATATAATCATCAACGTATATTCATGGAGCATCTTCTGTCTGCTAGACACAGAATTGGGTGTTGGGCTTTAAAGATGGATGAAAGGCAGTACCTGGTCTAGAGAGGCTGCTACCTGGATGGTGTGTTTGCCATCCTCAGTAATGTGTGTCCCTTACAGATGATGCCCAATGACTCTACAATTGCTGGGATACTTTTTAGAATTTTCTTTTTGTGCATTACTTTTGATTCTTGGTTCTTTCTTTGGCATTAGCTCACCAGTGGCAAATATGTATCCTTTAAGGGTGGACTTAATTTTTTGAGAAATGGCCAAAAGTTTGTTTCAAGTCTAGTCTGATGAATAAAGCAGGAGATTTATTTTTGGCAAAAGTGGCAAATAAAGAGGGCTGATTTTTGTATATGGCTACTGAAATGGCTTAGAATGCCATTTTATCACATGGTCAAATTATTCAATGATCAAATATCGAATTATTAAAAATTATCAAAAGGAAGTTCCCTGAAACATGAAAGTGTTTGGGCTTTGTAGGTACCCAAGTCTACTGGGAAAAATCCCCATTTCTGGGTAACCCAGCCCCTTTTAATGACAACTTCAGTTCTCCAAATTCCACTTCCCCTTTTAGCCTGCCTCCCTTCCGTCATCCTTCATCAAGGTGACATAGGTCTGGCGATCTTTTTGGCATAGACGTGTGGACGTTGTTTTTGACATTTGTACATGCTTTTGCTCAAGTTGAAGGCCCAAGTTTACCCAATTCGACTGCCCCCACCCAGATAGAATATTCATGGTTAGACCATAAACTACATAACTGGAAATTTTAAATCTATTTTTATATGCATACAAAAACTGCAGGCCTGAAGCTTCTAAAAATAAACGTTACTTTCATCCCATTATACAAAAATGCATTTGAGGTGGTCATCATTTTATTTGGGCCAGGGTCTTCCGAGACTTGGGACAATAATATATTTTTTCTACTTTAGGCAAATGTATGCAGATTCTTAAAGCATGAATGCTGTATTACACACATTATAAATTCGAGTAACAGAAATGTTTGTGTGTAGAAATAGAATACGGAGTATATATTTTGTATTAAATAACCTCTGTGGTATTTGTTTACCCTGATTTTTTGATTTATGAGTCGTCATTGCTCGCTATAGAAGAAGAAAAATAAATATGCAAAACAGTGGTAGATTTTTAATGGGGTTACTTCCCATCTTAGCTCAGTGTTTCTCTACCAAAGCTGACCTTGAAATTGCTTTTTAGATACAAGTCAAAATATGCAAATTCCAGAATCAGGAGGAGTATCCGGTGTTAGGAGTTCTTTCGAAGTCACATTTTTACATCATTTCCATCGACATCCCGTGTTCCATCTGCTTCTTAATCCATTAGTACCTGAGTGGGGGTATATAGGTTTTCTCAAATGCTCTAATCTCCACAGAAGTTAAAATATCCCTAAACAGGCATGTGCACATATGTCTTTCTTTCTTTTCTTAGGTTAACTTTTTTTTTTTTTTTCCTTTTGAATGACCACAAAGCATATCTACCCAGCGGGGTTACTTTTTTTTTCCCTTTCAGTATTCATGACGTCAAGTCCCTGTTTGTTATCTTATTGTCCTCTTATCCTGGTCCTTAGAGTCTTTCAAGAGAAGAGGTTGATCCCGGTGTAATGTACAGCTTCATTCTAATAAGTTGTATCGATCATGTATTTTCAGTCACTCTTCATGTCTATGCTGTCCATTTGCTTGGATCCCAAGGAATTTTCTTCTGCCCCCCCACCCCATCCCACTCATATTTCATAAGGGTCTTCTGGAACCTGCATGGTGTTGGGATGTATATATCACTTTTCCCTTGTTATGACCAGAAAGACTCACAGCCATGAATTTCACTGAAGTTTATGATTGGTCCCTGATTGCCTCACATCTTGCAAAGAATCCTCTTCTAGAAAGCGTTCTTGCAGTTAGATTAACAAGCAGATATACTGAACTGGTGCATGAATGAATAGGAAATATCCCAGTTGCAAAGGATAAATCTATCATGTAGTGGAGAGCGTGTTCAGGCAAAACATTTGGTTCTGCGGTCGCTTGGAGGATTGGGCCCGTGCTATAATTAATGCCACTAGCAGTAAAAGGACATTAGGGATGTCGCGCATGTTGATTATTTCTTCATTTTGTTTATCCAAGTTTCCCCGCCTTGGAAGCTCCGTGGCCATTGCCAAAGAAAGCCCTGGAGACAGAGCGTTAGCCGTTGCTCCTCGTAAGCGCATCATTACCTTCCTCCGAACAAAGTCCTTTTTTTTTTTTTGTCAGTAGAGGGTGAAAACATTATTGGATTCAGGAGTTCATAGTAGTCCTGTATGAAGCTGGGGACGGGGGGATAGAGTTATGAAATGGACCATTTCAAATGGCATTATCTTCCCACAGTGAGGTACACCTTTCATAAATCATAGGAGAGTGCTCAGAAAATAGAGCATTTGTTATTCCTGCAGTACATTGTATTTGCATCCCCCCTACTCACAGGAAAGAAGAAATTCTCAGGTTTCCTTTCCCAGGTTTGAAAAGGCAGTTAATCGCCTTACAATGAAATTATATTTTTAAAAAAGGTATCATAATCAAATAAAAGAAGTACTTCATGTAAGTCAAGGATTGTGCTTTTACTACTATTTTTTCTTTTTTTGTAATCATGGTGGTTCTTTTTGCCCACTTATTTAGGCCTTAATTTAATTACGGCGCTGATTAAGTTCTTTGGTTTTATTTTTTACTGTAAACATTGTGCTGTATTCCGTAGGAAAATGTAGATGAATGTGGGTCATTGGGAAATAAAGTGGGTGGAAGTATTGGCGAGCATTTCTTTCCCACTCTCTACCTCGCCTGGTCTAGCCGCTGATAGGTAGTTACTCTTTAGTATGCCCAAGTTCAAATTACGTATGACTGTGATTCTAACACGGAAGCGCCCTCCTTTTCTAGTAGCTTGGATGTGATTGGTATGGAGAAGCAGAGTGGGTGCGTCTTTGTGTGTTCTTGACATAGTTAAAGAGTTTGGTATAGTCAATTCCCTTTAAAGTAGTAGGCTTCTTAAATAATTCTAGTTGTTCCTCGTGCTGCCAAGCCATCTTGAAGAATTTTTCTTCATTTGTAAGGGGTTAAAAGTCATCAAGCTGATTGAAAAGTCAAGAACCTCTAGCGCAGCCTACCCCTTGCATATTTGATACTCTCTTTTGCACTCTCGGGAGCAGTTTTGAGGACACACTGTAAAAATGTATGACAGCAGTTTGAAGATAAGTCTGTTGCCCCAAATAATCATAAGAAGAAGACAGAAGAAAAATTGATTCCCGTAGCTCTCTGGGCAGTGGGATGGGGGTAAAGCAAGGAATTAATAAAAACCCACCAGAATACATTATTTCAGACAATCAAGGAGAGCGTTACATTTTAAAGGTACTTCATCTCAGAAAGTTTGAGACATACTTTTCACACGTGGCATGAAGAGAAAATGGAATGGAATGAGCACTAATGAGGACCTTGAACTTAACTAACTGAACTTGATGGTCATCGCAAGACATAGGGGAGAAATATTTTGAGACATCATTGTGCAGGCAAACATGAGCAAGAAATTGAGAAATCCGTTCATGCACTTCTCTCTGGTTTCCCGGAAGGGATGAATTCCAAATCCCGTGGCTCAGGTCCTAGGTCAAAGACAGCTCTTTAGAAAGAGATGTTCTTTGCTTCTTTGCTGACTGCCCATCCCCTCCTCTCTCTCAAGGAAATAAGATATTCATTTGCAAGTAAATAATGCAGCAGTCTTGGATTTGTATCAGATCAACTTTGAATGAAAGCCTGCCTTTCTGCGTTTATTTTTGCTTATCTCTCCTGCTTCTGCTTCCTGTTTTGTTAAATAAGGGCAATGACGGCAACTATTTTAAATTGCTATAAAGTTTTAGCTAGACAGCGAATCAAGGTGGCAACACATGGTGGGTTCTTAAATAATAGTTGTCATTTGAGTGCTTTCTATATGATGTACATTTCATTTTGCACTTTACAAATAACCTCTTCCTTTTTCTGTTTAATCTTAAAAAAGATCCCGGGAGGCAGGCGTTATTGTGCCCATTTCCTGGATAAGGAGAATGAGGTACGCTAAACGAGTAAAAAGCAACCCGAGATCCAAACCCTTTGGCATTCAAGATTACACTCTTATTCACTAACTGTTCATCTCCTCCGACTGCATCGCCACTCCCCCAGGCCAGATAACCCATCCAGACCTGGAGAACTCCTAGAGGGAGAAACAGGGAGGACCCAGGCACATAAACTTGCAGAGCAGCTGAGTTATCAGATCTTCCAAGCCATGGGGTTATCGAGCTTTATCAGAGCAGCCTTGCTCTTGCAGTTTCTGACACATCACCATTGATCAGTCCTGGGAAACAAACAAAATAGAGGGCGATGGCTCCACTCTGTGTGGCCCCGTCAATGGCCTGGACGCAGCTGAAAAAATCCAGAAGAGTGTAGGACACTGGAAAAGTAGCAGGGTGTGCGATTGCAGGGATGGGACCAGCAGTAAAAGGTAGCCCTGCCAAGACCATTAAGCTTCCTGCAACTCCTTCTGGATCCCACAATTTGAAGGGGAAATCTTTCCCACCGCACATCACTGTTTGGTGGACTAAATGGCTCCCCGATGTCCCGAAAGAGCACAGCTTCTGGAAGTGTGGTATGTGGTCCCTGAGATGAAGCAGCAGCCACAGGAACCCATCATTCCTGCTACCCAAGGCCTCCATTGCCTGGTTTTCTGTTGTCAGAAGAGTTCATTTTCAGGTCCTTCACCAGATATTTTAGAAGCTCATCAAGGAAAGGACGTTTGAAGAAAAACAAATAAACAAAAACACAAAATCAAGGACGTATTGATTTCTGAGAATTCCTCCTGGGTTTTGTTTGTTTGTTTGTTTGGGGGTTTTTTGCTGTGGTATTGTCTGAGCCTATGATAAGATTGTTGTTGATTGATTTTTGTCTTTCAAGACTCAGCACAACACATCCCATCCTTCTGGATAATCTCTTCTACCCTCCCTTTCCAGATAAAAGTTGACTCTCATAATTGTAACTCTCCCCTACTTTATCAGCATCTACATCTTTCAGCCTCTACCACATTGAATTGGAATTATATGTCTGTTTTATGTACCATGCTGTGAACTCCTTGAAGATAGGAGCTGTCTTATCTTCAAGGTGCTCAAGACACGTTTGTTGCATCAGTTGAATGGAGTCAAATTATAAACAGGTGATGGGGGCAAATATCACAATATGATACTCTGAACATCTTCTCTGACAAAAACTGGTCCTCAAGATACAACAACATTTATATTTGATTTGTCTTGCTGTATCGAATCAAGCTGTGGTCTTGAGTTTCGTACACATCTATGTAAGCACTCTGAATTGAGTGACTCTTTCCCAAAGATCATACTGGGATCTTTGGAATGAATGGCGGGTCACCCATCCAATTGCTTTTGCGGAGATTCGAGCATGTGGGGAATGCAAGTCACAATATCCTGCAAAAGCCAACTTGAGACCTCCTAGGACTGCACTGCTGCTTATGACACTGATCCTTAGCCCATCTAAGTAAGTGAGCATGGCCCTGTAAGTGAAATTGGAGAGGTTCCTTGACATTCCCACATAGCTGCTTCCCTGGTAATTCACCTGGGTCCAGAACACAGAAGGGAGATTCTAATTGAAAAACTTTTCCTAAAGGCCAGGCACAGTGGCTCACACCTGTAATCCCAGCACTTTCAGAGGCCGAGGCAGGGAGATCACTTGAGATCAGGAGTTCAAGACCAGCCTGAGCAACATGGTGAAACCCCATCTCTACAAAAAATATAGAACATTAGCTGGGCATGGTGGCGTACACCTGTAGTCGCAGGTACTTGGGAGGCTGAGGTAAGGGGATTGCTGGAGCCTGGGATATCAAGGCTACAGTGAGCCGAGACCGCACCTCTGGAGTCCACCCTGGGTGACAGAGTGACACCCTGTGTCAAAAAAAGAAAAAGAAAAAGAAAGAAAAAGCTTTGCCTGTATATGTAGAACAAATGAAAACCAAATAACAGTGGCACCAGTTCTTCTTTCAGTTTCCATGGAATATCAAGCACGATTTGAGTTGAGCAATTTGATTTGATTGATCTTCTTAAATGTATAATCTCAAACTTTACAATAAGAAGGCTACTTGTCTTTATAATTGTGAAATCCACCCTTAGTTTTAATGCATCTAAAGTCTCTGTATCAAAAAGATCAAAATCAGGTTTGAAAGTCTGTACTGTAACTAAAAAAGTTTTGGGGTTTGTTTTGTTTTGACCAATTTTTGTAAATCTCTTCTGTTACTGTTTATATACCCGGCCACTTCTGCCAAAATATGCTGGCCTTTTAGTCTTTTGGTTTTTTCTCTCTTTTGGTTTGTTGGCTTATGTTCGCTGCTTGATCTGACTACTGGTTTTATTTCTAAGGATTTTTTTTTAAGTTGGCATCTTTTTTTCTTTGACTTTCCTTGTATGCCCCCCTTTCTCCCCTGCATTGTCTTGCTTCATTCATTTCTTTCCAGGTTCCTGCAAATTGTTTTTATTTAGGGCTCATCTGGTATGTGTATTATGTTCTTGGTAGACAGAAGCTGTCTTTAGTTCGTATGGGTTGAGCATGGAGGGAACTTCATCTCGTAGTCACTGGATAAGGAGCCAGTCCTGGCTCTTCCTTTAACTGCCCTTGTGACCTTGAACATGTCAGTTCATCTCACCACGTAGTCATTTTCTCATCCGTCTCTTCAGGCTAATAATCACCTGTCCTGCCTTCCTCACAGGCTTGCCGGGCAACCCAAAAGAGCCGCTGATCTGCATAGCACTTCGCAATGAAGCTGTGCTCTAGAAACATACCACGATCTACTGGACTTTCTTAAATAAGGTGGTTGTTCAGGAAATTCCTCCAGTTAATTTTACTTTAATTCCCCCTACAAGAATGCCGAGACACCTCTGCCTATTTTCTCTTTCTGTGTTTGTTGTTTCTTTTGTTTTTGTTTTCGAGACTGAGTCTTGCTCTGTCGCCCAGGATGGAGTACAGCAGTGCAATCTCGGCTCACTGCAGCCTCCAACTCCCGGCTCCAGTGATTCTCCTGTCTCAGTCTCCCAAGTAGCTGGGATTACAGGGATGCGCCACCATGCCCAGCTAATTTTTTGTATTTTTAGTAGAGACGGGGTTTCACCATGTTGGCCAGGCTGGTCTTGAACTCCTGACCTGAGTTGATCTGCTCACGTCGGCCTCCCAGAGTGCTAGGATTAAAGGTGTGAGCCACCGTGCCTGGCCTCTTTCTGTTTCAAAGAAATAGTCAAGAAGTTTCTAGATGCACACAAAATGACCAAACCAGTCTTTCCGCTTATTTACACAATGAAGAAACATCAGAGTTCACCCTGGAAGACAGAGTTTCTTTCTGTCTTCATCCTAGGGCACAGGAGAGATGCAGTGATGGCATGTCTCCACTCTGCAGACATGTTGCAGGCCTGGAAAACTGTGTGGTGCGTCTGTTTTTCAGAGCGTTGAGAGTCATGCGGGCCATATGGATGCAGTGGTCCACAGAATTGGCAGTGAGCCCCCGGGGGAGCTCAGTGCAAGACAAGATTCTGGCGTAAGAACTGCGGTAGCAAGGACAAGAGGGCGTCACGGTGTAAGAATGGCCGTGGCAAGGACAAGAGGACATCACACGATGACCTTCTCAGAGTCAGTAGGATAGTTTCCCTTCCTGGAAGATTGAGATGAAATAAAGCTTTAGGAGTTGGTATCGCACGCAGGCATTAAATGGATTGTGAAGAGGGACTTTGTTCCCCCTCAGTCTTGTCTCTGCCTCCGTAAAGGAGTAAGTTAAAAAAGAAAGTTTCTTTTTTTAAAAAAAAGCCTTACTGCTCAATAAATCCCTGTGGAAAAAAAAAAAAGAGGGGGAAAAAGGAATGCACATTAGTCTTCCATTAAAAATAGATCAAAAAAGTACCCAAAAGAGAAAACCCCATAACAATGAAATAAATTAGGATAATCCAACTGGAGGCCTGCAAATGAGTTTGCTAAATGTTATATTTTCTCAAGCCACTTAGATTTTTAACTCCCTGTTTCTGCCTGAAGCAATAAAGGCAGGAACGCTGTCATTAGCTTCAAACACCATTTTTTAAGCCCCTAGCTGCATTTGTTATTTTTCTCTTCCCCCCCTTAGCTGTATCCCTGCATTTATTACAGCGCAGGTGCATCTTGCTTTTGAGTGCTAACTGAGATGAAAGGAGTGAGGAAACGCTCTCTTCTTCTTGCAGGGGAGGGCTGGCAAATTCAGTGAATGCAGAGTCGGCTGGGAGCCTTTCGGCTGGAAAGCTCTTCCTCTGATGAGCTGTCTGTTACAGATTTTCAGGGATGGCCCTTGATAAGGCAGGGGTGTCTGTCCACGCCACACTGTGGTCAGATAACCCCCGATCGTAATAAGCCGGAGGATAATCGCTTGCATTGTTCAATAAAGCAATTGCTTTGTCCCCTCACTTAGCCCCTTCAGAAAAGCCAAAAAGAATGTGCCACCTAGATGCTATTTATAACCATTTTCACCTCTTGCCTCCAGGGGCTAAATTGGAAACCTAATTTTAGATGCATAAAAGCCAAAATATGTATAGGAGAAGCTCCAAAATAAAATATCCCAGAGTGGCTTGTAAGCATCCTTCCAACAGGTTCAGGTTGATTTACCTTGCTGTGGATATTTAATTATGTCATTGAAAAAAACACCAGTAATTAAATCATTATTTCTTAGATGTGAGGTCCAAGGACATTCTAGAGGAAGTCAAAGGCAGAGGGAGGAAGGGTGGGACGATGGAGGCCTGAAGGGCTGGTGGAGAGGAAAGAAGGCAGCCTGTGCCGTCAGAGAGAGTTCAACTCCATCCGTGCAGCTGCTAGCATCTTGCCTTACTCAGCCTCTGTGAACCTTAAGTTGCTCAGAATGAGACAGGTAACACCTGCCTCCGTGGTTTGTCAGGACATTTAGAAATGCAGACTTGCTCAAGACCTGGATCTCAGGTGGTAGGTTGGTCCACAGACAGTGGCACCACTAGCTATTATTTATTTGTTGTCACTGTTTGGGACCCCTGTTGCTGTCTCACCAAAGAACTTCTTGTCTCCCTTTTAGAAGTTTCCAGAGCGTCTTCCTGATGTTGCATAGAGCACTCACACCTAACAGATCTCAGAACTTGTATCTTTTCTGGGTGGCTAGACTGAAAAATCCATTTTCTTGTGAGTGAGCCAGAGGTCTGTCTCTTGCGGCATTTCTGCTTTTGAGAACCTCCCGTTTCCTGAAAGGCACCAGACCCCAAGACAGCTCTGCTGCCTGATTGGTAGGTGCCCATGACAGCTCTGCTTCATGCCTGCTGCCTCCTCATCCCTCTGGATGCCTTGTGGTCCTGCTTGTCTGAAGAGCATAAACTTGGGGGTTCCCACTCGAAAAGAGGTTCCAGCAGTTCCAGCCCCTATGTCAGGGGAGCCACTTTTGGGGCTGGTGGTAGGCAGAACTTTGGCCCTCGACATCTCCTCTGTTGGCATTACTCCTATGGTGGTGTTACGTAACATGACAAAAGGGACCTTGCAGATGTAATTAAGGTAACTAATCAGCTGACTTTAGAATAGGAAGGTTATCCTGGGTGATTAGCATGGATCAGAGTTCTCACAGGAGCCCTTCAAAGCAGAAGGGGAAGGTGGACAAGAGAATCGGAGAGATGTGGCAGAGGGTAGGCAGAGAGATTGCAAGCAGGGAAGGATTTCACGTACTGCCACTGGCTTTGAAGATGGAGGGGGCACATGGCTAGAAATATGGGCGGCCCTCAGAAGCTAAGAACTAGCTCTTTCTGACAGCCAGAAGGAAATAGGGACCTTCCACCTACAATAGCATGGAAAACGGGGACCTCAGTTCTGCAACTGCATGGAGCTGAATTCTGCCAATAACCTGAATAGGTTTGGCAGCAGATTCTTTCCTGGAGCCTCCAAAGAAGAGCCCAGGCTGGCTGACACCTTGTGAGTGGCCTTGTGAGACCTGAAACAGGAAACCCACCTGAGCCACTCTTTGCCTGGGACTTCCAACCCACAGCAACTGTGCCGTCGTGACTAGATACGTTTTTTTAAGGGGATGATAATTTGCTGTGGCAGCAATAGAAAATCTGATACACTGTCATGGGGCCTTCCACAGGGTGGGGCTCAACCAGCCCTCAGCTCATCTAGCATGTTTCCTCCTACAACCTGGACTTTTTCCTGTTGTCCCCTCCCGTGACACTCAGCTCCCTGCATTCAATAGAATTGCTTTTGTGGGATGATGAGTGTGTTCAGAGTCATACTCAGCCTAATTATTGCTTTTGACCAACCCCAACACATAATGCTGTATGTCATGCTGTACTACTTTTAATTTCACAGATGAACACATTTCTGTTCTTTTAATCCACCTCTCCAAGGCTCGTGTTAACTCCATCTGGACAAAGCCTTGAGGTATACGTGTGGCTTCTTTTGAGCATCGTGCCATAGCTGTCCCTGATCTACCTTGCGGGGCAAACACAACAAGTAAAAGGTTTTCCTCTTGAAGGATTGAACGCCTCAATGCGTGCATCCTACATTGTCTAGTGGGAGAAATCTCCGTTGTAGATTCTGACATGTCACTCCACATCTTTGTAACTTTTTATGGCTCTCAGCCCTACTTTCTTAATAGTAGCAGCAGTATTTATCTACTGTTTATTGTATTCCAGGTAAAGGATATGTGAAGCACTTTTCATGCATTATTTAACCTAGCTATAATACTCCCATTTGACAGATGAGAGGACTGAGGCTTGTAGACTTTCCAAGGCTGTGCAGCTCTAGGTCTAGTCTGCCATTTGAATTTGGGCGATGATACCAGAGACCAAGTTCTCAACTATGATATACTGCACATGTTTTTGTTTTTGTATTTTGGTTCAAAAAGAGAGTATGATCTCACTTTTCCCTTCTTGATAGGTTGTAGATTCCATGTCTAATCCATCCTTTTCCAATATTCCCTCCTAATCTTTCAGTTGAATTACGGTCTTTAGCTCAAATGCATGACATGATGTGTGTGCCTTTGGAGTGGGGCGGTATTAGTCAGTCGATGGTTATTTCCTTGAGGAGAAAGGAAAGGAGAAGTTGAGTACTTTTCAGTGTTTGTTACTACAAAAGCATGGTGGCATGCCATTGTTCTGAGAGGAAGGGGCTTTTTTGCCTTGTCAGCTCCTGATGAAAAAGATGTTGGGTTGGAAAGCTAAGTTACAGCAGGTGAACTTGAATTTGAGGAAAGACAAAGCAAACCCTGGCTATTAAAGGAACACACACACACACATACACACACACACACACACACACACACACACACGTTTCTGGTATTAGGAAATGGAGATTTCTAACATAATAAAAAAGATTGAACTTAAAAATGACTTCCATTAAATAGGGTAAGAATTTTGAGGTGGAATCCTTTTTCCTTGGGTCAGTACTTTCTGCAAGCTTCTAAGTAATGGTTTCTCTTAGACACTCACGGTGATAAAATTGGGAGTTTTCAAATGAAATCTGGAATGATCTACTGGCATCATGCCTAGGACTTTGGAAAACTTGAAGGTTGGCACCTTTGGGGAAAACCAGACTTTTGAAGCAGGGGCTCTGATTGTCTCTTCTTATTATAGTGCAAGGTGTTTGGCAGAGGTGTGGTAGCTGAAGGCCCAAGGATAACATTGTCCAGATTTTCAGTCTTTGGAGCCATAAACATCCGGTTCTTTCCAGCCCCGCTCAACCGCCTCTCTTAATTCACCACCCTGTTAGCTTCATCTCAGGCCAGACATTGTAGGTGGCAGCAATTGTAGGACAATGAGAAGAGGCCAGATGAGGACAGAATTTTTATTTTCCATTGCCAGTAACAAACACAGCCCTAACTTGCTTAGACCAAAGATGGGGATTGATTGGCAACTGGGAAGCCTAAGGGTGGATCTGGCGTGGCTGGATCTAAGTGATTAAATGGCGCGGTCATAATTCTATTTCTCTGCATCTCTCAGCTGTACTTCCATCTCTGTAAACTTCATTTGCAGACATGGCCAGCATGCGCCCATAGCCTTAATGCTCAGGGAATATTGGTGGGAGAGAAAGCTCCTTTCCTATAGCTTCAAGCAAGAGTCCCACGGCTGACTCTCATTGGCCCTCAGTGGGTCACATGTAAATCATTGAGCCAATCACCGTCTTTCTGTCTGGACCTGGAATAAAGACCACCTTAGAGCATGGGAGCGGGATCCCCTTGATCCACACCATATAGACTGTGAGGTATGAAGTACCTCACAGTAAAGAAGTCATGTTATTGCTGGAAAAGGGGACATGGGTATTAAAAAGACAAAAACAACAGGGCTTCATCACAGCAGCTATACTGCTCCATCAATACCCATCCCAGGAGACAGTGGCAGTCTTGATGTCAATCTTGTTTTAGGATCATTGCCAGTGGAATTCAGGACTGCGGTTCTACCCAGTACCGGGGAACCAGGTGAGGGGGTTAAGAGGCCTGGGCCCATGGAAGGGGTGAGAGAGAGCCACATACTTACAGTTGTGAAGGGGGCCAGCCAGGATGGTGGCTTGCAGGAAAGGTCTGAGCAGAGTAAGAGGCAGTTCCTGGCACCAGCATGCCAAAGGCAGATAGCAACACTCTTCAATGGATGTGGGTGAGAGGACAGTGGAATCCAGCAGGGGCCATTGTTTCCTTCCATAATATTTTTAAACTGTAGCAAAGTGATCTTTTTGAGACCCAAATGTGAGTATGCCATTCTAATCTTCCCACCCTCAGATAAACCACAGCAATGATTTTATACTGTCTGTAGGGTAAAGACAGACCCCTAATCATAACCTACAATCCCTCGACCCAGTGACCTAGCCCCCGTGTACCTTCCCTGTCTCATTTCTCACTGTTATCATTGTAACCCTCTACCCTCTCTTTTGGCTTCCTGCAGTTGCCCTCCTGCAGCAGGGCTTTTGCACATGCTGGTTTCTCCCTTACTTTGCCTCTACTCAGTCTTTATATTTCAACTCAGTGGTCACTGTCTCTAGGAAGCCTTCCATGACTGCATTAAATCCTTCTATAAGTTTTCATAGTTCTGTGCATTTCCTCTTGGCAGCAATGCACTGAGCTGCAGTTTTACATTTTTGTTTTTTTGTTTTTTGAGTTTTTTTTTTTTTTTGAGACAAAAGTCTCGCTCTGTCCCCCACGCTGGAGTACAGTGGCACGATCTTAGCTCACTGCAACCTCCACCTCCCAGGTTCAGGCGATTCTCCTGCCTCTGCCTCCTGAGTAGCTGGGATTACAGGCATGTACCAGCACACCTGGCTAATTTTTGTATTTTTAGTAGAGACGGGGTTTCTGCCATGTTGGCCAGCCTGGTCTTGAACTCTTGGCCTCAAGTGATCTGTCCACCTCTGCTTCCCAAAGTGCTGGGTTTACAGGTATGAGCCACCACACCTGGCCTGTTTTTGTGTTTGTTTATTAATTCCTATTTTTCCCACCTGACAGTACGCTCCGTAGGGCATGTGTTTGTTTCGGTTCCCCAACGTATCCCTACTGCCCAGCAGAAGGCTTAGCTGTTAACAAGTGTTTATTGAATGAGTAAGTGAATGAGTACGTGAATAAATCTGCGCTTTAGAGGCACTTGCTCAGGCTTGTGGAATAATTCTACAGAGAGAAACAGGAATCAAAGGGAAACCTGAAGCTGGCTCAGAAGATGGATGGGCCAGCAAAGGCTTCAGCAAAACCACACAATGCTCATGAAAAATCACGCATTTCTCTGATTTGTGGTTATTGCTTCCCTGGATTTTTTTTTTTTCCAGTTGTTGTTGTTCATGGTGGTGGTGGACAATCTGACCATATACCAACCAAATTGACTGTTAAATTCAATCATCAGTGACCACTCCTGATAATCTGACCTCCTAAGTTAGAGCCCCTGGGAAGTTCAGCCGTGGTTCTGACCAGGCAGGATAACTATCTAAGTGTTCCCCTTTGGACCTAGACTGAGCCAAAGATTCTCCTTGGTCTATATAGGATAATAGATTTCTAAAACAAACCAATAGCTCAGGCACAATTATAGTGGGGGGTGGGGGGCATGTTTAACCTACTTTAGAGAACAAACTCTTTTTAAGGGCTTTGCACACTAATTGTATGCAAATGGATGCTGCTAATTGCAAACACAAAATTCAAACCTAGTCAAATTTGAAACCTGTTCATCAACAGTCCCTTTAGGACCTCTGCCCCACTCTATGTATGCAGTTTAAATTGCTGATTTATGGCTACATAATGTCTTCCTAACCCCCAGTTTACTGTTGGCTTCCTTCAGAGTCATTGCCCCAGGGGACTCATTGACGGCAGAGAGTGTGTCCCCTCCACTGTTGCCTCAATGCCCAGCTCAGCCCAGTGGGTACCGTACTTCAAAACCTCTTATTGAGGTCCACCTCTGTGCCAAGCATTTCGGTAGGCAGTGACAGAAGAGAGTGCATGCATGAATGGATAAACTCTTTCCTGGAATGCCTGCTCTCATCACCTGGTTTCAAAGTCGAGCCAGACGTTCTGTCTCAGCTCAGATTCTACCTACCCTGAGGTTCGCAGCTGGGCATGATCGAGCCACTCTCCACTCTCCTGTAGCATTTTTGGGCTTTGAGTTTATTTGACACTTTTCACTTGCTGCCTTATATTGCGTTTATTTTTATTAATTACTTCAGTAGTCATTTACAAAATGCTGCTGAATCCAAGTCCCTGTGCAAGATGCTGCAGGAGACAAAAAGATGAACAACACGTGGTCTTTGCTTTCATAGGTTATTTCTCCTCTTCCATAGCAACACATGTCAAGGCAAGGACCATATCTTATTCAGTTCCTAGTCATCTTTTCTTTCTTTTGCTTTTTCTTTTTTAAATTGTTAAGATCTGCCATAAAAATGTCTGTCAGAGTAGGCATGATTGCATATTCTTTAGATGGATGGGTGGATGGATGGATGGATGGTTGGATGGTTGGGTGGATGTATGGTTGGATGATTGGATGGATGATGGTTGAGTGAGTGGGTGGATGGATAGGTGGAAGGATGAATGGATGCATGGCTGAGTGGATAGAAGGTGGATGGATGGAGGGATGGATGGTTGGATGGTTGGATAATTGGATGGATGCATGGATGTTTGGGTGGATGAACAGATGAATGGATGCATGGATGAATGAGTAGTTGGATGGATGGATAAATGATGCATGGATAGATGAATGGTGAAACTTTTATATTTTACTAAAAATCTGCATTGATAGCCTAGTGGCTTGCTAAAAATAAGGGAGCTGCCCAAATGCCCCATTTCCTTTATATACTTGTGGAGCAGCAGCGAAGGCCAAGCCAGTGCCAGGGGCTGGAAACAGACACATAAATAAGAACAAATAAGATACAGACCTGACCTCAATGATTTTTTGATATAGAAGCATAGGCACATAAATAAATTCCTGTAATGGGAGTCTAGGGTGAGGGGTGGTGGGTGCCATAATAAAAATTATATAAAGTGCTATGGGGAAGCAAAGCTACATGACCAATTTGTTCTATTTATTTATTTGTTATTATTATGTTTTTTGAGACAGAGTCTCGTTCTGTCACTCAGGCTGGAGTGCGGTGGCATGATTGTAGCTCACTCCAGTCTTGAGCTCCTGGACTCAAGAGATCCTCCTGCCTCAGTTTCCTGAGTAGCTGAGACCACAGGCACGGGACACCATGCCAGTCTAATTTTTAAATTTTTTGTAGGGACAGGGCCTCACTGTGTTGCCCAGGCTTATCTCAAACTCCTGGCTTCAAGTGATCCTTCTGCATTGTCCCCCACAAAGTATTGGGAATGTATTCTTTCCTGATCAGGAAACTCCGCAGAGAGAAAGTGACAGTTGAAGACTATATTGAATTTTGGCCCACAGGAAAAGGAAACTTTGCTGTTAGGGTCACCTGGAGGAGAGACTGCAGGGGTCAGAGATCAGGGCCATATGCTAGAGCTGCAATGTGGGTGCTCAAATGATGTTCAGTGCATCTTCACAGATGGACCTCCACATGTCCCTCATGCCCTAAAATAGATATTCTCCACAGCTGCACATACAACAACGTCAGTGAAATCCGTTGAGAGGAGCATTGAGGAGATGAGTCAGGTGTGCCGCAGCACTCAGGTCAGACTTGAGGCAAGTGAGAGGTGTGAGTTATTCAGAGTCCCAGAGAGCTTGGGCCAAAAGAGATTCTATTTTTACTGGAGCATGTGAGGGTGGATCACAACTAGGATGGCGCGAAGTTCACCTCGTGTAAGCACACCAGGCTGCAGGGATAATAACTGCACTTTTTAAAACCAGCAAATCATTCATATTTACTTTATGAAACCTCTTTTAACTTTATTTTTTATATTTTTTTTATTTTCTTGTTTCTTTTTATTTTTAAAATTTATTTTTGTTTTTTTTGTTTTGAGACAGGGTCTTGCTCTATTGCCCAGGCTGGATGGAGTGCAGTGGCCCAATCATGGCAGCCTCAGCCTCCTAAACTCAAGCAGTTCTCCTGCCTCAGCCTCCCGAGTAGCTGGGACTACGGTTGTACATCACCACCTCTGGCTAATTTATTTTTTGTAAAGATGAGGTCTCACTATGTTTCCCAGGCTGGTCTCTAATTCCTGGCCTCAAGCGATCTCCCATCCCCCCTCAGCCTCCCAAAGTGCTGAGATTACATGCATGAGCCACCATGCCTGGCCTCTGGCCTTCTTTTCACTTTAGAAAAAAACAAAAAACAAAAAACAAAAAAAAACACAAAAAAAACTTTTTTTTTTAGAACTGTTTTAGTTGGGGAGCCAAAATTGAGCAGAAAGTACAGAGAGTTCCCGTATACCTCCGGCAGAGCCCTGGCTCACTATCTACATCCCCACTAGATCCATGTATTTGTTTAGGTTTTGGGGGTTTGTTGTTGTTTTGAGATGGAGTCTTGCTCTGTCACCCAGGCTGGAGTGCAGTGGCACCACCTCAGCTCACTGTAGCCTTGACCTCGAGGGCTCAAGCAATTCTGCTGCCTCAGCCTCCTGAGTAGCTGGGATTATAGGCACATGCCACCATACCCAGCTCATTTTTTTTTAATATATATTTTTAGTGAAGGCGGAGTTTCACCATGTTGGCCAGGCTGGTCTCTAACTCCTGACCTCAAGTGATCCGCCCATCTCGGCCTCCCCAAGTGCTGGGATTACAGGCATGAGCCACCACTCTAGGCCTGTATTTGTTTTAATTGATTAATCTACAATGACACATCATCATCACCTAAAGTCTATAGGTTCATTAGGTTCACAGTTGGTGATATATATTCTGTGGGTTTTCACAGACATGGAATGACATGTATCTATCATACATCATATATTGTATCATATCATATCATGTCATATCATATCATATCATACCGAATAATTTCATTGCCCTAAAATACCTCTGTTTTCACTTTTTAATCTCTTTGTGCACACATCAAAAATTCCTTTTGTGTTTTTGAGTTTCAAAAGTGTGCCACAAACAAGAAATTTGGGATCTGCTGAGCCCAGCCTCAGACCTGTAGGGGAAACAAAGAGGGCAACAGGAGGTCACGAAGGCATGCTGTGCCCACTTTTGGAAATTGTGAAGGAGAGTGTCTCAAACATGTAGGCTTGAGCCACTCAAAATTCTGGGAAATAGGATGTTTTGTAAAGAAAGTTTGCTACTGTCACTTCTGAGTAGTTGCAGTCCCTCCCAGTACGTGGGTATCTTCGGTGAGAACAAATTTCCTGGCAGCTTGAGGACTCCGTGTGTTATTCACATGCTTTATTTAATAGACTTGCCTCATGTGACTTTCTATATCATCCTTTGTGTCTAAGTGATTTGCACTGGGAAGATAGTAAACGCTCCCACTTTATATGCAGAAGGTTGAAAACACCATGAGTGTTGCAATCTGAGGTATCTGCCCTTAAAGAAGCAATATTTACTGAAATGCAGGGCACACGACTTTTCCAGCAAACCACACCGCCGTCCTTTTGTGTGACGAAATAATTATTTTGAGATACCGACATGCGTGACGACCAGATAATTATCTGAGAAAACTTAGCATCTAATGATGCTGTTTTGAGATCACAAGAAAGAATTATATTAGCTTGAGCTGAATTGTTCTTTTCCCCCTGTCTCTCTTTAGTTGTAAAAACACCCACAAATGTGAATGCTTCAGGCCTGAACTTGTCAACAGCCAGTGGCTCATTGTAGACATAGGGATGTCGCCTGTGTTTGGGGCTGAGACACCAGAACAGGTGTTCTGTGGGAACTGAGAATGTCTACTGCTGCACACCTTTAATCTCGGGTCTTCTTTCTGGTGAAATACCCGTGATTCATAACTCAGTCACGTTACTGAGGTATGTCTCTTCGGATAGATTCTATCTCTAAAAACTACAGATTCTATCTCTAAAAACTTAAGTCAAGGGATTTTCAAGCAGTTGTTTGATTTATGTATGTGAACCTCTCCGTTAGGAGAAGAACTTTTCTTTGGCAAACACCATAGGAACGGAGACCTTAACAAAAGAATTAGGACTCTCTTGTCCTGTTTTAATCTCAAAGCTGTCCCTGCGCTGGTGCGGCTGGCCCACTTGTGCCTTTGTGAATTTGCAGAGAAGAGGCTGGGCGTGGGGGGACACATGACTAATCCGCCCTTTCTTTTGTTTGTGCAACAACTCAATTCACTGTCACCACATCAGCACATTTGCTGCAAATCTCAGTGCCCTCTCACTTTCGTTTTATTTAATGCGTTTCTACATTTTCCCAAGGCCACATGAGCTGTTTTCTGGCGCGTGGTATGCCTGCCTCAAATAACTAACATTGCCTGGGTCTTGGAATCTGAGCCTTCATATTCTCCGATATATTATTTGGTCCTATTGTTCCTTAACTTGCTCATCATTCACACGGCGAAGGAAATTCCATTTGGTCCTTTTAAGACCGCCAGACTAGCTGACTTAAACACTCAGCTCCAGCTACTTCTGAATATTTCGGTTCTTTATTGAAATGGTCCTTTTAATGTCATCTTTAATTTAATCAAATAGTGTCATCAAAATAACATTTACTCTATTACTGAAAATTCACTGCATTATTAACTAGTGTAACTAGACAAAAAAGATGGTACAAACCCCCATGGAAATATATACTTACTGTAAAAATGGATAGAGTTCATGGATGTTCTATATTTAATTTGCACTTTCAAAGTACTCTCTATGGAGAGGTTTTATGGTTCTGAAATAATTTAAAAACACACTTTACTACAATCCATAGCAGGTAGTTTTGCCAATTTGGGAAGTTATGGTGCCTTGCAGTTTCCAAAGTAAGCTGAACAGTGTTTTTTAACAGTGCTGCCCCTCTCTCCCACTAGAAATGCGAGTCCATCCTTTTACCAAGTGTGGTACAACAAAGGTTTCTCTGGTTTTCTTTTGGTATTCTCAGACAACTGAAATATAAATTACATGGTATGTGCAGGTATCACCAGGATGCAATTAGTTTGATGAAATATACCAAGTCGTCAATGCCACTTTGGATAGTTTAATCTGAAAATAGGACATGGTTGGGGTAGTGGGCACAGGGGAAGGAAGGTTATGTAATTTTAAAATTCTTCCTTTGATTCAAAAGAAAAAAACATGTTTGTTGCATTCAACTCCATAGGGTGAGCATAGCTTAGTGGGGAGAGATTTGGACTAAAAAATAAGAGTTCTGGGTTCAAGATCTGAGGTAAATTATTTGCTAGGCCTTAGTTTCCCATCTGTGAAAAAAGGGAGTTCTATAACAGCAAGACATTTAATATTAAAATAATGTAATGTTTTTAAAAATGCTTGTCTACCCACTTTTTCTTGAGATTAGTAAGACCATCTTCCAATTAGAATGTTTATCCGAACTTACCGCTAGGTATTTCCTTGTAGAGTATGAAAGTAAAATATCAATGGGCCATCTCTACGTCAAGGTTCTCGTTCTTCTCATTACTGAGAAATTATGTTCCTGGAATAATATTGTACAGACTTAGAAATAAGGGCATTGAACTTAATTCATTTATTTTTCAAAAGGCATGTATTTTTTACCTGTTGCTATATCTGCTGCCAGCCAAGTGCTGTGCTTGGCCCTGAGAAAGCAAAGAGAGATAGAGATGTCCATGTTTTGGAACTTGACGTCCATTAGGGGACATAAACATTTGAAAAGATAACACTAACAAGCTAATTCAGGTATGATAATAAAAACCTTCACAGGGTTAGCCATCCATCTATCTGTCCATCCATCTATTCACTCATGCATTCATCCACCTGTTCATCCATTCATCTGTCCATTCATCCATCTATCCATCCATCTACTTCTAGGTTGTGAGAACCCGTAGTATTGACTCTCAGTGTGATAGGAAGGCCAGTGTCTTGGTGAAAGATCAAAGAGCTCATCAAAATTTGTCGGATAGACTGCAGGCTCAGACACTGATGAGACCCCCCTGCAACTACCACATCAAAAGGCCTAGGAGCCTTTCCATGACCAAATGCCCATATTGATGAATCCGAGACAAGTGAGGGAAAGATGTCCTCTGTCGGTGTTCTGAACCCTGTGGAAATCATACGGGGAACTATAAAAGATCCTGATGCCTGGTTTTCTTCTGGAGAGTCTGATTTAATTGGATAAGGATACAGCCTGGGCATCAAGAGTTTCTAGATGACCTAAGTAATTCTCATTTGCAACCAAGGTTGAGAATAAAGGGTGTGTATAAGGTGAGAGACTTCTGGTTAACTAAAGGAAATACCAATGACATTTGTGCTTTAGGTCTACCAGTTAGTGGGTATTGGTGCATGGTGGGACAGACTAAATGGCTACAGGTCAGGGTCATTGTCAAAGAGTGAGGGATAAGGGGTTGTGCTGTGGCTCAGAGGCAGAGTAGACTGAGGAAGAACAGCTAATTCCAGAAAGCCATGTTGTGGTGTAAAAGATAGTACCTGACTTGTAATGTCTGACACCAAAAATGACCTTAATTTGGGTCATAGGACAAAGACCTCCCCACCTCCAGCTATGAAAGACAGAAAATGATAGGACTAGGCTTCATATTTTCTAGCGTAACGTTTGGCTTGTGGTATATTCAAAACTAAGTCCGTGTTTGTTGCTGCTGAGTGACTGGGCTGATACTACCTGTCCTTCAGCCATCTAGACTTGCTCTCTACCATCCTCAATACTTCATATGAAAGGAGACTGTCACTTCATGAAAATCATTTATTTGCTTTAGCTTAAATCTACTGGAGATTACAACTGCCTCATTTTGTCACCTTCTTACCCCAGAAGGAAATATCTCCACAAGAGAGCAGGTATTTATTGAGTTATGACTGTCAGGCATGGAACAGATCCATTGGTCAGAAATAAGGAAATTGTCTCTACCTTCAAGGTTCTCACAGTCTGGAGGGAACAGAGAGCCATCAGGGACAATAGGTCCCTGTGCCATCAGCTACTGGGATGTATGACTTTCCAGTAGAGGTACACAGCACTTGTTCCAAAAGGAGCCTATGTAGCTTTGGGAGTTCTCTATTTAGTCACCTTATTTTTTTTGTCTTCTTGTTAAACTAGCATCCTGTTTTACTGAATCTCTGCCTCAGTTGCTTTATTTACTGTATACATACATAGCTCTTTTGAAGACTTGATGTCAAAAGTAAAGAAGTTCAGAACCTACGGGGCTTGCTTTGGGTCCCAAATTATCTTAGCTTTCTGGAAAGAGAAGAATCTATAATGTATTCTCCATGGAGTATCTTTACTCACTTGTGATGAGATGTCTGTAAAAGTAATCAGCTCCATACATCTGGGCATGATGACCCTCAGGCCCTTGAGACTCAGGTGTTCTCAGCTCATGGTGCAAGTTCCCCTGAAAGAAAGACTCAAGCCAAGCATTCAATGGTTATGTTCCAGATCATAGTCTCCTAAAAGCCAGGGGTCCTTTATGCAGGGATGGTGACATCAGAAGTTAAAAGGTCTATGCAGATTAACGAGGAAAAATGAGGGAAATTACTGTAAGGTTTTTAAAACATGATAGTTATATATGAACTGATGATTATATAATTGAACATGCCTAAATTGATGTAGTTCTCTGTAAAACTAGTTGGTGTAAGGAAACTTGGTCTTTGACCATCAAGGAGGTTGCAGTTTGTGGCATGGCACAAAGATAACACTCAGCAGATATATAGCTATGGGATACATGGATGGATGGATGGATGGGTGGATGGATGGATGGATGGATGGATAGGTAGATGGATGGATGCGTGGGTGTGTGGAATGGTGGGTGGTAGGTGGGTACATAGATGGATGTATGGATGGGTGGGTTGGTGGGTGCATGGATGGGTGAGTAAGGGGGGATAAATGAAAGGCTTGTTCTTCTGAAGGGACTCTTTACAAAGAGTCTTTGATCTTCCAGCTTCACGTGCAAGAGAATCCCCAAGGTGAGCTTGTTAAAATAAGCATATTCTGGGTATCACTTCCTGATTTTCTGGTTCAGTAAGTCTGAGGAGGAACTTGGGGAACTTTATCTTTTAAACAAGTACCTCAGGTTATCATAGTAGTCTTGCTGTCCTGAATCTTAATGCATCTCTATTTCTGCTACATCTTCCATGAAGTTGATTTTGCAGAAATCATTCTGTGGTTCCACATTGACTGCATCCAAGACCTATTGCCTTCAGATTTACATCAAGCACAATTTGGCAGGTATTAGGGATGGACCCAGCAGCCAAGTCTTTGTTGCCTTAAACAGATCCCTTGTCTCTTGTCAGGACCTCCTTCCAGGCTGCTCCTGAGCAAGTCTGGATGTGACTTCTACCTATGATCCAGTGGGTTGGGCCATAAAGGAGCTTTGGAAAGGGACAGTCTTAGGGTGAAAAAGAGGGAGAGGCTTGCCATCTGAACAGGAATCTCTCCCAGAGGAGAGAAGAGAAGCCTAGGCTTTAATGAGGACAGCCACCCTGTGGATGACTTTCTGTGTGATGTTATGTGGAGGTGGCTTCTTTTTTCTCTATCCCATTAGCTGAATTCTGTGCCAGAAGGAAGAGATTTGGAGTCAGCAAGGCATCCTTTTTTTTTTTTTTTTTTTTTTTTAAAAAAAAAAAAAAAGAAGGAATGTGATTGTGAAGGAAGCAAGAAAAGGCCCAAAGGCTCTGGACAAGGGCTAGGAGGCTGAGGAGTTTTACACATTCATAATTTCCTTGTAGGCCAAGCTTACTCTCAGGGATGACAGTCATTTTCTAAGAAAGTGAGATTGCTTCACATTGCATTTAAAGGCTTAAATAATGTATTCTGTCAGACAATTCTCTGAAATGGTTTTCCAAGTGAATGCATCAGAAAGTGCCCAGAAAGAATGCCTGGCACAGGAAGAGGAGGGCATTCAGAAAATGTGAGCTGCTTGCATCAGAATCTAACTTGAGATGTATCATTCCTACGGTAAGGTGCACACACATTAAATGTACAGTTCAATGAACTCATACTTATTTATACAACTGTGTAAACACCACTCAGATCAAGACAGAGAACATTTCTAACACCTCAGAAGGCTCATCTGTTCCCCTTTCTAAGCAAGAAGTACCATCAGCATTAAGAGGTAACCACTATTCTGATTTCTATCAGCATAGTTTTCTGTTCCTGAATTCATATAAATAGTCACCCAGTACGCATTCTTTGCTGTCTTGCTTCTTTTACTCCTCATTAGGTTGTGGGATTTGCCCACGATATTTCATTCTTTATTGTCATTCTTCTTTCTCTGCCACTGCCATCCTACCAACAGTTTGTATTATGAAAAATTGCAGACGTACACAAAAGTTGAAAGAATTGTACTGTAAGTACTCTGATATGCACCACCTAGATTCTACAATTAACATTTCCCTCTATTTGCATCTCTATCCATTTACCATTCCTCTTGTCTATCCATCAGTCTATCTTGATTCATTTCAAAATAAGTTGTAGGTCAGGTGCAGTGGCTCACACCTGTAATACCAGCATTTTGAGAGGCAGAGGTGAGAGGATTCCTTGAGTCCGGGAGTTGAAGACCAGTCTGGGCAACATAGTGAGGCCTTATCTCTTCAAAAATAAAAAAAATTAGCTGCCCATGGTGGTGTATGCCTGTGGTCCCAGCTACTTGGGCAGCTGAGGCAGGAGAATTGCTGGAGTACAGGAGATTGAAGCTGCAGTGAACTGTGACTACACTGCTGCACTCAACTTGGGCGACAGAGTAATACCCCGTCTCAGAAACAAAAACAAATAAACAAACAAAAAGCTAAATAAGTTGCAGACAGCAGTCGCTTCACTCCTAAACACTTAAGCAGGTGTGTCATCCTTGAATTACTGAATTAGAGTTCAGTATTTGCTTATGCTAGTTATGTTAGTGGTATGCTTTTTAAAAATAATTAAGGTGATGTCATGATAAGGCTATTAAGAGCCAACATGCATTGAGTATGGACTTTCTGCCAGACATTGCACTATGCACTTAACACACAGACACATATTGTTTTTTCCATTTTAAGATACAGAAAGTGGGCCTTAAAGGTGCTACTGACTTGCTGATATGCTTTGGCTGTGTCCCCACCCAAATCTTAACTTGAATCGTATCTCCCAGAATTCCCACGTGTTGTGGGAGGGACCCAGGGAGAGGTAATTGAATCATGGGGGCTGGTGTTTCCCATGTTATTCTTATGAAAGTGAATAAGTTTCATAAGATCCAATGAATTTATCAGGGGTTTCTGCAGTTTTTCTCTTGCCACCACCATGTAAGAAGTGCCTTTCACCTCCACCATGATTCTGAGACCTCCCCAGCCATGTAGAACTGTAAGCCTGATTAAACCTCTTTTTCTTCCCGGTCTCAGGTTATGTCTTTATCAGCAGTGTGAAAATGGACTAATACAGTGAATTGGTACCAGTAGAGTGGGGCATTGCTGAAAAGATATCTGAAAATGTGGAAGTGACTTTGGAACTGGGTAACAGGAAGAAGTTAGAACCGTTGGGAGGTCTCAGAAGAAGACAGGAAAATGTGGGAAAGTTTGGAGCTTCCTAGAGACTTGTTGAATGGCTTTGCCCAAAATGCTGATAGCAATATGGACAATAATGTCCAGGCTGAGGTGGTCTCAGATGGAGATGAGGAGCTCGTTGGGAATTGGAGCACAGGTGACTCTTGTTATGTTTTAACAAAGAGACTGGCAGCATTTTGCCCCTGCGCTAGAGATTTGTGGAACTTTGAACTTGAGAAAGATGATTTAGGGTATCTGGCCGAAGAAATTTCTCATCAGCAAAACATTCAAGAGGTGACTTGGGTGCTGTTAAAGGCATTCAGTTTTATAAAAGAAGCAGAGCATCAAGGTTTGGAAAATTTGCAGTCTGATTGTGCGATAGAAAAGAAAAACCCATTTTCTGGGGAGAAATTCAAGCTGGCTGCAGAAATTTGTGTAAGTGGCAAGGAACCTAATGTTAATCTCGAAGACCATGAGGAAAATGTCTCCAGGCCATGTCAGAGACTTTCACAGCAGCCCCTCCTATCAGAGGCCTGAAGTCCCAGGAGGAAAAAATGATTTCATGGGCCCAGCCCTGGGTCCCTGTGCTGTGTGTAGCCTAGGGACTTGGTGCCCTGTGTCCCAGCCACTCCAGTCATGGCTGAAAGGGGCCAAGGTATAGCTCAGGCTGTGGCTTCAGAGGGTGGAAGCCCCAAGCCTTGGCAGCCTCCATGTGGTGTTGAGTGTGTGGGGGCACAGAAGTCAAGAATTGGGGTTTGGGAACCTCTGCCTAGTTTTCAGAAAATATATGGAAACACCTGGATGCCCCAGCAAAAGTTTGCTGCATGGGTGGAGCCCTCATGGAGAACCTCTGCTAGGGCAGTGCTGAAGGGAAATGTAGGGCTGGAGCCTCCAGGCAGAGTCCATACTGGGGCACTGCCCAGTGGATCTGTGAGAAGAGGGAAAGTGAACTAAGCTCTTTAAACCTCATATGTTTCCATCAGTAACATGGGAACAATAGTAACAATTCCACAGAGATAGTATTGATGGTTGAACAAGATGTTTAAATCACTAGTAAAATTTGGCCAGACACGGTGGCTCATGCCTATAATCCTAGCACGTTGGGAGGCTGAGGTGGGTGGAGCACCTGAGGTTAGGAGTTCGAGACTAGCCTGGTCAACATGGTGAAACCCCATCTGTACTGTAAATACAAAAAATTAGCTGGGCATGGTGGCAGGCACTTGTAATCCCAGCTACTTGGGAGGCTGAGGCAGGAGAATCACTTGAACCCGGAAAGTAGCGGTTGCAGTGAGCCGAGATGGCACCATTGCACTCCAGCCTGGGTAACGAGCAAAACTCCATCTTAAAAAAAAAAAAAAATGCCCGCCTTATTCAGATACACAGTCTAATGCTTTCCACTAGAAGATTCTGGCACTGTTAGCATCTCTGGCATAAACTATGTTACTCAACCCAGTTCTGTCGTCGTCATTTTTTTGTGTTGGCTTTGCCCTTCCCGCATTGTGACTTGATCCCATTTAAGCAGCAACCTCTGCACACACAATCTTTTCTCTGTCCTTCACTCAGTGATGTTATAATATCTAGAGGCTTATTGATTATTTGTTTGATTCTATTGTGGGCACAGGAGCAGTTCTTAGATTAACACTATTAGATTTTCCCAAGCAGTATTGCCGTGGTTTATACAATTGGACGAAATGGGTGATCTAATTTGGACTCAATTTGCTCCAAAGTAGAGTTGGAGGAAGGAGATGCTGTGATTTGGTTCTGCACCTGAGAACAAGAATGGAAAAAGTTATCTCCAGGTGCTATCTGTGTGCCTCATCAATTTTGGATACACTGTGTGACCAGCTCTGAGGATTCCAAGCTTTTTTGCGTGGCTTCTTACCTATCAGCTAAAGAACCTAGCTTTACTTATCCAACTTAGATATTAAATCCCATGATATAATTTATTTTTCCGTGTGAAATATCTCAGGAACAAAAAAGTCAGGTTGAGTTTTCTAAAGGCACTGGTTTAAGAGGCTATAGGTTAAGAGGAGATAACAGACATGCTCAGAAACAAATCATTTCCTGATAGCTGTTTCAGATGGAACCAAATGGAAAACAGTGCTTCTTTCCGTTTACTGTACACCCCCTATCCTGGCATCTAAACATATTTGTAATCATACTGTCTATAGAAGTTTTGGTTCTGCTTTTGACCTTAACACTAAAATACCCTTCCACAATATTATAGGCTTTTCATGTACATCGTTTTTAAGATGGCTATAAATTCCACTTAGTGGCTATGACTGTAGTTTTTTTTTTAACTCTTCCCCTAATAGTGAAAATTTAGATTGTTTCTAAATTTTCCTTACTATAAGTAAGGCTAAAAAGTAACATGTGAATGTTTTGAATCAATAAATATAGTATGTATTAATAATATTGAGCTATTTCTTAAGATTACATTTTCAGAAGTAAGATCACTGAGTCAAAGGGTGCACACTGTTTAAAGGAGCTTAAATATATTGCAAAACTCTTTTCATGGTCTGCTGATATCACTGAAAATGGAGGTCTGGATTCAAATCACATGTGCCAACTGTTCTACTTTGGCAGAATTACCTACTGCTTTGGGCCTCGGGTACTAAATTTGTGAAATGGGAAAAATAATAGTTCCCACCTCATAGAGTTGCAGTGGAGATTGAATGAGTTTGTAGATAAAAAGCGTCTGCGTTGTGTCTGGTACATGGTAAGGGGTTCGTAAATACTGAGTTATTTCTTATTAACATTTATTATTGTCTCCACTGGAAGAAGAGCCTGTAGAATATGCAGACTATTCAAATGCTTCCTTTGGTCCATTGTTGTCCTTTCTTTTCTCTTCTAGAACTTTCCCCATAGTCATGCATCTGTCCCTGGGTTATCTGATATGTGTTTCAGCCTGTTTTCCCAAGTTTACCTGCCTCTCTGAGAAGCCCATCAGCCCTGAGAGATACCTGGAAGGAAAGAGGAAAATGCGTGATTCAAATCATGTTGCAAGTGGATGAATCTAGCCCCAAACAACTGGGAGGCAACTACTCCTGCCTGCCGAGGCCTTTTTTTTTTTTTTTTTTTTTTTTTTTGAGACTCACTCTGTCACCCAGGCTGGAGTGCAGTGGCATGATCATGGCTCACTGCAGCCTCCCGGGCTCAAGCTTTCCACCCACCTCAGCCTCCTGAGTTGCTGGGACCACAAGTATGCACCAACATGCCTGGTTAATTTTTGTGGTTTTTTTTTTTTTTTTTTTTTTCCTGCTGAGATGGGGATTTCACCATGTTCTCCAGGCTGGTTTCAAACTCCTGAGTCCAGGTGATCCACCCATCTTGGCCTCCCAGAGTGCTGGGATTACAGGTGTGAGCCACTATGCCCAATACCCCCTATGTAGACTTTTAAAGAAATACAGGAAACAGCCAAGACTGGTGTCATTCAGATTTAGCTTGGGAGAGTCTAGTGGGTGTTAGGTTCCCACAGGATGAAGGATCACCATGAACGGTCAGGACCTGACTTAGGAGGACTCAGAAGCTGGAGACTGCAGAGGATGGCACAGAGTTCCAAATCTTTGGGGTGTGTAAGAGTAGGAGAGGCAGGATGGGAGAGGATGGGAGTGATGCCACATAAATCAACTCTGTTGCAGCCTCCGGGGCCACATCAGTAGCTGCAGGAGGAGGAGGGAACAGGGAGACAGGGAGCCTTTCTTCCTTTCCTCACCCCCAGTTCTGTGTTTATACTTCTCATTTAGCCCATACCCCACTATATTAAAAGAAGATGTATAAGTGTATGTGTTTAATCTACCATTCCTTGTGGCACAGTGCATGGTCTGCATGGCACAGTGTGTGGTCTGTATGGCACAGTGCATGGTCCGCATGGCACAGCGCGTGGTCCGCGTGGCACAGCGCGTGGTCCGTGTGGCACAGCGCGTGGTCCGCGTGGCACAGCGCGTGGTCTGCGTGGCACAGTGCGTGGTCTGCATGGCACAGCACATGGACATGATTCATACATGCAAGTGAATGAGTGAATGGGCGATTTCCAGACTATCCAGAAACTGTGCCCCATAGTCCTACCCGTAGGAATCCAACAGGGAACTGTCACCACCGACCCGAGGCAGGAACCATGTGCTCTGAGCCCTGGCCATTTTGTGTAGATGGAGATAAATTGTCATTGCTAATTGCCAGAGACCAGGTCCTGGTGGTAGCCAAACTGTTCCCTAGGGAGTTCTCACCAACCTTGCAAAATGAGATGGCAGTCTTCATCGTGGATGCAATTATGTTTCATTGTTAACCATCACAAGCAACGGGACATTATGATGACTGTTATAAGTTGGTTTCACATGTAAACTTTGACCTCAGAGCAATGGGGCAGGCTTTTCCCAAGGACCCTGTTGAGAGGTTCATGATGGTGACAAAAAGCACAAGCCCCAGCTGCCAAGGAGGCTGATATCGGGAGAGGCAGAATGTGTCTTTTCTTTCTTCTTCCTCTTCTTCTTCTTCTTTTTGAAACCATGCTCATTGGTTTTAGGAATCATTAGCATGGTGAAGATTAAAGCTATTGGAGATAGCACAGATTGTTTCATTTTATTATGTTCAATTGGATTGGATCCGAGCCATTTGCAAAGTGCAGTATTACCATAAGAAGGGACTTGGAATGTTTGTCACATAATACTTCTTCATGGAGAAGGCAGTTTCTTAAAGAAAAAAAAAAAAGACAACTTGAAATAGCACAGCTTTTTTCCACTTTCAAATGTATAACAAAATAGAACTTTATATTTCCAGATGGACTGCCTGGAACCCGGGGAGTGGCTCAGCTACCAGGCTCCAGTGGCCCTTGTCTTGTTATTTCCTCCATTAGAGACCTGGCGTATAATTGTGGGAGGGAGAAGCCAGTGGAGCAGTCAGGGGACTCCCTGGCTGTTTCTGTGTCTGGTCTTATGGGTCTGGGCACTGAATTCAGTCACAAACCCTAGCATGCTCCTTTGCTACCTCAGGGGACAAAGTCAAGAAAATAACACTAGGATTGCCACCCTGCTCTCTCTCTCTCTCTCTTTTTTTTTTTTTCTTTTTGAGGAAGGGTCTCTCTCTGTCACCTGGCTGGAATACAATGGTGCTATCTTGGCCCACTGCACCCTCCATCTCCCTGGTTCAAGGGATTCTCGTGCCTCAGCCTCCCGAGTAGCTGGGATTACAGGGGCACATGCCACCATGCCCAGCTAATTTTGTATTTCTAGTACAGACAGGGTTTCACCGTGTTGGCCAGGCTGGTCTCAAACTCCTGACCTCAAGTGATCCAACCGCCTCAGCCTCCCAAAGTGCTGGGATGACAGGTGTGAGCCACCACACCCAGCCACTCTCTTTCAACTAGAACAGTTCCTCTCTTCTTTGTTGCATATTTTTGTATTTCATGCAAGGTGCTGTTTATGAACAAGGGAGTTTCCTGCAGCTTTAATAAAGAAGAGAAAAGAAAAGAAAGAAAGGAAAATTCGCATGTTGAAAACATTGTACTAATCAAAAAAGCCAGTCACAAAGGACCCTATGTTATATGATTTCATTTACATGAAATACCCCAAAGAGGCAAATCTGCAGAAACAGAAAGTAGAGTGGTTGCCAGGGGCTGGGGATGGGGCGTGGATGGAGGCATTTGGGATTAACAGCTAAAGATAGCAGGATTCCTTCTAAAGCAATAAAAATGTTGTAAAGTTGATTGTGGAAATTCTTTCACAACTCTTTGATTGTACTAAAACTTTGAACACTTTAAATGGGTGAATTGTATGGTATATGAATCATATCTCAACAAAGCTGTTAAAAAATTGTATGAAAACTGTGATGGGATTCAAGTAGTCTAACGCTCAAATTTCCCAAGTGCCCTCATTTAAGTCTGGACCACGACAGGAACCCAGATGTGGCCTGAGTAGCACATCGTGGAATGGGCCTGTCACCTCTACCCCACACATCCTCCTGCTGTTAATGCCCCCTTTGAAAGCCATTAGCTCTTTTGATAACCACAGCACGGTGTTGGCTCTCAGTTAGAGACTCAGATTTATCCCTGCCCGAATCATTTTCTTTGATTCTCTGCCCTTCCCCACTACAGTGTAAACTCCATTTGGACTTTCTCTAGTTCACTGTGAATGGTTTTTGAATAACATCAATTAGCATAACCTCATGCCCAGCATCGTCCTTATTGTTGAGAGCACAGCAGTGACAAAGGTGCAACTCTTGCTCTTGAGCGATCACAGTTTATTTGGGGAACCTGGTACTACCTAATAAAACCAGGGGAGACTCGACCCAAGGCATTGTGTTTGAGCTAGGCTTTGAACAATGTATAGACCCTCACCAAGTATGGAAGTGGAAGAGTAAGACATTCAAGGTAGAAGGAACAGTATGAGGAAAGTCAGAGAGCTAACAAAGATTATAGTGTAATGCCAGAATCATGAGAAATTTGCTGAGAATTCATTTGAGGCCATAATTTAAAAAGATAGGAGGAGCCATGTGTAGAACTTTCACAGAACAGTGTGTACCTCCCCTCCTTCTTCCTTATTAGTCGTGATTCTTGGGGGGCAACTAAACCCAGCTTTTGGCAAAAGGGAGTATGTTGGTTCATGTACCAGGAAGTCTTGGAGTGATGGCTTCAGGCACGGCTGGATCCAGGGGCTCAAAAATATAATCAGATGATTTGTTTGCTTCTGTCTTTTGCTATGGTGGTCTCTGTTTTGCTTACTTCTGCAGCAGATTTTCTCTACCTGGTGGGAGAAACAGCTGCCAGAAAATCCAGATTCCCATTCTCATGCTAGCTTCATAACAGCAGGAGAGCTCCTCACTCTGTTTCCCAGGGTGTATATATATATGTATACATATGTATATGTATATCAATATATATATCAGGTAAGATTCTAGTCCAGTGTGAGCCATATGCTTTATTCCTGAGCAATCGCTGTGGTCAAGAGATAGACTTTTTAGGGCCGGGCACGGTGGCCTACACCTGTAATCCCAGCACTTTGAGAGGCTGAGGCGGGAAGATCACTTGTTGAGGTCAGGAGTTCGAGACCAGCCTGGCCAACATGGTGAAATCCCATCTCTACTAAAAATACAAAAATTAGGTGGCAGGCACTTGTAATCCCAGCTACTCAGAAGGCTGAGGCGGGAGAATCTGTTGAGTCCGGGAGGCGGAGGTTGCAGTGAGCCAAGGTCACGCCACTGCTCTCCAGTCTGGGTGACAGACTCTGTGTCAAAAAAAAAAAAAAAAAAAAAAAAAAGAGAGAGATAGGCTGTTTAACAGGTGTCGTAGGTCATGTATCTACAGCCATGGAAAGAGAATGGAGCACTCTAATGGATCCCTGACGGGTCAAATGGAGCAAAGTGTGCTTCCCAGAAGAGCATAAGAAAAAGGAAGGGTACTGGGTGGACCAAATCTATTGTTACAATATCCCTTATATTCCTTAGGGTTCCTTTTTTTCAAGTTAAAGCATTGAGTCATGTCTCTGATAAATCGCCCCCCCACCCCGATCCCCACCCTCTGCCGCCCTGGCCTTCTTTTTGTGCTGTTGGGTTCCAAACTTTACCTGAGGATTTTCACATGCACATCTGTTAAATGCCATTTAAAGAGAACACTAACAAGAGAAAGCTAGTTCATTTTTCTTCCTGGGACCTCAGTTTCCTCATCAGCAGAATCGGGATATTAGTGCAGACCTTGCAGGCTCTTTATGAGGATCCATCGGGAGCCTCAGGCGCACACTCGGGGAGCATTGGAGCTCTTCCCAGGCCGAGGTAGGAGTTTGTCCACCTGCTGTTTACTCCGAAACTTCTTGCTCCACCTGTCACTTTAGAAGACCCTGATCTGCCGGAAGGTCTCCCCGTATACCCAGCAGCCCAGACCTCTCAGGAAAGAGCAGGCTGTCGTCCTGCATTGGAGGAGGAAGCTTGGGGCAGGTGGCAGAGCAACTTCATTTCCAGATGAAACTGGGCTCCCTGGCCATCAGCTGCCGTGCTTGGAGGGGCGTTCAGACAAAGAGCCAAATTTAAATTCATGTAATGTTGCTGTTTGTAACATTGAATACTTAAGACATCTGCTCAGAGTCTCGCATTATAAATGAATGGAAAGGATCCAGGAGGGCTTTATTGGATGGGAGCCGTGAAGTGAGCGCCGTGTATTTCAAAGCAGGATCTTAATCAGACATTATTTATATCTATAATATTTTACAAATTAAAAGCAGTAGAAATAGTCACTGGAAGGAAGTCAGCAAGCAGGGGTGAAAAAAAAAAAAAATAAAAGAACCTGAAGCCGCCAAGAGAGGCTCACTGACCATCTCTGGGGGAGGGAGGGTGAAGAGTAGCAAATTTACCGTCATCAGCAGGTGTGTAAATGTTCCATTTACATTGAATGGCACATGTCATAAAGTACATACCGCTGCACATCCCACCCTCTGTTTCTGTTTCAACTGCAGAGCCTATTTTTCTTTCCCTTCCAGCTCAGCTGCCTTCTCCTCCCTGACCTCAGGTCACCCAAGACTCCCACTTTATTATTTCCTTTTACTTTTAGTTCATTATTCTCTGTGATTCAGTGGAAACATAAAAAATGGTTTTTAATTTTAATTAATGGCAAACTTAGAACAGACCCATTTAATAAATCTGTCCTCTGAACTTAACACGTCTCCCCGCCTTGTAAGGGCTGCCTGTCATTTTATTAGCGCTGGAGCCTCCCGACCGAAGGGCTGAGTAATTGACAAAAACTGCAGGTAAGGCAAGAGGCCCGTAATTGATTCATAAGATCCCTTCCTCCGATCGCATTGAAGAGTTAATTATTTTTCCTGCAGTTGGGACTCAGCTGTTGTTTCCCCTGGGATTAAACAGCTGTCAGCATTGTTAATGACATCAAATTCATGCATTAAAATCCTCTCATTCCCTTCCCGTATAAGGTGGGGTTGCGGAAATCTCTGCCACGTCCGCCTTTATGAAGGAGTGAAATCCTAAGAAAGATAAAGGCCCTTATTACAAAACCACAGACCGGAGCTTGTGTTGATGGAATCTCGTAATGAGTAATTAAGCCGCTTTGCAGAAGTCCGGGCTGTCATCCTGGCGTTTGGGTACTTATGTTCCCTAGTGGAGACAGCCGGGTAGACTGGGGAAGGTGATAAAAGGGAGAAAAATAGAACTGTTCTAGAACGATCTCCACTTTTAACAGCACAATACAGAGAACAGAGCTACTCAATAATTAGCCAACCAAGTATGAATTCTCATATGTTCTTAAAGTATCTGCTGATTTCTTCAAACATCTCTAACAACATGTCTGATGAATACGAAGCCTCCCTTTATTTATTTATTTTCTTTTTGCTTTCTTTTTTTGGGGGCAGGGGGCACAGTTTTTCTTTCTGTCTCAGTCTCTCAAACTGTAGGAGGACCAACTTCAGGGTTTTATTTTGTTTGCTTTGCTTTGCCTTGTCTGGTTTTTCAAAGTGCTCTTTTAACAAATGAAAGTTTAAAGCTTGAGTTCAATTTGAGTAATTTGTTCCCAGAGAAAAAGTAAATGAAAAGTATTTCTGGGTATTTTTAATGACACAAGTTTCTGTGCTGATATGCGGGCAGGGGTTCGGGAGTGGGGGCACCAGGGCTCATGAGCCGAGAGCCCCTGCTTCCCTTGGAAAACGGAAATTTCTATCTCCAACTAGGGAAAAATTTGCATGTGTAGAATTTTGGTTTTTTCTTCGGCGTGTTTATTTAATTTAACATTACCTATCCTACGATTATTTCAAGGTGATTTTATTACTAGTCAGCTTTCTTTTCCCTAGCACAAAACTCATGCAACATTTATGTTGAATGTTTAAAATTCTTTTCTAAATGGTTTCACCTTTCTGAAAAAATCTTGCATTCAAAAAGTGTAAAGGACTCTCCTCATTTCTGCGCTTGAAAGTGCAGTGTGATTTCACAAATCAAACAATATCAGGAAAATTCAATCTCGTTAATACTTTTGGAGGGAAAAGAAGGCAAGCGTACTCTTCAGAGAACGGATTCTTTTGGATTTGTGTTAGAGAAAAACTGTCTCTAATGACCGCACAGCACAAAGCAAAGCAGTTAAATGAATAACCGCCTTCCAGTACAGATAATAAAGCAGGGGAATTTTGTGTGTCACATCAATAAACATCTTAATTGAACAGTACGTGGGTTCTTCCCTAGTACCTGCCTTGCTATACACTAGCCTTGGAAAGAGTCTTGGTAAATTGTTCAGCCTCAAGTTCCACAACAAAATGGGATTCTGTTTTCTAGAACCTGGCCTAGTTATGATGTGATGAATCCGTCTCTGTTAAGGTTATCAACTTTAATAAACCATGTATTATTTCCTTAAATATTGTGCAATGTGCAGGGAATTATTTCAGTTTTGTTTTTTATTTAGCACAAACCTAAATATTACACGTAGCAAATGTCACCCGATGCAACTGTCTGTCCTGAAGAGGAGGACAGATTATTCTGTGGCTACCTAATGGTGTTTACAGAGTTGCCACTTTGCCAAACCCCAAGACCCACACTTGGTCTCTGGTGTTGGGTCCGCCAGCTCTCCACCCTTCAGAATGGGATGTTTAGGGCGTAATCTTCTGAGACCCACAACCTAAGCCGGGAAGCAGAGGCAATTTATTACCCCAGCTTCCTGTCCACTGGAGGCCCGGGGAGACCTTGAAATGCTCAGCTGCAAGTCAGGGTCCACCGATGCAGCCTCGGAATTTAATGAGGCCTCTCCGGACCCAAAGGGAGATGGACATTTCTAGGCTTGTGGAAGGGACTCCCCAGCCCCTCTTCTCTCCTGGTGAGACCGTTGTTGGATGTGAAAAGGCCTTCACTATTGTCAAGGCTGGGCCCCTGCTTTTGCCTTGTTACTCTGCATTTTAACTCTGGACCAGAATTGATTGCCACCAATAAAAGATACTCCAGTCCTTAAAAAGTCAACATTGTTATGTTTTACTTAGTTATGACTTAGTGAACACCTATACGAATTAGCCTCATCTGGTTCAAGGGTTCTCAGATGGGACCACTTTTGCACCCAGGGAAGGTGTGGCAATGTCTAGAGACATTTTTGATTGTCATAACTTAGGATGAGGTAATAGTGTGCTCCTGATTTCTGGGGGTAGAGGCCGGGGATAGTGGTTAACATCCTACATGAACAGGGCAGACCCTTGCAACAAAATCTTACGTGGTCCTGGATGAAAATAACACTGGAGGTAAGAAACCTTGGCCTAGAGGGTTCCCCAACCTTTTTTTTTTTTTCATTATGGCCCCCTCCCCCAGGAGCCTTTTGAGATACGACTTTCCTAATGGTCTTTGCCCATGAAATCTGAATACCACAGATGTGCTGAATGCCTGTTCATGTACCATATACACATGGTATATGCCTCGTAAATGAAAGGGTGAACAGTGTTTATTCCCCAACTGTCGTCCCTCAAAACCAATGTTAACACCCCTGGATGTATTGTCACCCCTGTTGGGAATACACCGCTCAGAGAAGGGTTTTGTCCATAGGCAACACAGAGCCAATTGAGGCCTTTGGGCAAGCGGAGGTCATGATGGAATTCAGCCTTTCAGACAATTCTGCCAGGCCCTTGGAGGGTGGGAGGAAACAGGCAAGACCTCTGGCTCCTAGAACCGTAAGGACCCTTGCCATTAGGACCAAACCTCTTCCAGCTTTCTCAGCAGCCACATGTCACCCCCTCTTCCACCCTTTGCCCTGCCACCCTCCATCCCCTGATACCCTCCTGCCTTTTAGTTGCCGGTGCTTGGAAACCTTTGCAAAGTCTTTTTATGGAGATGCCATGTCCTTTCAATGGTGCGTTTAGCCAGCGCCCCGCTCTGGGCTCCAGCAACATTAGGGCATTGTTATTCCATCCGAATGACAATTTCAAGCTCACGTCTTTGTTGTCCATCCTCGAATATCCTGCACCGTTCCTGGCACAGAGTAGGCACTGGATAATTATTTCTTGGATGAAAGAATGAACAAATGAATGAATGAATGAAAGTTTTTTTCCTTGCAAATCTCCCTGCACACTTTAATCTTACCAGCATCTTGTGAAACACTCCTACTTCTTTCTGATCTTTATTTCTTACGTAGTTTTGAAATGAGAACCGATGAAGCTGCTTTTGCTCATGGTACCTCAGGTCCTCGCTCACTCCCAGCACTCAGGGCTGTGTGGTCAGAGTCTCAGATTCGGAGCATGTGATGTGCGTGGGCCTGTGACTAACAGCCACATGGCACGCAATGGTGGCAGCCTGGGAGGCTGACTGAGCAAGTAATTTCTGCTTAAGCAAGAACGTGAGGGGTGATGTAGTTGCATGCACTTTGCCATCATAGCTTGATCTAGGTCTCAGCCTGGGATCTTGCAGCTGCGAAAAGCATGGCGTTGCGTTTCCAAGCCTGAACATCCACACCCGCGAAGATAAGACCATCTCTTGGATTAATGTGACGCTGAAATAAAATAATCCAAAGAGAAAATGCCTGAGACCCACCAGGAGCTCACCAGATACTACTTCTATCTTCCCCACTCTAGGTCTTTTTACTGCAACTACCGTTTAAAATACTTTTTCCATGAGGCAGATCTTAGTGCTGACAGTGTCAGTGTCTTTAATGCCTGGTTCAGTTGCAAACATGGAGGGCAGAGGTTTGATAGCATCCAAAGTATGCACGCCGCACTCCACCTCCCATGCCCTTTTCTTTTTCTCAGGGCCATCAGAAAGGAAGTAACTGGCTTAGATTTGACACCTCTTTTTTTGTTCGTTTTATGTTTTTGAATCTAGCATGTATAAGCTCATCAGAGAGCTTTCCCCTGGCCTGGGACAATCAGGTTTCAACTGAGGCTCACGCACACGTCAACACAGGAACCTTTTTGATGCCTCCAGGCAATTTCCTACAAGCTCTAATATCTTCCTCTTTACTCCCATATGTGGTATCTCTGGTACCCTATATATCATTCACTCAAGTGTTTGTTTTGAACCACTTATTTTGGCAAGACTTCTTCAGACAGGAGAGCCCTGAGAGCTCTTCAAAGGCTGGGCCTGATGGTGTTTGTCAGAGAGGTTCGAGCTCTTAAATTTAAATGGCCTCCCACAGGGAAGCAGAAGTCCTTTTGGATCCTCCAGAGGCCTGAGATCCTCCAGATCCTGTTCATTTGCCTTATTCGTTATGACCATAGAAGTTTGTGGGGTGGCACTCTTTATTCTGTCCTCGCCCCACAAGCAAAGCACACACCAGAAGCTATAAGGAGATGAGCTCAGTAGGCCTGTCCTTTACTTTATTTTCCCTATTAGAATCCCACCATAGACGCCCTCTCTGCATGTGTCCTTGTCTGGGGGAGTCGCTTAATTTCCTTTTTCTTTGAGGGGCTATAAAATTTTTGTTGTTACAAAAATGAAAGGGGAGAGGAGATAGAAGAAGGAAAACAGTGAAAGCTCAGCCTCGAAAGAAGTGCTTAAAGGAAAGGAGGTTCTGACAGAGGGCTCGGATCATCAGCAGGGGCAGGGGGTGCAGGGGGTGCCTGCAAGTCTGTGACCGTCCTGAAGGACCCCCTTCCTAGGATCCCAAACATGCACTCCCATCCCAGCCTCACACCAAGCTCCCATCTGGGAAGCAGCAGACACACATAAAAGCAAGGAAACTTCAAGGACGCTTTTTGTTTTCCCCTACTTTTAAAAAATTGAGGTGAAATTCACATAATATAAGATTAACCATTTCAAAGTAGACAGTTCAATAGCAGTACATTCACAATGGTGTGTAAATACCGCATCTATTTCCAAAATATTTGTATCTCCCCACAATAAAAGTCTGTACCAATTAAGCAGCTACTACCCATTCCTCTTCCCTACCATTCTACCTTCTGTCTCAGTAGGTTTGCTTATTTGGGATATTTTATTTAAGTGGGATCATACAATAGCATCATGTGTTCAAGGTTGACCCACATTGTGGCATGTATCAGTACTTCATTCCCTTTTATCACTGAATAGTATTCCACTGTATATTGATACCACAGTTGGTTGACCCATTCATCCATCCATGGGCATTTGGGTTATTTCCACCTTTTTGCTCTTGTGAATCCATGCTGCTGTGAATAATTGCATATGAGTATTTGGGTTCCTGTTTTTAATTATGTTGGGTATATACCTAGGAGTGGAAGTGCTGGGTCACGCAGTAATTCTTTTTAACTTTTTGGGGAAATATCAAACCGTTTTCCACAGTGGCTGCACCATGTTGCATTCCCACCAGCGAAGTGCAGGGGTTCCAGTTTCTCACACTGTCACCAACTCTGTCAGTCTATTCTGGCACTGCTATAAAGAAATGCCTGAGACTGGGTAATGGCTGAAGAAAAGAGGTTTAATTGGCTCATGATTCTGCAGGCTGCACAGGAAGCATAGAAGCTTCTGCTACTGGGGGCGCCTCAGGAAACTTATAATCATGGCAGAAGGTAAAGGGGAAGCAGGCACATCTTACATCGCCAGAGCAGGAGCAACAGAGAGCGACTGGGGAGGCGCTACACACTTTTCAACCACCGAATCGCATGAGAACTCTCTCACTGGGACAACACCAAGGAGATACTGCTAAATCATTTATGAAGGGTTCATCCTCATGACTCAGTCACCTCCCACCAGGCCCCACCTCCAACACTGGGGATTACAATTCAACATGAGATTTCGGCGGGGACACAGATCCAAACCTTATCACCAGCGCTTGTTATTTCTTCAGGTACATTTTGATGTCCCTCCCCACTTTACTCTCCCCTACACCTTGAAGCAGGTGCAATCATTTTAGGCTATGAGGACCAGCATCGACCTTCATCAGCATCTGCTCTCCTTTACGGCCAGGTCTCCTTCGTCCTCCCTGCTCAGAATTTCAGTCTTTTTTTTTTTTTTTCCCTATACAGACACAGGAAGTATATATTTTCCTCTCGAATATCACTTGGGTCTTATCTTGTTTTATGCTACATGCATGTGGCTTCCCCCGTTACAAAAAGAATTCACATTATTAGAGAACATTTGGAAAACATACAGAAGTAAAACAAGCCATCCCCATTCCCACCTCCCAGAGATAACGCCTGTGTTTTAGTTCATCTCCTTCTAACCTTTATAGTTTTTTTTCTATCATATTAGTTAGGCATTGGTTTGGCTCCAAGTGAAAACTGCTTCTGTTATTAACATCAGCAGCAGCAACAAGAAGAGAGAAGTTTATGTCTGTCTCGGAATACGTACGTGACAGGCTCCCCCATCGAGGTGCTCAGATATGGTGGCCACTGCATGATTTTGCTCAGGACTGAATTAGAGGCAGGTGAAAGGCCCTCACTCCCTGGAATCAGCTAGCGATGGCTAAGGCTCCTGTGACGGTTTCTACAGAGGTTCCACCCAGAGAGGAGAGTCAAATGGGAGTTTCTACCGATGCTCTTGAAAGGATCTTGTTACTCAGATGTCTCTAAGACAATGATCAGTACCCATCTCTCAGAGCCTGTGTAGCCGTCCATGCTTGAGGCATGAGATGCTGAAGATAAAGGTCCCCAGTGGTCCAGGTTTTTCCTTCTCAGCTTGGAAAGCAGCAGGAAAACTGCACTGCATTTATCCAAAGGGTGTGATTGGTAAGTGTGGGTAGTGATATAGAATAAATCAACGTGGCTGGGTGCAGTGGCTCACGTCTATAATCCCATTACTTTGGGAGGCCAAGGTGGGTGGATCACAAGGTCAGGAGATTGAGACCATCCTGGCTAACATGGTGAAACCCCATCTCTACTAAAAATACAAAAAATTAGCTGGGTGTGTTGGTGGGCACCTGTACTTCCAGCTGCTTGGGAAGCTGAGGCAGGAGAATCACTTGAACTCAGAAGGCCAAGGTTGTAGTAAGCTGAGATTGCACCACTGCACTGCAGCCTTGGCAACAGAGCGAGACTCCATCTCAAATCAATCAACCAGTCAATGTGTGCCCCCTTTTCCTCCAACTCCCACCCCAAATCCTTGCTGAATCATACCTATCCTTCACCTTTATAAGCATCTAGTTTTTAAATCTTTGCTGTGAAGTTGGCTGTGTGAGCTCCATTTGACAGATGGAAAAACTAAGGTAGTTTGCCAAAGATGGCTCTTTGCCTTCAGGATTTCCATGTCTTTATTTTGAGTAAACACTTGCACTGCTAATTTTATTCCAACAATGTCCTTGGAATGGTTTTAGTTCTCTTGGCTGTAACCAAGTCTACACGATACCACTTGAATTGACAACATCACAGTCAAACCTCAATTTTCACAATTAATTGTGCCGCAGTTAATTAAATTGACTGCCTGGCAATCCAGTCTCAATTAAAATACTAATAGTTTATTTATTTATTTTGTCTTTTACGAAGCGTTTTCTTTTACCATCTCTCAGGATCCTATGTAGGTATCCTGATGGTAAGAATGATAATACCATGACTGATTATTCCATAGTTGCAGGAACCCCACATGGCATTTCAAATCACAATCAGAACTTTGACCTTGAAAGGGGACCCGGATCAGCTCCATTCTCCCAAGGAGACTTTAGCTACTACCTTTCTTACTTTTTGAATAAGTATTTTGCAGGGCTTATTTTCATCATCTGGAAAGGAGGAATAGATAGGGTTATCTTGAAAGTCCTCTCTTGGAAGGGATTATGGTTCTGTAATCCTGTAGGACTGGACTCAGTGGGTAAATGTAGAGGTGATGGTATCTCCGTTTTTATTGTCTTCAGAAATGTTGAGATCGAGTGATATAAAGTCACAGGGTTGGCCCCACAGTTTAGTTCTTGGCTTATGTAGAAATCTGTGCTAAGAAGCGCTGTGTTGCGTCATCATGGGGCATTTTTGTATGTCATGCAGTCATACTTTGCAGACCCCTGGGAGCCTCATTCGAGTTCTTCCTGTGGAGTCCCATGCCTTGGTGTTGAACCAGTGTCCTAGCTGGGAGGACCGTTGTACTGCAGCACTTTCCTAAACTCTGCATGTGGTCTCCATGATGTCCTGGCTGTGTTAGCATCAGAAATGGCTTTGCCCACATCTCCCAACTCTGCCCTCTTATTAGGATTTCTCTGCGCTGGCTGATGCCTGAGCCATCTAATGATCTTTACGGGAATAACCAAAAATGCTGGGTGGGGGGGGAAAACGCCAGCAGATCTCTTTAGGGCAGAGTAGGGAGGGACACGGACAATGTGGGCAGCTGTCCATGCAGCACGTATCACATCCAGGATGATGTTTATATGAAGCATCATTTTTTTTTTTTTTTAGGTGGAGTCTTGCTCTGTCATCCAGGCTGGCATGCAGTGGCACAATCTGGGCTCACTGCAACCTCCACTTTCCGGGTTCAGGTGATTCTCCTGCCTCAGCCTCCCAAGTAGCTGGGAGTAAAGGCACATGCCACCATGCCCAGCTAATTTTTGTATTTTTGTTAGAGATGGGGTGGCCAGGCTGGTCTTGAACTGCTGACTTCGAGTGATCCACCGGCCTTGGCCTCACAAAGTGCTGGGATTACAGGTGTGAGACATTGTGCCCAGCTTGGAGCATCTTAATTTAAGCCCTCTACATCCCTGCACGGTAGATACAACCAGCTCCGTTTCCAAGGACGAGGAGCAACAGAGTGAGGTCATTTCCCTGAGTTACACTGAAGATGGTCTAATTTCAAAGTCCTTCCTGTGTCCACTTTGCCAGGTGCCCCCCGAAAAGCAAGAAGACTCCTTCAAGCATCCTGAAGATTTGGATGCTACAACTGTATGTCCTGCTGGAGAGACCCTCCCAGAACATTGAAGGCTCCAGTGTTTTGACTGGCAGAATCTCAGTTTCAACATCTGTCTCTAAGGGCTCTGGACCTATGCTGGGTGAAACGTGTTGTCTGTAGGATTTGGCCCATCTGAGCCTCACTGGGGATGGGCTAAACTCCGTGGGGTTTGTATTCCTTCTCCTTCATTGCTCAGAGGAAAAGAAGAAAAAAAATAAAAAGAAACGACCCCAAACAGCCTCTTTCGTGCACACACGCCTAAGAAATAGGAACATGAATTTGCATTCCTTCCAACTGGTGTGTTTCCAAAATACAGACAGGCAAGTTTGAATCACTTTGACTTTGAAAGCGTGATTTTGAGCAATCATCTGGGGAAAAAAATACCTCCTCTTCACTAAATAAGTCTGTCAAAAAGAGTCATAGTACAGCGTGCCATTGCCAGAATACACGTGTGTGCTGGTAAGCTGGCCCCAACCAATTAAATAGTGAAATGTCGACTGCATTCAGGCCCTTCCTGGTCTGCAGACAGACTTGTGTTAGTTCATTTTCATAGTGGTGTGTATGTATCTTTAGACTTTAACTGACAGATTCCCACAGTGAGTAGAGTAGGGAGTTATCAATTACATGGTTAGCTAGGCGCTGCTATTGTATGCTCTATGGCTTCTTGACAGGAGCAGGCAGAGAAGGAGGGAAGGACTAATATTTCTGGTGCAGGAGGACTGTTAATATTTTAGACCGGGCTCCTCAAACATGTATGCTTATTTAGTGAGGAGAAAATGTGCATTTGAATCCTGCAAACCCTCGAGAAGTTTGCATTAATAAATAGTGATTACCAGAATATTCTCTTCTAAAATATATTTTATTTATCAAATGAATACCCTTCTGAGCCCCTCTTTATCCTTCCTGTGATGGCTAAACTAATTTCATCAAATTTTGATTTCTGTGTGGTGATGTTGTGAACAGTGCCTGAAATAATAAAATTACCCTGAGCAGATTGCATATAAAACTGTTTGCAATGGGAGAAGCAGTCTTTGGGGCTGTGGTTTCCTTTGGCTGCAGTGTAATATATTCCTTTGTTTCTTTTGTGAAGTATTTATTGTGGGTCTCCTGTAGTCTGAGTTTCTTGTGGAAGTGGGCTTGTGTTTTGCTTTTGTAGACTGACACTGAGAATAGCATCCAAACATCTTTTTCCCACCAAGGCATCAAACTCCATCGTTAGGAATTCCTTCATAGAATCAAAGAATCAGAAAGAGCTGAAACATAGACCACGGACACTCAAATTGTTTATCCTGAAATGAATGGGAAAACCTAAGCTGAAGAAAGGAAGTGTCTGGCCAAGAAGCTGGCGGGAGAGTAGAATCAGGAACCAGGGCCTCCTCGTATCTGGTCTCACGCTTCTTCCGTGGTGTTCTTTCTTAAGTTGAGCATTGCATTCTCCTTGGATAGGATGGATATTTTCCTGGGAAGGATGATACATGATGTATTTATCCATAAAACTGAACAGGTGTTATGTGTGCCTTTTCTAATAGGAAAGACCATCATGCTATGAAAAGAGAGGAAGGGGAGAAGAAATGGGGTACGTTAAGATCTCAGAATGAGTTGTGGGGCTAAATGTTCAGCCTGTCTCCCTTTTCTCCTTGCCACACCACTAGATTATATTTTCTAGACTCTCCTGGTGTTAGATTTGGCCTTGTGACTTCCAGCCAATGGAATCGGCTGCAGGATGAAACTAGTCTTGATCCCTGAATGACTGCGTGGAGCACATCTCCTTCTGGTCAATAAGGCATTTCAGGAGTGAGAGATAAACTTCTATTGTGTTAAACCCCTGTGACTTTGAGACATATCTCCTACAGCAGGTGGAGTTAGCTTAACTAATGCAGAACGATAGGACTGGTGAAGCAGTCCATCTGTTATGAGAGCTATTCTTTTTTTTTTTTTTTTTTTTTTTGTGAGATGGAGTCTTGCTCTGTTACCCAGGCTGGAGTGCAGTGGCGCAGTCTCAGCTGACTGCAAGCTCTGCATCCCAGGTTCACGCTATTCTCCTGCCTCAGCCTCCCGAGTAGCTGGGACTACAGGCGCCTGCCACCATGCCCGGCTATTTTTTTTGTATTTTTAGTAGAGACAGGGTTTCACTGTCTTAGCCAGGATGGTCTCGATCTCCTGACCTCGTGATCTGCCCGCCTTGGCCTCCCAAAGTGCTGGCATTACAGGCATGAGCCATCGCGCCCGGCCAGAGGGCTATTCTTTGTCTTTTATTTGCTTTGAGTCCGGTATAACCATGTGGCACATACCCCTGTACATGTTTGCCAAGACTGCTATATGGCAGAGCTTGGAATTCTTAGGAGCTTTATCAGGTAATTGCAAGTCCCCCACCTCCAAGAAAGCACTCTCTAGGTCAAGAATCAGCAAATGTTTTCTATAGAGGCCCGTAAAATTAATATTTTATACTTTGTGGGTCATATAGTCTCTGTTTCAATTACCCAACTCTGCTGTTGTAGTGCAAAAGCAGCTGTAGACAGTAAGTGAATGGATGGGTGTGGCCGTGTGCCAATAAAACTTTATTTACAAAAACAGGCAGCAGGCCAGAATTAGCCCTGTGGGATGACTCACATGAGCAGAGAGTTCTGGCATCAACTTTGTTCGGAGAGATACTGACATACTTCTACTCAAGTAAGTCAATGTTTCTGTCTCAACTGGTTGATTGGAACAACATACAAACTGACCCTTAGGAACCTTCTACCAAAAATATCCTGTGAATCTTCATACTTTTGTAATACCGTTTAGTTAGAAGTGGTCAGACTTTCTTCGTCCTCTTTTCGTGATTTCCTCTGTGGTGTCTGTGGATCGATACCGGCAGCTCAGGTAAGGAACGTGTGCAGGGGATGTAACAGAAAGGAGAAAGACGAGGAAGAAGGGTGCATGGAGCGTGCAGGGGAAGAACTGATTCTTTTTTCAGTTAATCGGCTCATCAAGGTTCTGGTGTTGAAGTCTGATTTCATTTGCCATGTTAAGAGGATATGGACAGATACTGGGCAAAAGGAAAAAAAAAATATTGGATCCTTGCCCAGCTCCAAGTGTTGCTGAGTCCCTTGCCCCCTCCACCCCGCTCTGTCAGGAGCCAAGCTCTGGCCGCCCAGTTTTTGGACTTTGTAACTGTTTCCGAACGGATCAGATTCCATCTGAATTGCAGATGGCTTTAGCCCCAGCAGCAGAGGCTGCCATGACATCGGCATGCGATTTCTTCCAGGACTTAACTCTGGAGAGAGCTCCATTTCCTGTTGATCATGAGGGTTTTACAGGCACAAACGCTGTCTTCTGTCACTCTGTCACAGTGCATTATGTCAGAATAGAGGAAGCAGTTCAGCCCGTAAATCTGTGCCACCGGCACGCAGGGTGTTGTGTTGTCTCCAATGTGCCTTGTCAACACCACAGGGCTAATAGCAGTGTCAGGGTCCCCGTGCCATGAATCACTTCACATCTCTGGCTAGTACAGATCTCTCCCTGTCACTAGTGGAAGTCGCCTGCACTACATTCAGAATAGGGGCCAGGCGCGGTGGCTCACGCTGTAATCCCAGAACGTTGGGAGGCCAAGGTGGGAGGATCACTTGAAGTCAGGAGTTTCAGACCAGCCTGACAAACATGGTGAAACCCAGTCTCTACTAAAAATACAAAAATTAGCTGTGCATAGTGGTGCATGCCTGTAGTCCCAGCTACTCAGGAGGCTGAGGCAGGAGAATTGCTTGAATCCAAGAGATGGAGGTTGCAGTGAGCCAAGGTCGTGCCACTGCACTCCAGCCTGGGCAAAAGAGTGAGACTCCATCTGAAAAAGAAAAAAAGAATAGGCACAGACAATTTACCTGGATCCTCACATTGCAATGCTGACCACTCCGGAAGGAGTGTAGAAGTTGCAGCTCATGCCTGCATTCCAAATGGCTGCCTTCTGCAGTCCCGTCAGCCAGGATCCCTCTCATACAAACACCTTGACTGGCCGAGAAATGCAGATGCTGTGTCAAAAGTTCATGGCTCAGAGCCAACAATGCACTGTGCTGACCTCCAATTTTCCTTGAGGAGGGGCATCCCAGGGTCAGAATTTTATGCAATGCAAGCTTGTCCACGATGGCATGGGAGCGTGTGGGAATGTCAAGATGAACCGGGGCTCCGGGAGACATTTATGGAGTCAGGAGCACACATACATTCCTGGTTCTGTCAGCATTTCCCTAGGCGAGATGAGTCACACATTTATATTTTTACATATGCAGCGCGCTTGCAATTTTCCACTGGGGATGATAGAAAAACTTATTGAAAATAGTTAATCAGTTTTACAAAGATGCCATAGGTAGAGGTGCTTCCAGACCTATAGTTTTGAAAGTCACCTAGAGGATACCAGTCTGACTCAGAGCTTTATGAAGGCATATTCCTAATATCCTCCCTGTGCTCCACGAAGAACAATTGGTTTGGACATGAACTGGTTTCCATTTTTAGACTCCAGGCCCACAGTATTCTAAGTAGGTTGGGGCTGTGCTGATTGTACCACTCTTTGGATTTTAGTGGATTTTCTTTTTAGGATTTCATGTAAGTAACCTGTGCAGAGAGTGAGGATAAATAAGAACAAGAATGACAAACCGATAGGCTACTTGACATCATTCCTTAATTCCAGGTCACTGGCGGACATCACTCATTCATCAGTACTCTGTTTTTCTCCCAAGAATGGATCTGACTCTTGAATTCTCTTTAATAGAGTGTTCTGGGAGGCTGTTACCAATTGACCAGGGTTGATGCACATGTTGAAACATCTTTGCCATTTCTTGATAGCTTCAGAAGAGATTTTAAAGTACTATTATTTTGATGTTGTTAGCTTTCAAAGATTAATTCCACAGAGATTTTTGGGCATCTTTTTGATAATACACATTATGCTTGACTTGGGAGTTTCAGGATGCGCAAGAGACTCCTTTTGACTGCAAGGACTCAGTAAAACAAAGTATTTCAAGGTCATGCTACAAAAAGTCCCACCAAGAGCATGGTCAGGAGGTACAGTGCACTTACCCACACGGAGCAGAGAGGGATCAGAGGAGGCTGGCTGGGGAAATGATCCTAGGGCTTTCTTAAAGGACACAGCGCCATGGTTATTTAAGTACAGCTTTTAAGGAGAACTAACTTGCCACTTTGATAGCAGTATAGGACTCCAATATTTCTCATTTGTAATTTTCAGAAGCACACGGGAGGTCTTTGAAATTTAATGTCTCCCTGCATCACAAACCAAAAGACGAGTCAGTTTATAAGTAGGCTGTGCTTATTAACTCAGTCCTGGCTTTATTGATTGCTTTAGGTTCCATGATCTTTGGCATGTGAGTGGTTTTGCTTTGTTTTGACAATGATCTTTTTGTACCTTGTATCGGGTAGGTTGGAATGTGTTTGAAAATTTAAGAATATTTTCCTAGCAAAGGCAGGATTTTTCAAGTTTGTTCATGCTGGAGCTCCTGCCACGTATTTTGTCCTTTTTTCTTTTTTCTAGCAACTCTCGAGAGGATGAGACAAATGGATTGTGAAACTGGAAGGAGGGTTTCTCATTTTTTAATCCATTGTTTTAGTGAGAGTTTAAAGCTTTCCTATAAAATATGTGGGTTGAGAAAAATTGGAAAAGACCTCTTCAAGGACTTTCCTCTATGCTCCCTCATGTTTCAAGTGGCTTTTTTGCATGATGGTGCATATGTCTTTGTTTCTGTACAGGGCCCTCCATGTTCAGAGGCAGAGTAACGTGAATTCATTTCGCGCTAATGAGAGTTGCGATATGTCGGCCCAAACTCTCTGTGTCCTTTTCTTCTTGGGCTGATGAACTTGTCAACTTTTAAAAAATGTGCTCTCCAAAAATTTCCAGCAGGACTTTCCCACCTTGCTGTTTAAACAGTGAATCAGCCCTGTGGGCTTTGCTGCTTACAACATGATTCCGGTGAAACCACAGGTCTCGTCATGTCCCTTCTGTATCCATGGTAGTCCCAGTGGGAAAGAGGTAACAAACCCAAATTGAGTAATTTCAAGAAATTTTAATAACAAAGGGGCTATTTTATAAAGGGGGGGTGGTCAAGGTGTAGGGAAACATAAAAGAGAGCGAATTTCTGGTCTGGTGCTGTGGGTCACGCCTGTAATACCAGCAGTTTGGGAGGCCGAGGCTGGTGGATCACCTGAGGTCAGGAGTTTGAGACCAGTCTGGCCAACATGGTGAAACCCCGTCTCTACTAAAAATACAAAAACTTAGCTGGGCATGGTGACAGGCATCTGTAATCTCAGCTCCTCGGGAGGCTGAGGCTGGAGAATCACTTGAACCCGGGAGGCAGAGGTTGCAGTGAGCCAAGATCACGCTATTGCACTCCAGCCCAGGCAACAAGAGCAAAACTCTGTCTCAAAAAAAATAAAAAAAAAAAAAAAAGAAAGAAAATTAATTTCTCAGAGGTAGTAATAGGGGTGGCTGTCACCATCCTTGGCCAAGGAGAGGGAGCAGATACTGGAGACAGTTGAAGGTGCCAGGATGGAGAAGACTCCTTGGAAGGAGCTGTAACCTTTGGTTGAGGAATTCAGCCTACCACTGGTAATACTCCCTCTCCCCAGGAGAGGTCCCAGCGGAATAAACATCCCCGCCCCTTCAACTCTTTGCCATTGTTCAAGCCCTGCTAGAAACCAGATGGCAAAAGGAAGTTACTGATGTGTTCATATTGGTCAACTTTTTCAGGCACGAAGACCAGTACAGAAGGATGGAAAGTGCATTTGGGTAGGGAAATGGGAGATTCCTGCATAGCTGTCAAGTTAGTTTCTTCCCAGAGAGAAAGACCGGTGGCTGTAGTCTGTGCCCCACTCCCAGCCTGTCCTTTCTCAGCCGTGGCTTGTGTGCATCCCTGGGGCCAGCATGTTGCTGCGAGCCCCAATCGATCAGTGGAGAAACGAGCTCTGGTGGGCAGTCAGGCAAAGCAGATACACGTGCTTCTTTTCAGCTTTGTTGGAAGGTTTCATTTTGCTTCAGGAACTAGGCAGGAGAATTCCTGAGTTCCTGTACAACCTGAGTTCTCTGTTAAAACAAGGAGGAAGTAATCATCCTGAGTTCGATGATTCAGAGTAAGCCATTTAACTTGTAGAGCTTTGGGACTAACAATGATCCCTTTTTGGAGTCCTTAATTACTAAAATTATCAGCATATTTAGAGTTCTGAAGATGCTGAACCCTTATTGTATCTCCCCAGGGTTAGTGAGTAATTGGGAATAGTGTTCCATCTTGGATGCCCCCATCCACTAACCATCTTTCCTCTTCGGGTGGTTCTAAGAATTCTAATTCAATTAGAAGGCCTTCTTTTTAGTTTGATTAGTTCAATATCAAGAGCTAAATACATTAGCTTATATATATGTCTGATGAACTCATCTTTGCTTCCTTGGATCCCCAAGATAGAATGGCCCTGATGCAGTCAAACCACCCTGCAGAATCTTAACAGCACCACAAATATTGCATCCAGGCATCCTGCCCATGCTGGCTTGCAGGCTGGGGATCCCTGTCCATAGCGCCCATGGCTCCACCACCAGTCAAAGGTAGTGGGGCCAGCAGTGGACTCCTGTGTGGTTCAGCTCTCAAAAATGTGAACTGAAAGACACAGAAAAAGACTTGTGTTTGGGGATAAATACTGAGACTGAGCAGTCTTGTGGATTCAGGAATTGGGCATCCAGTTGGGACCCTTTGCAAGAAGGGTGTTAGGGAGCAGAGAGCATGAGTAAGCCAGAAGCAGAGCAGGAGAGAGAATGGAGCAGGTGTGCAAAGAGGGCGGTGAGATGCTGAGAGTAATGGGGCTGGCCCAGGAGGAAGTGAGAGGAAGCAAAGTGAGACAGAGGTGGTGTGTGAGCGTGTGTGTGTGTGTGTGTGTGTGTGTGTGTGTGTGATTGAGAGAGAGAGAGACAGATGGAGGGAAAGAGAGGCGGGGGATTCCAGGTACAGTGGCTCATGTCTGTAATTCTAGCACTTTGGGAGGCCGGGGCGAGCAAATTGCTTGAACTCACGAGTTCGAGGCTAGCCTGGGCAACACGGCAAAGCCCTCATCTCTACAAAAAATACAAAAATTAGCTGGGCTTGGTGACAGACGCTTGTAGTCTCAGCTACTCGGGAGGCTGAAGTGGGAGGATCTTTAGAGCCCAGGAAGTCTAGGCTGCAGTGAGCCATGACCTTGCCACTGCACACCAGCCTGGGTGACAGAGGGAGACCTTGTCTCACCAAAAAAAAAAAAAAAAGAGAGAGAGGTTGAGCTCAACTGATCAGCATCTCAGATTAAGGGCCTCCATTCCCCCCATGCTTTGTAATTGCTGCCTGTTTTCCATGAAGCCTGACTGTGCATTGGTTCTAAGTCATGGGCTCTGCAAGATCCTCCTTGTGCCTTGAGAAGGGCCCTGTCCGCAGCCTGAGGAGCCTCAACTGTTCTCTGCACGACCTAGTTCTGGGCTAGGGAATGGCTGTCTAGCTTCAGTGGATTTCCAGAGTCCGGAGCTACTAAAGGTCAACAGCTGTGTTACTGCAAACTCTGTGGCCTGCATTCTATCAATGCCAAAATGCACATCACACTGACAACAGCTCTTTGTTTACACCGGGGAGCCCCCAAAGCCCCAGGGTAATTCCATCACCACCCAAGTTGTAAGATGGTAGAGCGAACAGGCCAGAATGTGATAAAGTAAAATGAAAGAAGAAAAAGGAGGAAGGAAAAAGAGAGAGGGAGAAGCACATAGAGGAAAGAAGGAAGAAGGAAGGAGGAAGGAGGGAGGGAGGGAGACAGGGAAGGAAGGAAGTCTGGCAAGAGGGCACAGTCAGACCTGCCAGGATCCCTCTGCTGTCTTAATCAAGCTTTGCCTCAGTCTTTCTGGACTGAATTTGTCTCTGTGTTCACTTGGCATTTTTTAAAAGGAGACAAAACAGGTGATGAACACAGCATGAGTGATTTTTCCCTTAAGAGAGAGGTGTCATGCTGAGAAAGAAGAACCGACCTCCAGGGGAGCTTGTCTTCAGACCAAAACCCTGGCAAGGACAGCCTGTTTGGATCTTGGTCATTTTGTTAGATTTATAAAGTGCCTTTGAACAGAGCAGGACACTCTGGGGACAAGTCAAAGCATGGCAGCCTTCAGCTTCCCAAAGAAGAGTTGTGGAGAAGGAAAAGTGAAGGAAAGTACCTTACTAAGTCATTGATGGCACATTCAGCCCTTGTCAAAGTCAAAGAAGAAATTTGGAGAAATTCTCACCACTGTGCTTAGGAGTCACCCTGAACTATTTCTTGGATGAAATTACCACCCTCCCACTTTTGGCAATGAGACAGCAAGCTTGGAATTTGGAGTCCATGTTAAATCCAGGTCCCAGCCAGGCACAGTGGCTCACGCCTGTAATTCCAGCATTTTGGGAGGCTGAGATGGGAGGATCACTTGAGCCCAGGAGTTTGAGGCCAGCCTGGTCAACACAAGGAGACTTCATCTCTATAAATAATAAAAAAATTAAAAATTAGCTGGGTGTGGTGGTGCACACCTGTAGTCCCAGCTACTCAGGAGGCTGAGATGGGAAGATGGCTTGAGCCTGGGAATTTGAGGCTATAGTGAGCCATGATTGCACCACTGCACTCCAGACTGGGAGACACAGCAAGACCTTGTCTCAAAAAAAAAAAAAAAGCCAGATTCTCCACCTACCAGTGGTGGGGCCCCTTGGGTAACTTGTTTTCACTCCCTCAGAACCTCAGTTTCCTTTCCTATACAACGCAAGCCATAAGGTTAACCCCTCCTCGTGGTGATGTTAAGATGAAACAGGAAGGTGAGGGGCTTAACACATTTCCGTGTTCCCATAAGCTTTCAGGAGATCTTGGTAGTTTTCATCTCGGTGTTCATTACCATCATCACTGCTTCAGACTCCTGTCCATGTGGGGCCCTGTGGTCTTGCGATCACCTCCATAAATGTTCCTTTGTTCCCGCCTAACACAATACCAGCCACAAAATAATTCTCAACACATATTCATTAGTGGATGCAGGGGCGAAATGAAACTCAGGGGGTTGGGAAACTCACCTGAAGGATCTTCTCCCTCTCCCCACTTTCAGGCTCTCCTTTCACATGCATGCATTAATTCGTTCATTCTTGGAATCTACACACCTGTGATGTGCTAGTTACTAAAGATGTAGCAATGAGTGAAAGGTAATCCTGTCCTTGAGGCATTCACAGGTAAAGAAGCCTGCTTGGGACATTGGGCCGTGAGCTCCAACGATGTCACTATTCTTCTAGGCTTTGTGGACCTTTGGTCACCCCTTCTGTAAGACCAACTCCCTTATCTGCCTGTACAGTGTTCTGCGAATCCCGGTCTCTACTAAAAATACAAAAAAAAATTAGCCAGGTGTGGTGGTGGGTGCCTGCAATCCCAGCTACTCTGGAGGCTGAGGCAGGAGAATTGCTTGAATCCGGGAGGCAGAGGTTGCAGTGAACCCAGATTGCGCCTCTGCACTCCAGCCTGGGCAAAAGAGTGACACTCTATCTCAAAAAAACAAAACAAAACAAAAACAATTTGGCTCCAGTGAGCTCATTTTACGTTGTATGTACCAGTATGCAAGTGTTGTATGGATGTGAGCGTCTGCGTAGGTTTTTATTTTTCTCTCTCAGAATGAAAGGTTTGATTCGTACCAGCTCCCCATCCCTTCCCATGATCCCATCTTAATGTCTGTTGTGGAAGTTGGCCCACAGAAGCCTCAAGCCTAACCAACAAGAAAGATCACTTCATATGCATTAGCTGGAAGGTAGCAAGAGGAAATCGCCTGCCAGGGTCCCTGACTCCCGGAGGAAAGTGTCCTCTGAGCCCTCCTTGAGGGACATAAATAGCCTCAAAAGTCACTGAATGCTAAGTTGGCTTTCTCCCCAAACCTTCTAAGTAGGCAGTCAGGATTTAACGACCCGCAAATTTCCAATTTTTTAGTTTATGAAAAAATATATCTACGTATAATTTTTGCCTCCATTAGAGTCTCATCTTTAAAAAAAAAATTATTCAGTGACTTCCTCCCTCTCTTTCCAATGAGGAAAACTGGACTATTTATGCTGCATTTTAGGCTTTTTTTCATATATAATTTTTCATATAAATGCACATTTTCCCCTTCTTTCGGGGAGGAAATTTAACTTTTGTGGAAATGTGATGTGTGTTTAAATTACCAATTTCATAGGCAATATGTCTGATAATTGCAGAGAGATACTGAGTTAACTTGTAGCAATGAGTTTCTGTGACAAAGGGAAATCAGTTTGTTTGCAGTAAGCCGAGGATAACGGCGCCGAAACTTTACTATTTGGGGGTGGGGGGAGGTTGGGGAAGGGAGGCCCTGAAATTGCTTTTTATAATTAAAAAGGGAATCTCAGATGTTTTATATCTTGAATATTTACAATAAAACCTTTAAGTGCTTGTCAAGAGGGTAATGTGTCATTAACTGGGGACTCTGCCTCGCCTCTCCTCTCGGACATGACAGTGCGGCTGGATAAGAGAAGAGTAATTATAGTTAAGCAGGGCTGCCAGGTGTGATAAATGACTAATCAGCACGCAGGAGCCTCAGTCCTCAAAGGAGGACTATTACAGTGTTATCAGCTGCGGGCCTGGGTGTACGGAGCCCGGAACAGGGATGGGGACAGGACCTTGCGCTGTGCGGCTTGGCATGCTGCTCCAGAGTGAGCCCATGGCTGTCTCTTAGTTTTGTCACCGGCGGCTTTATGTGGCTGCCACGGGGGGACAGGAAACACACAGGGGCTCCAGCAATCTGCCTGGTGCTAATATTTATATAACACACTCGCCAGACTCCATGGCCTGAGTCCGGGGGTGGCTTTTCGTGGTGCAGCTTGGATGGCATCGGAACCTGCAAGAAGCCAAGACGCCTGTTCTCCACGGCGGAGCCCGCTGGTCGGTCACTCCTGTTCCTTTCGTGTCCGTTGGGTGCAGGCATTATTTCCAGTGTATGTGACCGCTTCCCCCGTGGGAACAGTGTGGCATTGTTCCCTGGGCAAGCCAACAGCTCAGCCCTGTCCTAGAGAACCCTGGAGCTACGACGAGGGTACCCTGGACCCCTGTCCTAAATGTTCTTTGACTCTGCTTAGCCACTGAGGATGTTTGCATTTGATTCATTTGCTTATTATGATCAAGAAACGTTACCTGTCAACATTGGATAAACCATCCGAGGGAAATTAATCAAAACCCCCTTCAGACAAACTGCATCACATCGATTCTCTCCTTATAGGCCTTCTTGTTTTGTGTTCTCTGTGTGTGTTTTTTTTCCCCTAGCGTGCTGAAGGGTGGCATTGGAGTACCATTTAAAGAATAATTTTTAAGAAATGAACATCAGGACATAGACGTCTGAATATGAGGAAGTGCCTCATGTGAAAAAGGACGTAATGTGCTTTAAAGAAAGAAGAAGGAGATAGGACGACACTTTTGATACAAAGGTTATTTTTATAATACTTGCATTTTTATCGGTTCACGTATTTTAACAGGGAGCCCTGACTGAAGTCACAAAAATTATGACTCCGGCACCGAGGTACTTATCTGACAAATGCAATGCGAATGGTCTTGTTCTTATCAATGAGATCAGATTTCAGAAATGAATGTGAAGACCGAGGCGTTGCTTTGTGCACAGATAACCTTGCAGGCGCAAACTCCCAAACCAGAATAAAAGAATTCTCTATGAAATAATGGGCCAGGAAGCCCAATCGCGTCACACTGTAATAGACAGTGGGGGGTGGAATCAAAAGGGGGAAAAAACTCATTTCATCTCAGTTAATGGCAGGGAAACGAAGGCAGAGAAGGACTTTCTTTGGAGCGGAGCTGGTACGACAAAGAGCAGGGTTTCGCCGTGTCATGCACCATTTGCCGTTGCACTAGGGCTCTTTTCAGGAGCTGTGAAGCCATTATTATAATGTGAAAAAGGTGGAAAGAAATACTCCCTTCTGGACACTGGAAGGGCAAATGAGGTGCAAGCCTTTTTTTTTTCTTTCTTTTCTTCTTCTTCTTCTTCTTTTTTTTTTTTTTTTTTTGTTTTTCCTCCCAGCCTCTCTCCTTTCCCATTATGCACAATGCGCTGAGAAAGGATTCCCAGTCCCCCTGGTAAAAAGTCTGGAGGATGCCGAGGAGTTCACTGTGCCCTTAGATAATAACAGTTTGTCTTGGCTCTGATCACTCCTTTTTGTGACTTAGCTGGCTGGGAAGTAGCAAAAGTATCTTCCAAGCTCAGCTTCTCTCTGCTTGCATTCTTTCCAAATACGTGATTCCAAAGCCCATGCCCAATCCTTGCACTGAAGCTTTTAGCAGGAAAGGTGAACAGAGGCATCTGGATGCATCGCGGCCAGTCTGCCCCTTGCCCAATTCCCTCCCCTCTCCTGCCTACAGGTCATCCCTGAGAAGTGTGCCTGTGGACTGCGTTCTTTGGGGTAGGACATGGAATGGGAAGATGAAAAGAAAGCCTTCCTTTTTCTGTCCTCAGCCGTAAGAAAGAATGGTTTCTTCACAGTGCCGATTGGTAAAACCAAGTTCTTTGTAAATTATGGAACCCAAGCTGGAACTTGGAGAGCATTCTTCTAACTGAAGATAAATATGGTTGCCACTGTCTTTATAAAAAAAAAAGAAAAAGAAAAAGAAAGAGAGAAAGAGAAAAAACTGCAAAACCGCAAACTGGCTTGTTCTTATGTGGTTGATGGGGACAGCAAGATTACATATATAGCCAGCATTTGATTCTCAGGACTGGTAAAGTGTGAAGAACAGCAGTGACATTCTAGTCTTCAATAAATCACTATAAAAATGTTTATGAACCCTGCAATTTACTGTCTTTTATATGCAAATTGAAAGGGGCATCATTGCAAGTGTAAAGGAGACCCGAGGTGGCCTGAAGGAAGTGTAAAATGTTGCAGTAGGTTTTGGAGATTGTGTGATCTTAAATGGGATCATTTCCAAACGATTTTGCGTTTATACCTCTGTGACAGTTCGATTAATTTATTAATGAGATTGCTGTAAGTTGCAGGGAAGTAGAGGCCAGCTTGGAGTTAAAGGGTGGCTTTGAATGAAATACATTTTCATTTCACTGAAAGAAGAGGGAAACTGGTGATTCCAAATCCAGATCCAAAAAGTTATTTTGGCAAAATGAAATCAGAACGTGGCCCCTTCCATGAAAGTCAGCTCAGGCGTAGAATGTTCTTTTTTTTAATTTTTTTTTTAACGAAACTCACATCTTCTTTAAATAAAATCTCCATTTAGAAATTTTTGAAGACTTGTGGATAGAAGAAGTAACCTTGAAAAGGGCAGAGCTGAGCCAGACCCCTTTTCAGCTGGGTGCTCCCTGGAAGATGGATCTTGCCTTGTGGATGTTTTTCTACCGTGACAGAAGATAGAAAGGATGAAATAGAAAGAGTGTGAGTGAATTCTGCACCCACCCCCGCCCCCCAGCTTCCCCACCTGTAAAATGATTTGCTCAAAGTTTGCAAAGAATGGAGGCATATTCAAAGTGCTCAGCACTGGGCCGGACCCATGGGTATGCATTCATAATGATCAGCTTCATTCTCTCCCTTTCCCTCTCTCTCCACACCTTTCCATTCCTCCTAACTAATGTGGGAGAGAAGAGAAAATTACAGTGAGAGATGGTGGTCAGTTTACAACAGTATTTAGATGAGAATTAAGATTATGTCCATTCAGGGAGACTCTAGTGTGCTCTACATCCCCCCAAAATGTGGGGACAATATGGCAAATATGGCCAGGTACAGTGACAGAAAGTAAACAGCCCATGAAAACAGGTTGCTCTGCAATTCTCCCAACTGTTCCCTTCCCGCTTCCCACCTGCCTCGTATGGAAAACACCCAAAGTAGGCACTGTTTATAGAGCCATCGCTTGCAGAACATCTCCCCGGCCTCCGACACATGTGCCATAAATGCTGCAGAGCTGCGTCCACAGTCCCTGCTCCGGAGAAGAGCATTTTGCTTGTTTTCAAACACAAGCATCCTCTCCCGCGCCTGGGAGGGCGAGGTGCGGATCTTTTCGCCTTGGCAGTCCCTCGCTCAAATGTGCGTCTCTGGCAAGTCCTGTCTGCTGATAGTTGATAGTGCTGCCACAGAGCGGCTGTCAGATTCCAAAGGCATCATACCATCTGCTTTTCCAATCTTCTGCTCTTCAATGTAGACATATGTTCGAGTGGTTCGTGTGTGTGCCTGGTGAGGGGGGTGCTATTTTCCGGGGGAAGAGGAGGAGGAGAGGATGCTTAACTCCAAGAGTCCTCAAAGCAAACTGAAATAAAATTTTAAGTGATGCCAAAATAAGCAGTCCCAGCAAGACATGTTATAATATAAGGTCCTTTCCTTAAAACCATACCTATATCAGCTTTGGAAATAACGTACCTCTTAACTGCATGGAAAATCTAGAAGATTCGTGGCTTGGGTCTGTTTCTATTCTTACCACGGTGACACGCAAAAGAATTTTTTAAAAAATAGGTTTGTTGTTATTTCTGTATATCTGTATGGGCCTGACCTCCCTTTTCTCTGGGCTTTCTACTCCAGATTTTTATTTTATTTTTACACTTTCATTGCCCTTTGCTCTTTCTGGCTTTCACCTAAACAATAGCATGTATATACAACAGTACCTATAAAATTGACGCTCGTGTCACTGATCATGCCAAGAAACCTAATGTATGGTGAATTTGCACTAGTATTTATTTCCTCCCTCCCTGTCTCTCCCCTCTCCTCCCCTCCCTTCCTTTCCCTCCTACCCCTCTTTCTTTGTATTATTCCCCTAGAAGGAAATATTCAAGCTGGCTTTAGAGAGGATAGCAATTGTAAGGTCAACCAAGTATGGGATGGGGACCGGAATAGATTTTCTCTGCAGATTTCACGCTGCCTTCCCGGGAATTTCTGAATGTTTTGCAGCCTAATGTTTAGCTTCCAACATTCTTTCTTTTTTTTTTAGACAGAGTTTCACCCTTATTGCCTAGGCTGGAGTACAATGGCGCGATCTCAGCTCACAGCAATCTCTGCCTCCTGGGTTCAAGCGATTCTCCTGCCTCAGCCTCCCGAGTAGCTGGGATTACAGGCATGCGCCACCATACCTAGCTAATTTTGTGTTTTTAGTAAAGACAGGGTTTCTCCCTGTTGTTCAGGGTGGTCTTGAACTCCTGACCTCAGGTGATCCCGCCCGCCTCGGCCTCCCAAAGTGCTGGGATTACAGGCATGAGCCATCGCGCCCGGCCTAGCCTCCAACATTCTTTAAGAAAACTGCACCATGAGTAAAATGGGGACGTTTTTCTCTTCTGCTGGGACCCAGGACATGTTGGACTGCACATCAGTTCATTCTCTCTGATCTAAGGTGTTGGCTGCTCTTCTCCCTTCTCCACTGGGCTCTGAGCTTCTTGAGTGAAGGGTCTGTGGGTTTTCACGCTTTGTACTCGGGCCCAGAGCAGAGCCTACTGCCTTCACAGAAGATGCTCCACATGTGTTTGTAGAAGGAACTTGGAAGACAGTCAGTTTTAAAGATTTTTTCACTGAGGGACTAAGAGAAATAGAAACAGAGGGGATTGGCCACACCTGAAGTCATTCTGTGTTCAAATCTTGGCTCTACCACCTATGATCTGGGAGCTGTTAGAGGAGTTAATCGATGTAGTTAAGACTCAATTTCTTAGTATATACAATAGGTGTAATAGTAAAAATTAGATGACTTTGATGTGTGTAGGTAAGCGGCTAGCACAGTGCTCAGCATGCATGAAGGACTCTTTCATTATCGTTATTAACTGATGTTTTTAACTTATACATTGAAAGGTGGAAACAAGCGTTGCTTCTATTGAATGACTTCTTGAAAGTGCCAGTCTGATCCTTGACCTTCAGGTGCATCTCTAAATTCTTTCATGTCAGGGTCTCTGAAATCTGAACACATCTCAAAGTTCCCTTATGCCTGGCAGGGGCGGTGTCCGACTTTGTTATTGCCTATGCATGTATAAATGTCCCAAATGCCAGCAACCAAACTTGCAGGATGGGTGTTGACAGATTCCAGGAAAGTCCCAGATGTAACAGCGGAATATTCCACCTTCTAGGAACCAAATGGCTGTGAAGTGGAGAGACAGGCAGAGCTAGAAATATTCCGGACGTGGAAATCAAAAGTAGGTTTGCGCAACACAACTGCAGAGCCAGCTCAAGAACCCAGCGCCAGTGGCTGATGCTTCTTCTTTTTTTTTTTTTTTAATGGATTCTTCTAAGGATGGCTGCATCAGCCAGGGGCAGCGGGTCATACCTGTAATCCCAGCACTTTGGGAGGCCAATGCAGGCGGATCATCTGAGGTCGGGAGTTCGAGACCAGCCTGACCAACATGGAGAAACCCCGTCTCTACTAAAAATACAAAATTAGCCAGGCGTAGTGGCACATGCCTGTAATCCCAGCTACTCGAGAGGCTGAGGCAGGAGAATCGCTTCAACCCAGAAGGCGGAAGTTGCGGTGAGCCGAGATTGCACCATTGCACTCCAGCCTGGGCAGCAGGAGCGAAACTCCTTCTCAAGAAAGAAGGAATAGCTGCATCACTTATGCTCTTGATGGTACAGAAAATGATCTGCATGGAGGAAATCTAGACATCAGCGATTCAGAGTCAAAATGTTATTCAGGGGAGAGAGACCCTTCATGTGAAGAAATTTTAGGAATACTTTAATTATTTTTTCACTTACATTTTATAGTATTTATTGTATGCACCAGAGTGATTGGTGATAAAAATGGAGGCCTACTTAAGTCTAAGAGAGTTCTTGTGAAAGTGGGAGGGGGATGAGGGTTGGAAAATTGCCTGTTAGGTGCCATGTTCACTATTCAGATGATGGATACACTAAAAGTGCAGACTTCACCACTACGCCATATATGCGTGTAAGAAATTGGCACTTGTACCCTTGAAATACATAAAACTTTATAAAAAATTAAAAAGAGTTACTGTAATGATTATAAAATGAAAATTCTACGTCATGAGAAAGCATTGTGCCATATTTTCACCGGGAGCATTTTTTTTTCCTTAGGGGAAATGAAAAATAATGGCATCTATGATCTTAGATTTAGTAAAACGCAGTATCTTCTTCCCCAGCTGAAATAGCGAAAGGGTCTCTTCAGGCTCCTGGGATAAAAACCAGGATCCTTCATGTGTCTGAGCAGGCTTCCCACCATTTGACTGCTGCTCCTTTGTCCAGACACATTTAACACCATCTCCCTGCACCCCTTCACTGGGCTCCGAAGCTGCGTTCACACGGCACGTCATTGGCAGCTCATCTCAGAAGGTTCCAGCTTTGCCTGGCAAATTCTCCTCCTTCCTTTAGATCCCATCTCTGGTAGACAGAGTAATGAGCCCCGAAGATGTCCAGGCCCTACTCCTAATTCCATGGAACCTATAAATATGGGAGGTTACATGGCAGATGGGGAATTAAGGTTGCAGATGGAGTTAAGGTTGCTATTCACTCATCTTCAGATTGAAAGATCATCCTGGATTATCTGGGTAGGCCCAGTCGAATCAGAGATGGGGAAAAGAGAGGCAGATGGGTCATAATCAGAGAGGTGGCTGAGTAAAGAGGACTTGGCCTGATGTTACCAGCTTTAAAGAGGGAGGAAGCGTCCAGGAGCCAAGGAATTCAGGCAGCGTCTAGAAGCCAGAAGAGGCAAGGAAAGAGATTCTCTCCCAGAACTTCCAGAAAGGCACGAAGCCCTGCTGACCTTTGATTTTAGCACAGTGATACCCATTGTGGCCTTCTGACCTTCAGAAAATAAATTTGTTTTAAGCCACTAATTTGGGGGTAATTTGTTACAGCAGCCAGAGGAAGCTAAGGCACCCTATAATATACCCTCTAAAAGCCCCTTTCTTGGGAAGTTCTCCAGCCTTCCCCATTGACTCTCAGAGGACCCTGGACCTCTCTTCCATGGCATTGCCATGGTTTGTCATGTTGCACTTATTTGTGTGATGATTTAATTAATACTCATCTGCCCCACTGGACGTGGGCAGGAATAGTGTGTGGTTCAACTATGAGATTCCTAGGGCCTACCACCGCCTGGGGTCCAAGAAGAGCTCAGCGAGTATTTGCAGAGTGAGTGAATGCAGGAAGGAGTCAATAAATACATTAATTAATTAATCTGCAGGAGAAAGAAGGGCAAGGTACTATGAACTTTAATTAAACACATATCCCACATCCAGGTGCCAGTCAGGGAGCTGCGATTTAATTTGCTGCTGAATGCACTTTTGAATAAAGGGCCTAGAAGATGCAGTCTCGAGGAACGGAGGCCGGTTAGAGACAGGCTGGCAGCTTTGCCTCCTCTCCCAAGACAAAGGCCTCCCCGCCCCCCTAAATCCAGCACACAATCAGCTGCTCTCCCTCCCCCTATTCTCAGCAGGAGAGTCAGGATGCATATTTCTTTAAGGGATGCTGTTGAGTTTCTTCTGGTGGAGCGAAGGATTTGTAGCAAAACCCAGCATGTAACTCGAGTGTTCTGTGAAGCCAGATATTGGTGCCAAGCTAAATTTGTGCGTGCAGCTTCTGTTTAAGGCAATTATATAGTGTGTAATACCCAGTAGAGAAATTAAGTCGAAGTACATTTTGCCCATAGAGATTATCCTCTCAGTTGGATTTATTTTAAACAAGTTTTGCCCCTTATACATTAAGGTGCATGCAATAAATCACTTATGTAATAAACTACTCTATATTATGTGGGAAAAAAAAAAGGAGCTGGTGGCAGGGGGAGAGATTTCAAATTGAGCTAGACCTCAGGCATGAAGGGAGGGGAGAGAGGGGGAAATGTGGAGGAAGGGGGCGTTTGTGCAGTGGGAAGTTGGAGAAAGTACAAATGAAAGCCTCTCTGCAGTGAACCTCATGACTGCTTTAGAGAGGTGCTTATGTAATAACTGCAGTGGTGTCGCTTTAGAAAAAGTTACAGAGCTTGTCTTTCTAGAGCAACCTCTTGGCTTATCTTAATTACCAGCAGTCCATAGTGAGACTGGAGGGAAGAAAAAAAGATGTAAGCTTTTATTAAATAGAAGAAAATCAGGGGCAGAGGACAGAGGGTGTGATTAGGGGTCTGGGGTAACCACAAATCTGGGCAACTGGAATTTATTGTAATGGTAAATTACACTAATAATAATCTGGGGATGAAAACAGGGCAGGCAGTGAAACCTGAATCTCAGCTGGACGATGAATGAGTTTTAATGCAAGTGTATCGACGTGCTGTACTCCTAACACATTATTTGTTATCTGAAATTTAGATTTCCTTGGGTGTCCTGCCTTTTTTTTTTTTTTTTTTTTTTTTTTTGAGATGGAGTTTCACTCTTCTTGCCCAGGCTGGAGTGCAATGGCGTGATCTCAGCTCACTGCAGCCTCCACCTTCCAAGTTCAAGTGATTCTCCTGCCTCAGCCTCCTGAGTAGCTGGGATAACAGGTGCACACCACCATGCCCGGCTAGTTTTTGTATTTTTAGTAGAGACAGGGTTTTGACATGTTGCCAGGCTGCTCTCGAACTCCTGACCTCAGGTGATCCACCTGCCTTGGCCTCCCAAAGTGCTGGGATTACAGGTGTGAGCCACCGCACCCGGCCCCTGCCTTTTTATTTTGCTAAACCTGATGACCCTTGCCATAGCAGAACTAAAGTGATGATGATGATTACAGCAGATCAGTTATTTTGAGCTCTGACTTTGCATGAGGCCCTTTATTAAGTGCTTCACTTGTGTGATCTGATTTAATCTTCACAAGCAAACTGGGACAGAGGGACTGTGCCTATTCCCATTTCACAGAGGTGAAAACTGACACTTAGTTTTCACCCGGGTTCTCCCTGTCTATAAGGGGAAAAGACAGGGTTCACACCAAGGCCTGTCTGGATCCAAAACCCATGCTCATAATCACTAAGTTATACTACCTCTTCGAGATGCTGATTTGGAAAATAACTCCATGATGAAACATGTCAAGGGAGACTGCCTGTACTCCGTAATGCAGAAATGCATTAGAGCTCAAAAATCTATGCTGTTTAGGAAAGAAAAATGATATCGCTCAGAAAATCATTTAAAAACTTCCTGGTGAATGCACCCAGCTCGCCAATGCATGCCAGCCACAGGGCCTCACAGCACATTTCAGGAGCAAGACAATTCAGACCCCACTCTTCCCCCTGAAAAACCTCCTTCCAGAACCCTCTTTTGCAGTGAGCAGAGATAAGCCTCTCCAATTTACATGTTTGTCATTCTCTAACTTTGAGAGCCCAATAAAACTAAGTGCTTAGTGAGAATCAGACATGGATAAGCTGCTTGTAATTTATGATTTAATGCAGCATAGTATAAAAATAGGCAATGAAACTGAAAGGCAATCAAAGTCTATTGTCACAAGGAATGGGAGGAACGGGGACGTGATCTAACATTTGCTGAGATCCTGCTGTATACCGGGAACAGAACATATATGGTTTCATTTCATCCTCCCATTATCACCGTGAGGCCTCTTCCGCTTATCTATTGCTGAGTAACAAGGTGTACCCCTCAATTTACTGGCGTAAAACGACAACAGTTTTATTACATCTCATGATTTTCTGGGTCAGGACTCTGGATAGGGTTTGGCTGGTTGAGTCTCCTCTTGCAGTGGCTGTTGATGGAGGTCATTTAGTGGAATCCAGTTGGCAGGAGAGCTGGCCTTGGAGAGTCTAGGATGGCTTTTGTCACATGTCCAGGGCTTTGTCAGGTTAGCAGGGCAGGGAGGGCTCAGCTGGTCTCAGCTCGTGGCTGCTCCAGCACCGTGGTCTCAGGGTGATTGGATTCTTGTAGGGCAGCTGTTTCAGCTACACAGCAGAAGTGGCACGGCCTTTTCTGACTTAGTCTCAGAAGGCAGAGGGTGTCACTTCCACTGCATCTTTGGGGAAGGCAGTCACCACTGTATAGTCCTGAGCTCACTGGGATTAAGGGGAAGGGACACAGACTCCACCTCTCGATGAGAGGAGAAGCGAATTGATGGGCAGATTTTATCACTGTCCTGGGGCCTTTGCTCTTTGCCCTTCCCTTTGCCAAGAAAGTTCCCTGTACTCTGCAATGCTGAGTACTTCTCATCCTTCAGGTCTACTGCAAGTGTCACTTGGCCAACACACCATGCCTTCCCAGTCTCTGGTGTTACTGTCTGCATACTGTAGACCATCATCTTGTTTGCATACTTGTCTGTTATCTCTTTATCATCCGTCTACCCACATCAGGCAATTCCAAGAGAGAAGACCACTGGTTTTGTTTGATCTAGTCCCTGTTGAGTCCCTGTGCACCTTCAGAACCACATCTAGCAATAGAAGGCGCTGCACGGGGAATTCTGGAATGAATAAAAACGCTTGGCAGTACCGCATGGCGAGCCAGTACCCGTGAATGCTACTTCCTCCAAAGAGAATTCCTGGGATAACAGAGAATCCATTCATGGCTGCCAGGAGGACTTGGATATTTCTCATTTTCCATTGGCCCTGGAGTGGAGGAACAGAGCCGAAAAGTACGTGGGGGGCAGGCAAAGCTGCGGTCAGAGGCAGACCCTGTTGGTGTTGGCCGTGTCAACCAGCTTTGCTGGTTTCTATTATAGCCCTGGTGTGGCAAAGGACACTGTGTGACTGTGAGCTCAGGTCAGCATTGCGATCCCTTCAGGCCTCTGGCTTGCAGGTTCCTGTTCAACCCTCTTAAATATGCTTTTGAAGCCCGTACGTTCGGTCCACGCCAACTCCTGTTTATACTGGTGCGAAGTGATGCCTGCTCAGATTCTGGGCGTTTCACGGGAAGGTATTAAATGTGTTTTGAAAATACTTGAAAGTCCAGCTGTGTATGCTTTATTTTATATTTAGCCTTAAATTAGAGACTCCATATACCTCAAGTAATAAAAAGGCACAGCAGGCACTTGGGTTTTCCCTCAGCTTGCTGGGGCCGTGCACCTATGTGAGATTTTATTATTTGTAATTTTGGGGGGGTTAATTTCACAGCTTAATTCTGGCCTTTATGCATTTAGAGCTCCCCTCTTGTGTTTCAGAAAGGAGGAGTTGTTGTTTTCTTTTCACTTGAGTTTAATAAATGAAAAAGGGGAAGGGAGAGGGAAGGAAGAGGAAAAAGCACAAATGTGCTTGTTTTTGGATCAGCCCCTGTACTGGGCACATGGATGCAGTCAGTCCTCAGTGTACCCCAGGAAAGAGGAAACTGAGTCTCCATGTGGCTTTCTGTCTGGCCTTTCTCTTTTGCTTGCCTTGTGCTTTGAATGCAGGCCTGATGTTTGCCTGTGGACCTCAGGATTTGTAAGGCCATCTCCACCCACCTACAGCTAAGTTTCCCAAGAGCCGATCTCCAGCCAAAGTCCAAGGTTCCTTGATGACCCCTGGGAGGAGATGCAACACACAGTTTCCTAGAATCATTTACTCCCCAGGCTAAGCACAGTCACAGAAATGAGGTAGCTGTAGCCAAGGATGATGGCATAGCACATTCGTTTCTTAGGCGTGCCACGTACTAGGTGGCTTCAGTCAGCAGAACTGTATTTTCCCACAGTTTTGGAGGCTCAAATTTGCAAGTCGAGGTTTCGGCAAGGCCATCCTCTCTCTGAAAACTCTATGGGGGCGTCCTCTTTGCCTCTTCCCGGCCTGTAGGTATTTCCTGGCAACCTTTGGTGTTTGGGGCATGTTGTCACCTCATTGCCATCTCTGCCTCTGTCTTCTCACCACCATCTTCCTTGTCCATGTCTCTCTATGTCTTCAATGTTCTTCTTATAAGGACACCAGTCCTTGGATTTAGAGCCCACCCTAATTCACTGTAATCACATCTTACCTAAGTCCATCTGCAAAGACCCTATTTCCAAATAAGGTCACATTCTGAGGCCCTGGGTGGACATGCATTTTAGGGACCCTTTCAGGCCACCATATATGGATTCCAGAGTGACCAGTAGAACATAGCTCAGGCCAAGAGAGAAACTCAACCTTGGTGAAGTTGCATGAGAACAGAAGGCAGCCCTGGTCCCTGGGAGAAACCCATCCATACTCTGGTTACCCACTGGCCATTCCTGGGGACAGGCGGCAGGTGTTTAGTCCCCTCTCTGCAACCATTTGCGGTCACCTCTTATGTGCTAGGCCTGGTGCTCAGCGCTGAGTGAACCCATATCAACAAGGCATGGTCACTGCGCTAGGGAAGTCCCTGGTCCAGTGGGGTGAGGGTGGCAGTGGCTGGCAACAAAGACAATGAGCGCTGAGATTGAACTACAGAAAGCAGAAGATGGGGTGACAAGTTTGGCCTGCGGCAGGAAAGACTTCCCAGTCTTTAAGGATAAGTGGCATTTGATGAGTTGCACAAAGAGGAGACCTGTCCTGGGAATGGAGGAGAAGATGTGAAGCGCGGGAAGTCCAGGGACACACAGCCGTGCAGAGACCCGGGGGCCTCAGCAGGTTAGAGTGTCTGCATGGCACCGGCAGAGGATGAAGACAGGGCTGGGGAGGGGCATGGGGTTAGCCTAACAAGGGCATCAGGTGCCAGGTTAGAGTTTCGGTTTCTAAGCTGTAGATAACAAAAATTTCTTGAATGCTTTTAGCCCCTGATCTGAGTTACGCTTTTTTTTTTTCCTTCCATTTTCCATCCAACAGACATTTGTGAGGCACTGTATTTGTTTTCAATTGCTGCTGTAACCAATGATTACAAATGTACCGTCTTAAAAACCTAAATGTATTATCTGACAGTCCCATAAGGCAGGAGTCCAACACAGGTCTCACTCGGCTAAGATCCAGGTGTAGGTGGGGCTGGGCTTTTTCTGGAGGCCCTAGAGGGCAGCTTGTACCCTTGCGTCTTCCGTTTCTTAGAGGTTGCCCATCTTCATGGACTCAGGGTCCCTTTCCTCCATCTTCAAAGCCAACAGCACCTGGCTGAGTCTTTCTCATGCTGGCATCCTTCTGGCTCTCTCTTCAGATTCCCTCTTCCGCTTTAAGGACCTTTGTGATAGTTTTGCACCCACTGGATGACCCAGAATCATCTTCCTCTTTTAAGATCAGCTGATTAGCAACGTCAGTTCCACCCACAATCTTCATTTCCCTTTGTCGCGTAACCTAACATATTCACAGGTTCTGGTGAGTGGGATGGGGGTATCTCTAGGGGACCATTATCCAGCCTTCCACAGGCACTTTGTCACAGGCCAGGCGCTATGCCAAGCAGAGAGGTCACAATAGCAAATGACACAGACAAGATCCTTGCACTTCCAAAACTTATGTTCCAGTGAGGGTGAAGGGCGTTGAAGAAGTCAACGAGAAAGTCAAGTTTTTACAGTAAGTGTAAGTTGTGTGGGTGAAATAAAAAAGGTTCTTTGCTGGAGAATAACAAAGGGAGGGACTTACATAAATAGAGTAATCAGGGGAGGGCCCCTGAGAAACTCTAAAACATGAGGAAAGGGCTCATGATGTGAAGAACTGGAAAGGTGTTCCAGGCAAAAGGAATGGCAAACACAGTGGCCCTGAGACACTCAGAGAAATCACTCAGGCTGCCTTCGAAAGGATGTATTGGAGAAGATGAGGCCAGGGGATTGTTAGTAACTGTTGCAAGGATCCGGGAGAAAGATGATGAAGGCCTTGTAGGGCAAGCTGGATAAGAGCACCCAAAATATCCATAACCGAATCCCCACTACATAGGCATGCTACTTTATATGGCAAAAGGGAATTTGCAGAAGCTAAGCACTTTAAAATTATTATCTCCTTAAACCTCACTGCAGAGTTATAAGGAAAGCACTGTTATCAGATGAAGAAGTAGATTTCATCAAGTGACTCACCCGGTATCATATAGCTGCTTAGCGGCAAAACCAGGATGTGAATGGAGAGCTCTTTCTCGGATACCAAAGCTATTTAATATTTATCATTGACTAATAATGGTAGAGAAAGTAATCATCATAACCTCTGCCCTTTATTAGTCACTCATGGTGTCACAAGCCCTTTACAAAGCACTGTGCATGCAAATGATTCCTCATAACAACCTTGGGAGGTAGTTACTTTCATTGTGTTAGCTATCTCTTGCTGTGTAAGAAATTACCACAAATTTAGTATATTTGTTATCTCATAGCTCCATAGGTTAAAAGTCCTGGTTCAGGCTGGGACTTCTGCTCAGGGTCTCATGAGGCTGAAATCAAAGCGTCAGCCAGGGATGGGGTCTTATCAGAGGCCCTTGGTTATTAACAGAATTCATTTTCTTGTAACTGTAGGACTGAGGTGCTTGTTTTCTTGCTGGCTGTTGACTGAGGGCCCCTTGCAGCCCCTAGAGGCTATTCTCAGGCTCTCAGGCCCTATCCACAGATGACCTCACAACATGACTGTTGGCTTCTTCAAGACTGAAGGAGGCTCCCCCATGCTCTGAGTCACTCTCTTCAGTGAGGGCCCAGCCCCTTTTAAGGGCCTAGCGATTAGATCAGTCCCACTTAGGATTGAATCCCTTTTGATTAATGCAAAACCAACTGCGTTCAGGCCTCCATGACATCTGCGAAATTCCTCCCCCTTTGCTTGGTAGCCTAACTCACTCAGGGGGGCAAATTATCCCATCATATTCACAGTTGCCGCCCACACTCAAGAGAGGGGATTCTATAGGAAATGGAAGTCTTGGGGGCCATCTTGAATCCTGACTACCATAGTCTGTGAAATCCCCATTTCACAGATGTTGAAACTGAGACTTAGAAGCATTATGCACCATGCCAAAGGCCATGGAAGGACAGAGCTTGGGCATGCTCCCGACACCAGGTCATACTGATGTCACTCTCCCTACTCCCTTCACTCCCTCCAGCACCTGGCCTTCACCTGAAGGTGCTGACCTTGCTGTTTGTTGGTTTCAGCAAACAAAGGGAGATCACAGCACCTGTCCCAGGCCTTGTCTTCCAGCCCCACAAACGTGCACCTGCAGCCGGAGACCAGGGGGCCCCGATCAGGTGGCAGGGCCTTTAATTGGAGCCACGTGTGTATAATGAGCAGCGCACACACACAAAGGCGAGCTAAAAATGTCTCCACCCTTCTAAATATGGGATGCCTTGGCCAGGTATTGAGTCAGCTCTGTGACGCCAGTGCAATTATCCCGATTCAGCATCAGATTTATTCACCATTAAACATGTTCTAACTTGATTGCAAACAAGCCTTGTATTATTTAGAGGGATCCACGGAGCTGGCAGAGGGGGCAGAGGTGTCCGCAGGCCTCCTGCCCTTCCAGGCTTAATGGATGATCATCTTCCCTGCTAAAAAGGCCCATTCACTAGGTGAGTGATGTGGAACTGTTTAATGAAAGCAGGAAGATGATGTGAATGCCAGTTCACTTGAGTGTTACAAACGGTTTGGGCACTATAGCCTTAAAGTTTCTCCTGCTCTTTGCAGATGAATGAAGGGGCGCTTTCTGGAATCTTTGTGGCTGGGGCTGCTGCTCTGCACTGCTGTGGCTCTTTTTCACAAATGCTTATGGAGCTCTAACTGGGGGCAAGGAACTGTGCTACGGTTGGGAAGAGAGGAGTGGGCAAAAGGAGACACTGGGGCTTCTGTGACTTTAGAGGCCCATCATCAAATTTTCTTTTTTTTTTTTAGATGGACTTTCGCTGTGTCACCTAGGCTGGAGTGTAGTGGTGCGATCTCGGCTCACAGTAACCTCTGCCTCCTGGGTTCAAGCGATTCTCCTGCCTCAGCCCATAGGCACATGCCACCACACCTGACTAATGTTTGTATTTTTGGTAAAGACAAGGTTTCCCCATGTTGGCCAGCCTTGTCTTGAACTCCTGACCTCAGGTGATCCACCCACCTCAGCTTCCCAAAGTGCTGGGATTACAGGTGTGAGCCACCGCTCCTGGCACCCATCAAATTTTCAAAGGAAGAAATGGAATGGTGCAACCATGGTACATGGGAAGGAGGAGGGGGACACACAAGACTGTACCTATCATGGGGGCTTCGACCTCATCTGGGAAGGTGGTTGGAGAGAGTGAGTCCTGACCTGAGCTTTGGAACTTATCAAGTTGAGAGAGAAATTTGATAATTTGTCTATTAACGTGTGACCTTGGGCAAGTCATTGACCTTCTCTGAACCTCAGTATCCTAGGACTTCAGAAGCGAAAGGAAGAATAATGGGTCTTGAGTATGCCTAGAATTGAGCAAGCTGCTATGCTTGCAAAGGCCTTGGCCAGCTGCTCACCCACCATGTCCCTCTGTTCCCACTCCACCTTACTCATGCCTAGACTTCTTGCTTTTTAAAAATAATCCACCCATGAAACAAGTGTTTATTTACAAGGCTGGCTTCCCCAGGAGGCTTTCACAAATGCTTACCGAGCATCTGCTGTGTGCCAGACAAGAGTGAGGAGCTGGGGACTCAGAGAGGAGCAGACGAGGGAGACACTCACATTAGAGAGTGGCGTGTGCTGAGGGAAGGTGCCTCAGGCGACAGATGGGACCAGGGCCTTTAACTCAGTGGCAGCTTCAGAGACAGATCTGGAACCCCAGGACTCAAAGGACCTATGTTTGCTAATCAAGTGAACACGGAGGACCTGCCACTGGGCAGGGCATCCCTGACCAATCCACAGGTGATGGCGGGACAGCTCCAGGCCCTGGGGATCCCCCAGGGAATAAGCCAGATTAAAGCCCCTGCCCTGTGAGGTGTGGCAAAGAAACAGACAATTCATGAAATAAATATATGATAAATAACATATGAGAAGGCAGGGAGTGGTATGAAACAAATCAGGGAAGGAGGAGACGGAGAAGTTGGAGAAGACAGTGGATTGTTTCTCTGGGTGGTCAAGGAAGGCTTCCAGGCAGAGGAGGTTTGGCCATGGGTACCAAGGGGTAGAGATGGGAACCTTCCAGGGACATGGACCCGATGCTGCCAGCAGAGGGGAAACCATGGCCCTAAGGGCAGAGCACACTGGGGCGGGGGTGGGGGTTCAGTGACAGTCTGGTGGCCTGTGTGGTGAGGAGTGCGGGAGATGGGAACAGAGAGCGAGAGGGCAGACGGGGTCATGTTGTGTGGGACCTCGGAGGTCCTGCCATGGCTTTGGTTTCTACTTGGAGAGAAATAGGGAGGTTTGGGCAGGCTCTGAGTAGAGGAGTAGCACGATCTGGCTTACGATGATTTCTAACATCTCACCATCTTTACTTCTGTATATAAATATATGATAAGTATACCTTTATATATGTGACATGTATCTTTACATATGATATGTATGGTTACATATCTACTCACTCACACATCCACACACACACACACACACACACACACACACACACACACTTTTTTGGAACCATTGAAAAGTTGCAGACATCATCACGGCTCACCCTGAAATTCCTTAGCAGGCATCTTCTGAGAATAAGGACATTCTTCTATGCAACCATTTCACATCCACACTAAGAAAATTAACACTATTACGTAGTATTATCTAATATGCCCTCTACATTCAAATTTTCATGTCTCCAATCCTGCCCCCTTTGGAACTTCTGTTGGTGTTCGATCTGGAATCTGAGAATTCCCTTGCATTTGGTTTTCATCCCCCATAGTCTTCCTTTTTTTATTTTTTATTTTATTTATTTATTTATTTATTTATTTATTTATTTATTTATTTATTTTTTGAGACAGGGTCTTAATCTGTCCCCCAGGCTGGAGTGCAGTGACATGGTGATGGCTCACCACAGCCTCAGCCTCCCTGGGCTCAGTCGATCCTCCCACTTCAGCCTCCCAAGTAACTGGGACTACTGTGATGTGCCACCATAGCCAGCTATTTTTTTTGCATTTTTTAGAGATGAGTTTTTGCCGTGTTGCCGAGGCTGGTCTCAAACTCCTGGGCTCAAGCTATTCACCTGCTTTGGCCTCCCAAAGTGCTGGGATTACAGGCATGAGCCACCATGCCCGGCCCCCTTTTTTAAAAAACAAAAAAACAAAAAACTCTTTTGTGTTTTAGAAATGGGGTCTCACTATGTTCTTCAGGCTAGTCTTGAACTCATGGCCTCCAGTGATCCTCCCGCCTCAGCCTCCTGAGTCACTGGAATTTCAGGCATGAGCCACTGTGCCTGGCCTCTGTCAACTTCCTTATCTAGAACTATCTTTTTCCTCTATTGTTTTGTCCCTCACTTCTGAATAGTTCAGGGATCCCTCTGGCTACTGTGTTGAGAATAAAGTGTCAAAGCCAACAGTGGAAGCGTGGACACTGGGTAGGAGGCTTTTGCAGTGCTCTCGGCCCGCGCTGTCCAATAGAACTTTCTGCAGTGATGGATGTCTTCTATCTCTGCCCTGTCCAGTATAAAAGCCACAAGCCACATCTGGCTGTGTGGCACTTGGCATGCAACTAGTATGACATCTTAATTTTTCTTTTTGAGATGGAGCCTCGCTCTGTCACCTAGGCTAGAGTGCAGTGGTGCAATCTCGACTCACTGCAACCTACACTTCCTGGATTCAAGTAATTCTCCTACCTCAGCCTCCCGAGTAGCTGAGATTACAGGTGTCTGCCACCACGCCCAGCTAATTTTTGCATTTTTAGTAGAGATGGGGTTTCACCACATTGGCCAGGCTGGTCTCGAACTCCTGACCTCAAAAGTGATTTGCCCACCTTAGCCTCCTAAAGTACTGGGATTACAGACAAGAGCCACTGCGCAGACGGACATATGAATTTTTAATTTGATATCATTGTGATCAATTTGAAGATCCACATATGGCTGAGGGCTACTCTAATGAGTGGTGCAGCTCCAAGGCAGAGAGATGGCTGTGATTAACCAATGAATGAGGGAACAAATATCCAGGCAGAATGAATAGTCTATGGAAAGGGCTGGAAGTTCCACAAAGCAGGACGTATACGTGCCCTTTTTTCCTCCCCTGGTGGCCAGCCAGCCCCTGAAACACAGCAGGTATTCGGTGCAGCCTTCTGTTTTCTTCCAGATCCTTTGACTCCTGCCCCACCAACATGGCCCGTGGCAGACTGGGCTGCTGTTTGTAAGCCTGGCTGAAGAAAGGCATCACAAAGAAAATGCCACCAGCAGGCTGGGTGTGGTGGCTCATGCCTGTATTCCCAGCCCTTTGGGAGGCCGAGGCGGGTGGATCGCCTGAGGTCAGGAAGAACCTGGGAGATTGGAGGTTGCAGTGAGCTGAGATCGTGCCACTGCATGTCAGCCTGAGCAACAGAGCAAGACTCCGTTTCACAAAAAAAGGAAATGCTACCAGTGAGCAGGAAGTTGGTGGTCCTCCAGAATTGCCCTGTTGAGGGTATCTCCCTGCCCTGGTCTGAAAGCTGCCACTTGCCGCCCACCGCACAGCCCCAGGGCTTTAGCTCACTGTGCAGGAAGAGGCCTTCCTCTGTGCATCCTCCCACAGGGTCGAGAGTGAATGCCTTGCCTTTAAAAATAAAATGCATACGCCTGTCCTCATGCGCTCTGATCTGCCAGCAGGCTGTGCTGGGGAGTGGTGAGTAGTACAGGGATGTGTCTGACCCCAGGAGAACTGCCCCGATCCCTATCTTGTCTCTGCTCAGTTCTGGTAACTCTTTTATCTTCCCTGGAGTTATTTTTTTCCCTTCTTTGTTTCTCTTTTTCTGTGTGCTCTTCTAAGAGTAAAACGCATGTCCCCCCATGAAGTCACTCAAAGCTCAGGCGTGTGCAACAGGGACAGCAAAAGCACACACAATGATGGCCAGAGACACTGCTCAGTGTACTGTCTTCCACCGGGACAGCCCACTCACCAAGGGTTAGGTCCTGTGCTGCCTGGGTCCCGGGTCTCCTCGGAGGTCGGTTTGCATCACGTGGATACACTAATCTACCCAAGTTGACTTGGAGAACCAATCTGAAATCAGATGGGAGCTCCCGGAAGCAAAGCAATTGCAGGTTCATTTGTTACTTTTATTGTCTCATTTCTTCTTATTTTTTTAGCCCAATTGCCTCCTACATGGGGAAGGTTGGGGTCCTCTTTATTCTACTTTTCATTCTCGCTCTGCCGCCCTCCCAGGTGTTTGTAATCACATATTTTTCATTTGGTTTCCGGGTCCAGCGACAAGAACACCAGAAACACCTCCTCCCCAGAGAGGAAGAGAGGATGCTCCGCCGCCTGTAAGGATTTTTTGCTCTCCTCCTTTTGTCAGTTGGCATGCGATATGCTTCTCAGGCAGTAATTTAGAGACTGTCAATTCCTGAGAGCCGCTGGGGAACTGAGCAATCGTCTGCATTTCGTCGCTTTAGCCCGAGCTGGGTCTTTGAGCTGGCAGAGACCAAGATCTTTTTCTGGGAAGGGATGGTCCTATTTAAGGAAGGCCCTGGATTTTGTCAAGTTTGAAAGGTTTTCAACATCTTCCCGAGATGGTGGTCATGGGAGTAGTGGTTAGGGTGGTTATGACGCATGGGACGGGAGAATACCATGCCCACCCGGTGATTTATACCAAAAGATGCTTTCCTGGGGTGGTTCTGCTGGCAGTCGGGCAGTGACATGTTATTAATGTTTTCCTGTTTTCTATTGTCCCCGAATGGAAAAACACTGTGGAACCTTTAAATTTTCTCAAGCTGTCTATGTTTTCCTGGATCGTCCCTCAATTTTCCGTGGTATGAAAAATGTAAATGTTGCTACATTCAGTTCAGGGAAATCCAGCCGTTGCTCCAGATCCTTCTAAGATTTTTCAATTCCAGAGATGTTTTCACCTGGAAGATTCCCCAGATTTGGCAAAAACAACCCAACTCCTAGCCACTGCTTTTTGAGCAGCTACTCAGTGCCTAAGACTTTGAATAGTTTATTAATCATGTGTCACTGCAGCAAAGGGGACATTTCGGCCCTGATTTCAGAGATGAAAGAACCAAGGCATAGAAATTGAGTCACTTTCTGGAGTGTACACAACTAGTAAGTGGATTCGAGTTAGTTTTGCTCTATTCCAAGGCTACTTACTATGCTATTTTTGGTTTCCTACTTTTGTTCAACTTATATTTATCTGATTATCTGATTCTCTTTTACAAGCACTTAGTGAGCATCAGCTGTTTCAATGAGCATTTATTTACTGATACCTGTGGTGGCACCCAGGAAGGACTAGGAATGCTCTGTGATATGTAGGAGAAGGATGTATCCACTGGGCAAAGGTACCTGCGAGGGATCAAAGATGGAAAGGCAGAAATCCAAGGACTACGTGTGACATGAAAGGGGCCTTTCTCCTGCTGTCATCCTGAACCTCTGTCTTTCAAATTTGGATGTGTCGGGGGCCACAGGACACTACTGTGCATTTGCCTGTGATTTGCCATTGGGTTGGAGTACTTCTCCTGAGTTTCTGCAGTGTTCTAGGTATGGTCTTAGGCCCTGGAATAAGACAGTGTAGGAAACACAGAAGGTGCCTGATTTCCTGGGCCTAGCTAAGGGGAAAAAGCGAGACAATGGGGTCAGAGGAAGCTCAGCTGAACAGATGAAGTTGAGATGAACAGAATTCCAGTGCCACCATGATTTCCAGCCGTGTGACCTTCCACATGCTTTTTGATTTTTCTTGAACTCACTTTTCCTTTGTTTGCAAAATAGTAACAATATTTTCCTTCCAAGTGATGGTGAGGATTTAAGAGTTAACCTGAGTGTCTGCTGCATAGTAGGTGCTCAATAAACTATAACGTCTTTATTTCTTTTCCTTCCAATGAGAAGTCACTTCCTGGAGGGAAGCCACCTCCAGGAACAGTCCTGGTTCAACTCATGAGGAGGGTCACTGGTTGGGTTCCATATTCATATCTGCAACCAGAGTTGGAAGCACACCACTGTGGGATTAGTCATGTCCCTAGTCCCTGTCTCCGTATATTTTCTCCTTCTCTTATTAGTTTATCTTTTCCAAAATGGGCTGTTTCGTCTCTGATCCTGATTTATTTTTATTTTAATTAAATAATTTATTTTTCTGAGACAGACTGTCGCTCTGTCGCCAAGGTGGAGTGCAGCGGTGTGATCTTGGCTCACTGCAACCCCCGCCTCCCGGGTTCATGTGATTGTCCTGCCTCAGACTCCCGAGTAGCTGGTACTAAGGCATGTGCCACCACTCACAGCTAATTTTAGTATTTTTAGTAGAGACAGGATTTCGCCATGTTGGCCAGGATGATCTTGATTTCTTGACCTCGTGATCTGCCCGCCTCAGCCTCCCAGAGCGCTGGGATTACAGACGTAAGTCACCACGCCTGGCCTGATCCTGACTTAGTTACGGTTACCTCTCTTTGTATCTCTATATGTTCTCAAATTCCAACCTGTCTTTGTAATCCTCTATTTAAGCTATCGATTACCTCCAAAAGGCCCTGAATGTTTCAGAAAGAAAGGATCTACTGGCAGCTTCTGAAGGCTTCTGTAATACCTTGTACCCCAATGAGTACAATGAAATCATTAGGGGTTCTTTCCTCTCCTTTGGAATGAAACTGCTGCTTAACTTTTCTCCCACTGATGAGATGCGGTGATGCTGTCACAGTTGGGTGGTTGCTCCTCCTGCAGTCTTCTTCCCATTGCATGTTCACTCTCTTCCCCACTTGCCCACGAGCAGCAACTCCTGTTTCTTGTTTTTTTCCTTTTCTTTTTCTTTTCTTTTGAGACAGAGTCTCGCTCCGTCGCCTGGGCTAGAGTGCAGTGGTGCAATCTCAGCTCACTGCAACCTCTGCCTCCTGGGTTCAAGCGATTCTCATGCCTCAGACTCCTGAGTAGCTGGTATTATAGGCGCACGCCACCATGCCCACCTAATTTTTGTGTTTTTAGTAGAGATGGGGTTTTGCCATGTTGCTCAGGCTGGTCTCAAACTCCTGACATCAGGTGATCCACCTGCATCGGCTTCCCAAAGTGCTGGGATTACATGCATGAGCCATCGCGCCTGGCTAGGAACTCCTGTTTCTGTTTTTATCCTCTTCCCAAGTCTGCAGGCCCCGCCTGGCCCACCCAGTCCTTCTTAGAAGATGATGACCTCAACTACTGCTTTTTAAAGAAGACTGACGTCGTGTTAACTGAGTTTCGATAACGCCCCTCTGTGTATTTTCTCATCGTCTTATTATGTTTTCCAAAATAGGACCTGGGGTCGAACTCCTGACCTCAGGTGATCCGACCACCTCGACCTCGAGAAGTGCTGGCATTATGGATGTGAGCCACTGCCCCTGCCCTAGATGGTATCACCTTCAAAGCTTAATTAGGAAGAATAATATGAGCACTGAGTGTAACTCCAGGTCGGGTATATTATGTCCCTCTGTGTTCTCTAGCTAGTTATCTATCCATCCATCTCTTGCCTTGTCCACAGAAGTTACAGGTAGGCTGCCGGGCGCAGTGGCTCACGCCTGTAATCACAGCACTTTGGGAGGCCAAGGCGGGCGGATCACGAGGTCAGAAGTTGGAGACCATCCTGGCTAACACAGTGAAACCCCATATCTCCTAAAAATACAAAAAATTAGCCAGGCATGGTGGTGGGCACCTGTAGTCCCAGCTACTCGGGAGGCTGAAGCAGGAGAATAGCGTGAACCCGGGAGGCGGAGCTTGCAGTGAACCGTGATCGCTTCACTGCACTCCAGCCTGGGCAACAGAGCGAGAATCCATCTCAAAAAAAAAAAAAAAAAAAAAAAAAAAAAAAAAGAAAGAAAGAAATTACAGGTAGGCTAGAGCACGGATGAGCAAACTGTTTTTATAAAGGACCAGAGAGTATATATTTCAGGCTTTGCAGGCCCTATGACGTCTGTCACAATTCACTTCTGCCTTTCTACTGCAAAAACAGCCATGGACAATTCATAAATTAATGTGCATGGCCGTGTTCTGATAAAAGTTTATTTATAGACACTGAAATTTGAATTCCATATGTCATGAAATTATATTTTTTTGATTTTTTTTTTCATAAAACCAGTCTAAAAAAGCCATGGGTTATTTTGTCATGGCACGTTTTGATATGAATATTTCCACCCCCATTATTTGCATAACAAATTACAGATTATCCAGAACAGGTGGGCTGTACATAAACAGGCTGGTGGGCTGGATTTGTCCTGTGGACTGTAGTTTGCTGACATCCAGGCTAGATCCTTAATATACAATGAAGTAGTAAAACACATGTAAAAGTAAAAAGCAGGCGAAATAGAATAAAATACACATTTGCACACCACAGTATCCAAAAAGGTTATGTACTGGGGCTAAAGATTTGGCTTGGAGTTTCCTGGTAGTCAAGGCAAAAAAGGGAAACAAAACTAGTTACAGAGTTTCTCGGACCTATGAGCAAAAGGATTTCCATTTCTAATCGGAGGCAGAGGTATCATGGCCTTCAAGAATCTTCCGGTTAAACACGGTACTGAAATTTGATTTTATTGTCTATCGTTGAGTCCCTAGTTATTTTGCCTTTACCAAGGCTAGTTGCAGAGTATTTGTTCTAGTATGTAAAATCAGCAATCAGCCATTTTCTGGTCATTGTAATGGTGTAAATTATATCTGACAGTTGTTAATTAAATACCTACTCATGCTTTGGAGCCAAAGCCAAATAGTGCTCTGTAAACATTATGATTTGTCAGTAATCAATGTGATTTGTATAATTTGTGAGCAATCAGATACTTTATCCAAAAGCGGATTATTGACCTCTGTGCCCATCTTGGGAGAAATTGCCACTTGGTCTGTGTCTACACAGACCCAAGAGGAGAAGGGATTTGACAATGGTCTGATTAATTGAATCAGTGGTTTGGGGGAGTGGGCTGTCTGTATTGATCCAATTAAATAGATAATTGTCAGAATCGAGGTCATGTCTATAAGACACCACCATTTCAAAGCCAAAGAGATTGTTTCAAACATATCATGCTCACCCCAATCAATGTGGGCCGCCTCCTCCACATGAAATCAACCAGAAAGTGATTGATTCTGCAGAGCCATAAACCAGGGTCTTTCCTATTTTCGGCAAGTGGTTCTGTGCTAAATACAGTGCTTTGAAATTTTTGTTCCCCATAGACCCAAGGATGATGATTCATTATGCAAATAATGGGGATAGAAATATACAAATTGAATGTTAGGGCTGGGCGTGGTGGCTCACCCATGTAATCCCAACACTTTGGGAGGATAAGGTGGGCGGATCGCTTGAGCTCAGGAGTTGGAGACAAGCCTGGGCAACATGGCAAAACCCCATCTCTACAAAAAATTTTAAAAATTTAGCCGGGCAGGCATGGTGGCTCATGCCTGTAGTTTCAGCTATTCCGGAAGCTGAGGTAAGGAGGATCGCTTGAACCTAGGAGGCAGAGGTTGCTGTGAGGCAAGATCACACCACTGCCTTCTAGCCTGGGCAGCAGAGTGCGACCTTGTCTCAAAAAAAAAAAAAAAAAAAAAAAAAAAAGAAAAAAAAAAGTTGGAATGACATCAGACTCAAAATGTGTCACTTAGCAGTGGGGATGCAATTCTGAGAAATGCATGGTTAGGTGGTTTCATCATTGTGGAACATCATGGAGTGCACGTACACAAACCTAGATGGTGCCGTCTACTACACACACACTTAGGCTGTATGGTCTAGCCTCTTGGTCTTAGCCTACAAAGCTATGCAACGTGTGATTGGGCTGCGTACTGTAGGCAGTTGTAACAGTGGTATGTGTATATCTCAACATATCTAAACATAGAAATAGTACAGTAAAAATATGATATTATAATCTTTGGGACAGCCATCATATATGCAGTCTGTCATTGACTGAAAGTTGTCATGTAGCCCATGACTATCGTCTCTTTTAGGGGAAAAAACAAAAGCAGAAAGCAAGCAAGCTGGTATCCTGCGTATCTGTGAGCTCAGGAAGCAGCTGCATGTGCATACTGGATAAGCAAGGGAGACTCCAACCCCGGGCTCTCTAAGGGTGTAATTGTTGCAGGCACACTGAGGGGCAGACCTCTGGGTCTTGGTTAGTGGTCCAGAGAGGGAAGAGAGCAAAGGTAGAAGGCTTGAGTTTAATTTCTGCATCAGACTCAAAACCCAGCTAATCTTTTCTAGCTGGTCATTTCAACCTAGCTGGTGATTTCAGGCTAGTTAAGCAACCCCTCGGATCCTCAATGTTCTTTTCCCTCTAATGGGGGTAAATATACTTAATTCACTGGGTGACTGCATCCATACCAAGCACACAGCCGTGATCAGTTAGCCTCTCACTTCTCTACTAATCCCCACTGTGGGGAAGAGCTCATCATTAACATGCCTTATCTGACATGTGGCAATAACTTCTGCCTTTCTTATGTCATCTGCATGGTTGCAGTGGATAGTCACTGGACAATTGATGAACAACTACTACATGCTAGATCTCTCCCTGGGGAGAGTGCTTGTCTTTGAAACAGTCAAAGGAGGAAGGAAGAAAAGAGAGGCAGAACAATTATAATAAAGCAACTTAACCCATTGAGAGACATAAGGATGCTGCAAGGCGCAGTGCTGGATGGAGAGGACAGTGCCTGGGGCAGTCATGGAAGACTTCTTAGGGAGGTGACTTTTTAAGGGGTTTTGTGATCAAAACTATGGAGTCTTAAGTCCAACCAGTGGTTATGAATTCCGGCTCTGCCACTTGCTATAATAGCTGTATCACCATGAGCGATAACTTAACCTCTTTGTGGCTCAGTTTCTTCATATATAAAATGGGGATCATGATAGTCTCTGTCCCAGGGGAGTTAGGAGGATTAAATGCAACAGTAATCCAACCACAGTATGAAAAGACAGGCTAGCACATACAACACAATCTATAAATGTTTGCTATTATTGTCATCCTTTTTATTAGTATATCATGGTACAAGTTTGCTGGGTAGAAAGATGGCGATGGGGAAGGGGACATTTCAGGCCAATGTGATAATAAAATCAACAGACAAAAGAAGGGAGAGTGTGGTGAGTAGGATAAAGCTCTGTACAGATGCAAGGGGAAGGGTGTTGATGTCAACACGCATGCAGCTTCCCACACGTCGTGTGGATTCTTTTCTGTGCTCTCCATTACGGAATCTCCCTGAAAATAAGTGGTCACTTTGAGGTTTGATGGTTTAATTCTACCACAAAAGTATAAAAAGCAGGCAGCCTGCTGTTTATAGATTTTTTTTTAAGTGAGGGAGTATGTTAATGAGCTTAGATTGTCAGGGAGCTAAGGGGATTCTTGACATCAAATTGTGGGTAGCTAAATAGGTCACCCCAAGTTATTCAGCATGGGTGGAAGACCAAGAGGATACACAAGCTTCAAAAAGTTTTCAGGGAGAGCAAGAGATGTTCATTTACCTCATTCAAAATGGAATCTTTAATGCTAGTCCAGTGCTTGGCCAGTACAAGGCCATTATATATTTGTTGAATGAATGAATTCGTGAATATGTTTATAAAGACAAGGAAACGCCATTCTGCAAATCTACATGCAGTAAAATAGTTTTTCAGTCACTTTGCCTTCATTTGTTTGACATTCTTGGAATATTTGGGCTCTACAAGGTGCTAGGGTAAGGCACGCAGGATGCAAGATTAGCGAGATATTGTCTCTACTCTCAAGAAACTCGCTTTCTTTGGGAATCATCACCTGTTTTTGTGTCACGGACCCCTTGGGCATTTGGTGCCCTTTGCAGAATAATGGTTTTGAATACATAAAACGCACGGGATCACAGAGGAAACCAATCATATTAAAATACAGTTGTCAAAATATTAACTCATGGGATCTAGTAACAAATGTTCTTCCTTCTTAACCCATTAAAGAACACAGCTCATGGTCGGTCCATTAACTACTAATTATCAAAACAGTGGGTGAAAACGATGTTTGGAAATAGCTGCGACTCTCGCGTGATAGGAAAATATCTGTGATTTCGATTGCGACAAACACACAGATGCTTCTCACACGATCGCAGTGCATTGCCTAAATGACAGTAATGCTAAACTCCAGTCAGATGTTAGTGAAAAATAAAGATGTAACATTTTGGCCATCTGTGTACACCCCCTCTTTCTAGGGTTCCAGCCACAGACCCTCAGATTAAGGAGTCTGCACTAGCTTGTAGCTTGTTCAATCACACATACACACAAAAAGTGCCAGTTATAAAGGAGCAGGAGGTTTTCTGGAGCCAGGATGAGCTGGGACCAACACCAGCAACTGTATCACCCAGTTCACTGAGAGTTAAAATCACCCATGTGACGTTCTCTCTGCAGGCACATAGTAAGTGCTGGATAAATGATAGGGATTGATATTGACCAGCTTTGACACATGAATAGGAGAGGGTTAGGCAAAGACAAAGAGAGATGGGGATGCCAAGTACCCTCTGGGCAGAGGAAACCATGAGTGCAGAGGCACGTAGGCCTGAAACAGGCCAGAAAGCACCAAGCAATTTGCTTTTGCTGGTGAAGGAGGTATAAAAGGTAGAGTTGCAAAGACTGGGGATGGAGCTTTAGGCTGGGATCAGCGCCCAATGGGCTGGGATGACAAGTGCTTGGGGCACATTGGCAGCTGCGAAAAGCTCGCTCTGATGCCTGTGTGGGGACAGATTTTGGGGGCAAGAGGACTCTCCAGCAATCTGTGGCAAAAAAAAAAAAAAAAAAAAAAGTCCCGCTTGTTATCAAGCCTACTGGCTTATCTGTTATTTCTTGGACATGCCCCAGTCGCTAGTAAATAAAGCTGTCTACTTTACATTTTGTCTCTGTGCCCTTTTACAGCCTTTTCTCGGAGGAGCTGAGTCCCATTATATTCCGAAAGCATATGTTCCCGATGATTGCTCATTCTCTTTCCAATAATATCTTTGCAGGACAAAGAGGAATGGGGAAGGGAACATACTTTTAGGATGTCAGTCCCAGTTTTAATTACAAGTGTTCCTGGTTGTGGCATTCATGTAATTGGGGGCTGATTTATGCCAAATGATATGCACTGATGTAAGGGGCTGGAGCCCAAGAGGGAGGGGAGGCCAAGAAGAGGCAGTGGCCCCCCACCAAGCCCGGAACTGAGGTGGCACATGTCAGCGGCTTTGCTCAGAAGCACCCAGGGATGATGGAAAAGGCAACCGAAAGGGCTCAGCTTCTGCAGATAGAGTCTGTGCTTTGCACTTTCTGGCTTTGTGACCTTTCTGCAGGTTACTTCTCTCCCCTGAGCATCAGTTTACTCAGCTGAAAAATGCATCTGCTAATAATACCTATGGCATAGGGTTTGGGGAGGATTAAATAAGATAATGTAAATAGAGTTTAGCGTGGTACTGTGTATATAGCCAGCACTCACTGCTGTTGGCTTATTGAAAAAACAAAAATAATACCTACAATAACCACAATATAGCAACAGCAATCATGTTCAAGTCTGTATTTGGTTTAAGGAGGGGGAATGTGACCCGGGGGCTCTGTCATTAGATATATGCACACACTTGACCTAATGGAAAGCTTGAAAGCAATTGGATGGGAAAACAGTCCATCTTGTTGGAAGGCTGTCAAGCTGTGTAATAAAAGAATTACTGTTCTCCCTTTGCATTTATGCATTGCATGTCTCTGTTGAATTCAGAGTGCTTTATAGACCTCTGATCAGCTTCCAGCATCCTCTTGGTATGAGTTCTAGGGGGAGATGAGGAATGTGCCTAATTCCCTTGAGTGATTTACTTGGTGTTACCCTGGAGTTGTGAGGACAAAAGGATGGGGCTGACTGAGACTGGGGATGTTCATCACAAAGTGTTCAGGTTACATCCAGGCTGATTACTGGCCAGGAGACTAGGCATTCATAGTGGGGCGTCCTTTAAGGTCTGAAGAGGACAGTGACCATCCACCACAGGCAAACATGTGTGTGTTAAAAAGGAATGACGTTTTGGTCTGTGCTACAACTGGGATGAACCTCAAACATTACGCTGGACGTGGTGGCTTACACCTGTAATCCCAGCACTTTGGGAGGCTGAGGCAGGTAGATCACCTGAGGTCTCAGAAGTTCGAGACCAGCCTGGCTGGTGGTGATACCCCATCTCTACTAAAATATGGTGATACCCCATCTCTACTAAAAATACAAAAAAAAAAAAAATTAGCCAGACATGGTGGTGCAGGCCTGTAATCCCAGCTACTCGGGAGGCTGAGGCAGGAGAATCACTTAAAGTCAGGAGGCAGAGGTTGCAGTGAGACAAGATTGTGCCACTGCACTCCAGCCTGGATGACAGCAAGACTCCATCTCAAAAAACAAACAAAAAAAACATTATATTAAGTGAAAGAAACCAGATGCAAAAGATGACCTAACATGTGAATCTGTGTATACAAAGTACCTAGAATAGGCACCTCCAAAGAGACAGAAAGCAAGCTAGTGATTGCAGGGGGCTGGGAAAGAGGGGACTAGAGAATGACTGCTAAAGCATTCAAGGTTTCTTTTGGGGTTGGTTAAATGGTCTAGAATTAGATCGTGTTGATGGTTGTACAACCTTGTAAATATACTAAAAACCACTGAACTGTACACTTTAAGTGGGTGAATTTTATTTTATGTCTTATTTATTTATTCTTTTAGGGACAGGGCCTTACGCTGCTGCGTAGGTTGTGGTGCAGTGGCACAGTCACAGCTCACTGCAGCCTCAAACTCCTAAGGTGAAGAGACCCTCCCACCTTAGCCTCCTCAGTAGCTGAGACTACAGGTGCGTGCTACCGTGCCCAGCTGATTTTTAAATTTTTTTTTCTTTGTTTTGAGACGGAGTTTTGCTCTGTTGCCCAGGCTGGAGTGCAGTGGTGCTATCTCAGCTCACTGCAAGCTCCGCCTCCCAGGTTCACGCCATTCTCCTGCCTCAGCCTCCCGAGTAGCTGGGACTACAGGCACCCACCACCATGCCTGGCTAATTTTTTGTATTTTTTTAGTAGAGACGGGGTTTCACCATGTTAGCCAGGATGGTCTTCATCTCCTGACCTCGTGATCTGCCCACCTCGGCCTCCCAAAGTGCTGGGATTACAGGCATGAGCCACCATGCCTGGCCCTGATTTTTAAATTTTTCATGGAGACAGGGTCTCACCTTGTTTTCCAAGCTGATCTCAAAATCCTGGCCTCAAGCAATCCTCTCCTCTGCCTCAGAAAGTGCTGGGATTACAGGCGTGAGCCACCACACCTGGCCGCTGGAAATACATTTCTAAAGAGGAATGGGAGTCAGGCTGGTGAAGAAACACGTGAGTGTGGGATGAGGATGGGGACACAGAGTGATGTGAGGCCTACACAACAGGAGTTCAATCCTAGGACCTGAGCTGATGTAAATGAAGCACCGCCAGGCCCAGTTGGGGAGGACCTTGTGTTCCTGCTGGAGAGTGAGAGTCCCTCCCTCCCCATTCCACTCCCAAGAGCAGTGAAGAGTCAGGAAGGTGGGCTTGTTTTGTTTTGTTTTGTTTTGTTTTGCTTGTTGAGCAAGGGAATGCGGTTCCCCTGTGTCGGACTTGTTTCAGAAAGACAATGTCACTGAGGCTGGGGCAGGGAGATTAGCTGAGAGGCTCTTGCAGTTATCTGGGAAGGAGCTGTCCATAAAGGCCTGAGTTAAGACAGTAGCCCTTTGGGTTCGATTTAGTGGTGGCTCCCCAAAAGATATGTTCACTGGAACCTAGACATTTGAGAAAAAGGGTCTTTGCAGATAAGTTCAGTTGAGGATCTCAAAACGAGGTCATCTTGGGTGGACCCTAAATCCAATGACAGGTGTTTTCAGCAGAGACAGAAGTGAAGAAGGCACAGAAGAGAAGGCGGTGTGAAGGTAGAGACTGAGATCGGAGTGATTCCCCCACAAGCCAGGGAGCACTGAGGGCTGCTGGCACCCCCAGATACCAGGAGAGGGGCACAAATAGGTTCTCCTCAGAGCCCCCAGAAGGAACTAAGCCTTCTCACACCTAGACTTTAGACTTCTGGCCTCCAGAATACTAAGAAAATAAATTTCTATTGTTTTAAGCTACCACACAGATGCAGGAAACTAATATACCCTTTAATGATTTTCTCCATGGCCTTTCTGATAATCCTTTCATCCTTCATCTCCCCTGTTGCCGTTTTCTTTGCTTTGCTTTGCTTGCTTGCTTTTTTTTTTTGAGACGGAGTTTTGCTCTTGTCGCCTAGGCTGGAGTGCAACGGCACAATCTTGGTTCACTGCAGCCTCCGCCTCCTGGGTTCAAGTGATTCTCCTGCCTCACCCTCCCGAGTAGCTGGGATAATAGGTGCCTATCACCACGCCGAGCTAATGTTTTTGGATTTTTAGTAGAGATGGGTTTTAGCCATGTTGTGCAGGCTGGTCTCAAATTCCTGGTCCCAGGCGATCTGCCTGTCTTGGCCTCCCAAAATGCTGGGATTACAGGCATGAGTCCCCATGCCCAGCCCCTGTTGCCCTTTTCAAAACACTAAGTGCATCATGTTAACCTTCCACTCGCTTCTTTAAGTTTCCTCACTCCTTTTAGGTGAACAACCCAAACCCTCATATGCCCTAGAGGCCCTTTTCAGCCCTGTTGACACTTCCCTTCTCTGTGCTTTAGTCACCCTACCCTCGGTCAACTCCTAACTCCTGCCTGCCACAGGGCCTTTGCACATCCTCTGCCGGGGAGGCTCTCCCTTCACCTTCATTAGGTTATCAGATCTCAGCTCACACATCACATCTTCTGAGATACCTTCCAGACTCCCCTGGCCACGGTCACTTCCTTTGCTGTGGACTCTCTGGGAACTGTGTCCCCTTCCTTCTCACATCAGCTTGCAGTTCTGTACTTGTTCATGTGATCATTGATCAGGGTCCATTTTCTGCTCCAGACAATGATCTCTATCTAGAAAGAATCATGCCTGCTTTTCTGCACTCTCCTGCCTCTAGGGGAGAGAACACAGAGCCTGGCATGTGGTAGACTCTTTTTTTTTTTTTTTTTTTTTGAGATGGAGTCTCCCTCTGTCGCCTAGGCTGCAGTGCAGTGGCGCGATCTCAGCTCACTGCAACCTCCGCCTCCCGGGTTCACACCATTTTCCTGCCTCAGCGTCCCAAGTAGCTGGGAGTACAGGCGACTGCCACCACGCCCGGCTAATTTTTTTTTTTTTTTTTGGTATTTTTAATAGAGACGGGGTTTCACCATGTTAGCCAGGATGGTCTCAATCTCCTGACCTTGTGATCTGCCCACCTCAGCCTCCCAAAGTGCTGGGATTACAGGTGTGAGCCACCACGCCTGGGCGGCACGTGGTAGACTCTTAATGAATTTTTGCTGAATACTGAGTAAATAAAGAAAAGTTAACACAGTGGAGTCCAGGTACAGTGGCTCATGCCTGTAATCCCAGCACTTTGGGAGGTCAAGGCAGGAGGATCACGTGAGCCCAGCAGTTCAAGACCAGCCTTGGCAACATGGTGAGACCCCATCTCTACAAAAAATAAAATAATTAGCTGGGCATGGTGGTACATGCCTGTAGTCCCAGCTACTCAGGAGGCTGAAGTGGGATAATCAGCTGAGCTGGGGAGGTTGAGGCTGCAGTGGGCTGTGATCATGCCACTGCACTTCAGCCTGGGTGACAGAGAAAGACTCCATCTCAAAAAAAAAAAAAAAGGTAGAGATGGTGGAGTGGTGACATTTGGTAGATAATATAGCTCTGCAGAACTTTTCATTGCAAAATGAAAATTCTTCATTGTTATTATAATTACTTCAAGGAGCAAGGCCATTTTGTGTAAGCTATCCTGGGCCTCCCTGCCTCCCATTTTACACCCTGTTTATTGATACTAAGAAGAGCCTCCAACTGAATAAGAACTAATGACTTCTGCCTGCCATCATTTTGGAATGTCCAATTCCCCGTTCTGGAGAGCCTTTGATTATAACATCAGCCTGTCATTTGGACCTCTGACCTGAATTATATGAATCTGAAAAATCTCTTCCTTTCCTATCGTGAATTCGGTCATTGTTATAAGCCAAGCTTTGCAAAGGTGGAACACCTTGGAGATACTTATCTCCTCCTTACTCTACCCAAGTAATGACTCATCCTTTTATACAGAATGTCTCTTTTTTGATTTAGATGTCTTTTTTTGATATAGATGTCTCTTGATATAGAAGCATTTCTCGGGATGGTTTTTGTGGTTGCCTAGTGTCTTCTAAAGACCCCTGAACATAGCATAGAAACAGCACGTGTCTTAGGCTTGGAATGAGATAATGTCTCAGTGTTTGAGTAGAATTAGGGAGTTTGCTTTATTTTCCTTTGTTTTTCTTTTTTGTTGTTGTTTGTTTGTTTTTGAGACGGAGTGTCGCTCTGTCGCCTAGGCTGGAGTGCAGTGGTGCAATCTCAGCTCACTGCCAGCTCTGCCTCCTGGGTTCACGCCATTCTCCTGCTCTGCCTCCCGAGTAGCTGAGACTACAGGCACCTGCCACGACGCCTGGCTAATTTTTGTATTTTCAGCAGAGACGGGGTTTCACCGTGTTACCCAGGATGGTCTCGATCTCCTGACCTCATGATCCACCTGCCTTGGCCTCCCAAAGTGCTGGGATTACAGGCGTGAGCCACCACGCCCGACTGCTTTATTTTCCTTTGTGTTCCTAATACCTGGCCCAGTGTCTGGCAAATGGAAAGTTCCCCTGGATGTAGTTGGGTGACACTATGAGTGTATCGTTAGGCATGTTCAAAATATAGCTAAATTCAGTCCAGACATTCTACCTATGTTTTCACAGAAACATGAGGCAGTGTACAGCGCTTATCTGTGGCATTTGATTAGGACATTTTACTGAAGAGTTGATAAAAAAGCACAAATTGTAGGCTGCAAATCTATCATTTTTCTTTCCTCCTTCTTCCTCTCCCTCCCTCCCATCCTTTCTTGCTTTCTTCCCTCCTCTCTCCTTCCTTCCCTCCCTTTCCAGCTTAACTAAAATTTTCTGATACTTTTTTCCTGAATTAGGGTATGTTTTGGGGGGAAAAAACGCTTCAGTGCGTGTTTCTTTCGACATTACACATAAGCCCCCATGGAAAGCAAATTGAATAAATTTACTCTCTAAACTTCTTTCCACAAGAGTAGGTTTATAATTTATTTTCTTTACATTATCTGGATAATTACATTTGGTTTGCTTACATAGATGGAGGCGAATGGTTTTCCAATCTTCAAACCAACCTATATCACAAAAGCATTCTGAAAACTGGGAAGAGATCACTTCACAGTTTCCTGAACCACTAGAAAAAAAAATGTTCATAAATTTATAGCCGCTGACATTGAAGTTGGAGAAAAGAGCATATCTAGTACCTATGCTATGTGGAGAACACTCTCCATGTCTTTGAAAAATAAGCACAATACAAATTATATTTGAGGATGACCTGCCAAAGGGTTGATTATCCTGGAAACATGTTTTCTCAATGGTCCATTTGGGCAAACAGGCCAGCTGAGGTATCTCAGGATAGCAACAGGATAAGCAGAATCGATTGATGAAGGAGGGAGCCTACCTCTGGAGGCCCCAGGCTGGGACTTTGGGTACAGATGCACAGGAGACCTTTGCCCCACCCCGTCACGGCTGGGCCTACTCAGTTCCACGTCTTTGAGTTTTCACGCGGAAACTGGATGTTTCTTACATCCTCAGCTGCAGGCATGGGGAAGAGACGCACATCAGCCATTAAGAAAAAGGTATGCAGTCTACATGCCTGTTAATTTCCTCCACATACACAGTAAACCCATCATGTCCATCAGCACCATTGTCAAAACATGTGTGCACCAGTAAAGGGTTCTGATGTGTGATAAATTTATTTAGCTATTACTCATCTGAAGTTATACTATTTTAGGATCTTGGGGCAGTGAGGACTTTGGAAATGGAACAGGATGCTCCTTTAAGTTAGGGTAAAATGAAGTCTATAAAAACTGTTTTTCTATATCCTCCTCCTACCCCACAAAGAAAGTTAGGGTAATATATTCTTATATAAAATTGACATTTTTAACTTTAATGAGAAATTGCTTGTCCTTTAAACTTTAGGCATTGATGCGCTTAATTATGCTTTTCAACAAGATTTTGCATTTTTAATATTTCCTTTTAGAGCTTCCAGGAATCTCAATTATTAATTGTACCCTGGATTTATTGGTCTTTGGACTCTCCCGCTAGTATAAAGACTGTAGATTCATCAAACATTGTTTACTGTCTTCAAACTTCAACAGTGTTTTAACTATCAAATAGAAAATCGAAAGGAAGCATAAACGCATATGGTCACTTTACTGGTATAATAGGGGCCAAGAGCCGTTGTGTTTTATAATTTCTTGATGATCCTGGTGGTAGGTAAGCCAACCGCTATGAACTCTGATGAGCTCTGGTTTACCCCATAGTCCAAATAAAGAATGGTTTCTGACATTGTATGACCAAAAAAAATAGCATCTGCCCAAAAGATGCTATTTATAAAACTGTTACAAATGGAGCTTATTGTTCACCAGAATTTTATGAATAAGTAATGAAGTCTAATTTTCCGTTATCATAGCCATTGGTTAAAAATGCATGTCTGTTAGGACATTGTAATTATTTTGTATTACTTAGGAAAACTTTTATGATTCTACTCTTTTAATTTTTTTAATAATTACTTTATGACTTCTTCATTAGGGTTTCTCTCCTCCAGTGCGTACGCAGATCTTCTGAAAAGGAATCTGACAAATTTAGTTGCTGCATTTTTCTAAATTGCTTTCAAGACTACCCAGCACTTCAGATACTTTTCATGGCCCTTTTTTCCCAAAGTGTTCTCCAGGATGCCTTTTGATCTGCACGGGCAATCCCATTAGCAGTGATGGCTTAAGGTTCCCACAGAAACTCTGCCACAGAGGCACTGACACCAGACCAGGCGTGATCCCTAACAGCTTGCTGTACCGACTCATATGAGGGCTGTCTTGGTCCGTCTCATTTAAGGTTTGGCTTCTCCAAAGATTAGACACCCTTGTTTTCGTTCAACCTTTGTTTGGCTTTGAAGCATCATGCACTTGGGTCTTGAAATCTTGGGCTCACCGCTGCTTGTACCAGTATCTTCTACCCTCCGGTTGTTTGTGGCCATTATCAAACAAACACCATGCCAACTAGGTGTAAATGCAGACTGATATTCTGAAGAATCCAGGAAGGGCTGGGCATGGTGCCTCATTCCTGTAATTCTAGCACTTTGGGAGGCTGAGGCAGGAGGATCGCTTGAGCCCAGGAGCTTAAGACCAGCTTAGGGAACATAGTGAGACCCCTGTCTCTACAAAAAGTAAAAAATAAAATAAATTGGCTGGGTATGGTGGCACATGCCTGTAGTCCCACCCACTCGAGAGGCTGTGATGGGAGAATCACCCGAGGCTGGGGAGGTTGAGGCCGCAGTGAGCCGAGATCGAGTCACTGCACTCCAGCCTGGACAACAGAGTGAGACCCTGTCTCAAAAAAAAAAAAAAAAATCCAGTAGGAAACTATATAAACACTAGGGTTGCTTTAAAATGTCAAGGCCAACTCTTATGATATGCGGAAGCCTTCGCCCCCTTCTTGAGGGTGTTTAGGGATTAGATGAGTGTCCCATCTGGGTTTCCCATCCCTGCAGAGCCCACGTGTGGGGTGCTGAGAGGTACGTGGTGGGTGACTCCCTGGGGAGCACTGTTTGGTACTGATCACTGTCCCATCCTGGCACTGCAGTCCTGGGACAGTCTACACAGCTCCTGCCTCCTTCTTTTCTTCAGGATTATCTCGAGTTGGTTTGCAAAGTGAAACGCATTAGACATCTTCAAGTGGGCTGAAGAAAGGGACTCAATTTTTGTGGGTCCATGTTAATGTAATTCTTATGAATTTGAGATAAAGTGGTCATTAAAGCCTAGAAGGAAGGGAAAAGCTACACCCCCCTGTGGATGTGTATGCTAAACTTGATTGATCTGGGCATATGTGGAATTTTTACCTTTGTTTTGTCTTTATTTATTTTTAAAATTGAGGTAAATTTACTTAATTTAAAATTTATCATTTAATACCATCTTTTTTGAATGGTTAAATAGTGGATGTATTTTTTCTAGTTTTTTTGTTTTGCTTAATAGGCTCTCTCTCTGTCTCTTTCTTTCTATATATATATATAATATATAGAAAGATATATAATCTATATATAGATATCTATATAATATATATAATCTATATATGATATATATATCTTATTATATATTATATATATAGATAGATATCTATATACAGATATCTGTATACAGATATCTATATATATAGATATCTATATATATAGATATCTGTATACAGATATCTGTATATATATATAGAAAGAGAGGGAACTGAACGGGATGCTTTTTATTTTGGGCTGTTATTAGGTAGACTCTCCTGGGACATTCTACACAGCTCCTGCCTCCTTCTGTATGTAATATATATATTATATATATATAAAATATATATTATGTATAGATAATTTATATATAAATATGTGTATATATATATTTGTTAGGGTAAAACAAAGTCTATAAAAACTGTTTTCCTTTGTCATTGCCCCCACCAAATATTTATATATATGTATATACACATATGTATATATGTATGTATAGAGAGTCTATTATATATATTACATATACATAATATATACATAATATATAATAGACTCTATAATGTAGACTCTAATATGTAGTCTATATATTATATTATAATGTATGTAATATATAATATATTCTATGTAATATATAATATATTCTATGTAATATATATTAATATGTAGGGAATATGTTACATATTATGTTGAGAGTGTATATATTATATATGGGTTTCTATATATTATAATAAACCCATATATAATATACATAATAGACTATACACATATACAGCTAATATATATACACAATAGTCTAGTATATATTATACATGTAATATACTTTCCATACATACATATATAATTTGGGGGGCAAAAACATATATATAATGAATATAATTATATAATTCATATAATATATGTAATAGAGCGTGTATATTATTTACATATGTATATATATATATATACACACACACACACACATTTCAACTTTCTTGAACTCCTGAACCAGCCTTAGATTGCCTAGTACCAGGGTTCTTCTTTTTTTAAAAAATTTATATTTTATTTTAAGTTCAGGGGTCCATGTGCAGGTTTGTTATATAGGTAAACTGGCGTGATGGGGGTTTGTTGTACAGATGATTTCATCACCCAGGTATTAAGCCTAGTGCCCATTAGTTATTTTTCCTGCTCTTCTCCCTCCTGCCACCCTCCACCCTTTGGTAGGCCCCAGTGTCTTTTGTTCCCCTCTTTGTGTCTATGTGCTCTCATCATTTAGTTCCCACTTATAAGTGAGAACATATGGTATTTGCATTTTCTGTTATTGAATTAATTTGCTAAGGATAATGGCCTCCAGCTCCATCCATGTTCCTGCAAAGGACATGATCTCATTATTTTTTAAGGCTGCATAGTATTCCACGGTGTAGATGTAATATATATATAATATATATATAAAATATATATTATGTATAGATAATTTATATATAAATATGTGTATATATATATTTGTTAGGGTAAAACAAAGTCTATAAAAACTGTTTTCCTTTGTTATTGCCCCCACCAAATATTTATATATATATACACACATATGTATATATGTATGTATAGAGAGTCTATTATATATATTACATATACATAATATATACATAATATATAATAGACTCTATAATATAGACTCTAATAATTATTTTTTAAGGCTGCATAGTATTCCATGGTGTAGATGTACCACATTTTCTTTATCCAGAATAAACTATTTTTTATACTGGTTTTAGGCTCACAGCAAAATCGAGTGGAAGGTACAGGGATTTTCCAGATTTCCCCTGGCCCTCACTACCACATGCGTAGCCACCCCTTTATCAACATCATGTTAACTATTTTAAAGTGGACAGTTGAGTGGCTTTAAGGGCATTCATATTGTTGTGCTAACATCATGACCATCCATCTCCAGAATGATTTTCATCGTGCAAAACTGAAACGCTGTACCCACAGAACACTGGCTCCTCATCACCTCCCCAAGCCCAGCCCCTGGCAACCACCATTCTCCCCTACTTTGTCTATGAATTCGACTACTCTTGGTACCTCATATAAGTGGAATCACACAGTGTGTGATGTGTTCTTTTGTGGCTGACTTATTTATGATACTGGATTCTCAGCATCATGGGAGTTAGGACTGTCTGTCGCACCATCAAACAGGCATAGCTGGCTGGCTAGACCATGTCACAGGGATGTTGGAACTGGGTGGCACTGACTGGCCCAGCCAAGGGGTCACGCAGGGGACTCCTGATTCATTCCTGGGGAAAGTAGTTATGTCAGGAAGCACAGGCTATGGCTCACGGCTGTGGCTGTGCCCACGTGGTCTGTGTGGGCTGGTGGTAATGGGCCAGGGAACTGAATGGGATGCCTTTTATTATGCACTCTTGACATTTTTTATATTAATCTGTTTTCTTCTCCATCTATAACATTTCCCACATGCTACACTGAAGGGATATTTTAAGCATTAATTCTCCTAAAAAGCCTCATGCCCAATGTAAAAATAGTTCACTGTCTCAGAAAAAGGCACTCTCTATAAATGAAAAGCACCATTATTAGTAATGTCAATAACTTTCCTGACATCCATTTGGGCATTGTATATGTTTTGATAGGATTACATAAATAATGAAATTGTATGCAAAGCATCAGAATGCAAAAGGTGTTTTCTCCAAGGTGTATACACTGCCTGGGCCTTGTACTCTGGCCCTCAATTTTCTTAAACAGCTGCATCTTTTGGGGGCTCTGTTAAGACATGCTACTGTCTTTAGTATTTTGCCCCCTCACCGAATGATCAGGAGACTGGCTTCCCCAATGCCCTGGGCTTAATTCCCAGATATTTATTCTGTTGTGGAGTGATTATCTGTTCCTGGATTGTCTCAAAGGCATTAATCTTTTTGGTATCCAACATCTTGAATGCTTCTGTGTCATTTTCCTTTCTTTTTTTTTTTCAAAGCACTTAATTATTTAAAAACAAAAATACTTCTCTGATCAGAGCATACCTGCCGTGCTCAAAGCACTTGCTTACTTGGAATGCCATAAATTACATGAAGGAATTATTCATTGTATCACGAAACATACCTTCCAGTCTCCCGAGTAGTGTATTAGGCTAAGTATGGTCTTTTAAATTATTACTTTAAAAATAAAAGATAATGGAATTATAGCATTAAATACATTTTGCAAATGATCTTCTAGTAGGATTATTGAAAGACAGTAAAGGCAAGTATAAATCAGAAGCAAAATCATTGTCCTCTAATTCATTAATGGTTAATAATATTGCTGACTCTTTTAACTTGTCAACATTTCCTACATTCAACATTGTACTCTAATATCCAGTAAAGTGAAACAAACAAACAAATAAATACACTTTTTTCAAGAAAAAATAAATATCTGTGATCTCATCATTTGACCGTCAGTATTTTCATTTTTGCATGTGCCACTTTAATTTCCCTAGGCAACACTAGCTAGTGGCCCACAATAAGACGTAGAAAACAAGACCACGTACCTTCCAGAATCATTGGCCCTGGCTCTACTCCTGGAAACCCAGTCCATCTCTAATCCCTTTGATTTCCAATGGGAGGCAAATCCAGGGGAGTTCTAGACTGTCTAGAATATTGTACCAAGAACAAAAGGCCAACCCCATTAGACAGTGGCCAAGGGAGGTGAACTAAAGTTGGTGCTGTGAACAGGGCTAATGGTTTGTGATTTACCCATAAGTGGAAGGTGTACTCCGGCTGCTCCTTTAATATTTTATGATTAGCAGTAGAGGTGTGTCTGGGGGAAAGAGTCAGCTTATTTTATTTATTTATTAATTTTTTGAGATGGAGTCTCACTCTATCATCCAGGCTGGAGTGTGGTAGGTGGGATCTTGGCTCACTGCAACCTCGTCTCCCGGGTTCAAGTGATTCTCCTGCCTCAGCCTCCCAAGTAGCTGGGAGTACAAGTGTGCACCACCATGCCTGGCTAATGTTTGTATTTTTAGTAGGGACGGGGTTTCGCCATGTTGGCCAGGCTGGTGTCAAACTCCTGATCTCAGGTGTTCCAAGAACAAAAGGCCAACCCCATTAGACGGTGGCCAAGTTGGTGCTGTGAACAGGGATCCTGCCTCTGCCTCCCAAAGTGATGGGATTACAGGCGTGAGCCACTACACCCAGCCAAGAATTCAGCTTCTTAAAGGAGCTGCCTCAGACTGTCTCAAGATCTTAGAAGGCCATGCCTACATTGCCACCAGCATCCCTTGGCTTTTTGCTTGGCTTAAGAATCTATCTTTTCCGTTCCTCCTTCCAGCATACTCAGCACAGTCCACCTCTGTGGTCTCTCTGTGGTTTTCTTTCTGTTTTCCTGCTCTCTCCATTTCTCATTCACCACACCCTGGGCTATCTTTCACTCTCTATGAAATACCTTGGATTTAGGAATTGGAGATTTCCTTGGGTCAGGTTTCACCCTCTTCAAGTAGCGTCTCAAACAGTATACCCACTACAGCTTTCTCCCCACTCTGTCAACCATGCCATGGGGCCTACTTTTTGCCCTGACTCCCACCAGATAATGCCCATCAGATGGCACCTCTTTTGGCTGAAAAATCGAAAACTCATCACTCTTCCTGCATTCATTAGACAGTACCCTTTATGTTCAACTTTGTAATTTAAGTCCCATTCTTGCCTCATAGAATTATTGCCCGTTGACCTCCATATAAGTATCTGCATTTGCTGCATCATTCATGACATGTGAGGCCTTTGACAAACCCTCCTATGGTGCAGCTTCCTCCGAGCAGCTCCTAAGGAAGTGCCAGAGTCAGGGCTTTCCTCTGCCTGAATTATCGGAGCTCTTGGCTTAATGTGGGAGAAGAGATGAATGATCTGTCCTTCTATGAAAGGCTTACCAACTCCATTCAATTCACAGTGGCTCTCTGAAGCTCTGTTTTTGGAAGGACTGTGAGGCTGTACCTGCACTTGATTGAACGAGTGCTGGGATTGATTAGTGATGTCTGCAGTGAGCGAAGGATTGGGAAGAGTAAACAGGCATGCTGCATATCTGTCATCATGGCTCTGAGTGTATCCTGTTTCAGAAGAGATGAACTGTGCTGTAGAGATGTTAGCATCAGGTATTTTAGACACATGAAGAGAGGATCAGATTCAGTGGAAGTGCCAAAGGGATTCTTTCAGATGGGCAATAAGTGGTTCTGAAGATACGTATTTCTCAGTGTGTTATCTTGGCTCCATTTAGCCACACAAAAGGAATATGGGTATAGTGATGGGTCTCTCATGGCTCACGTATTAACTGTATTTGTTGTTACTGCTTCTCAGGCACTCTGTTAAGAATGCAGGGCTCTTCCTCAGACTCAGGGCGGGGCCTGGGCTTTACAGCAATGGTTTTCAGTTTGTAATCTCTCTCAAGGAAGGGAGAGGAGCACAAAGCTGCCTTGACTGCCAGCACCATCAGAAAAGTGACAGCAGTCTTGGCCCTGTAATTGCCAACAGTAATTCATTTGTTCGTTCTCTCTCTCTCGCTCCTGCTCCTGACTCTGGGGGATGCTTCTTTTCCTACCCTGCCTGGAAAGTGCTGGGGCATGGGTGAAACCAGAATGGTTTTGATTCTCAAGTCTTTTTGTAGAGAGGAAGAATGGATATTCCTAGGGTCAGTTGATTGAGGGTGTGTTGGGGGAATGTGATTATCGATGATGCTGTATGCTGGGTACTAGACTGGGGGTTCGTTACATCAAGTTGTGGGGTCTGTGGAAAGGAAGTTGTCATAGGAGTCTAGGACTCAGCAGCTGTCACCTTCCCAAAGTCACACTGCTGATGAGTGACAGAGACCACATTTAAATCTGTGTGTTTACAAGGTCTACAACTGCACCCTGCTACCTCCCAGAAGCTGAGGCAGGATGGGCAGGTTGCCACACCCTCCCAACCTCCTGCAACCTTAGTTGTTAGTGAAAGGTTATTAAATAGGCCTCACAATCGCAAGCCAGGTAAATATGTCATTGGAGAGGTTGGTTTTGTTTGCATTTCTGGTGAAGTTGAGTTGTTTTTATCCCCTACAAGGTCATCTAGACATTTTTATCCCCAAGGTCAGGAGATCTTTCTGCCAGAGGTCAGCATTCCATCCAGCTCCTGCCTGCTCTCTGGGTGGCCGACTGTGCCAGTAGAAATGCCAGCTGCAGCCAAAGGACAGGCTTTCCATCCGAGAAAAGCACTCACACTCGCATTTCTTTTCTGGTTCTGTTCCTCCCCTACATAACCAGAAAAAGCTCGTTAACACATGATGGCAACCAGGCTCCAATATCTGCCAGTTCCCCTGTACAGATTCCTCTTTAGCATTCTCTCGGCTTCCCTCCTCAACAATTAATTCAGATGAGCAGTTGGGAGAGTGCAGGATCCAGTTCAAAAGGATCTGTCCCCCCGTGAACCCCAGGACAGGGTGAGAGGCCACCTGCACACTTTTTTTTTGTCAGCTCACACCCTGTTGGCCCTTTGCAAATATTTGTCTTTCCTCATGCACGTGGTTATTCCCAGAAAGATCCAGTGAATTGTCTCCTGAAGATAAAATACATAAAAGGGCGTTTCAAAGTATAAACAGTGATTTTAATGAAAAATAAGAAGAAAATGCTTATGATACAACATTAGGTGGAAAACGAAGGAAGAAAAATTCTGTGAGTCTAATTATGGAAAAAATTACTAAGATATGTTTTAACATGCCCTAGACATGCACAGAAAAAAAAGACTGGAAGGAAATTTATTGAGATGTTATTGTTTATGAGTGTTCTAATTATGATTTTTAACAATATATTATCAGAGTTTTCTGACAAAGAATTAACTTTTTATTTTTTTTGAGACAGAGTTTCTCTCTTGTCACACAGGCTGGAGTGCAATGGTGCAATCTCAGCTCACTGCAATGTCTGCCTCCCAGATTCAAGCAATTTTCCTGCCTCAGGCTCCCAAGTAGCTGGGATTACAGGCACCCACCACCACACCCAACTAATTTTTGTGTTTTTAGTAGAGACAGGGTTTCACCATATTGGCCAGACTGCTCTTGAATTCCTAACTTCAGGTGACCCACCTGCCTCAGCCTCCCAAAGTGCTGGGATTACAAGCATGAGCCACTGTGCCCAGCCTAGAAATAACTTTTAAATCAGAAAAATACATTTTTTAAAAAGATGTAAAGCATACATAGAGGATAACTTACAAATCTGCATTTCATGACCACATATATCTATTGAGTTGCCCCTAGGATCATTTTTTTCAAAGCTAATGTCTGCCACAAATGGGAGTTTTAATAGGTTATAATTCATATGACTTAGTGTTAAACCTCTACGTTGGGATTCTTAAATTTAACATGGATAAACTGAACTTGATTTCCTGCATTAAAAAAAATTAAAGAAATGAAAGTTCTGACTGTTTTATTGTAGCTGGGGAATTCTTTTTGCAGGTGATGCTCATGTTACGGTTTTGAACCCAGGACTTTGCGTTGCAGTTTTGTTCAGGGGTTGCAGAATACCGATCTGACTTTGCAGGAATGACTGTCTTGGTGCATAAGCCATTAACCTCTCTGCGCCCTTGGATTGCCTCCTCTCCTGCCAGCAGAAGCCAAGTCACCTCATCTGTAAGGGAGTTTCATTGAGGACTAAGTGGGACCAGGCCGAAAACGACCCCCTTCCCCCATAGGAAGTCACAGAACAGCCAAGCCCTGGAACAGGAGGAGCAGCTTCCTCCTGGGCACAGCTGTGCAGAACCAGAGGCGACGCATTTGCCCATCGTAAAGGCTGATTAGAAACAGTTGGGTCCCAAGCAGAATCCTTTTGCCCATGACTGTGTCCATGGTCGAGGTGTCCATTGTCACTGTTGCCAGATGCCAGCACTGGCGAGGGTTTTGCCTTCCTACCGTAGGCTTCTTGACCCGGCACCTCGGAAAGTAACTCCTGTCCATTGTTCCTTGTGCCATCTTTCTTAAGAAAACATGAGGAGGAGCAGGGTGATGCTAGATGGAAGCAGGAGAGCCTGGGGTCTTAGTTTCAGTGGCTCTGACTTCAGTTTTCTCACCTCGAAATCTCCCTTCTCTGAACCTTTTTGCGTGCTCTTCTGTCTGTCTGATATTCATCATCTGACTCATCTCTACCAGTCAGGAGTTGCTTCTTCCAGGAAGCCACATTCCATGGACTGATACGCTGGGCTCCATGCCATCCTGGGGTTCTCTTGAGTACATCTGGAGGGGTGTAGTGTGTTGTAAATGCATACGATCATGCTGGTACATTTCATCAAAGGTGGCAGTTACACTACCAGTTGTGTGCCCTTGGGCAATTAGCATCACCCTGCTGTGCCTCAGTGTTTCCATCTATAAACTGGGTATAATAATCATTCCTACCCCATAGGTTGCTGTGAAGATTGGCTCACATCAGTAATGTACTTGGAATGGATCCTGGCATAAAAAGAGCCCTTGGAAAATGATAGCGTTCATCCTTGGTATGACCTCCAAGTTCTTTGAACCTCAAAGAGCCAAGTCCCACATCTCAGGTACATTTCAGTTCATTCTTTCTGAGTTGATTTTTTTTTTTTTTTTTGAGACAAGGTCTCATTCTGTTGCCCAGACTGGAGTGCGGTGGTGCGATCTCAGCTCACTGCCACCTCTGCCTCCCAGGCCCAAGCGATCCTCCTGCCTCAGCCTCATGAGCAGCTGGGACCACAGGATGCACCACCATGGCCAGATAATTGTTTTGCATCTTTGGTAGAGACAAGCCTTCACTATGTTGCCCAGGCTGGTCTCGAACTCCTGAGCTCAGGTGATCTACCTACCTTGGCCCCACAAAGTGCTGGGCTTACAGGTATCAGCCACTGGGCCTGGCCTGAGTTGATAATTTTTGTCATTTCTTTCTCACTTTTCTCAGGAAAATCATGACTGTAAAACAGATCAGTTTTGCTTTAGTTCCCACCCTCATCATCAACCCCTCCCCAGCTACCCTGCAAAAGAGTCACAGATCATTGGGATAACTAGAACCACAGAGATCCCCCTAGACTTGTCAGCCAGGGAACCTGACACTCTTAGACCTTCTTCTGAGTGCTTTGTCCTTGTCCGGAGAGCTCGGGGAGGAGCAAGGTTGTACTGGGATTTTTTTCCGATCACAGAAAGTAACTTAGCTAGCTGTTGCCCAGCCAATTTGCCCAAGGGAGAGGTTGCTCCTGGGTTGCAGGACGCATCCATGGATGGAGCATGGGTTTTGGGCTGTGGGGGGACAATGAGGTGGTTCCTGAAATCCCTAGTTACTAGCAGACAAGTGCATCAGACAAGTGCATTTCACCGTTCTGAGCTTCAGTCTCTTATCCAAGCAGAAACATGGCCAGAATGCAATGTCCTAATACATGTAATTCATTACGTGTGTTGTCATGTAATGTAACACACCTATTGGCAGTCTCTGACACAATACAGATATTGACCCCATGGTCTTGCCCCAACTTAAATAAAAATAAAAACGAATGCAAAAGAGGAATCTTCTTTGCACTCGTGTGATGTCTGTTAATTCTTGGCTTTCTTCCTTCATAAGGTTAATCATCTCCCTGTCACCCCTCCCGCTTGTCCCCCAGCCTCTGTGTGTCACCTTCTCTCTGAGCTCACCCTCTCTAGGAAGCCTTCCTTGCTGGAATGCCCATTCCCTGATATAAGGATTCCACCCACCACGCCCCTTGCGGTTCCTTGCCGGTGTCCTGTCCTGGGCAGACATAAGCCCTGTGGGTTCCAGTTTCTCATTAGGAACCTGGATGATGGAGCAGGGATCATGCTCATTAAGTCCGCAGAACTCATCAGCTGCTTAGCAGGGGGCCAAGGAGGGCTGAGCCTATGACGGGTGAATAAGTCTGGTTGGCCTCTGGGAGTACGGGATCAGAATTCCAAGTGACTGGGGTCAGTAGCAGGCCACCAAGAGCCATCCCACCTCAGAAAGACAGAAGCCATCACTGCAAATGGCAAGGGCATGAGGCAGTTTGAAACTGGCAAAACTGGACCTTTCATGGAATCCAGGGCTTGAGCTTTAATGCTTTACACTTTTGTTTTTTCATTCCATACGCTTTTGCTTTAGCTTCCTGGCAAAATTCAGACAAACCTAGAAGGGATAATAACTTACATTCAACCTCTGCTTGCTCTGTCCTTTCTCACACGTGTTTAGAGAAACTGGAGGAGCCCGGGAACTGCTTTCTCCTCTCTAAGAGTCTTGGTGGTTTCTTGTGTGGAAATGAATGGGAAGTTCACCCTGGTTCTGCAAAATGGGTGCGAAATGTAAAATGTATATACCTTCTATCCTACTCTTTATGTTCCACAAATTTTGGAGGGAAACTGATTAACTCTCTAGCTACCATGTTCCAGGTGCCTGCACCTGCTTGCTCTTGGTTAACCTGCACCCACGTTCCCCCGCCTGTCTCTGAAGTATTCACAGGTGGAGGCTCAGATGCACACAGTGATTGAGTGCCCTAGCTGGGGTTGGAAACTCTGTCCATGAACTCCAAAGCCCACGCTCTCTTACACCCTCCCAAAAGCTGAGGCTTCCTCACTGTCTTTTGCATTATGTCATGGGTGGAAACATGCACCTTCCCTGACCTTTTGGCTTGGAACATGGAAGTTCATTGACTTTGTTGCCTAGCAGGGCCTGGAGCTGGGTTTCTTGCCTGATCAATGTATATCATTTTGCCAAGAGACAGAGTCTGTGCTGGAGAGATTGATTCCCTGGTTATTTATCTTCCTCTGCCCAGTGTAAATTGGTCAGCCTGATCCTATTCGCATGATAAAAATCATAATGTCTCAAATTACTTACTCAATAAAATGTGGGTTTGTCTATTATTAGTGATTATTAGGGTTATAATGCAGCATGGAAATTTGGAGCAAATTAACTATACATGCAAGCTGTTGGGCTCAAGTGCAGTTAATCATACGCATACAGTGCCAGTGGGCAGAAGGTTTTGCAAGAATAGCTTCAGGAAGACTTTGTGGGAAGACAGATGAATACTCAGGGTTTTTTTTTTTTTTTCTTCTAACTTGTCCTCCTTGATCAGGATTTCTCAAATGCACATTTGTCTAATATACTGTTGAACCATGCAAGTACCAAAACAAAACAAGAAACCCAGAATTATAGCTCAAATTTAATTAAAATAGCTTTTATTGCTTCTATTCATGTGTCCCTGGATTTTAAGTGATGCGTCAGAATTTCATGATGAGCAAATGCCTATGGATGCCCTCATTTCTCATCCTTCTTGACTGTCTGCTAAGATTCACTCTTGGTCTTGTCTTTGAGCTTTTCTGTTCAGTGATGTAATGGGACAGGCTCTCCTGTCATCAAGAGTTCCCATCATACCTGGGCACTGCCATTTCCTCTGTGGTAGATGCTTCCTGGACACGTGGGCAGGTGAGAGGTGCTGACTTTGCCTACTTGCAGCTGAAGAGAAGAGAGATGTAGCTTTGAATGGCCACATGAGTGTTTTTTTAAATGAAAAAAAAATCTATGTATAACTTGTTTCCTGTGAGGGTGCCAGGAAACTTTACAATGAACTTCGTGAATTAAACCTCTACCAGATGAATAGAGGTGGTGGCATGGTAGCAGAAATTAGGATTAAAAAAATGGTTTTTGATTTATGAAAAATTTTTCTGCAGGAAATTTTGATTTGTTCTTTGTGGATTCTGAGGATAAAATTAAGACCAACATTGAGGATGAGAGACAGAACTGAACTCAACTTAAAATAGCTTCAGGGAGGAAAAGCAAGTGCATTAGATAAGTAAGTGGGAAGTCCAGGGGTAGACGTGAGTTCAGGCATAGCTGGATCCAGGATCCGACAGCTTGCATGTGTAGTTAATTTGTTCCAAATTTCCATCCTGCATTATAACCCTAATGTTTGCTAATAACACACAAACCCACATTTTATTAAGTAAGTAATTTGAGACATGATGATTTTTGTCATGTAAATAGGATCAGGCTGACCAGTATAGACTGGGCAGAGGAAGATTCATAACCAGGGAATTAATCTCTGGATCCAGGCTGAAATGATATTATCAGACACCTTTCTTTCTCTGGTCCTCAGTTTTGATCTCTTCTCTGCTAGCTTTATTCTAAGACAGGCTTAGATGGGATGTAGAGAGCAAACTCTGGAAGTGGAGTACCTCTGGCCTCCAAGGCCAGTAGTTGTAGCAAAAGTCCAGGGCTGCCGCTCATTCACTCTGCTCGGACCTTTCTGGTCACTTGTCTTCTGTGGTTTGGTCCTTGTGGCCAGGGACAATGAAACTCTCATTGATTAGGCCTGAGTTATGTGCTCTCTCCTAGAGCCAGGAAGAGGCTTCGGCCCTGCCCAGACCCGGTGGCCTGAGAGTCACAGTGAGGCGCAGCTCCCAAAGGGAGACTGAAATATAAGCAAAAGAAAAGGAACACGTACTGGGAATCCCAAACAGCAAATGTTCACTGTGTTCAGGGAGGAGTCTTCAGGCCCACAGTGTAGGCATTCAACAAACGCTCTTCAGGGAGAAGGAAAGTTACCATCAAAATCCGTCGTTGAAAGTATTGAAGTTCCAGCTGGCGGTCTGATACAGCTTAGATGTTGTCCCTGCCCAAAGCTCATGTCAAAAGGTAATCTGCAGCGTTGGAGGTGGGGCATGGTGGGAGGTGATTGGGTCATGGGGGTGGATTTCTCATGAATGGTTTACCACCATCCTCTTGGTACTGTCCTCACGATAGTGAGTGAGTTGTTGGGGGAGCTGGTCATTTAAAAATGTGTGGCACAGCCCCCCACCCTGTCTCTTGCTCCTGCCCTGGCCACATGACGTGCCTGCTCCGCCTTCTCCTTCTGCCATGATTGTAAGCTTCTTGAGACTTCCCCCAGAAGCCAGGCAGCTGCCAGTATCATGTTTCCTGTACAGCCTGTGGAACTATGAGCCAATTAAACCTCTTTTCTTTATAAATTACCCAGTCTCAGGTAATTCTTTATAGCAATGCAAGAATGGCCTAATACATGGTCTCTGAGCAGGATTATTGTAGAGGGGACTGATGTTGAAGAATGGAAAAGAAGGCAGTGTCAGAGAATGCTGAAGAGTGTGGATCTTAAAGTCCAACCTCAAGGCCCAGCGCTGCCACTTAACAGCTCTGTGACCCTGTAAAGTCACTCAGCCTCATTGAGTCCCCCATCCTCCCCTGTGTAGAATGAGGCTAATGCTAGTGCTCATTTCATAGAGTTGCTACAATAATCAATGAGATAATGTGCATAAAGATTTACATACATAATAACTGCTCAATAAAGGGTAGATGTTAAAATTAGCATCAGCGAGCTCTAGAAGATGCTAAGTTCTCTGGAAAGATCAGCTCTGCTCCTGTCAATCTCTCCAAATGTTAGATTTTGCCTCAAATTTTAGGCATTCGTTCATTCATTTATTCTTTCGTAAATTCTATCGCATTAACCTTTACAAGTGTTAAATTAAATCTTTTCCCCAAATTATGCATTAGAACCAAGTTCTTATGTGGTGGATGTACCTCATTTCAGCAAGAGCTTTCTAAGGGTACAGAATTAAATATGCAGCCTCTGGGATTCAGTGATAGCTCATGGGACATTTGACCTACATGGAAATGCAGGCTGGAGTTGCATTTTAATTGGCAAGGATCAGCCCAGTTGTCCAGCTTGTAGCTTGGAGTGTGGCCTGGCTCCCACTCCAGAGAGATGTACATCATGATCTGCGTGGGTGAGAGGATACTCTCAGGAAATGGGCAAAGTTGCCAGCTGACCTCTCCAGAAAGAGAGACTATGTTGTTAGTTTCCCTTACTTGGATGAGAAATTTCTCCATTCCTAGTCTCATTTTCCCAATAGAACACGGAGGCAGAATTTAAAGCCTCAAAACAATCTGATGCACATCAGCTATCAATGAAAAGGACCAGCTTGGAGGCAGAGGCACCTGAGTTTTGCATCTTGGCTCAATCACTTACTAACTGCATTGTGGGTTAACACAGTGTGTGTGTGTGCACTTACTAACTGTGCAACTGTGGGCAAGTGATGTAATCTCTCTGGAGCTCGTCTTTCCTTTTTTCTTTTCCTTTTTTTTTTTTTTTTTTTTTTTTTTTTTTTTTTTTTTTGAGATGGAGTCTCACTCTGTTGCCCAGGCTGGAGTGCAGTGGCACAATCTCAGCTCACTGCAACCTCTGCCTCCCGGGTTCAAGTGATTCTCCTGCCTCAGCCTCCCAAGTAGCTGGGACTACAGGTGCACACCACCATGGCTGGCTAATTTTTGTATTTTTAGTAGAGACGGGCTTTCACCATGTTGGCCAGGCTGGCCTCGAGCTCCTGACCTCAGATGATCTGTCTGCCTTGCCCTCCCAAAGTGCTAGAATTACAGGCATAAGCCACTGCACCCGGCCACAGTTTTCTTTTCTATATTGTAGGGATAATAATCCTCCCTTGCAGGACTGTGCTCAGCACATGTTCATTGCTCAAGAGAAGTAGCCACTGTTATTATTATTGTCAGTATGTATCCAAGTGTTTAGTTCATTTTCTCTGCATTTGTCTAACTCCCTTTTTTCCCTTGAACTGTAAAGCTCTCAGCCCAGGGATATAGTAGCACCAGCACATAGTAGATGATCAAGAAAAATTAGTCATTCTCTCTGGTTCTTCCTTTCCTGTATCCTGTTGTCTTTATCAGTTCAGGCTGCTGTGACAAAAGTATCACAGACTGGATGGCCTTAACCACAATTGTTTTACATGGTTCTGGAGACTGGGAAGTCTAAGATTAAGGCAGTGGAAGGTTCACTGTCTGGTGAAGGCTGGGCTCCTGATTCATAGATGTCTGCCCTTCTTGTGCATCTTCACATGGTGGGAAGAGGGTGAGAGAGCTCACCGGGGAGTGTTTCTCCCAGTTCCTCCCCAGTACACAGAAAAACAAAGCTTTCTGTCTCACCAGGAGGACTCCACGGTGAGCATAGCTTGGCTCAGCCCAGCAGGAGATTTTGAACCGACTCTGGTAGATTCTTCCTGCAGCCATTCAGCTCCCACCTCTTTCTCTCAAAAAGAAATCCAGGGCTGGGTGTGTGTGGGCAACTTCACCCTGCTCTCTTTGTCCCCCAGGCCTGCACTACAACAAATGTCTCTTTGTGTCCAACTCTTCTTCCATTTCTAGTCCTTCTTTTCTCTTCTTCTCGTACTTCCCATATTCCTAATACGATTGGTTACTCAAATTCTTAAACAACTCACAACTCATTATCTCCCTTCCATGTAAAAGTAACCCCCAGCCTGAGCTACCTGACCCCGTGGTTTAAACAATAAAGCAACTGACCTTTTATCAGAAATTTGCAAAGCCATTTAATTTACATATGTCCTTGGCATCCACAAATATTGCTTCTCCTTTCAACCAGCATGCCACCCTTCCAGCCATTCACATATGTATTCATTCATTCATTCATTTATTCTTTCATTCAGTCAATAAATATTTATTGAGTAGTAAGCACATGCAAGGCATTGAGGGTGGGGAGGGAAAGAGACACAAATTGTCCTTACCCTCATGGATTCACCATGTATTTAAAGGCCACAAATACTTGTGTGAGAAGCAAGTCTTAATAGTCTGAAGTGTTTTCTTAGATTCCCTTGAGCCGCAATGCTGAAAAGCTTATGGTGGTTTTGCTAATGAATTTGACAAGGCCAGAAATAGACCAGATGAAGATTGATCCATTGGTTAATTGATTAATTGATTGATCGACTGAGGAATGTCAGCCTGGTCTACCAAGGTTTATGAAAGCCTGGCATATAGAAATGATGTCGTTAATGCACAAATACCTGCATCCTGTCTTGAACTCCCTCTAGGGGCCACCATGTGTATCAGTGTCCTGTGGCTGCTGTAACAGATTACTACAAATTTTGTGGCATAAAATAACACAAATCGATTCCCTTACAGTTCTGGATGTCAGAACTGGGTGACTTTCTCCTGAGACTGTCCTGATTTTTTTTTTTTTTTTTTTTTTTTTTTTTGCTTGTCAGTTTGTTTTGGGTGATGCAGATGGAAGGTAACGTCACAGGGCAGCTGTATTCCAGGTACTTGGTGACTCTTGGTTGCGATCTGATGACTGGCTCACAGTAGGACCATGACGTGAGCAGATTTGTAGTCCTGCATGAATGAAGGAAAGAAAGAAATCTGACAACTCATTGATTCAGATTCACAGACTCTGCATTTTGAACCAGAATACACCCGAGCAATTACCTAGCACAAAATCTCCTGTCTGCAGAGGAGTTGCAGGAAGGAGAATTCACTATATCCTCTCCTGAAAATATCCCTTGTGGTCAAGGTGGCTATAGACTGGCATCCCTCTGCTCCCTAAGATGCCAGGGACTCACGTCTTCTAGGATATCAGGGGAAGATACAGGGCAATGGGCCTCAGATCACAGACACGGAAAATCATTTTCTATTTCATGGAGCATGGAGAAGCTTCCTTCAAAAAGCTAGCCTTCGACTTTCTATTTTTTGAACTGAAGGGCAGGCCAGGAGGGAGCTGACCTGTGTAGAGCTTGGAGGTTGTGTTTTCAGCTGAGAAAAGTGATCCTGAACCTCTCCATCCTTGCAAAGCTCAGATGGAAGCCCAGGGGCCCCAGCCCTCCAGCCCCACACACATGCCGGTGCACCTGGACTGCCACTCTACCTGTTTACAAATTACCCCCATTTTCTGCTTGGTTCAGCAGCAACTGATTACCGTCCCCCGTGATGTAATTAGGGCTTCAGAGTTCACGTGTGTCTATTATGAGCTCTCCTGTGCTTTGTCTTGGTGCTTCGTTTCTGTAGCAGTAATCATATATATATATAAAAATTTGGTATCAATTGTTTGGCTAAATTATGCACAGTGGGCCATCCTAACCTGCCATTAACATAACGTATGCTAAAGAATGTGTTGTGTTTTTTTGTTTTCTCTGATAATTATACTCTAAAGCATCAATTGCTTATTTGAGTAAATTAAACTTTGAGTTGTTCTTATTTCTTCAAACTTTCAAATTGTCTTGCCTGCAGCAGATGCAGACCCAGCACTCCGGCTGCTGCCAGTGGAGGCAGGAGCCTCGTTACCACCTTTCTGAGAAATTCAAGTGCCACACAGTGGTCACCAGCATTGTAGCTGCCCTGATGTTCCGGGCTCAGCTGCAATATAGCACATCTCTACCACCATCCCCAGAGTGACCTCCAGAACTGTAAGGGACCCCCGCCTTTGGTACAGAGATGGGAGTTAAACACAGGTGTCCACTGGAGTCATGATTCCTCTATTCCCTGGACAAATATGCAATGAGAATCCCTGAGGGACAGGCACTGTGCTAGATACCCGAGATACAAAAGCGACAAGGTTTCTATCCTCTGACAGTTTATACTTTAGTGCAGTGGTCAGCAGACTGTTTCTGCAAACAGCTAGATAGCAAATATTTTAGACTTTGTGACCCATACAGTCACCATCACAACTATTCAGTTCTGCCAGTGTAACTCAAAAGCAGCCATGGCTGTTACATAATGAGTGGCTGTGGCTGTGTGCCAATTAAACTTTATTTACAAAAACAAGAGGAGGGCCAGATTTTGCCTTTGTCAAGGAAGTAAGCATAATAGTGCAAGCAGCACGTGCCCGCTCTTTCACACTGGGGCAAACACAGGGGATTTATTCGGCACAATTGAGTAATGTGGATGAGGCTGCTCAGGGCTGGCAGTTGTAGGACGCAAAACCTTGAGGGGCATCGATATTCTGGTACAGCTGTCACCCATTTGCAGCACAGCTGGGACACTCCACAGAGAATGATCAGGAAGGCCAAGCCCAGATGGCATTGTTGAGGGGCTTTCTCTTAAGACTGCATCTGAGTGGCAGGGCGCAGTAGCTGACCCTTGTAATCCCAGCACTTTGGGAGGCCGAGGTGGGTGGATCACGAGGTCAGGAGTTCAAGACCAGCCTGGCCATGATGGCGAAACCCCGTCTCTACTAAAAATACAAAAATTAGCCTGGCGTGGTGGCCGGCGCCTGTAATCCCAGCCACTTGGGAGGCTGAGGCAGAGAATTGCTTGAACCTGGGAGGTGGAGGTTGCAGTGAGCTGAGATCATCCCACCGCACACCAGCCTGGCCGACAGAGTGAGACTCTGTCTCAAAAAAAAAAAAAAAAAAAGTTACTTCTGAGTTAAAATATGAAGAGTGAGCAGTACCCAGCCATGCAGAAGGACATGGAGTGGTAAAAGCATGTGGTTCCATTAAGGGAAAGACTCCAGGGCAAGAAAAAAACATGTCATGCTTGTACCTGAGGGAAGGCCAGTGTGATTGCAGAGTATGGGGCACCCTGGAGGTCTGGAATGGGAGGAGTTTAAACAGGTCATTAGAGCTTCAAGATGAAGCATAGGCCAGTGACTTGGTTGCTGCTGCTGCGTAACCGTGTGGCAACTGAGTGGCTCACGGCAATCAGTATTTACTTCTCACGTGTGTGTGGGGTTCAGCAGAACTAGGCTGGGCTTGGCTGCCCTGCCCTACTGGTCCTGCTGGTTTTGGTGGGGCTTCCCCCTGTGTCTGTGGGTCAGCTTGTTTTGCTCCTGCATCTTTGCATCAGCTGGGCTTTCTGCCCTAGGCTGGACATGGGTGGGGCACTTTAGCTGGGGTGGTTCTCCTCCACATGTCTCTCATCTTCCTGGGACCAGCAGGGCTAGACCAGACATGACTTTCTTATGGCAAGGGCAGAAATGCAAGACAGCAACTCAAAACACATAAGGACTTTCAAGTCTAGACCCAGAACTGGCATACCCATTCCTCTGTCACACACTGATGCCCCAAATAAATCACATGGCTGAGCTCACGGTTAGAGAGGGAGGATACTGCAGTCCCAAAGCCCGGGGCATGGATCCAGAGAGGAGGGTGAAGAATGGGCCCCTGACCCAAGACTGCACTTGTATTTGAGTTGCATAAGAAGCTGCTGAGGAATTTTAAGAACAGGAGTGACATGACTTCCGTTACAATTGAAAAAATCAATCTGGCGAAATGAATGGGGCTACATAGGTTGGGGGAAGGAGGTAAGAGAGGAAGTGAGGAGAATAGGGTGGGTCGAACCTGTTGAAGGCCCAGAGCTTGCTTCTCTTCTGCCGCCTTTAGGAAACGAGATGAATTGTTAAACTTCTTGCACTGAGCTTTACCAGGTGAGCTGACAGTTATCCTCTGCATTCATCAATATAAGCCCCATAAAAGGCAAAGTGGTTGAGGAGAAACGAGAAATTACAGCCCAGATTAGCAGCCTTGAGTGCTCCTTGTGAACACAAGACACTGACCCAAATCACACGTCACGGCTCTTCGCCCATTAACGCTTATAGCAGGATTATTCCCAAGGAAGCTGTAGCCATTATATTTGCTGCCATCACAACAGTAAAATAAACAGGTGTGACTGCAGCCCTACTCCTCGGGTTGTTTCATGCTGATCAGTTGTTAATATATGTGTGACTTGAAGTTGGAGCCTGTTGGGAGAAAAAGTTGTCTTTAGAGGAGTAAAGTGTTGCCTTGCTGTGGGAAGGGGAAACTTTTTCTTGGGAAGTGGACTCACCAATAATTTTTGCATCATGCGCAGGAGACCCTACTAAAACCTAAGTGTGCAATGCTTTAAATCAGTAAGTTTGTTTTTCATTAACATAAAATCCAAAACAGGTGCTGTGATCAGCAAGCCGCTGTCCTCCAAGTGGTAATTCAGGAACCCAGGCTCCTTCCATTCTGTGGCTTCACCTTGACCAACGAAGACCTTTTGAGGTTGCCACATTCTCCAGGCCACTAACACTTATGTCATTGGCTACAACTCAGTCACATGACCATGGCTGCCTGCAAGGGAGGCTGGGAAATATAGTTTGCTGTGTGCTGGGTGGGTGGGAGGGAGCGTCAACATTAGTGAACAGCCAGGCAGTCGCTGCCTCAAATTTCTTTAGTGTTATCCTTTCATGCCAGCAATTGAATTTGATTTGCACTGTTTCACTTCTCTACAAGGGTGTAAAAAGTAGAGGTTCCTCTTGAAAGAATTTCCTCCCCATCTAATTAGGAATAAATAGTAACTTCTCTTAGAAGCAAAGTTAATTCAAAGACCTGTGCTAACATTCTTAAATATCTGCTAGCTGTAATGAAGAAATCAATGTACTTTATGTTCTTAGCTCCCACAGTTTAGCCTAAATATTTGCCCTGGCATGCTTATACTGGTCCAAGCAAGCATTAGGTCATAGCCTGTTCCTCTTCCTTATTTGAAGGTGTTTTTACCTTTCTCAGCATTCCACAAGTTACTTCGTCCTTCCTTTGTTCTCCTCTGCCTTTGCCTCTTTTTTCTTTTTTTATTTTAATTTTTTTTTTTTAATTATACTTTAAGTTTTAGGGTACATGTGCACGTTGTGCAGGTTAGTTACATATGTATACATGTGCCATGCTGGTGCGCTGCACCCACTAACTCGTCATCTAGCATTAGGTATATCTCCCAATGCTATCCCTCCCCCTTCCCCCCACCCCACCACAGTCCCCAGAGTGTGATATTCCCCTTCCTGTGTCCATGTGATCTCATTGTTCAGTTGTCACCTATGAGTGAGAATATGCGTTGTTTGGTGTTTTGTTCTTGCGATAGTTTACTGACAGTGATGATTTCCAATTTCATCCATGTCCCTACAAAGGACATGAACTCATCCTTTTTTATGGCTGCATAGTATTCCATGGTGTATATGTGCCAGCCATCCCGTTACTGGGTGTATACCCAAAGGACTATAAATCTTTCTGCTATAAAGACACATGCACACATATGTTTATTGCGGCATTATTCACAATAGCAAAGACTTGGAACCAACCCAAATGTCCAACAGTGGTAGACTGGATTAAGAAAATGTGGCCTTTGCCTCTTTTAAAAAGTTCTAAGTTGCTAGCCAGTCGGAACAAATACAGAATGTGAGGTCCCTTTCCAGCCAATGGAAACCGGACACAGCAGTAGAGTACACGTGTCAGGTTATAAATGAGCCTGTCTCCTTTGTCCGGTGTTCTCTCATGGCAAAACTGCTGGCGAGTGTACCCTTTCTGCAGAAAGTAAAAATGGCCTTGCTGAGGAAATTAAATTCCTGTTCGAGTGCTATTTCTTTATGGCACTGAGGAGCAAGCATTTCTAACAATCATATTGCTTAAGAAGTGGATGGCAAGAAGATAATTACTAATATGTCTGCAATCGATCTGAAATTGACACAGTTGATCTCACTGATTCATGGGGACCCTGGGAGTATGTTTGTGTATTTGGGGGTTGGGATGGGGGGGTGGGTGGAGGGTCAGAGAGGTGGCAAAAGCAGGTGGGAACAGGGTTACAGAGCAAAGTAATTAGATGCCCTTTAGATGCTCTTAGTTAAAGACCATGCAAAAAGGATGAAATCTTTTGATCATGTTCTTCACAATATTAGAGGTAAAACATGAACTCAACGCTTTTAGGAAGAAACAACTGGATTGCGTTTTCTATTTTATTGACAGAAACTAGATGGGGAGGCCAGGGTGTGTTTTATTATTGCACACATACGTAATTACAAAGTCTTTGCTTTTTTCCCCTACATAAATTTATTTTGAGATTTAATTTCCACCAATTAGAACCCGAATGAAGCCGTTTTAATGTGATTCCTGCATCCCAGCAACGTGGCCCTGCTTCTTAGTGCGCACGTAAAGAAACAATCCTGGAGTGAATTTTAAGTACCTAAAGTTGTGTTAGACTGCAAATGAATATCCAATTCAATTTGTAGGAAACTTTAGATTAATTAGGTTTATAATTTGCACAGTAAGGTAATGTAAATGTGTTGCTACGGCTTGACTTTTTGCTTAATCCTCTGAGTGGATATTTAATCTTTTTAATATTAGAATTAAAGCAACTTGGAAGATATGAATATTAATCTAATTATATTCCGATCACTTTAATTTCTTTAATGTTTTAAATAACAAAACAACTTTACAAATTGGTTTAGGTTGGGGAACGCTTTTAGAGGATTTTGCATCTCATCAGTAAGTGCAATTTAGAGGATGCAGGCTTGGGAAGCTGTACCTTAAGTTTATAGTTATGCAAATGAAAACCATTAATCCTGGAGCCTCTGACTTGCAAGGTGTGCTTCAGAAATTTGCAGCTTCTATTTAGGTAGGAAGAGTTTGCCAGCCCGAAAACTCCAGTAAGCAAACAGCTTTATAGTACCCCAGCCATAGAAAGTGAGAGCTTTCGAAGAATCTGTGGTTAGAACTAAGAGGATTTTTCTTTCTCCTTTTTCTGCTGTTATTATCTCAAGGAGAGAGGGAAAAAAAAAATCAGAGCAGGACATGAACAGTGCTTGCAAATTTTATTACCTCATTATAATTGATACCTGCTCTCTGAGCCAATAAAAGAAGCTATATTCAGCACTGGCTGTATAAGATCTTTAATGTTTTAGGCTGTCAATGTTGGCTGTGGTTAGGCTGACATAATTATGAGCTGCATGTACCAATATATAGCTCTTTACCCACAAAAGCATGCTGCAACGGGGAATCTTTCAGAGATAATAAAAGGATTCATCAAGTGTCTATACGATAGCTACTTAAATCGCTATTGTTTTAGTTAGGCCCGCAAAACATATCCCCCAGCTATCCCGGTTTCTTATCTTTCTTACTTGATATTTCAGGAATTTCAAGCTTTTGTACAGCTTGTTCAGTTGCATCCTAGAGGAGGAAAATGCTTTTGGCGTGATTTCCATTTCAAGATGACAACAGGGAGAAGTCTTTCCAAAATGCGCGTGTTGCAATTTCAGATTTAATCAGGGGAATACATTAATTTCTGGAACTAATTACAGATTTTAAAAGAGTGATGGGTCTGGTACAGTGGCTCACACCTGTAATCTCCACACTTGGGGCGGTCAAGGTGGGAAGATCCCTTGAGTCCAGGAGTTCAGGACCATCCTGGGCAACATAGTGAGACCTTGTCTCTATGAAAAAATGAAAAATAATTAGCCAGGCGTGGTGTCGTGTGTCTGTAAGTCCTAGCTACTCAGGAAGGTGAGGCGAGAGGATTGTTTGAGCCCAGGAGGTGGAGGCTGCTGTGAACTGTGATCACACCACCGCACTCCAGCCTGGATGAAAGAGTATGACCTTTGTCTCAAAACAAACAAAGAAAAATCATAAAAGGGAGGCAGAAAATTAACTGAAGAAATTGTGTTATAAAAGGCAGTGTTTTAAGTTCTAGAATTAAAAGCAATTGCAGCAAATACCAAGTGAGATTTTCTGTATTTTGAGAGTTTGTGTGTGCAATGGTTTTCCACTGACTAATCAGGCTGATAAAACAACCTGAAAATGGCTTTCCCATGGAGTTTATATATTTCGTCAGAGACCTAAAATGGTATAAATGTTCAATAATAGCCAGTGAATATAAAACTAAATAATCCATATGAGACAAAACAGGTAGAAGAAAAAAACATTCCTCCTCAGATATGCACCTTTTAATTGAATAAAGCAAACAGTAACAGTGATTACCAGGACACTTGCTGTTTTCTGTTATTTTGGTTTATATTGCTTAATTAGCCAGCCTTTCTAATTAACATTACATTTTGCTGAGTTCACATTGTGATAAAGATGAATATCAATTCTTTTCTACTCATCTCATTGAGAGATAGAGTTGAATTCATCTTCCCTTGTATCTAGGCTGCACTTATTCGTTTGCTTGACCAATGGAATGTGGCTGAGTGGCCGTGTAAAATGCCTGACTACCCTGAGACTGCCATGTTGAAGGAAGCCCAGCTAGCCATGTGGAGAGGCCTTGTGGAGCGGGAAATGGCCAACCTCCATCCATTGGAAGTCATCCCATTTGAGGCCCTAGATACTGAAAATCAGAAAGAAGTTACTTCCCATTCCCCACCTCAAGGCCCTGTCCAAACTGAAGATTCATGGGCAGAATAAACAATTGCTATTTTTTAAAGGTGTATGTTTGGGGTTGTTTCCTACAGAGCAATGAATAACCAGAGCAAACACCCAAGGGCAATAAATTATGAATAGTGAATTTAATTTTTCTATGTGACCTATGGAATCAGCCTATTTTATGGCAGTACAAAGTATATGTAGCAACCAAACAGTTTCTTCTTTCCTAAAACTCAAAGTGAGTCAGACTTCTTAGGCTTGTAGATGTTGAGGACTAAGCTTTGCTCTTTATCTTCTCTTTATGGATTTCCCTTTGGAAGCAGGGATAAGAAGAGGGAAGGTCTCCCAGATGTAAATTTCTCATAAATATTTGAGCTCCATTTCAGTAATTCTTTCATTCTCTGATCTGTTGCCTAATCTTCTATTTAGCAAGTACTTTCCATGAAATAGAAGGCTTTAATTGATAGAATTACTAATTTGAATAGCTTAGCACAGCTCAGCTTGTAAAAAAAAAGGAAAACCACTATCCCCATTAAATTCTCATCTTGTAAAACCAGCCATCAGCACCTCCCTGTCTTTTTACTAAAGTTTCCCTTCTTTGGTCTTTAGTGCTAAGTAATAGGCTGTCACTAGACCAAAAAAAAAAAAAAAAAAATTCAGCATTTCTTTTCATTGGAGGTTACCCCAGAACACTTAAACTTTGGAGAGGAAAATAGAACCCCTGAAGAAAAGTGAATTCTCATGACAATTTGTACATTCTTTGAAGAATGACTGTAATACATGGAGGAGTTACCTTGGACCCATGTGCAGAGTAGTGTCGTGAATGAGGCCTGTGCCTTGTCCTGTGGTTTAAGGATAGGTAAATGTATCTGGGGCAGAGGGTTGCCTGGGACAAAGGCATTATAAGCTTATTCATTTAACTTGAGTACAGGGTTTCTCAAGCTTTGGCACTGCCAACATGTGGGGTTGGATAATTTTTTGTTGGGATCTGCCCTGTGCATTGTAGGATGTTTAGCAGCATCCCTGGCCTCTACCCACTAGATGCCAGTAGCATCCCTTCCCCCTCTTGTCACAAACACAAATGTCTCCAAACATTGCCAATCCCCCTCCATTAAGGGTCATGTCTCTTGGCTGGGATAAGTCTTCTCTACCGTATCCCTTTAACTCAAGAAGTTTTTCTTGCTAAGTTTATGTGATCTTGAAAATACGGTGAGATTGAACTTGATTTTCTTTAAAGGACAAATATCTGCTTCTTCCAAATTGTCATAGGAATAGTTCAAAGCTAAAGAGCCTTTCAGGCAGGCTGGGCACTTCAAACCTACAAAACATAGTGCTAAAATTAAGGAGTGTATAGTCGTGTGTTTATAGGGACAGGATATTTATTATCTATCACTTTTGAAAATGTCATTGGCATTATCGTTCACTTTTACAAATACGAAGGAAAAATATGAAGGAGTTCTAGAAAACACCAGAAGTGATTTTGCCGCCATGGGCCTGAATTGAAGAGCTTAACCCACTAATCTGTTATGACTGCTTGGGGAGTGCTAGCGCAGGTTCTCTAACACACTGAGAGTCGTTTGGAGGGTAGTGTGAAGTGGCGTTATAGTTCTCCTTTTAATGGTTGAGACAAGAATTGCCTGGACCTCTTTTAGGATACATCACCAGTCTTCCAATGGCAAACTTATGTTTATTCCAGCTGATTCTCCCCAGCATGGGGGCATGAATTGCAGTGGAAATCAGTGGACTAGAATTTGGATGCAATTGCCCCCAAATTATCGAAGAGAAAAGAAGACCACTGTAATTCACCGGCCATAGCATTTTTACCAACTGTTTTTGCTAAGCATTAGTTTCTTGTGATAGGTTCAATTCTCAGGCTCCTTCTCATTAGAGTCTTTCTGTAAAGACCATTATTATTTCTGTTATATTTCCTGTGGCTGAGCTGAGCCGCACTTGGAGATTTGATCCATTTTAACTCTCTCATTGCCTTCAGAGAGTTGGTGATTTTGGGGGGGGCACCAGTGTGAGTCCTTTGATCCTTGAATGACAATTTGGATTTGTCTCAAGGTCCTGATAAATGGGAACTGGAGGAACTGGCCTACTATGGTATTACAGGCTAGCACATGGTTTGCATTCTGAGGGAGCTCAGAATAGGCAAGGTAGAAGACATAGGTGGTCAAGAATTTAGAAAGACCCGGACTCGAATCCCAGCTCTGATCCATCTCAGCTCTGCCATATTGCCAAGTTCCGCTGAGACTCCATTTACTCACCTGTTGTATCATCTGAATTATTTCCATATCCATAATGTGCAAGGATATCCTTCCATGTTATTAGAAATACAGATACACCATCATTATCAGTGGCCAAATCATTCAAATCGCTGTTTGCTTCTTCTCGGGCTCTTATTCAAGCTCACGATGCTATTCTCATAGTGATTGCGAATCTCACTGCATAAAGGTGATTTTGAAAACATCACTTTTCCTCCACACTAATGTGTGAGCTTAGCCAGAGTAGGAGATATATCTTACTTAAAAAAAAAAAAAACAAACAAACAAAAAAAAAAAACTCCTTCTTCATTTGTTATAGTTCCAGGATAGAGTGTGTACCTGTATAGAGAGAGTCAGGCAGATACAGGTGTGCCCTCCTTCCAAGATGTGTGATGGTGGGCAACTTTCTTTGCATCTCTGAGCCTCTATTTTCTCTATATAAAATGAGAGAGAAAAAAATAATTCCTAGATCTAGAGTTGGTGTGAGGCTAAAATAAGCTGCTTTTAGTATCACATTTGGCAAGTAGTAAACTCTGGATAAATATACTTTTGAATTGTGTGATTATTGTTGTTACCATTTATTGAAAGGGAATGATGAATGTAGTGAGAGAAGGAAGGAAGAGAGAGAGGGAAGAAGGGGAAAAAGAGGGATGGAAAGGAGGAAGGAAGGAAAGGAGGGAGGAGGCAAGTATATTAGTCATGATATAGGGAATTGAAAAGACATTCACGTTTTGTGGTGAATGAAAATAACTTGACCTTTATGAAGCTGGCCTAATCCCTGGAAGGAAAAAATTTCCTTGGATATGTGATTTATATAATCAATCAACTAGTCCTTATTTTGGTAGAGCTAAACTTCTGTCTTTGGGTTTACTCACCGTATCTGTGTGCATCCTGGCAATGTTTACGATATACTTCTACTAAAATATTATTTTATTCTATACTAACAAAGGGATTTGTTGTGTGTGTAAAATTCAAATTTCAATGAAGATTGTGTATTTTTATTTGCTAACTCTGGAAAATGTGTTTACAGAAGAACCAGAGAAGGACTTACTCCTCTCCGTACACTTTGGACATGTCAAAATCTAGAAATAGAGATCAGTAAAGGTAACACATAGCACCTTAAATCTGATTTAAAAGGAAAACAATGACTATTATACAGATTTATGGCTTCTTGTCAATAATACTCTGATTTCTGGAGATTGTTATCAGTCATAAGCTTTATAGGAAATATCTCCTTTTGAAAATGACATTTTAAATTAATGTGAAATTGTGTTTTAATTTAATTCACAGGGAGTCATAAACAGGTGGGAGAATTATGGAACAATAATTGTGTTTGCAAGAAATGGATTTCATCCTAAAACTCCATGAATATGCTATTACAGTTTGTTGTCATCCTGAAATGCTCTGTTTAACCATAAAATACAGCGTAAAAGACACCCTCATGTTGAAGTCCTTAATCTAGTGTGTAATTGCTTAAGTGAGCACATTAACTATATCGTCAACTACCTGTTCTCAAACACTTTAACAATCAGCTCACCAATATGGGTGTGATCTTGACATTGAGATGTAGAGCTTGACACCTGCATATAAAGTAGAAACTCAACAGTGTTTGAGAATTTGCCATTGCATCTCAGTCTTTTTTATTTATATGTTTTTTCTTTTTTTGAGATGGAGTCTTGCCCTGTTGCCCTGGCTGGAGTGCAATGGCGCGATCTCGGCTCACTGCAGCCTCCGCCTTCCGGGTTCAAGTGATGCTCCTGCCTCAGCCTGCCTCCCAAGTAGCTGGGATTATAGGCGCATGCCACCATGCCCGGCTAATTTTTTGTATTTTTAGTAGAGATGGGGTTTCACTATGTTGGCCAGGCATCTCAATCGTTTTACTAAGAAATTTGGAGGCCTTGAGAAATGGGTAAACTTGAAACATTTAAAAAAGTTGTTCTGCTAATTATCCTACCACGTGTGTCAGAGACAACATTACCCTCTTATTACTTAAAAGTAATTTGGACTGGTTCGCACACACAAAAATAGCTTTATTAACAACTTGAGTAATTTATCAAGTTCAGATTCTTTTTTTCCTCCAGAAATGCTGCTTTTGGTACACTGAGAGGTCATTCATTTAAAGTTTGTCCTTGGCAATTCCTTATTGAATAGATTCCATTTTATTTTATTTACATTTTGTACAAAGCTGATAAATAACTGAAACCAAATTAGCTCAAACTGGTTATATTTCTGGGTACAAACCAGGTGTATAGTTAATCCATTGTTGTTTCTGTGTCAACCACCATTGTCCTCACCTATACTTGGGCAGTGGGGGTGGGGAGGAGAACATAAAAACCCACCAAGCCTCATTTTTCTTGCTAATTTATTTCCTTGAACTTGGTGAGATTCTATCTGCAGTGTTTCCAAAAATAGTTTTGGAAATTGCAAAAATACTACAATGCTGTTGTGCCGGCCACACTGTGAGTGCTGACTGTCATGCATTTTATAGCCCATGTCCCTCTCCAGTGAGGCTTTTGGCCACTGGCCGTTAATTGGTAAGGTTCTTGAAAACTGAAGTGATGGTATCAGCATGGATGCCCGTGCTTTCTGATGCCACTGAAGATGGATAGAAGCTTCAAGTTATGCTTTGTGCAGACTGAATTTTTCCAATTTGTGCTTAGTAGCATCTTATTATATTAGACCAGCACTGACTGGTGATGAATAGCAAGATTGCTCCCTTCTAAGGGCTTGGCAAACCAAGAAGAATGCAGTGACATATGTCTTATGTCTTCAAAAGCAACTGGACACTTGAAGAGTATTTTCTAGTCTCATTTTGTAAACCCAATTACGAGCGGAGCTACAATTTTTATCTTTGTTTAATGTAACCAATGAGGCCATTGTCACTGTATGGAGAATAGCTTTAGTCCATATTCTCTGTTTTTTAAGACTCTCAGTCTCCTTGCAGGTGCCTTTGGAGAGTTAGGTGTTTGCTGTGATTTGAGGGATAGTGGCCAATAATTTTATTGAAATGAATATTGGTTAATTAAAGCTTATTGTATGCCATGGGCCATTCTAAGAACTTCCATCCACCCAAAAGCACTATGAAATAGATGTTGTTATTTCACTGATGGAAAAACAAGCACAGAGAGGCTAAGGAATATGCTGAAGCTTGCACAGCTAGTAAATGGCAGAACATTCAGACTGGAATTCAGACTTATACACTCACATTCATACCACACAGCCTCTCGAAGGGACGTGCCCCTTGAACGCAAGAGAGGTACATTGGGTGGCCATGGTGCTCACAGTCTCTCAATCCTTTATGTTGAGGGAGAAATGATAACCAGATCTCATTTTGTGTGCCAACCCGAAAGCCTGACTTGACTGCCTAAAATGTTAGGAAGGACTCTAAAGCCCTATCTGGATTCCAAATTTATGGTTGGTGCAGACTGGATTTTTACAATTTGTGCTTAGTAGTATCTTATTATATTAGCCCGGCACTGACTGGTGATGAATTACAAGATTACTCCCGTCTAAGGGCTTGGCAAACCAAGAAGAATGCAGTTCCACGATCCACTTGGAATGTGTGCAGTGAGTGTGGGAGGACTGGTATAAGTAGCAAAGCACTTGGCACTCTGGGTGTAAAGCATTCAGATCTCTTGCAAAATGCAAATTTTACCTGCGGGGATACCCATTCAACAATTAGAAGCTGCTGATTTCTGGACGAGAGTTAGTTTATTTAGAAAGTAACACTCAGAGACACTGGGACAGAGAACAGATCCATTTTAAGGCTGTGTGAGCACTGATCCATGACAGTATTGGTTCAGGGGCAAAGAATGGGAGGAAAGAAAAAGACAAGTTATAGCTGCACTGAAAACAAACTGGGCATGTCCTAATTTTGCTCAGGGCTACTTCTCTTAGAGTCGTTAAGGTTTTGAGCATATTAACAGCAATACTGATCATAGCTAATATGCCTCTATGTCAGGCTCTGTACTGGGTTCTTTGAGTATACTCACCACCTCCTGACAAGGTTTTGGCAGCCTTACTTGGTAGACACTATGATTCCCATTACATACATGGAATGTACAGTAACTGAGGATCACTGTGATATTGGGAAAGTGGGACTTCAGACGCTAGCCTCCCCTTGTAGTGCCTGCATTCTTTTCACAGCCCCTCCCCACCTTAGAATCATTTTCTTCAAGGGAGAGTATGGTTTGTGATGCCCTTATCAGCAAAACTTCAGCTAGAAGATGCAAGGGTGAAATACACCTCCCCACCCCACGTGATCTCATAGCACAGAATGACTGGCCACCCCAGACTGAAGGTTAGGGAGACTGGGGGCCCCAGACTCAAGGTTGGGGAGACTGGGGAGAGGGAAAGCGAGGAAGAAGCGTAAGTGTATCTTACAGTTTAAAACCATAATGGGACATATCATTTTCTTAGTTCTCCATTTATTAATAAAATGCCCAATACCTTCTGGCATGTGCTTTGAACTGCTTTTAATTATCTTCAGTTGGATGGAGAAAAGGTAATGGGGACCTCATAATAGTCGTGGAGGGACAACTGGGATTTATTTCCATAGGGAAGGCAGAGACTGTTTGCCAGGGAACCAAGGCCTTTCAAAGTTGAGGACACTTCCCGGTGCCGTGCGGTGTAAATCACAGTGCAAACTATGCGATTATCCCCTGCAGAGGAATCGAGTGTGACTTTATGGGATTCTTCACCAAGCACTTAGGAATAATCTGATATAAAACAGCAGGGGTGGAGAGTAATGACAACTTCAAATTAGTTTAATGAATGTTTACATTTAAAAAAAAAAGGCTTTTCTGCAAACCTGAAAATAAGAAGTGACAGCTTCCTTTCCTATTTCCCTTGCAAGAGGTACCTCCTGGTTTTCAGCCTGAGGAGGAAGGTGGCTTTATTTAACTCCTTCAGCCCCGGAACATCACAGGGCCCTTCTTTGTGCATTCTGGGTTCTAACAGCCCCTTGAACAGTGCTTGAGAGTATTTCCATTATAAATGTCGAATCGGCATTGAAGGAACATCTGTTTTAAGTCAACTTAGACTCAATCCAGGAAAAAAAATAAATTTCTGGCTGTCCACCTGCTCAAAAGGTCAATTACCCACCCAAATCAGCCAGAGATGGCTGATGGGCTACAGATGCCGAGGATATTTTTAGCAGGATTTTGGCAGGTACCCTGCTTGTTGAATGCAGCAAAGAAGAGGGAGGTTGATAAACCATTATACTGTTTGAAAGTTGGTGCCGCGCCAAATCTCCCACCAAATCTGGATGGTGCTTTTGAGCTATTTCCCCACTTCTGCTGAAGAAGGATTCATTTCAGTAGAAGGAGTGGGATAGGAAATGTTCACATTGCTTGCAGTATGTGAAATAGACCTCGAGGTATTTTGGATAAAAAAGCAACATTCGTGTTTTAGATATGGTTACCCAGCCCAAGCCGCCTCTGCTCTTTATAGCCGTGTTTTTGAAGTGTTCTTATTTTTTGTTCCGAAATCGGAATATTTCCTGGCGTGCGTATCTTGGCCCCATCACATCACAACAGGCTGAATGCTGTCCACAGGTTGCCAGTCTGGATATGGAATATTAGTCAAAACGATATAAACTAACTTGGTCTCTGCTATAGGAGGGACAAAATAACTACAAAACAAAAGCAAGAAATAAAACAAAACCAAACAAAAGCCTGCAGTGTTTGGGCCCCTTTCAGGGATATCTGGAAAACCAAATGGAGAATTCCAGGAGCGGATTTGGAAACAAGGTTGGGTCTACTTTGGCCTTTAAGCCATCACTAGAAACACTGACTCTTGCGCGCTAGAGTGATGTTTTTCCTTCTCTTTTGGATTGACGTGCCAGCACCTCAAGAAACCTCTGTGAAAAATCCACAGGTCTTCAAGAACCAGAAGAAAACAGAATAAAAATAGCTCAAAATAAAAATGAAAATGAAAATAGAGCAAACATCCATTTCTGTGGGACCTAAAGAGTTGGGAAACCTAAACAACCAGATGATGATAGCTGTTGCTGCTCTTCCTGAAATCAATTTTAAAGTAGGAATTGTCAAAGATAATGAGACTAGTATGGAGCAAAAACTGGCAATTTTCAGTTAACCAGAATGTTGCATGAATTAGAACCCCAGATTTTCCTGGAGATGACTCTAGCCAGGCCATTTGAGGACAAGTTGCCAAATATTTGTATTTTAGAAGCCTCAGAAGTGTGCACAATTTTCTAGTTCTCAACAAGGCACTACAGCAACATGTCTAGTGTTTATGTAAATGATCTTTATAAATCCTCTAGCTGATAGAGAGTTTTCTTCCATCACAGGCAAAATGTGGGTTTAGATGCAATTTGTAATATTGTTGTACAAGAGTGGGGTCCTTTCACTGACATATACGAAGTGTTGTAATACAAGGCAAAGAAAATACAAACCCATCCTTAGTCATTTAGAAAGACAACCTGGTTGAGAATTTAAGATGATGGTTTAGGGCATAGCTTGTGGAATTCGATGGGTTGCACTGTAAGTTTCAGTTTCCTTATCTGTAAAAGTAGGAATAATATCTAGACCTAAAGGTTATTTTGAAGATTAAATGAGATAATGCGTGAAAAGTGCTGACTCAGCACCTGCAGAACCCATGCGTCGTCATCATCACGTTTGTTGAGGGATTTGAGGCGTGTCTAGGAACGCAGATGTGGAGACACCTGGAGCATCTTCAGGAGCTGTTTCTGCGGATTCTCATGTGGCTTATCAAGCACAGGAAATAGTTTTCCTGGAAAGACATGGAGCAAAGCAGTTATTTAGCCGTCCATCCGGCACTGCCAACCTCTTCGTGTTCCTGCAAGGATTAAATGAGAGATGGTGACAGTAGAGAGTCAGCCCTGAGGGAGGAGTGTACAATTCATGGGCTACTATTCCATGTGTGTGGGTCAGGAGACGCTTAAGGCATTCACAGCACTGGGTGTGAGGAAGGATGCAAATAAGCTTAACTTATTTATGAATTATCTGCCCTGGAATGGCATTCTAATGTTGTGTTGGAAGAGAGACAAGAATGTGCTGGGAGGATACTCAGTTTATAACGGACGTTCTGATGGCCAGTGCAAATGGCGCCAGGAATCTGTGTTTATAGAGATGGAGCATGGATGCCCCTGAGCACCTGTGTGTGTGCGAAGGGTGAATGGGTTGCTGGGAGTTCGTCGGTTGTTTAGGGAAGCACTTACGTGTATGCCTGTGTGTGTCTCTAGGACTCACTCTCCACTTCCCACCTTACTTATTATTAGTGTTCTTGTTTCTCTTCGCTATGGGGAAATGCAGATAAACCGTAAAAACTTGATAGAGTGAACAAAGGCTTCGGAAGCTTCCTTAGTTCTTATAATTGCTCAATGGGTTCTTCTTGCCTGCTGCACAGGTAAAACCCAGTTCACTGAGATGACATTATGGCAGGAAAGAAAGAGTTTAATTAACACAAGTCCAGCCAAGCAAAAGGACAGGAGTTTATTATTACCCAAATCAGCCTCCCCGAAAATTTGGAGGCTAGTGTTCTTCCAGGATAGTTTAGCAGGAAGGGAGCTAGGGAATGGAAAATGCTGATTGGTTGGGGATGAAATCATTGAAGTGTGGAAAATGGTCCTCGTGCACTGGGTCAGCCTCAGTTCCAGTTGAATCACAAGTCCCAGGCCTAGGTGGGGTCAGTGGGTCATCAAAATGCAAAAGTCTGAAAACCATTCCAAAAAAACCAGTCTTAGGTTCTACAATAGTGATGTTATCTACAGGAATAATTGGGGAAGTTCCAAATCTTGTGACCTCCTATGCCTACATCTTAGCTGAATTCAGACCCCTCTCCTAATCCTAACCTTGTGGCCTTTTAGGAGCTTTACAAAGGTGGTTTCATTTCGGGAAAGGCTGTTATCATTCTTGCTTTAAGATTAAAGTATAAACTAAATTCTTCCCAGTGTTACTTTGCCCTATGCCCAGGGATGAGTGAGGACTGCCAGCCCGTGGGGCTAGAAGCAAGATGGAGTCAGCTATGCTGTCATATTCCTCTTATGGTCACAATTTCACAAAGGTGGCTTCATTCTCATGACCATTGCTCCCAGGCATTGTTCTTGAATACCTTAGAAAGTTTCATTAGCTCATGTCTCTCCTCTTTGTACCACCTTCCAACATTTCCCTACTGCCTTGGACATTAAAGTCCAAATCCAGTCTGTTCATCATGATCTGTGGAGCCTTTGATAATCGCAGCCTCCAGCTTCTCCTTCACACCTGTCTCCTGTCTCCTGCTTTTTCTTTTTGTGCACTGCCCAAGAACCTTTTCATCTACTAATCTTTGAGTTTGCCGTCCTCTCTTCCTAAATCACTCCCCTCCCTCCACTGTTCCACGTGGGACGTTCCTTCCAGAGAGGCCTCCCTTAAGCCCACCTTCCATACCTCCTCTGGTTATCCTCAGTCATGAGGCCCTGCTTCCTCCCGCACACTGAGCACAGGCAGTACCTGCTTTACTCATGTACTTGTTTATTATCTGTGTCACCCAGTGGGACATAGTAGACTCCATCAGGGCTGGGAAGGAATCTGCCTTCGTCACCATTTTGACATCATTATCAAGTGCGCAATTAGGCTCACAGTTGAGCTCAACATAGGATCTGTGGAAGGAAAGAAGGACAGAAGGAAGGAAGGGGGAAGGGAAGAAGGGAGGAAGGGAGGGAAGGAAGGAGGGAATAATTTCCAGGAAGCCTCATTGGATTTCTTTCCCCCTTATTTCTGAAAGCTCACCTCTTTACAGCTGGCAAGGCCAGCAGAACTGAACAATAGAGCCGGATTAAGCAAGCATTCAGGTGCCCACTTAATTCAATCGGCGAATTTGCATTTCTCAGGCTCTGTGCCATGAGAGCCTGCCGCCTCAAGGGACCACCTGCCTTCTACCAGAAGGACTTTGCTCCTTGGAGAATTTCCCTCTGGCAATGGTCCAGGTCAAACGAGGTACCATACAAATGTGGCTTGTCACCATTTTCCAGTTTAACTTTCTCAAGCCTTGGCTGCCTCGATTTCATTCCAGACTACAGTAGCAGCTGAAAAGGTAGCTACCATTGCAGTCGAAGACACTGGCAGATGGGACTGGCTTGTTGGCAGAGATGGCAGAGATGGCAGAGATATGAACTATCTCTGAAAGGGCATTCTGCATGCCACAGTTAAGTGCTCTGTTGAAGGACGGCTCTGGAAGGGAGCATCCGCGAAATGAATAAGAAGGTGGTTATTAGTGAGGTCTCCCTGAAAGGAGCATAGCTGGATGCAATCCTTGGAGGCCCTGTCTAGGGCCTGTCTGGGGCTCCAGCTTTCATAGGGCCGGCCATCCCCTTTGCTCTGGGTGAGATCTGTCTTTGCTTCTGGTGATTCTGATATTCACTATCGAGAACGATTGCTTTAAAACACATCAGATCAAAGTTTTCTAAAATCAGAGTAAAAGCTAAAACCTTTGCAAGGTCCTGCATGACTTGAGTCCCTGTTCCTCCCTTGACATCAAAATGGCTGTTGTCTGCTCTCGCTCTCTCTCTTTCTCTCTCTCTGCTTCAGCTGTCCTGACCTCCTTGACCTTTCTTAAAAACTTTATGAAAACTCCACGTTTGGGCTTCCCTCCACCTGAGATGCTCTTCTCGGCTCCTGTGAGGGCTACCCCTTTACCCTTTATAGTGTCTGCCCGGACATCTCCTCACTAGAGACCTTCCCTGACCACTGCCACATGGAATAGTACTAATACTTCATGCTCATCCTCTGCCTGCCCTGGGTTTTTAATTTGTGCGTGTGGGTGGGGTGGGGGGCGGGGGGGGGCACTTATCACCACCTGCATATTATGCTTTTGTGCATTTCAGGTTGGTCTTTCCCGCAAGAAGGTAAACTCATCTGCAGCTGTATTCGCTGTGCCTATGGTAGTGCCTGGCAAATGCACAGAAGTGGGTATTACTGAGGACTTTGTGGTTCGAATGGAATGAGTGTGCTGCTGACAGTGTTGCGAGTCATCTGCAAATGAAAAGTCCTTCCTTCTCTTCCCTTCTGGAACCTTCCAAAGAGGCTAGCCTCCTGAGAGGGCGTCTCCTGGGAATGCCTGTGATCCAGGCAAGGCACCTAAATCAGCCAATAAATAATTAGTTTTGAGAAAAAAGCCTGCACAAAAGCAGAACTCACAGATTTTCTCATTGATCTTCCTGCCTTTGCCTTGGCCATGGTCAGTCTTTGGGGCTATTAGCTGCATGTACAAGTGCACAGGGGATGGGAGGGGGGCTCCGGAAGATCCCTAACCCATTGTGGACACACCATTTATGTTAGTGGAATCTGGTAAGAGTGATTGAGGAGAGAGCATTGGGTGAATGACCCTGTAATCCTTATAAAAATAGTAGCAACGGTAACTAATGATGTTTATGAACTGCCTAAGAATGCCATGACTGTGTCAAGCACTTCCCATAACTAGCTCATGTAAAGCCTGTAACCATCTTGGGGGTGAGGACAATTATGTCCCATTGTGTTATGTGTCTGTGTTTGCAGGAGTTGTTCAGTGGTAAGGTGCAGTCAGGACTTAAACCCGTGTTCCTGAGAGTAGCTCTGTGCTGCCTGACACACTCCTTCCTCCTGAATGCACAATCATATGTTCACGTGCCACATGGTTTTCAGAAAGCACTGCACGTGTAGGAAGCTCAAGACAGAGACGTGGCTGGTCACGGTGGCTCATGCCTGTAATCTCAACGCTTTGGGAGGCTGAAGCAGGAGGATCACTTGAGCCTAGGAGTTCGAGACCTGGGCAACATGGTGAGACCCCCATCTCTACAAACAACAACAACAAAAAAAAAAATTAGCCAGGCGTGGGGGTGCATGCCTGTGCTCCCAGCCACTCAGGAGGCTGAGGTGGGAGGATGGCTCGAGCCCAGGAGGCCAAGGCTGCAGTGAGATATGACCTCACCACTGCCCTGCAGCCTGAGCTATAGAGCCAGAACTTGTCTCAAAAAAACCCAATAATAATAATAATAATAATAATAATAATAATAATAATAATAAAGAAAGCGAGAGAGGAGGTAGGGAATGAATGCCGAAAGTGGTTCCTTGGGTCTGATGCCCACGCTTAACCGATTCCCAGCCAAACATTTCACAGTTGTCTTACGCACAGGCGTAAGATATGCATCTATCTTGGTGTGCACCTGAGAAGTAGTTATGTCTAAGTTTCCGACTTGACTTGGTAGAGTCATTTGATCAGTAAAGCGCAGAGCAGATGAACTACCTGGAAAGAAAGTGCCGGAACTCCCCACGTGTGACATCTCACTTCGGGGAAAGGTGGGCCCTGCGCTGCGCTTGGCGAAGGTAAATGCACCTGGGTATCCTCTTGACCTGGAATGGTGGAAAATAAAGAAAACTTCAGCATGTAGCAAGTAGTTGTGAGTACGATTAATGCTGTTTAGAGTTGCCAGTTCTCTTACGCACTCAGCGAAGGCCGTGTGGCTTCGCATTAATCACCACCAAGCCAACATGAGCTTCCAGCAAAAGAGCCCAGTGATTGGGAACAAATTCAAAACAGCTTTATTTCATTGACAGACAGGACCTTTTTGTTAAACTGTGGTTTAAAGACCTTTACATCTCTGTCTTGTTCACACGTTACTGTAGTCATTTACGTAAACTTAGGAACTAAGAACCGACTTATTTATCACAACCTATTGGCAGGAAAAGGGTCACATAAAAAAGAATCTTTATTGGTAGGTTTTTTTTTTTTTTTAAAGCTAATAAACAGTGCTAGTGGAAAGTATGCTGTTATCAACCATTATTGAAGTAAGTGGGTTTCTGGACTGAAAAAAAATAAAGAAAACATCTAAATGTCAGTGTGCAAATAGAAAGTAGCAGTCAATTAAATGAGGCAGTGTGTGGTCACCATAGATGGCCAATGTCTGTGTTATTAGGGAAAGAAGAGAAGCCGGGAAGGAGGAGGAGGTTTCTGGGGTTAACCTGTGTTTTGCTAACTGGTGTTAGTTAGTCTCAGATAAGAGCTCTATGTAAACCAACTTTGGCCCAAATTGACTCATTGAAAAACACCTTGTTTCAAATTTTTTCCCCCTCTATGACCAAAAAGTTACCCAAACCTTTGTGTCACATATTTAAGGATGTTCAAGGCAACCAATTAGTATTCAAGCATTTAGAATTATTTTGAAACATCTTCTGTGAAAAACAATTTATTTCCTATTCCAAAATAAATGCAGAATATTCCTAATATAGTTTGATAGTTCCTCCTCAAGACTTATCATTCAAAGATTGGGCAAATTGACTTGAAAGAGAAAAGTTAAGCTATTTCCCTAATACCAAGGCAATGCAGGTCAGCTGCAGTGCCTAATGTTTATAAAACTTGTAAATGTTGAAACCCACACTTGGTCTGAGAGAACATCATGCTCCAGTTTGTTCTTAGGAATGTGTTTCTGATGTGTGTGTGTGTGTGTGTGTGTGTGTGTGTGTGTGTGTTTTCCAGAAACCAACTGGGAAGGGCCCTAAGCTGAGATTACTGTTGAGAAGTAAATTGTGCTTTTAAAGTGTCCTCCAGCAAAATGGTCTCCTGGCTGTCTTTGGAAATGACGTATCAGTCCAGATGCCCTTTTTCTTGATGGATTGCTAGGATTTTTACTCACCACCGATGGAAAATTCTCATAGTCTGGAAGGGTGGAGCGTCTGCCTTCTATCATGATTGTACACAGATGAGCAAAGCTCCTTGGCAATGAGTGAGGCAGACGGGCAGTCAGGTTCGGACTGGTGCAGCAGGTAGGCTGCTGCTAGGGAGGAAGGAAGAGGCACAGAAGTTCAGGGCGTGAGAGGGTATGCGAGAGATGTCAACAATCCAGGAGCTGGCTTGCTTCTTCCTTTAGTCAGTGGTGCAAGCTTCAAGTGGATAATTCAAATGAATCAATGGAAAGGCCTCTTTTAACATTTGATTTGTTTCTTCAAAGAACACAGATGAAGTTTTTCTCATCTCTTTAGATTAGTGATTCTATATTGGTGAGGGAGTGGAAGAGAAATGTGGGTGTGTTGACTATATTCTCCACAGAAACTTTTTGAAGTAGCATCGTCACTCAGCACAGAACATTTTGACAATACACTTCCAGGGCAGGTGGTTTCTTACTATGTCCCTCCCTACCCCCACATACTTTGGGACTCAGAATGTAGGGAGTGTACTCTCGAGGGATGCAGCCCATACGTGAATGCATGGAGGCAGCATATAAGGTTGCAAAGCACTGACCTTCTCTTTTTATGATTCCCATTTATTCCATAGACTGTGAAGTCTGCCTGTACATTTCCAGGCTAGCAGTTTTTAATCAAATGTATGATCACTTTCTTCTGATGAACACAGTTAAGGGGCTTTGTTGTTCAGGTGAGTCTCACATTGTACTCCTCTCCTAAGAGCATTTATTATTACTTGCTACATACATTTTTGACAACCTGACAATGACTTTTTTGTCTTAATTTGGAGAAAACATACTCTGAGCTTTTGAAGTTGGTGTACTTGTTAAAGGAAGCCAGAAAAGCTTTTCAACCATTTGAGAGGGTGTGAAATACAGAAGGGGTTGTGCGTTTCTTCCCCCCTCATCTCTTAGAGCCCTGTTACCCAAGAGAGTTCACCAATTACCCAAACCAAGTTTCATTTTGTTTTCTCTCTAGTTTGAAAACTGTTTTTATTGCTTCAACTCTCCTTGTCTAGGAGAGCTGTTTCAGGTTTTTAGAGTCCTAAGAAAGGCTTCACTGGCTCTCTGCCAGCCTCCTGTCCCATTACACGCTCAGGCTTGTAGTCAGTTACTCTCTGCTGGTTTTGCTAAACCACTCTTGGGTCTTTCTTGGCCTCCTGCCCCGCATTCCCCTTCACGTTGTAAACGTAGCTTTTTAAGTTGGTCCCTTGATTGCTTCAAGTAATTGATCTGTTGGCCTAAAAATGAGTGGCTCTGATTCAGAGGTAGGAGTTAAACCAGATTCTGCCTAGGGACAAGTGTGTTGGGAGCTCTGCTTCTCTGGAGACAATGGTCAGCAGTGTTGCAACCAACTCCATGTCTGGTGCACCAGATGGTCTCATTGGGTGGTAGGGTGGCCAAACCTTGTGTGAGCTGGCTCACTTGTTCATTCATTCATTCGTTTACTCGTTCTTTTTTGTATTAGCTTAAAAATGCTTATACGCCGGCCATGGTGGCTCATGCCTGTAATCCTAGCACTTTGGAAGGCAGAGGCGGGAGGATTGCTTGAGTCTAGGAGTTTGAGACCAGCTTGGCCAAAACAGTGAGACTCCATCTCTACAAAAAAAGAAAAATAAATTAGTTAGGCATGGTAGAGTGTGCCTGTAGTCCTAGCTACTCAGGAAGCTGAGATGGGAGGATTGCTTGAGCCTAGGGGGTTGAGGCTGCAGTGAGCTATGATCATACCACTGCAATCTAGCCTGAGTAACAGAATGAGACTGTCCCCCCAACCCCCCAAAAACAGAAAACAGTATTCCTATCATATGCATTCTCAACTCTGCAGAGGTCCTGGGTCACATTTCCTGCAAAGTTGCACTGCCTCCCATAGGCATGAGACCTCCACATGGACAGAATTTCATGAGTGTTCACCTTGGTGTTGCTACTTTGCAACATAGACTTGAAGATTCAGAGAGGAGATGTGGTAAGAGTTTATTTCTGGACAGAGAAAAGCTACACCATTCATCTAGATCTCATTAATCTGTATTCATTTTGACATGCTTTTCTGCAGTTGACGTTTTTATTTATTAAGCGCTTTACAAGATATTCAGTATCATTATCGAAGCTATAATTATTAATGATCAAAGTTAGCAGTACTTGTTTTAGCTGTCATCTTCATCATCACCATCACCATCACCATCGTCATCATCAGGGCCACAACAGCCTCTTCTTTTCTCTTAAATCTTCCAGCAATTCTTCAACTTTGCCTGTATATTTATCATACAACATAATCCTAGTATTTAGTAAATGCTTGGTCTTTGATTTCTTATTTTCAAATGCATGTCTTTAGAACCAGAATGTGTGTAGCTGTTTTCTGGCCTGAATTTGGGCTGAGATGATGAGAAGTTTAGTTGCCACTTTCAGCTAAGTGGAAGTGTTTTCCCCATTTGGACTCCGGGTCATTGACAAACGTCATCACTGTTTTTAGTTGAAATGTGCTTCCATGTGGCTGTTCATCAGCACACCCATATCTAGACGTGTGCTAGCCTCAGTGAGAGTTGCAGAATCTGTGTATTCATTTCCTTTATCTAGAAATCCTCATTATGGTACATAAAAGAGCTTTCTATCGCTTTTTTACATTATAGTAGTTATTCGTTATTATTATTATTATTATTATTATTATTATTATTATTATTACTGAGACACCGTTTTACTCTCTCTTTGCCCAGGCTGGAGTGAAATGGCACGATCGCAGCTCACTGCGACCTCCACCTCTTGGGTTCAAGTGGTTCTTCTGCCTCAGCTTCCTGAGTAGCTGGGATTACAGGTGCACGCCGCCATGCCCGGCTACTTTTTGTATTTTTAGTGGAGACAGGGTTTCACCATGTTGGCCAGGCTGGTCTCAAACTCCTGACCTCAGGTGATCCACCCAACTCGGCCTCCCAAAGTGCTGGGGTTTCAAGCATGAGCCACCGCGCCTGGCTTTGTTATTATAGAGTTATATGGATTTATCATTTTAGGTGGAGATTTGAGTTTATGTCTCCTACAGACAGCCGTAGACTTTGTTTCATTTTAAGATCAGTGTTGCAGACACTGCTGAGTGTCTTCAAATGTCTGTTCTCCCTTTATTACCTACTAATAAAATACCTAATTTTCAACAGCCTGGGAAGAGACTATATTTCCCTGCTTGCCTTTGCAGCTAGAGTGATCCTTTGATGAAGTTCTAGTAAATGGGACGTTAGCAGAACTGTCGTATCTCAGGGCTTCCGTAGGGTTTATAACTGATCCACTGAGAGATAAGTTGAGAGCTTGAGAGTCAACCTTTAGAAAAGTTCGTAACTATTTGTCAAAATTAAGCTTATGTCTGTTCCAGGTAGTAATTTTAAAATGGGCTTATATTTTGTATGTCCTTTTTAATTTCCTTTTTCTAGCAATTCTCAATGTTTTTTTAAAATCTCTTCTGGAGGAGGGTACCCTTCACAAAGTTATTTGCCAAAGGTCTGAGGAAAAAAAAAGCCTTTCACCATGGTTAGTTCGAGAAGCACAGCAATACAGTACTTCTGCTACGAGTGTATACAGGCTGAGGATGGGTGCTTTGTGGCCCTTTTCTTTTACCGGCTGACTAGAATGTTGACGTTAAAGCAGTTAGAGTTCGAGCAGGCAACTCCGACCCCAAGTTGGAGCTGTGTGTTGAAGATAGAAGAGCAAATATGTGGAAGGAACCTGGATTTCTATTTTTTTAAAAAATATAATAAATCATCCAGCCCCAAATGTCAGGAACCTGGGTTTCTAATGATGGTTGGCTGTCACCCCCATTTCCCACACTTTAAATGAGAGAAGTAAACATCTGACTTCCTAAAACCACCGTTGTCACTCAAAGCCGAATCTCATCCTGACTGAAATGTCACTAGTCCTTTTTTTTTTTTTTTTTTTTTTTTTTTTTTTTTGGTCATATTTTCTCCATTTGGAGAGGCTGGCTGACCCATCAATGGGCAGTGTGGGGGAATGGAGAGACCTGGGATTTTGGGGACAACAGTGACCATGAGGGGATCTCTACACTCCTACTTGGAAATGGAGTAGCATTCTACACTTAAGTATCTCCCTTTATAAGCTAGGAATACTAAGAACCTAAGAGTCTCCATGAGGATTAGATGAGGTAATGTTTGTAAAGAATCTGAGATATAGTAAGTTGATCAGCATATGTTATTTATCCTCTTCTTCCCTCTACAAAGATAACTAAGCTGAGATAGCCTAACTCCCCCAGCTCAGAAAATAGCAAGTTATTTGCAAAATCAAATGCTGATGTAACCATTTCCATTCTGAACTCAGAAAATGGAGATAAATCTCTTGCAAGGCTTTTGATTTTAGTTTTTAGATACAGAACCTTTAAAAAAAAAGAAAAATAAACGTTTTGCCAAAGTGTAGTATATACAACAGATGTGAGGGAAGGACATTGTTTTAAGTGGGAAACGTCAGCTCTCTCAACTTCTACACATTCGACTATTCCCTACTCCTCAGTGACCCCAAAGACCCCAGAGAAACTCAGTATGAAAAATCACTATGGAAGTGCAATAGTTATTACTTTGTTTGGAATTCACTACAACACTGTTTCTCAAAATATAATTCCTGAGTCACTTGGAAGATTACAACCAACTGAATTAGAATCTCTGGAAGGCATCCTAAGAGTCTGCATTTGTATGAAGCTTCCCAGGTGGTTCTGCTCAGCCCTAAGTTTGAAAACTACTGGCAGAATAGTAGCAGAGTTACTTATTCTACATTCGTTTTTTAACCCATTGTAAAAATCATACATGTATGTTCAAGACACCGGCAGATCACAGGAAGGGAAAAAAAATCACTTATGCTTCCACCACCTTAACCTAGAAACCTTTAGGACTTTTCAGTACTTCCTTTCTGTCTTTTTCCCCTATACCTAAGTTTTTATTTACAATATAGTTGTAGCCATATGATTGTTGCTTTCATTGTTGCTTACATGTGTTAAATAATTTTGTCTCTGTATAATAACAACCTCTGGCGATTTTTCCTTTCTCTCTCTCTCTTTTTTTTTTTCTTTTGTTTAGACGGAGTCTTGCTCTGTCACCCAGGCTGGAGTTTAGTGGCATGATCTTGGCTCACTGCACCCTCCGCCTTCTGGGATCAAGTGATTCTCCTGCCTTAGCCTCCTGAGTAGCTGGGACTATAGGTGTACATCACCACACCTGGCTACTTTTTGTATTTTTAGTAGAGATGGGGTCTCATCTGGTGATTTTTCAAGTAAGGTAATGGAAGCAAGAGAGGTTTACATACATGGTGTACATATACCTCGGCAGCCTGTTTCCTTCCCTTATAACTATCTCAAAAAAACATATTAAGTTATTTTTCAGAATTATGTTTTTTCCTGTTGCTTTTGACTGTAAAGGGCAGACTTAAATTTAGTTAACATCTGCTCTAACGTTGGATCATGTGTGGAGTCCCCAGTTTTCAACATTAAAAATAAAGTATTTGTTGAAGTGGGGTTTTTTTCTTCTTACAGTATATGTAGAACCATTTTCTTGAAAATGTTTCTTAGAAATTTGTTACTTAGAAGATTTGAGCCAATGATACATTGCCGAGATTTGTAAGAGTAAGACCAGCCTACGCTGAGTATTATTTTCTCAAAGGAATATTATGAGGCACATCCCATCTTCATATCAGGGAACAAACTGTCACATTTTAGTGAAATCTGTGGGTTATGTGTGACCACACACAGTGTCGTGTTTGCTCCCTTTACAGAAATCTAAGTAAAAGAATCACTTTTTCCTAGTATCTGGATGACTTGATTTCTTACTATCTTGGGCCTTCTTGGAAACCCTGAAATGTAGCCTTTTCATCTTAATTCACAAAGTGTTCATTCTCACCCTTTTCCTTCATGAGAATTTTCTGAAGCTATTGTGAATCTATGGAAGACTCAAGGTAGTATCTTTTTCACAGCATTCAAAAAAATGCTGCTGGCTCCTTGGCTTGTCCGGTGCATCCTCCGTGCCAGCCCCCGCTGTCCTAGAACCATCTAAGCTAACTCTCCGATGAGCTCTGGCCTCTGGACCTCAGCCTATCCAGGCCCCTTCATGACCCAGTCACAGTGATTCTATCTGTACCTACCACAGCTAGGTAGGCGGTATGGGAAGACCACAAACTTGAGAGTCAGACGGATCGAACTTCGTCTTTAGCCCCCCACTTAGGTGTTATGTGACTGTGGTCGGGTTATTGGTAACATCTTCTTGCTCAGCTTCCTGACCTGCAGAATGGGAATAAGAATACCTAGCACATAGGGTTATAATGAAGATGAAACTGCTTAACGCATGTGAATAACAACAATGGCTAACATGTATCAGACGCTTGTCTTAGTGTTTATTGTTTTATGCGTATTGTCCTGTTTCATCCTCATGCTTACCCTGAGAGAAAGGTGGTATTATTATTCTTATTTTGCAGGTGAGGCTTAAAGAGGTCAATTATTAGGTTGAACTGTATGAAATGACTGTTTTTATAGGGAAAAACAGTAGCCGATCATCAATTCCCTAAGGTTCCACGTAATAATTTGTCCAGGTCTCATAGCAAAAAGGTGGCCGGATGAGGATTTGAACCCACTGCTCTCCAACCCCTAAGCCCGTGCTTTGTAGAATTAATCGGAGCTCTAAAGTACTTGACCCTGGGCCTGACACCAATCAGGAGCTTAAAACCCATTAGTTTCTTTTTTGTTTTATTTTTGCCCACTATTAAAATGTGCCAAAGTAATAAGATCAAACAGGGCCCCTGCGTTTTGACAAACATCCGAATTCTGAATTTCAGCGTGGAACAGGGCATGGAAAGCAAACACAATGGGGAAAATTGCCGTGGCCGGTCCCGACAATGTGTGGATTAAAAAACCACATGCATGCACAGAGACCTGATGTGAATGGTATTTCTGAGTGGAAGCTAAGTAGGAGCTGAAAATGGCCTTTTAAAATACAGAACATAAGGATGCAATTCACAGAGATGGTCTAAACTGTAAACATGCAGCTGTGGGGTTTGTGAGGCTCATTGCTTACATACCGACAGCATACAAATTGTCAAGTACTTAAAGTTCCATTGTTGCTGAAAGGGCCTCCACCCAATGTCCTTAAATGGTCCCCCCTTTTTTTTTTTTTTCAAACCACAGGATTTACATCTCTCGTAGCATCTAATGAAATACCAGCAAGAATTGTGTGTTGGTGTAAGAAATAATAATCTTTCCAAATCCTTTTGTTTTGTTATCATTTGCTAATAGAGATCTTTGAAAGAAAATTCAAAGATTGAAGTTTGTATTCTCCTAAACTCCTGCAAAGAAGTCCTGTGCAAGGATCGTTCACTAGTGTTCTGCATCGTTCTTCTTACTCAACTCTCCCGAGAGGCATTGTGGACGCCTGTGGGGTTGGTTTTTGGCACCCATCCCTGACCCCTTCTTCTCCAGGAAACTCTGTTCCTACCTGCTCCTCTTGTGGCTACCTTGGGAGGTGCCATTTTTATCAAGGTTAGTGTGTGGTTAAGCACCTTCCCACAAGCTCAGGGGAAAAAAAGGTCCCCTCCCCAGATTTTTTTTAGAACTGGAAGTTTCCATTTCCTGGCACTGGTGAAAGCTCTAGGACATAAAACTTGGGAGCCGATGGCCTTCAGGCTGCCCATAATGTGAAGAGAGGTCATTTCAGACATTCAGATAAAGTCTGTGGCTCCAGTATTTTTCTAGGTCTTGCTCCCTCCCTGACCTTTTCACAGTTTGGTGACACAACTCTTCCTTGAATTCCATAGGTTGACAAATTCCCCTGAGTTTGGGTTAGGGTTTTGTTACTTGCAAGGCAGGCATCACAGGGCTGCTCCTGGCCATGCATAGCTTTGGAATCACTTCTCTGATTCTCATGGCTCGGGAAGGAGAAAGTGTCCTGTGTGTGGAGATGGCAGGGTGGCTGGAGTTGAGAGGAGAGTCCCTTGAATGCCACGCAACATTTCTCTCTGTAGGTGTCCTCTGCACACTGTCCAAACTCCATTTTTAACCTTGACTGCATAGTACCGTGTACATTCATTAAGCATCCCTCGCCATAGGAGAATCTGAGTTCCTGGGAGCATTTAACACAGTTCCTGGCCTTGAGTAAAAACTTCATAAGCACTTGTTGAATTGAACTGAATTTGTTGTCTGTGTTTAAAGGACTTGATGGATAAAGGGAGATTTAACAGTTTATAGCCAGATTGGACTCAACCATGATGATTTCTGGTCCATCTTTTAGAATGTCTTCACTTCTCTTGGCCTTTATTTCTCCAAGTGGTGATAATGAGACCTATCCCTAACGGTTAAAGTGACATGGTCCATTTAAAGTGCTTAAACCAATTGCCAGGCACATAATAGGTGCTCAATAAATACTTCCTTTATTTCCCTGTTAGGCCTCTCCCAACCAGAGATCAAAGATGATTGGCCCTGAAGTTATTTTTCCCCCCAAATTTGATAGAAATCAGTAGAGATGCTAAAATATAATACATTTGACCTGCATTGATCAAGGTAGGCTAACTGCTATAACAACTTTACAATTAGTGCCTTAACATAATATAAAATGACTTCTTGTTCATGTAACATCCAAGGTAGCTGTACCTAGTTGCAATGCTCTCTTCCAAGTAGATATTTAGGGACACGGGCTCCTTCTATCTTCTGTCACCACCACCTTTATTTTTAGCATCCGCGGTCTTAGCAACAGTAGAAGGAAAGAATGGAGATAAGACAGTGGGTATTTAATCACCTTAGCCCATAAGTGACTCACGTCACTTCTGACTACCATATCCAATTTTTGCCTCTCTTTTTTTCTTGGGTTCCCCCCGACAAAAAAAAATATGACAGAAGTGTCACCCATCCAGCCAGCCAGCCATCAATCCGGTATCCATTCATCCATCCATCCATCTAGGCATCCCAGGTGACTCATTCCTGTGACCTTGGGAGACAGTCTTTCTTCCTAGAGGTTGTTTGCCCCAACCCCCTGTTACATTCTTGAACCATATGTTTCCCATTGTTTGCACTTCCCCTAGTCACCTGGTGCTTTAATTTTTGCCTGTAACCTTCTGAAACTTTCCTTAAATGTTCGGCTTTGACCTGTCATTCACTAAGTCTTTCACCATCCTTCACTCATCTTACCTCCTTCTTCTGTGGCATTTCATAAATTTAATGATTGTAATTGTGATTACAACATAATTGTTTATGTCTACCCCAGGCTTTGCAACAGGGAACTATATCATTATTTTGCAGACACAACAAATTCTGCAAGCATGTATCTTTGGAATAAAGGAGAGAGGGTTGGACACAAATGTGATTACAACATATGCTTCTCTGGGCATAGCTTTGCCCCATTGCACGAATATAGAAAATTTGGCAGGCTGAAAATAAGCGGAAAGATCCTCAAGCTGTTCCTTCCACCCCCTGGGATGCTGATTAAGATTTCAGATTTTATTTATTCTACGGGTATTTGTTGAATATTTATTTCTTACGATACCACGCACTGCTTTAGGCACTGGGAATATAGCAGGATATACAAAACAGAAAAATCATGGCCCTCATGGATTATTGGTTGTGAGTAATAGGAACCTTTCAATCTAACTTAGGAAAAAAGGTTAGGGAGCCAAGGAGGAAGAGTGGGTGTGATGATGCATCAGGATACCAGAGAATCCCGTGGAATCCCACAGTGACACAGCCAAGCCTTGGGAGGGGTGACACTAGCGATAGAGACAGAAACCCACACAGGAGTCCTTTTCTCTGTCTCTCATCTCTGCTTTTCTCTGTACATCTGGTTCAATTATTCTCTTGCCACGAATCAGCTATTTGTATTCCTCTGTGCACGTCGCAGAAGATCAGGAATTTGCACATTATAGTCACAACCATACCTAGAACCAAATTGCCTAACACTGAATCCCAAATCCAAATTCCTGGGAGATAGAATTCAATTCTTCTCTTGCCACAAATCAGCTGTTTATACTCCTCTTTGCACGTTGCAGAAGATCAGGAATTTGCACATTATAGCCACAACCATACCCAGAACCAGATTGTCTAACACTGAATCTCGAATCCAAATTCCTGGATTTGGATGGACTCAATCTGGACCCAGTATCTACATTTGGTCCAGTCATCTGTATCCGGCATCGGGGTCTTGTTGAAAAACCATGGCTTAGCCGGGTACAGTGGCTCATACCTGTAATCCCAGCCACTTGGGAGGCTGAAGTGGGAGGATCGCTTGAAGCCAGGAGTTTGAGACCAGCCCGGGCAACACAGGGAGGCAACATCTCTAAAAGAATTTTTTAAGGAATAAAAAGGAAAAGCATGGCTTTTATTCTAAGAGCAAAGGCATTTTGTATATTTGGCAGGTATCCCAACAGATGCATCACCCAGTCTCTTAAATTAAGATAATAATTTATTTGGCAAGTGAATTCTTCTAGTGTAGTTAGATAGTGATGAAAAGATTTTTATACCTCCAAACACACACACGCACATGCACACCCACCAGGCTCTTCTTTACTTCTCACTCATAGATTTGAAAACAACTATTATATTATAGAAGTTTTTTGGTATAGCTGCCAGGGGTCATTGTTTCCATCCCCTGTGTGGAGATAAGAAAATCGAGATCCAGTGGAGTGTGGGGTGCTGAGAGAACAAGTCTATGTTTTCTTGAGACAAAGTCTTGATCTGTTGCCCAGGCTCGAGTGCAGTGGCAGCATCTTGGCTCACTGCAACTTCTGCCTCCCGTGTTCAAGTGATTCTCCTGTCTCAGCCTCCTAGGGAGCTGGGATTACAGGTGTGCACCACTATGCCCAGCTAATTTTTATATTTTCAGTAGAGATGGGGTTTTGCCGTGTTGGCCAGGCTGGTCTTGAATTCTTGACCTCAGGTGATCCATCCACTTTGGCCTCCCAAAGCGCTGGGATTACAGGCATGAGCCTAACTATCCTCATTAAGCCATCTGCTTTCTGCAGTCATTTTCATGGCGATGTGTTATAACAGGACAGACCTTGTACTTTGGAATCAAACATTCTCAACTCTGCTATCTGCTCTTTGTGGGGCCCTGAACAAAAATCTTTACTCTCTTTGAGCCTTCGCTTCCTCATTGGTCAAGACTTTTCTCACTGCATTATATTTGAGTGAGACCCGTATCAATGGATTGAAATTCTCAGAAACCCAAGACCAGGAATAGCCCAGTGACAGGAATTTAGACCATGCCAAGTGTGAACCATGGCTTGCGGGGGCTCCTGTCTCACGCTGGATGCTCCTGCCTGGCTGCCTCTGGTCTCCAGCAGAAGACCTGTCGTGCTTGAGTGACAAAGCAGATTGCTTCCTCCCACCTCTGTGGGTTAGGACCCCTTTTTCTATCCTAGTTTCACTCTGATGGGCGAGTTCACTCACAGTGAAACCGTAGCAAAACCTCAAGGTTTGGCTTAACTGCAAAGGGGTGGTTGATATCAGATTCATACGCCAGAACCAGAAGACCACTCGTGAGAAATTCTGTAAGCACAGGAGTGTGGTTTATGTCAAAATCAATCTGATGGAGTGAAGCCATTCCTTGCCAAGCGAAAATACAGCATCATCAACTACATCCTTGAGCCTAGAACCTCTTCACTCAGCACCAGCTAGTGGGTAAAGCCCGGGAGAGGTTGTAACAAATCTGATTCCCTGACACTCACCTGAAACAAGATTCAGCAAAATTAAAAGCAATATTAATATATGTCGCCTTGGGAAACAGAGGCAGAGGAGAACAGGAAAGAGTCAGATGGACTTTGATTTGAGACCCGTTTCTGCTTCTTCCCAGGGTGTGACCTCAGCGGAGTTCCAGAGCATCCATCTCCTTTGTAAGACACAGATAATACCAACTGCATGGATTTGTTATGAGAGTTACATCAGGGGAGGGTCATGAGGTCACCTTCCCATGGCCAGGAGAAGCAGGTACTCAGGAATGGCTACTTCTCTGGCCACTTTATAGACCTATGGAGATGTTGAAAGTAGCCCAAAGGAACTGTGTGCCTCGCATCTTGGTCCATCTTCATGGGTTGATCATTGTGGTTCATATCACTGTTTCATGAAACACAGCCCGCCAGAAAGTCGCGAGTGTTTTGATTTCATCCTATACCTATAGTTACAGGCCATTTAAGATCCACAGTCTGCTCTTTTAGCTTCTGCCAGCACATTTGGACATCTGTGCAGTTCCCAGGGCAGGTGAAGAGTTGTTCATGTGATGCAAACTTTTGAGAAGGGACGTGTAGGGAAGATGGGAGGGAGGTGATATTTATTGAGTATTTTCTTTTTGCTTTCAGCTTTATACCTTGTGTGTGCTTACAGAGGTCATGAATTGTCCGCTGTTGTATGTGTAATCCGTGGCAGATGTGCATAATAAGTTCAGGAGGGGCTCGGTTTTGGGAGGCCGGGGATACTAGAAGATAACCCTAAAATGTGGAAATCTACATCAGAGAGTGGTGTGAGTGGTTCCCAAAATGCCTACCTGGCACTCCTACCAAAGACACAGCAGAGAACTTGGGGCCTCTTGTTTCAGCCATTTTCATCTTCACTGTAAATCTAGACAAGATAATGAATGAAGAACCTGACACATTTAAGGAACTCCATAGTTGGGAGCCCAGTGTGAGTCATTATGGCGAGTCCCTAACACTGCGGTTCCCCTACTTGAGGGCGCAGGTAGGGGCACTTTGCTGCCTCCTTTGACAATAAGCATTGCCATTGCCATGTGATTTGCTTTGCCTAATGAAATGTGAGTGACACTTCCAGATGGAAATATTAAGAGCCAGTGTGTGGTTCACCCTGACCCCTTCCTATGCCCCAGCAATTAAGGAAGCAATGTTCAGATGAAACCCATGTCTTCCTCCTGGGTCCCTGAGTGACCACAGTCAACAGAGCTTCCCTGTTGGCCATTACTAATGTCAAGAACAAAGCTGTGTAAAGTCACTAAGATTTTGGAGGTATCGGCTGTTGCAGTAGAACCTAGCCTATCTCACCTGACACAAACGTTTTCTTTCTCACAAAACCTCACACCAGTGTTGTTTTATTCATCTGCTTATGCACGCGTATGGCTGCAACATCCTTCCAAAATGCATTACAGGCTCTAATGCACGATAAGACAGTTAGGTTCGAAGGAAAACAAAGACAATTGCACGGCACAGAGGGAATATACTGCTACGGTAAACCGATCACTAACACCCGGCCCTGAATTTGCTTCAAAGTTTTCACTAAGGCACAAAGGGAGCCGTGTGGAGCTCCGGAGTTCCCATCTGAGGTCTTGTCTAACTCCTTGGCAACTTTTATGTATTTGTATAGGAGACTCTTTTGCCAGATGGTTGAAATGTTCATCCTCCTATTTTGTTTTAATGCAAACTGACATTTCTTCATCTTCCTGCGGTGGGTTTCTTTTATGAGGTCGTGCTTTGCATTTTCATAGAAAGAATTTCTGACTCCCGATCGGAGCCCACCCTTGTAGTTTCTGTGGGGGCTGTTTTGGTTAACCACTCGCATCAGTTTTAAGTCTCCACAGGCAGAACCAGACCATCGTGAACTTCTTGATTTACATGGTGGTGGAGAGTGGCTGAGAAACCAGGGAGAAACAGGAAGGAGCTGATTGAGGAGACCAAAGGAGGGTGGGGCCGCAGCTCTCAGGCACTCTTGGTGTTCAGAAGGCCAGCTTGAAGAAAGATGTGCATATTTGCAAATGCATTTCTTGTTCCTAGTGAAGAGGTGAGGAAGGACACTGACTGTGCTAGAGCTGTACAAAGAGAAGTAGAACTCTAAATAGAGAAAATATGTAAAGATCAATAAATCACACCAAAAATAAGTCATAAGAACAACAAATAATACCAGGAATAAATAATGTAAAATATAAATAATTCCTAAAATGGTGATAACAGCTTATGACAAGTAATTTCTTTTTTTTGAGATGGAGTCTCGCTCTGTTGCCCAGGGTAGAGTGCAGTGGTACAGTCTCGGCTCACTGCAACCTCTGCAACCCAGGTTCAGTCGATTCTCCTGCCTCCTGAGTAGCTGGGACTACAGGTGCATGCCACCACGCCCGGCTACTTTTTGTATTTTCAGTAAAGATGGGGTTTCACCATATTGGTCAGACTGGTCTTGGACTCCTGGCCTCGTGATGCACCCGCATCGGCCTCCCAAAGTGCTGGGATTACAGGCATGAGCCACCGCACCTGGAGGACAAGTAATTTCTAAGTATTATTTCTTTTAATCCTCACAGTGACTCCTTGTTAGGGTTTGCTGCATTTTATACAAAGAAGAAAGGAGTCTGTGGAAGTGACATAAAGTAGGACATGTATTCATTTACTGATTCAACCTTTCATTTGTACATATATGTATATTTTACAGACACGGTCACCCTGTCTAGGTATTAACAGTTATTACAAAGATGATATAATTTTGCAATCAAAATACAGACACAGTTGTCTGTCTCCCAGGCTGGAGTGCAGTGGCACAATTATAGCTCACCACAGCCTTGAACTACTAGGCTTAAGCAATCCTCCCGCCTCAGCCTCCCAAAGTGCTGGGATTACAGGCATGAGTCGCCACACTCAATTATACACTTAAATATACATATATATATACAATATACATATGTAAATATATCTGCATATACATGTTTAGGGACAAAAACACGGGAGTACCATTTCTGTCTTTGTCTCTCTCTCTCTTTCTCTCACTTGACTCTGTTGGGAGCTATATTAGTTGTTTTCTCTTTCCAAACCACCTTCTGGAGGTCTCTTAGATTTTCCCAATGATGAAGGAGCTACTGTCTAGGTTATTACAGTAGTAATAGTGGCCAAGAAAATGATATGAGGTTGAAGTGGACAGATGATGCTTTTCACTCTTCTGGGAGGTTCCCACTGGGTGGTCTGCTTTGCTGAGCTTTGAAAAAGAGCTTTTCTTCTTCCCAGTTCACTGGGCCGATGTGGGCACAGCCTCAGGTTTTGGTTTTTTTCTCCTTTGCTCCTTCACCACCTAGAAAACTAATTTCCTATAAAGAAAATTTCTCTGGAAATGCAACTTTCTCAATAGGTTGAGTCTACTCAAAGACTGACAGGTAAAAGTGGTCCACATAGAAAAACCTGTTTCTCTATTTTGTTTTCAAAATTATATCATCTTTATAATAACTGTTAGTACCTAGAAAAATGCATACATTTTATTCCTTACCAAAACCAGTTACCCTATAGTCAAAAGGCATTCAGAAGTATTAGCAGAAATGTAGTCAGTAGCCAGGCATAGTGGCTCACACCTGTAATCCCAGCACTTGCGGAAGCTGAGACTGGAGGATCACTTGAGGCCAGGAGTTCAAGTCCAGCCTGGGCAACACAGTGAGACCTCATCACTACAAAAAATAAAAACAAAAAAATTAGCCAGGCTTGGTGGTACATGCCTGTAGTCCCAGCTACTCACCTGTAGTCCCAGCTACTTGGGAGGCTGAGGCAGGAGGATCGCTTGCATCCAGGAGGTTGAGGCTGCAGTGAGCCATGACTGTGGCACTGCACTTCAACGTGGGCAACAGTGTGAGACCCCATCTCCAAAAAAAAGAGCAGTATAGTCAGTAAGAAAGAAAACAAACTAACAGTCAATATTGTGGCTGCTCTCAATGTTCTTTAAACGGATCACATTGCCACTTTTTTCTCTTTGTAAAAATGAAAATTCCCAGCACATATTACATGCTCAATAAATGTTAATTGAGCATTTTCTGTCTGAGAAGTTCAGGCAACTTTTCATCCTTCCAATTGTTAAGTTCTAGTTTCTTATTACAAATTATTACTGTTATTATTTTAATTTGATTGATATGCAAAAGTCAAATTTGTGCAAAGAAAATGCAAGCTTTGAGATGAGAAAGCGTGTCTTCTGGTATGTTTCTTGATACATTTTGAGGGTATTGAGCTCTAATTTACTTAAGATGACCTTTTGAAAATAGATTAACTTATCAAAACTTGTGGTGGAAGCAAGACTTTGTCAGTACAGTACTATCCAAATTCTAAAGTAATGAATGCTTCTCTCCCTCTGGAGTTAGAGACCTGACTCTGGGGTGTGGATAAAGAATTTGTGTCCTGGCCAGGTGCAGTGGCTCATGCCTGTAATTCCAACACTTTGGGAGGCCAAGGTGGGAAAATCACTAGAGTCCAGGAGTTTGAGACCTGCTTGGGCAACATAGGGAGACTCTGTCTCTACAAAAAATAAAAAGAAATTAGCCAGGCATGGTGCTGCATGCCTGTAGTCCTAGCTATGTAGGAGGCTAAGGCAGGAGGACTGCTTCACGCTGGGAGGTGAAGGATGCAGTGAACTGTGATTGTGCCACTGCGCTCCAGCCTGGGTGACAGAGTGAGACCCTGTCCCAAAACAAAATAAAACAAAGAGTTTATGTGTTCAGTAAGAGCTGCAGTCACATCTCTAGTACAGACTCTGCAGAGCACTAGGAAGCCCCGTGTCTGAATGGGATATGGTGAGAGAGGCAGCCTAGGGAATGGAGATACCTGGGGGTCCCCATCTGCTCCTGATGGACAGCTCAGATGACCCCAAGACCCTCTACCAGGCACTGATGGAGTAAGGATGGAGATGGGAATTGCATTTTAGAGGTAAGAAGCCAAGTGGCATGATGAGGAGAGTATTCATGAAATTTATGGAACAGTCTGGGGGAAATGCCATGATTTCAAGCCCTTCACCTAAATCTTCAAAAGTGGCATGGATCAGTGCCTCTCTTCCCCAGCCAGGAGCGTGTGAAGCATGGGGACCTCCGGAATGTTCTCAGAAAATGCTTGGTTCTTCCTGTGTTGAGCAGGGAAGAAGCTGAAGCTAGCATGGGCAGGGGAGAAGAAAGCCAGTTACATATCAAAGAATGCTTATCTCCGTAGACACCACTGTGTTTGAGAGTCACATTGGGTGGTTTGTAGGCAGCTTTTCATTTTCACAGCCAGTCAGGCAAGGCTTGGAATAACTTGTCTAAGAATCCTCATCTTAACCCTGTGCTAGAACAACAAGCTTGGAAGGAGCCAGCCAACAGGAGAAAGCCAGAGCAAGACTCTGTGCTGGACAAGAAGTCCTGAGCACTGGGGAGTTGACTTCATATTGGAGGCAGAGAAGAATTACCTGCCGATGGCTGTTGGCCCATGGCAACACCCTAGATCGTTGCATTTGTGGTCCTGCTGAAAGAGGAGACTTAAGTTATAGAGTTATTGGTACTTGCAACACTTTCTCTGGAATTTGGCCATTTCTCTGCTCTTTTAGTTTAGTACGTTCTCTTGGTTGCGAGGAAATCACTGAAGCCACCTCACGTAATGTGAGCATGTATGCTCAAGGGGACCAGGAAATGCTGAAAGTTCAGGCCTCGGAAAGGACAGGATGTGGAAGGATGTTCTGGACTCAAGGAGGCCTAGGGACCCTTGGCAGGAGGCATTCATGGGTCTGTAGTCCAAGGCTCCACTACCATCTCCTTGGCTTCTCTCTTCCATTCTAGCTTCTTCTGCTTATTCATCACTTTTGCTTCCTATGAAATTGGTGCATCCTGGTCTTGGCCTCTTTGAGCCCTCTGTATAGTGTGAGCTCATCTGGTACTCTTGACTCTCTCAGGCTCCTGAAGGAGAACCATCAGATAGAAGCATCTCATCTCCCCAGGCCATGCCACTGGGCCTCAGCCAGGCTTGAACTAGCTAGGCTCAGTCCACGGGGTGGCCTTCAAGCAGCCTAGACTTGGATCCCTAAGCACAGCCTGTGGATGGGACGTTTTAAGGTAAAGGGAGGACGCAGAGCATTGCAGCCCGTTGGTTGTTTTCTCCAGCACAGCCATGCAAAATCCATGTAGCGGCAGGAATTTTGCAGCTGGAGTTGCTCCCCTGAGACTCTGATCAGATAAAGACAGGGTTTGCTGAACACCGTAGGTCTGGCCCTGAGCCGTGGGCAGCCTGATGAGCACAGGTGAATGGTGCAAGGGATAACCTCACAGTCATCAGCAAGTCTTATCTGGGCCGCTGCAAATATGACGGAGTCAGAAAAATGACAACATAAAGAAATGCGATGTTTTCTATGGGGGTTTCTTTTTGAAACTAAAAGAGGTTTTCTAGACTCACTCCATGGAGACCACTTTACTTTCCATTTTTCTCAGATGATAACATCTGCAGGGGGGCTCCTTCTGTGGGTACATCATTTGTCAAATATGTGGTCCATATTGAGAACCGCATAATACTTATTAATTACCACAGTTGCTACTTACCGTGGGCTGCTAAGACTGCTTTAGATATACTGCAGATATTCAAAGAGAATTCATCGTCCACCCAACGGCAAAGTCCATAGAAGCCCAGGATGCATTCTGACCCTCATCCTTTAAAGCTTACTGAACATATTGATCACCTCTTTTCCAAAGGATACTTCCTATTGGAGTGTACTTTTAAAATCTATTTTTTTTGTCTTAATGTTTAGTGTAATGAGGGAGTATAGGATGAACTCAATGTACCTTGAACATAGCTGTTGTCAGGAATGAAGCCAATTTCATTTTGCCTGAATTAGGGCCCTTTGGTGTCTTTTCTGTATGCAGTTAATACAGTTCGTGTGCTGTACCAAGGGTGCGAATGTGACTTTTCATCAGGAAGGCCGCATATGGTGGGCACAGGGCCTAGCTCTGCCGTTTTATAGCTGCATAACTGGTTTCTTGACCTTTTATGAGTCTCTACTCATGTTTTATATGGAGACATTAGTCATCTCACAAGATTTTTGTAATGATTAGAATATTTGTAAAGTTCCTGGCAAAGGTTTGATTATAAATTAGCGTCATCATGAACGTTCAAGGTGGGGACCTTTTTTTTTTTTTTTTGAGGCAGAGTCTAGCTCTGTCGCCCAGGCTGGAATGCAGTGGCATGATCTCGGCTCACTGCAACCTCCTCCTCCTGGGTTCAAGCGATTCTTCTGCCTCAGCCTCCCGAGTAGCTGGGACTACAGGCACACGCCACCACGCCTGGCTAATTTTTGTATTTTTAATACAGACAGGGTTTCTCCATATTGGTCAGGGTGGTCTCGAACTCCTGACCTCATGATCTGCCCGCCTCAAAGTCCCAACGTGCTGGGATTACAGGCATGAGCCACCACGCCCTGCTAAGGTGGCAATCTTTATACATAAAAAACAGGAATGACTTCTTCGAATTGGTGCACTAGAGAAATGTTTTCCAGTCGCCTAAGCGTTTAAGCATGGTAAACAGATTACCATATTAGTTGCCCAGACCTTGCAAAACTTCATAGTGTTTGTTTGTTTCCCTTGGGAGGCTGTTCTGAGAAGGAACCTTTTCATTCCTCGGAGTTCTGATGTGTTCATTGGCCCCTGTTGTCATGCTGGATATGGGGGCGGTTCAAGGGGGGCTTGGGTGCCTGAGAAAAAGAGTGAAAAACCCAACTGCGAAAACCCAAGAGAAACCGAAAGAGTGAACACTGGAAAAAAAAAAAAGGGGGGGCCGGCGAGCTTCAGGACCTAAGCGGTTAAGGAACTGGCTTTGACAGGAAGTGGGCAGGAGGCTGTTTTCAGTATGCTCATGGGAACCCAGCTGGAAAGTGCTGTGGTGAGTGTGTGTGGAAAAAAGGGGCTTTAATCAAGCTATAAATATCTGTTTCTTTGAAGTTTTATGACCAACAATTAATGTTACTGGAAGGCCCATAAAAAGGGCTGTTTCTTGACTTGGTGGGTCTGAGTGGGCCAGGGTCGGGTTAAGATGCTAGCCTCGTGGGGTGCCATCCTGACAGATTCTACTGTGTGCGTGTGTGTGTGTGTGTGTGTGTGTGTGTGTGTGTGTGTGATATAATGTGTTGCATTGGTGTCTAAAGCCATGCTCAGTATATAGTTATATATTTCATTCATTCATCCGTTCATTCAGTTATCTCACGTTTCTGGAGGGCCCTCTATGTGCAATACCTAGTGATACAGCAGTGAACAAAGGAAATCCCTGCCCTCAGGGAGCTTTCATTCTACTTGGGGAAAGAGACGTGAAAGAAATCAAGACATGCAAGCAAGGATAAGTGCTGTAAAGATAATTCATTCCTGTTTAGAGGGCTGAGGACAGGAAGACGATGCTGTATGGCTCTAGACAGGGTTCTGTGATGAGTGGCCTGTGGACAGATTCCTGTCCGAAGAGGTGCAGGGTGCAAGGGAGGAGGGGACGGCAAGTATCAAGGTCCCGAGTGAGGCACATGCTCGGCGGGGCCCAGGCATGCCACCAAGGCCAGGAGGAGAGACTGAGGAGGCTTGGCCATGCCCTGCCTTGTTGGTTTTTAGAAAGACTCTGTTTTGGTTATTTTGTTTTTCTTTTTTTGAGACATCTGGAGTGCAGCGGCATGATCTCAGCTCACTGCAACCTTTGCCTCCTGGGTTCAAACAATTGTCCTGCCTCAGCCTCCCAAGAAGTTGGGACTACAGGCATTCATGCCACCGCACCCAGCTCAAATTTTTGTATTTTTTGTAGATACCATGTTGGCCAGCCTGGTCTCAACCTCCTGACCTCAGGTGATCCACCCACATCGGCCTCCCAAAGTACTGGGATTATAGGCACAAGCCACCGCTCCAGGCCTAGAAAGACTGGATTTTACCCTGATTGAGCGAGGGAGGCTCTCGAGGTTTTATTTGGTTCTGCCCAGTGACCAGCCACCATAACCACATCCTTCCCCCAGACTTTTTCCTCTTCCTATAAAACAAAACAAACAATGTGAACAACAAAAGCAAAAACAAAAAACTAAGTAGTAGTTGGGGCATTTTTATTTTAATGCTGCTTTTTTTTTTCTCACCTTTTGCTATATGCTGATCCCAGTGCATGAAATTTTTTTGTAATCTCATTCCTGTGTTGAAGCTCTTTCACTGCTTTCGTGAGCACAGATGAATTTGAAGGCTGCCAGGCAGTAGCAACATATACCAGCTTCCCCACTGGGTGTTCATTCTACCCAATTTTTGTTCATGTGGACTTCAGGAATCTGGGATTTATGATCTTCGGATTTGGCTCTTGGCTTGAGGCTTAGCCTGTGCAGTCATCTTGGAGAGAGGGTTTACTAAGCAAAGAACACCCCAGAACAATCTGGGGGAACTGTGCCCTTTGCAAGAGAGCAGTTTTAAAGTACCCTCGGGCAATTTAGAAGCTCCTACTGACTCAAGGATATTCTTACCTCTTCGTTAAAGCAGCTCGCCTAAGGACTTTGCTAGATAAAAGTTGGTTTTCTCAAGAGGGTTTCTGCACACACCCGACCGCATCTTTTTCTTTTCTTTTCTTTGTTTTTTTTTTTTTTTTTTTTGAGACGGAGTCTAGCTCTGTCACCAGGCTGGAGAGCAGTGGTATTATCTGGGCTCACTGCAACCTCCACTTCCTGGGTTCAAGTGATTCTCCTGCCTCAGCCTCCTGAGTAGCTGGGACCACAGGTGCATGCCACCACGCCCAGCTAATTTTTGTATTTTTAGTAGAGACGGAGTTTCACCATGTTGGCCAAGATGGTCTCGATCTCTTGACCTCGTGATCTTTTCTCGCCTCGGCCTCCCAAAGTGCTGGGATTACAGGTGTGAGCCACCGCACCGGGCCTCACGTTTTTCTTTTAAAGAAATGTGTAATTCAGATCAGTCTTGCTTTCAGGTAGTCTGAATTAGGGGAGTTTGCCTGTGTGCAAGAGAAGGCTTCCTACTTCATTTTCTTGTGTGCAGGGAGCCATTTATGACTAATAGGATTCATTACATGTGTGTTTAGCCCACCGATTATTAAGGCTTTAACAATATTAAAACCTAAAGAGATAACAGAGGGGAAGCCTTTGGGAGCTAGGAATCAATCGTGCTGGGTGGCTTGAAAACAGGGCAGTAAAATGGCAGCCGCCTAGCCTGTGGTCTTTAATATTAATAAAGCCAGAGGCGATATCACTTAGTTGTTCCAACATGATTGGTTCCTCATGGATGTGCACCCTTGCTCATCACCATCTCACCACCAGGCTGACCCTATACATCTTCCAGGAGCCCAGCTCTTTCCCCTGGAAATGGTTCTCTGAGTTTCAGCTGCAGTTCAGGGAAAAGGCCAGCAGCCACGTTCCTTGTTTTGTGTAATTGGTCTTTAGCCTGATCTGATTCATCTGGCGAAACCCCTTTTTCCAGTAAAAGTCGTTGGCGAGGAGTGAATTGTGATGGAAACAGAGACAGATGTATGTACCTTTCATGGACATAATTTCCCCAAGACTGAACACAAAAATGAGGGTTTTTGGAGATCTCTCTGGAATTAATGTAAACGTTGTTGAAAACATATTATTCTATGGCTCCTTCATAAACCCTAGGCCATCCCGAGGCTGTCTCACTCAGGCCCCTCAGCCCTCATAACCCCCCAGCTCCATAGGAGTGGAGTTTGGATTTCAACTAGATAAGGCCCATTTTCATGGATGGACATGTGAGTTTTCATCTATAATATAGAATGCTATTTTCTAGTTAGGTTGGAGCAAAAGTAATCGCGGTTTTCACCATTATATTCAATAGCAAAAACCGCAATTACTTTTGCACCACTACTTTTTACCTAGCAGTTCAACAGCTGTAAAGAAAGATGCTGAGCTGTTGGTTACGTAACTGTGGTACAGCCATTTCATAGACAAGTCTACATCAATGAAAAGAATGACACTTCTAAAGGAAAAAAAATGGGCAAAAATTATGTGTTTACATCTATCAGAAAAACAAAACAAATGTCACGGTGTGGTTGGGAGGAGGTGGGGAGAGAGGCAGATTTTGGAGGCGAAAGATACACAGAAACACTAAATACCTGTCTATTAATACTGACAGTAGTTGCGTTTAGGGGATGAGACTCTAAATTTGTTTATTTAAATTTTCTCATTTTAAAAAATGAGTCCTTTCAATTATGAGATCAAAAAGAAATGTTCAGTGGCTTATTGTGACCCAACATTTTTCTGTTTGATTTAGATAGAGCTTTTATTTGCCTAAAAATTGTGCTTGCAATATATATGATGATTTTTTTTTCTTTTATTAAATGAAAAAGAGTCATTTAACAGTCACAGTGGCTCAGCCACCACCCGCAGCAGGCAGTGGGCCCACTTCACCTTCCCAGCAGGCCTCCAGTGCCCGGTGCAGGGTGGCCCATTGGCACCCACAACAAACATCACGACATTACTTTTACCGCACACTTCCTGTCGAGGCACAGGCAGTGCTTCAGCCTTTTTGGTAACTTGAATGAACATCAAAAGGATAATCAGATATTAGTTAAACTTGTTCCTCTTCTCCAATCATTGATACTTTTCTCTCTTGCTTCCCCTCCCCCTGCCCTTCGACACAGAGTGACAGGCCTGAAGTAAAAAGGGAAAAGGGGAACCGAGTGACTCAGCCCAGAGTGGGCCTCACCGCAGCTTCCTGGCCACTTTCTCGCTCTCTCCTTCCAAGAGAGAAAGGGGAGGAAGCCCAGAGCCTTCTATCACTTAGTACCGTGTCATATACCACTTCCACAAATGCTAGGGAATGAACGAATACATGTATGAATGAATGAATGTCCATGGGGTCACTCAGAAGTAGTGGCATAATTTAGCCAGATAAAGTGCCCACCTAGCACTCATCCCACCTCCTCACTCCTCTATCCTGTGAATGCAGAAATACAATTCCTCATTTACAAACAACTGTGCATGTAGGGTTGCTTGCAAAAGTTCGTCGTGTGCCGATATTTCATTACCACTTTTGCCAGCGCTCTCGTCTGCATTTCCTGAGGTTTTTCTTTTTTTTTTTTTTTTCTTTTTTTCTTTGATACGGGGTCTCGCTCTGTCTCCCAGGCTGGAGTGCAATGGCACGATCTCGGCTCGCTGCAAACTCCAACTGGTTCAAGCAATTCCCCTGCCTTAGCCTCCCAGGTAGTTGGGATTACAGGCGCCCGCCACCATGTCCAGCTAATTTTTTTGTATTTTTAGTGGAGACTGGGTTTCACCATGTTGGCCAAACTGGTCCAGAACTCCTGACCTCAGGCAGTCTGCCCACCTCGGCCTCCCAAAGTGCTGGGATGACGGGTGTGAGCCACCGCACCAGGCCATTTCCTCAGTTTTAAAAAGCAAATAAGAAACAACAACAAACTGCATCAGAGTAACCGTTTCAAAAACCCATCTCAGGTCTGTTTTTTCTTTTTTTTTTAAGTTAGCATTTTCTAGAAGTTTTGGTATAAAATATGTACAAGGATACATATATAAACTTAGTGACCATCTGAAGATAAACCTGGAATGAGGAATAACAACCTCTCATTTAAAGGAGTTTTAAAGAGACAAGAGGGAGGAAACGAGAAGAGAATGACAGTGTTTCTTTCATTAAAAGGAGCCCAATATTTATTGAGCCAACAGGTTTACACTGTGTCTACCCCAGAGTGTCATCAGCCCAAACCAGATCAGCGTCGTGGGCGATTTTTTTCACTTTACTGCTGAGGGGATTTGCCAATCGCCTGGTCAGCTTCTGAATTCTTCGGGCACACAGGAGGGGCGACATGGTTCTGGCTTATTTCTAAGTCCCTTTGAGGTGATTTCTGGTCCACAAATTGAGGCAAAATAATCCTCACAATTTCTTGGATATTCTCTGCCCCAGCCCCGTTCTATTGCAAAGGAGGCTTCTCTAAAAGGCTTCCCAATGCCTTAGAATCTACTTAAGGGTATTTTTGCTGGAGAAAGAGCTGCTGTCTTTGTCCACCTGTCGTTTTCCTTTCTACCCCAACAGGGCTTTCTCCCTCTGGCTGTTTTATTTAGCGGGAGAAGACAGAAGAGATGGAAAAATGGACCCTGCATTTATAGCTGTTCCTTCAAGGAGCTCAAACTGCTTTCAGGCATTTCCTTATTACCTCATTAATCCTCATAATGGTCCCTTGGCAGAATTATTCTTATTTTCAGAATGGAGAAATTGAGGCACGGACAAAATAAATGGCAGGTGGAAGGTCAGAGAGCCAGGCAGCAGAAGAGGTGGGGGCAGCAGGATGGCTTCTGGTTTCTGCCCTGGTCCATCAGTCAGAATGTCCTCTTCAGATGAGGAGATGCAGGGTGAGGCGCGGGGGAGCTGACATTGCATAAATAATAAAACAAATGGAGCCACATTTAGTTATCACTCATCTAGCGGAAGTCGATCTTCTTGGGACATGAGTAGGCTCTAACCTGGCAGGTTTTTCAACATGGAACCATTATTTGTCACATGTGTTCTGTGTGCCAGGGACTGAGTTCTTCTCAACGGAGTTTACATGTGAGAGGAGCAAGGGACAAACCTCACAAATAGGAATACAGACCTCAGAAAGCCGACTTCACCCTTGCATACTCCTCCAGGTTGCCCTCGCCTCCCGCCTGGATCACTGCTCAATTCTCTCTCTCTCTTTTTTTTTTTTTTTTTTTTTTAAGACAGAGTCTTGCTCTGTTGTTTAGGCATGATCTAGCTCACTGCAACCTCTGCCTCCCAGGTTCAAGTGATTTTCCCACCTCAGCCTCCCTAGTAGCTGGGACTACAGGCATGCGCTGCCACACCCGGATAATTTTTTTTTTTTTTTTTTTTTTGGTATTTTTGGTAAAGATGGGGTTTCACCATGTTGTCAAGGCTGGTCTAAAACTCCTGACCTCAACTGATCCGCCTGCCTCGGTCTCCCAAAGTGCTGGGATTACAGGCATGAGCCACAGAGCCTGACCACAGTCCTTTCTTTTAAGGGCCTCCTGGCACCCAGCCATGTTGGGACCCTTTCAGTTCTTTCTCCACGGAGAACCAGAATCTCCTTTGAAAATATGTTAGATCACCTCTTTCTCCTGCTCCGAACTTTCTGAAGGCGTCCCCTGTTACTCGGAGTGCAAGCCATGCTCTCGAGCTGGCCATGGCATCCTGCGTCCTCTCCCTTCCCCCATTGGCTCTGTTCTTCCTGCCAGTGCTCTTCCCCCTGCTCACTGGGTTCCAGCTGTGCGGGCCTCCCTGCTGTTCAATGGAATGAGACCCATGCCCCTCCTGGTTATCCCACTCAGAGTGCCCTTCAACAGCTACAGGGCTGGCCCATCCTTTCTCTGTTACCTTCGGAGGAAGCCTTCTCTAGATACCATCTTTAAAACAGCAATCTTCCTTCTCCATCCCCAGCAGCACCTCTGACCCCCTTCACCTGCTTTATTTTTCTCCATATTATCATTGCCATCAATCCAAGCACAATTTCCAGTTACTTACCCATTTTGCTTTCTCCCCGCTCTTTGAGAATGCTGGCTCCAACAGGGCAGGTATTTCACCTGTTTTGTTTATGCCTGCATCCCCATCACTAGGAACCTCATAGGTGCTTAGCAAATTTTTGATCTTAATACAGAAATTGACTCTCACAGAATAAGAAGAAGGAGCTTGAAGCCGAGGTTTGTGCCCAGAAGATCTCACTAGATTCTTTATACTCTGGGGAGAAGAAAGGATCAGGGTCGGGTGGGGACATCTGTGGGCATATTGGGGAGGGGGCCAGGAAGAAGCCAGGAAGGGGGCATGCTGTCATTCGTGGGTTTTGCAACTTTCTGTGGCATAGAAGGCATAGAAGGATCTCTTCATTTAAAAGGTCAGGTTGGATTTTTTTTTTTTAACTTCAACACCAGTTAACTTACTTGCTTCCATCATACCCTGTAGGTACTCGTTATGGACAGGAATACATGTAGGGTGAAGGCTGCTCTGGGTCAGTGGATTCACAGAGAAGTCAGAATTCTCTTTTATAAAGAGCCTGCTTTTCTCAATAATTGCATAATGACGTCTTTGATTCCCAGGCCCTCATGCCTAGCTGTTTCCTTAGGCATTTATTCAAGATCCGAGATGCCATTCGCAATCCAGCAGGATGCATATTTGTATCTGGCTCCAAAACTTTTTTTTTTTTTTTTTGGCCCACATCACTGCAGCCCATGGCAGAAGAGTCTAGCAATTAGCAGGAACTGAAAGTGATAATTTATTGCAACCAACGCTGTGATCTAATAGTCACACATTACAAAAGCAAAATCCATATTTTGTTCGCAGTGGCACCGCAGCGCTATCATATGCTCCACATGCTTTCTAATGTCTTTTGTTTGTATTAGGAAAAAACATAACCCTCTCCTACTGAGAACCAGAGAGAGCCCCTCAGGTTCTGAGAATGACGACATTCAACATCGTACTCCAAAGGGGGTTAGGTTTGTGTGCTAGGGGTGAACGCTGTGCAATTTAATTCTGTTTCCAAAAGATCTTTGGAGGATAAAGGATACTTTCTGTCTTTTATTTAGGGAAGGCGATCATGTTGGCACAGGGCATAAGAGAGTAGCGGGGCTGAGAGTGGGAACTGAGGAGATTCAAGCCTTTTGCCCGTCGATCGCAGTTCAGATCTGTTGATTTTGACCATTGCATCTTGCCTCACATCTGAACTTCAGGTGAAGTTTCAAACCACCAGGCAACATGCATTACAGGCAAAATGATAAGTCAGGTCCTGCCGGGTGACTAAGGCAGTGTGGCAATGCTTCAAGCCTTTAAAACCATATCCCAGTGGCCCCAAAGCATTAATATGTCTGGAACATTGCCTGTCCAATATCTAGAGAGGCGCCTGCAGAATTTGATTCCTAGGTACATCAAGTTTTTGAGCTGGAAGAAACTTGAGACGCTCTTTAGTCCAGCAAATTTCAAACCTGTCTGCTCATCAGAATCACCTGGGAGCTTGAAAACACACAGATGCCTGGGCCTCACCATCCAGAGAGACATTCATTTGATTGCAGATTGAATCCAGAAGCTCTAAGCAGAGGCACAGTCACATTTGGGGACTCCTTTTATTTAGTAGAGGAGGAAACTGAGTCTCAGTGTCTGAGACAGACAGTGGGGATTGAACACAGACACCTGACTCCCAGTGGGTGGTATTTTCTCCTAGAGTGCATTTCTGCTTCTTAACCAGCAGAAGAAAGCCCATTAACTAACCCCTCAGGGGTCACCATGGGCAAAGGAGTGCATATTAAGAACTGTCTGGAAAGAAAAGAAGGTCATTGGAATCTTCTTCACCCCTTCCCTGGTACTGATGGTTGCATTTCAATGGATTTCTCCAAAAGCAATTATCACAGTGTTCCTGTGTGTTGAGCAAACTTCCCTTGTAATCACCTTAGCGTTTTCTTTTGTTAAAGAGTAAGAAGAATGGTTTCATAGTGAATTTTTCCTAAAATGTGCAGGGTGTAGAAGAAGGAATTGCACACAATACATGTCTACTAGGCAGGTCAACATAAATGAGTAGAGGCAGGTAATAACCCAGATACACTTTGTTGGAAAGTGGAATGCATAGAAATGGTCTTCATTTCTGCAAAGAAAAATGTACATTCTCCTTTTTTTCCTTGCAATATGTTGCCTTCTCTGTATATCTTTTAAAATTTCTACTTCTGATAGAGTAAAGGGTATAGTTTTGTCCGTTTTGTGTTGCTATAACAAAATACCTGAGACTGGGTAATTCATAAAGAAAAGAAGTTTGTTTGATTCACAGTTCTCATGCCTGGAAAGTTCAAGATTAAGCATCTGGGGAGGGCCTCAGGCTGCTTTCACTCCTGGCAGAAGGCAAAGAGAAGCCAGTGTGTGCAGAGATCACATGGGCAGAGAGGAAGCAAGAGAGAAGGGAAGTGCCAGGCTCTTTTAAACAACCAGCTCCCGTGGGAAATCACAGAGGGAGAACTCACTCACTACCATGAGGATGGCATGAAGCCCTTCATGAGGGATCCGTCCCCATGACCCAAACACCTCCCGGTAGGCTCCATCTCCTGACATCTTCACACAAGAGATCAAATGTCAACATGAGATTTGGTGGGGACAGGCAAACCAGATCCAAACCATAGTGACTATGATATATCTTTCACATTTCTCTTTACAAAAAGAAAAACAATGTAAGGTCCCGTGACAATTAGCCTTACTGCCGGGGAGACCATAAGGAGTGGTGGAGACTGTGGTAAACTGCAGCGCGCACACTCTGTTAACAGAGGAGGTCACTTTCCATTCTAGCTGACTGTTGTCATATGAGGATACACAACTATGCTGGCCAGTTTCTTTAATTTTTTTTCTCTTCTAACAGAATCTAGAAATGTAGATTGTGTGTGCGTGTGTGTGTGTGTGTTTGTGAGAGAGAGAGAGAGAGAGAGAGAGAAATCTTTAGGAGTTTTAAATATTGGCAACTAATTCAATTTATTTCTGTTTTTAACATATTGCACCAAATACATGGGTATGGGCCGAAAATAACATGAACTTTTTGCAGTGTACAAATCTCTAATTTGAGACTTCTAATGAAAAGATATTTGGTTACAGTATGAGAGACAAGGGACTAAAATAAGGTTGTGGATCATTCAGGGTTAAATCAGAGCAACAGCATGAGTAGGAGATATATAGAAACAGATTTATTGCAAGGAGTTGGCTTATGCAATAGTAGGGTTGCCTAGGCAAGTCTGAAATCCATACAGTGGGCAGTCGAGAGAGGCAGACAGGAACTCTTGGCATATGCTAAAGCTGCTATCCACAGGCAGAATTTCTTCTTCTCCAGGAAAAGAAACAGTTCTTCTCTTAAAATCTTCCAAATGATTGACTCCGTCACACTCAGACCATCTAAGATTATCTCCCTTCCTAAAAGGCAGCTGAATAAGGGCTTCAATCACATCTACAAAATACTGTCCCAGCAACACCTTGATTCATGTTTGACTGGATAACTGGAAACTATAGCCTAGCCAGGGTGGCAAACAAAATGGACCATCCCAGGGTAGATGTTAAAAAAAAGATACCCACCAAAGATAAATAAGATCAAGATTAGAATGTCTTCTTTTGATAGGATGTCTGATTTTTCTGAATTTTTGTTCCTAAAACATAAGATTATTTTTAAAAGCCTGAGAAACGAGACATTAGTGATCCGATTCAGAAAAGAAGCCCTGGGTTTAAGCCAATACGAGATGGGTTTGTATCTTTAAGTGGCCTTTATTACCACAGTAATAAACAGCAAACGGGCCCAAATCTTACAGGCTTGTGTTGGCTTTGACCAATGAAGTAGAACAAGACCTCTGAATACCCCGTTAGTTCCAGGCTGTGCTTTGATGGCTCTGCACAGACAGCTCTTTTCCTATACAAGTCACCAGCCTCACCCGTGTCTCTTAACAAATGTTGTTGACAGGCCGCGTTGCAATTTTTCTGCATGTTCTGACAGTTTAATTCAGTACCTCCTAGCTAAGCACTCAGCCTAAGGGGGTGCTTCAGCACCTTGGCGTCACCAGGCTGCAATTAAAATAATTCAGGGACTGGGGCTGGGCTTGCAGAAATAGGCCTTCTTCCCTTTGGAACATACAATGCATTTTCCAGTCTCCCCGTGGAGCACACGAGATCCTTTTAGAGCAGAGGGCAGTGGAATGTATTAACAAGATGTCCACTGGCAAGAACTAGCTCCATTTGTATGTTGCACCCAACGGGGTTTTCTCCATAGGGGTTAGGCGTAACGTCTTTGGTAAACTTGGCACCTGTAGAAAGGTCTTGTGGTGGGCAGGGGGGTGTGAATGGGGGAATGAGAACTAGGGAACCCAGGACCCAGGACCCAGGACGAGAGTTCAGCAAAGACCATTTACAGAAGCTATCCTTCCAAAACGGCCACTCAGAAATGGTGTCTTTTATTTTGCATTCTGTACAGGAAGGACAAATGGAGAAAAGTCTCCAGAAATTGGCCTCGTTTGAAAGGACCTCATGCAAAGAGAGATCTTTGGAGACATTTCAGAAAGGTTTTTATTCAAACATATTCGCAGCTTGTATGACAGTGGAATGTTTTGAAATGAGCTTGATTCTGTTTACCCATCCTTCTTAATCCAACAACTCTGCTGGTCTCTCTGCTGACACAAGATCGTTCGCAGGTTATAGAAGGATTTAACACGTCAGGTAAGGTGGAATTTGGTAAATTCCCCAAATTTACAAATAGATGAAAGTTGGGTAAATTCCCCAAAATTACTTGATGACAAAGATCATTTGGGAGAGATTCTTTCAAAAATGCCTACTCCCTATTCCCATATCCCAGCCTAAGGGAATGAGTTTAAGTGGGTCTACAGTGGGTCCTGGGAATTTGCTTCTTATCTAGCATCCCTGGTGAATCTTTTCATTCAAGCCAATGCAGGAAGTAGTCCTCTGAAATACATGTCCACAGAACACGCCGTGCTTTCCAGAAGACGCAACAGACAGAAACTTTCCAAAGGGAATTACCTGGGATCATTTCTCATCCTCTCTCTCTTTCTCTGTATTACTTAGCCTTAAAAAAAAAAAAAAAAGGACTAATACTTCCTGCTTTCACATCTACTTTCCAGATAGTTTTTTCTAGAGGTAGGAGGTACATAAGAGAAACGTGTTTTATGGCTGTGGTTTTCAAGAAGTACAGCGTTTTGGAGAGAGTGGAAGGCTTTCATGCATGAAACACTCAGGGAGGTAGGAGATCCATGAGATCCAAGCTAAACAATTCTGGAAGAGTTACCTGAAGTTGACACTTAATTCAAGCTGCATCATCTTCCTCCTCCCAGCAGATGAAGACCAAAGGTGGAGGGTGGTGGGGGTGGGGGGCAGGGAGTAGGGGGGAGGGGGGGAGGGGGTGTGGGGAGGGTGGGGCGGGGGTGGGCAGGTTCAGGGACTGAGGCCGGAAGCAAAACAATGTACTGGAGTGCTTATAGTTTTTGAGGAATCAGTGAGAAATGTCATCTGAATGTCTCTTCTCAATCTTTCTGAAAGATAACTTGCCTATAAACATAAAATTAAAAGCTTGCTGTCTGCTTAGTTCAGGTATTGGGTCAGCGTCTTGTGACTATGGACAAGAGGTGTTTGACTCTAGGACTCAGCTACCTCATCTGTTAAATGGGCAAACTGGGAGGGTGTTTATCTGCATGCAACATCTCCTTCCATTTGAAAACTTTTATGAATGTATGGAATATTATTGAGCTGGTGTGTGCTAATACACTGCTAGGAGCCATTGGAGATTTGAAATGTGAGAGAATGCCTGCTGTCTGTCGCATTTACCAAACATCATGCTTTTCAAGATTGTTAAAAGTTGCTGAAACCCTTCTTTGAAGGAAATCATACTTTGAAGCTCAATATATAGCAAACGGGTAGAAGAGTTGCTAAGAGTTTGAAAATGATCTCATTAAACAAGAAACATATATACAGTGCCTACCTAGGAAAGAGCCAGGCATATAATAGCCACTGCATAAAGATGTCAAGTCTTTTGGACACAATCCTAATATCTCGGAGGTTCTGAAGCTAAAGGGTACATGTTTAAATTTTATTTGTTTCATTAAACACCTAAAGACTCTTTCTAGCTCACTCCTGCCAAAGGCAGAACTTGAGAGTGGCATTCTTTTCTGGTCTTTGAAGACGACAGGTGAAGGGCAGAATGTCCTGTGTACTTGGGCACGCACATGCAACCCTGGCTGGTGGCTCCTCCTCTCTGTCCTCTTCCTCCCTCTCTTCCTTCTCTTCCTTTTCTTCCTCATCCTCCTTTTCCTCCTCCTCTTCTCCTTTCTCCTCATCCTCTTCTTCCCTCTTCTTTGTGTCCTTGTTTCCATTTGCTTCTTGCTTTGGGCAAGTTCTCACCATAACCCTCTGGCAAAGGCAAATATTCACCTAAGTGGTTAAGTCTCTGGGCATATTTGTTGATCTCTGCTGAGTCTCTCAGCCCGTTTTCATCCCTCCTCTGCCTCTCCCTAGCCATTAGCCAAGGCCTTGACCTATTGACTGCAGTGTTGCCGAAGCAGCTGGACTCCGTGTTTGAAAGGTTTTCTGAAGAGGCATCTATTAATTTATGTATTTAATTTCTGTATGAAGTGACTGTTCTCCTCCCAGCACAGGTATTAAAGTACCTTTAGGGGAATCCAGCAGCTGAAATCCTCAGTAAGGAAAAATGCTTAGAGTGTCACAAAGCAAACGCATTAGTGGGAAATGTTTAGGGGCTCAAGCACAACCACAAGGATTCACTCCTTCCTTGGATTTTGTGCCTCTTCCCCTGTTCCTGAGGCCCCCACTGGGAACCCTTAGCTGGAGAACACCCGTTTCATTATGGAACATGGAGAAAAGGGTGATTGTCAGCTCCAATTTATTCCATACTATCTGATTCAATCTGTAGTTTGACTTTGCTAAAGGAATTAATTTTTAAGATCTTAACAAATCCAGTAACATTTAAAATGACCTATCCAGTCCATGCATATTAGCTATTCATAAAGGGTTTTAAACATTATTATTAATCCTAGATATGTTACTTAAACTATTAAGTCCGTTCAAGGCATTCAGTTTCTGAGTCCTCAAGGATGGTAAGGAGAGCTGCAAATGGGCTCCCTTCTCAAGCAAAGGCATCTTATGCCATCATGCACGTTTCTACACATCTGCCTGTAGATACACTCTGTAGGACAAACCAGGTGGCTCTGTCCTTCAGGCAAAGAGCTCCTTAATTGAAAATGATGTGTGAAATTTCAAGAGAGAAGTCTAGGAATGGGGAGATTTATGTACTATAGTCAGTAACCAATCCTGAGCAAAGGTAGGCACAGCTATGTGGTGGTGCCCTTTTTTGGGGGGGGGGGGGCGGGTGGTGGGGGTACTTACTAAGGACCTTGCCTAAGATAATCAACAATTTTTCTTTTTCAGCCCTGGGAGGCTCTAAAGCTGGAATCAAAAAGATTCACAACCCCACAAATAGGTGAACTACTCTAAAGCAATGGTTTTCAAACCTTGAAATATCCTAACATTGAAAAAAAATGTGGTAACATAGGGTTGCCTGTGTCTTATTTTGGTCTGTAAGGACATTAATAATGTTTTGGTAAAACCTCAGTTATCATCTGCTATTACTGTTATTTCATAAGACACATCATTTTCCTTCAAAATTACAATGAAAACTCATAAGCATACATCAAAGTTGAAAGAATTTTACAGCGAACCACCATTAACATTTTGCTATAATGGCTTTATCATATATCCATTCATCCGTCTATCATATTTGTAAAACAAATAATATTTTAATGCCAAACATATACAAAGGATAGATCAGTAATTTCCGAGAAATATTAGTTGACAACTTGACATCAAATTATGTACGGTTAAGTATTGATACAAAAATACGCACGAATATTAAGTGTTGAGGCAGATAGATGCACATATGTATGTCACCATGTACCTTTGTGTCTCCTTGCATTTAAAAATGCAGGTCATGATGTGTAATCCCCGTTCCTCTGTTGATCAGTGAACACAAATGCTGGGCCCCAGCATGAGTCCTTTTCAGAGAGTCATTTGGAGACCTACAGAAAAAAATGCCAAGAATGCACGCTGGGAATTCATTAAGAGATTTCAGGACGTTGAAATACTGTGCGTACTTGCAATCCCCACTTGACCAAAGGTGTCCAAACCTCGACAGACAGCGGCCAGAGAAGGCCCCATCATAGACTCTGCGCCTGGCTAATTACTCAGGAGCAAAGCAGGTCGTTAGGGGTCAGGGGGAGGGTGCACCTGTCCGCCACCCCAATTTCCTCATGATACTGGAAGGCAGTCTCCGGTCAGCACGGGGCTGGGTCTAGAGTTTTCAGTTTACAAAAGTGGAAAATGTGATATGACAGACTGGAACCAGCACAGGGACGCAGCCCCTCACCTGCTGGGGGTCTTTGGGTGGGTCCTGTAGCCCCAGAGCCTCTCGATGAGCTATGAACAGGAACAGAACCAGCACCCCGAGTGGTGACAGTGACAAAAGGGTCCTCAGTAACAGCAGTCTGCTATTGTTTTGAATCATTCAAAGGAATTTTTTTATTTTGATAGTGAAAACAATTTCTTTTAGATGTAGAAAGGGTAGAAAATACAGATAAGCGAAAATAACAAAAGCAGAACGGTCATCATCTCAAAACTCAGAGAAAAGGGCACCAACTCCATATTCGTACCCATGTACGTATTCATACCCATATCTATACACCTTCCCTTATCCCTGTCCCTGTCTACACCCACACCCATACCTAAACCAATATCCACATTTATATCTATACCTATACCCATATCAATATCTATATTTAAATCTGTGTATTTAGATATTTCTAGAAATGCATATATAGCTATTTTTGCTTTTATAAAAAAAGTCACAGAAACAATTATATTGTACACAGTCCTATATAATCTGCTTTCTTTTGTTTATAGAATACTGTGAATGTCTTTTTGTTTTTTTTTTTTTTGTTTGCGAGACAGGGTCTCACTCTGTCACTCAGGCTGGAGTGCAGTAGTGCAATCTTGGCTCACTGCAACCTCCATCTCCTGGATGCCAGCAATCCTCCCACCTCATCCTCCCAAATACCTGAGACTACAGGCAGTCACCACCACACCCAGCTAAATTTCTTTTGTGTTGCTATTTTTATTAGAAACGGGGTTTCACCTTTTTACACAAGCTGGCCTTGAACTCCTGGACTCAAGCGATCTGCCCTTCTTGGCCTCCCGAAGTGTTGGAATTATAGGCATGAGCCACTGCACTGGGCCAGGAATATCTTTCTATGACAGTAAATATTATTTTACATCATTTTCAGTGATACCATAGTATCCCATTATATGCTTTTCAGTAATAAGTTCGAAGCCAAGTTCCTGGATCAGCAGCATCAGAATCACCTGGGAATTTGTTAGAAATGGAAATTCTTAGGCCACTCCCCAGACCTACTGCGTCTGGGGGCAGGGCCCAGCCGTCTATATTTCAGCAAGCCTTCCAAGAGACTTCAGTGCCTGCTAAAGTTTGATGCCTACTGCCTTAAATAAACTTCTTCATCCCTTGTCAAACTTCCTAGGGGAGCACATTTTGAATTTTTGACCTGAGACCTCAAAACTTTTACCTGTGCTCACTCAGTTCAGGTGAAAGAATCTTTGGCATTCAGAAGCTTGTGTTCACACTCACCTACTTCTCATGGCATGATTCCTCTTACCTCTAAATTCTACTGACTTAATCAAGATTGAGGGATTCTGGGATGAATCTGGGGACACTTTTTGGTCCCTGAAATAAAATACGCAAACTTTGGAGTATGAGTGCGTATTTGGGGAAAGTATACCTATCAGATTTTCAAGAACTTCATGACCCTAAAATGACTCTTTCTTAAAATAATTTTTTTTTTTTTTTTTTTTTTTTTTTTTTTTTGGAGAACGGTCTGGTTCTGTCACCCAGGTTGGAATGCAGTGTCAGGATCATAGCTCCACTGTGTGACCTCAAACTCTTGGGCTCAAGCAACTCTCCTGCCTCAAGCAACTCTCCAGCCTCAGCCTCCGAGTAACTGAGACTACAGGTTGTGTGCCACCATACCCAGATAATTTTTTTTTAACTTTTTTTCTTTTTTTTTTTTTTTTTTTTGAGATGGAGTCTTGTTCTTATGCCGAGGCTGGAGTGAAGTGGCACCATCTCTGCTCACTACAACATCTGCCCCCCGGGTTCAAGCGATTCTCCTGCCTCAGCCTCTCGAGTAGCTGGGATTCTGGGTGCCCCCCGCAACCATGTCCCACGAATTTTTGTATTGTTAGTAGAGTTGGGGTTTCACCATGGTGGCCAGGCTGGTCTCGATCTCCTGACCTCAGGTGATGCACCCACCTTGGTCTCCCAAAGTGCTGGGATTACAGGCATGGGCCACCGCTCCCAGCCTTTAACTTTTTGTAGAGGCAGAATCTTACTATGTTGCCCAGGTTGGTCTTCAACTCCTGAGCTCAAGTGATCCGCCCTTCTCCGCCTCCCAAAGTGCTGGGATGACAGGCACGAATCACCGCGCCCAGCCCAAAATGACTTTTTATTTGTTATTTTTGATCTCATCCTTGCTGTTCTGTTTTGCCCAGGTTGGTCTTCAACTCCTGAGCTCAAGTGATCCGCCCTTCTCGGCCTCCCAAAGTGCTGGGATGACAGGCACGAGTCACCGCGCCCAGCCCAAAATGACTTTTTATTTGTTATTTTTGTTCTCATCCTTGCTGTTCTGTTTTTCCCAGTTATATCAATAACAAAGAAAAGAAAAGAAATCTACTCAGGGTCTGTTGGGCATACTGCCCAAGCACAGTGTGAAATGACTGCCTTTTCACTTTTTATCTTTTGGATAGCCCAAAGACCAGCCTGACTTAGCAGCCTGATTTTTCTTTGCTGGAGGCAGATCACACTCTGCAGATCTCCACTGAAACCCCACCCTCACCCTTCGTAATAGGCGACATGCACATTTTCATGTCACATTTAAAAATGAAATTTTTCTTGAAAATGTTCACATCCTTCCCCCAGAAATTCTAGATTTATAAATTTCTCCCAAGGAAATCATTAGGTGCTACATGAAAGTTTATGTATCAGGTAATGATCACAAAATTATAATCACAAATTAAAATAGCCATAATGTCTAATAATTCGACATTAGTGACAGAGATGATACTACAGTTATAGGATGAAGTGTCATAACTGGGGATTTTGGAAAATGATTAGGGACATGGTGAAGTCGTCATAGAATAAAATTAAGTGAAAAGAGTCAGGTTGAGTGTAGAATATATTTATTCCTATTCAGCATATGTATTACAAAATATCTGGGATAAATGAGAACTGCATGCTGACATTTACATTTTCTCCTTGATTGTCTTATCTATTATCAGGATTTTCTACAATGAACATTTGTTGGTTTATAATTGGGGGGAAACCTAAATTCATAAAATAGGCACTCTGTTGGTGGCAAGGAAGCCCACTAGTCCACTGTCTAAGTGTTAAATGGATTTTAGCTTCATAATTCTGGCTTTGACTAGACCCTCTTACAAGCAAGACTATATCCTCTGCAAAAGCATCAGCGGGGTCCTGCAGTGCCTTCTTGACACACACATCAGTGTATACCCAGAGCTCTTGTTTCTAAATAGCTGAGCTGCGTATTAAGTATGGCTAACCACACATCCATGCATTTTTCTGGTGTCTACCTGACCACCCCTCCAGGGGAGAGATAAACTCAAAGGGGAGAAAAAGGTATGGGAGCGAAAGATTGCAAGGTGCAGGTATGTTTGCAGATGAAGGGATTGTCCAGGCTGAGCTGTGCAGTCCTGGATGAACCACCATCTGGGCACTTCATATGCCATTCATACTTAAGGGTGATTGGCTATTTTCATCATCAAGAAAAACATTGCTTTAAAATTTTCCATAGTTATTCGGGCATGGTGGCTCAAGCCTGTAATCCTAGCACTTTGAGAGGCTGAGGCAGGAGGATTGCTTGAGCCCAGGAGTTTGAGACCAGCCCGGGCAACACAGTGAGACCCCACCTCTACAAAAAATAAAAAATTAGTTAGGTGTAGTGGCGTGTGCCTGTAATCCTAGCTACTTGGGAGGCTGTGGCCTGAGGACTGCTTGAGTCCTGGAGGTCGAGACTGCAGTGAGCCATGATCATGCCGCTGCACTCCAGCATACGTGACAGAGCAAGACCTTGTCTCAAAAAATTTAAAAAAAAAAGTTTTTTTTTTTTAATCGCCATAATCTTGTGTGAAATACTTGGTCATCTGAGCAACATTATCCTTCTTCTCCCCATCAGCCTGGCATGAGCTTGGCAGATGCAAGCTCAGATCATCACCTGTGTGAGTGTGTTGTCTTTGTGTCCGTGAGCATGTGTGTGTGCCCTGGGTTCCTCTCCCAGGTACTCCAGAGCTCTTGACAATAAATGAGAACAATATAGAGGCAGGGGGCACTTTTCATCTCAGGCCAGTTCCAGGACTCTGTGTAAACTGTACTAAGCCGAAACGTATTCCTTTGTCCCTTTTGCCGCTGTCCTCCTAATCCACATCTGGGCAGTGTGCACTGTGGCTGGGAGTTGACACAGATCCTTGTCTCCCAGACCCCCAGTTTCTATCGAGCTACTGTAACTTTAAAAAGATTTAACAAAGACTACCTCCACTAGCTAAGCTGAAATAAGAATGTCTCCGGAGTTTAATGGATCAAGTAGCGGTGATAGGTTTTATGGCTCTTTTTTACTTTAGGGCATAGGGAAGAGAGAGCCGGGCAGGTTGGTTTTAAATTCAAGGATTTATGTTGTTAATCCTCCGGGCTAATTATAATTTATGGGATCTTGGCAAATTAATATGCAGTTGCTATTCAAAAGTGGAGAGCAATGTAAGGCAGGCATAAACAAGCCTTGTTCATTTTTAATTTATTTCCACCAATGGAGAATATTAAATAAAATGAACACTGGGGTATTTCGCTCCAAGTTTGGTGTTCATTATTTATCTCTAAATTATGATATTCATAGAACAACTCCTTGCTTTTTCACCAAGAATCTAGAATCTAGAATTATCTGAGCGTTCGCATCAGATAACTAGGAAGAAATCAGAGTCATTTTCTCTCTAAGGCAGGCTCGATGATACCTGCACAGAAGCAGAGGTTTCCCAAGCATGCATGTTACTGCAGTACAAGATTTGGCATTCTGCATGTTGGGGTTGTTTAGAAACAGAAACTTTGGAGTAGTATGTGAGCTTAAAATGTCAGTTGCATGGAAATGAAAGTGCCAACCCTCCAAATCAAGAGTCCAGCCCGTTATGTCGCAAGGGCTTTGGGAAATCTCAATTTATTGCTAGCCTGGTAGATATTGAGCAGGGTGTGATCCTGTTATTGGGCTTTCAGACTTTCGCTTAGCAACCTCATTGCACCCAGGACCCCCATTTAATCAGCGACTCCTATGGCTGTTTGGGGGCTCTCTTTCAAATAATTCTTCTCACCCATGAACATCTGTCAGAAAACTTTCACTGATTGGCAACCACCAGGCAGGTAGGTTTGACTCATGTGATAATTGGTTGCACCACTAGAAATGAGAATGCCCCTCCTACTTCCCCGCCACCTCTTCTCCTCTTACCTTTTTCTCCCCGACATGCCCCTGCCAACCTCCCCCCATCATTCCAGCTGGGAGAGGCCATCAAATGTAGCTTGGAGAGCTATAGAAACCTTGAGCTCTGAGCCCAAGGAGCAAGTTGGAGTCCTGCCTCCAGCTGTGTAGCTCAGATAACAGCTGGAGCAGAGAACATGCTGTTCTCTCTGCTAGAATATCTGACCCAATTCTGACTAGTAAAGAGAGTTAATAGTTTGTACCTCAAGTCATTCTTGTCCCTGTGTGAAGGAAGAGAAGCAGTCATTTCCCTCCACCTCCAACACACACTCCGTCCCCACTCTGTCTCTCTTGGCTGTTTTTCTCTTCATTGTTGTTAAACTCACGTTCATTTCTCTTGTAGTCAGGGAAATGAAGAGCCACTTTCAACAATTCTGAAGAAGAAATATGGGATGTTTTGCTTCGGGATGGAGGCTGGAGCAGGAGTTTCTGGAGTCTGCCAGTACCCAGTTTGAATCCCAGCTCTGCCTTTTATCAGCTGGGTGTTGGGCAAGTTAGCTGACTTTTGTGAGTTTTCTCATCATTAAAATGAGAACACTGTTATTGGTCTTTCGGGATTGTTTTGAGAAATGAGATATCGAGACATGCCTGGCACAAGGCCTTAATTCTTCTTCATGGTCAAGAAATGGCAGATTTTCCCCCTTCCATTCCCACCCTTGCACATAGTAGGTTCTCAGCAAGTATTTGTAGATGTAATCGACCAGCAGAGATCATTTGTACCCTTAACACCCACAGAGAGTCACAGATGCTTTCACTGAAGGAGGGTGTCCCAAGACTCAATGGCAGGGAATAAAAATGCCAAGTCATGTAAGTATTCCACAAAGTTAGAGGGGAGGAGTAAGTATCTCTTATTCGTGCATCTTTATGGTATGACCAAGGGCTCATGATTTGTAAGCAGTTCAGGCACTGAGACCCGGGACACAGGTGACACTGTATCTGCAGATTCCTTTTTCTCATTGTTTCTCTGTCATGTTTAATTTTTGGTTTTGAAAACAGCAGAAAATCCAACCAGTGTGTTCACAGGACTTCTGGCTTTGCAGCAATTCCTTTTTCTGGGGTCTTTTGCCTAATCGTTTACTGGTTTGGAGACACTGTTTTCTGTATTGTTTAGGACTGAAAATGTAGACCTAACTGAAATCAAGCACTCGAGTATCCTAATTATTTTAAATTCATAATGAATAGTCATCATGGTTTCACTTTTTTTATGTACTCTTTTGAAAGAGTACGATGGGGGAATAAAAGCCAGAAAGTTAAAAAATAAAAATAGAAAAGAGCTGCAATTGTCAAGAGACCAAAAAGTCTTGTAAAAAGGGCAGTAGGTAATTCTGGAGGCAAATCAGCATGGGTAATGTCTAGGCAAACAGGATAGAAAAAGATCAGGAGGTCACAGTGACAAAAGTATTTAGGCTCATCATATTAGAATTTCATCCAAAGAACAATTGATTATGATTTATAGACCACACCATCCCATGAGCCCAGATGTGTGTCCACTGGGCCTGGCAGGGGACAAATTTATGTAACAGACTCCATCCTGAATTCCAGTCCTCAAGCTTTGAGGGTAATAAACTCAAGCTTTGCAACTGGGTCAAGATCAGGCCTGTCTCCTTCTTGATGATGAGTTGTCTCATAGGACCCTGTTAAGCACCATCCCCAAACTCCATTCTTTTTGGTGAATATCCCAACAAACTCCCCAGCCATACCTCAATGTCCAGACTTGCCTGATCCCCAGGGCTGGACACAGAACAGGCTCATTCTGAGAATCTTCTCTCTCTCCCTCCTTCCCATTTTGCTCCTCCTACCAACATGAGAAGCTAGGGGGTCTCATCTTTAAATAATTAATTCTTCTTTCTTTGTAAGTATTATACATGCCAAACAGACTCTTGGTTTGTGTCTACTGACCCAACAAAAGGGCTGTCCACTTGACGGACAGGCAACAGATCATCTTGATAAGTACATGAGGCACTCAGATGTCAAGTCACCAAACCTTCATTCTGAATATTTTTGAGGCTCATGACAGACCAAAAGAGCCAGAGAGTTGGGGAACATAATTTCCTTTGCTCATACCCTGGACCAAGAACTGTTGCCAGGAATATCCATCCATCTGGGGGCTTCCAGCTTCCCCAGATGCCTGCGTGCCTTTTGACCCTTCTCCTTCCCCCACCCTGCGAGTTCTTCAACAAATACTCTTCTAAACCAACATCCCCGGCAAACGGGAGCAAGACACCAGCTTTTCACTGATGCAGATATTTCTGATCTTTTCATCTCGGTTTTATTTCTCACTCTCCCACTGCATAAAAGATTAAGAAAGCACTCGCATGAATGTTTGCACATCATTTAAATATTCATTTTCATTAATTTATTCATAGTCGTAAAGTTTATTGCCTAGAATATAGAGTCGTAGAATTTTAGAGCTGGAAGACAGGAGAGAAATCATCTAGTTTCGCCGCCTCGTTTTACAGATGAGGAAACTGAGGTGAAGACAGCTCAGGAGACCGTCCAAGGTCAGATTCTGAAGTGAGCCAAGTGAGACCCAAACTCAAGTCTTGGACAGTCTAGCCTCTGTGCAGCGCAGCTCAGCACAGCTGAAAACCACTTTTGCTCTCTGCTGGCATAGATGGCTGTGCTTTGGTTCATTTTCTTGCTCATCTTCATGATCTAGCAAGTTCTTGTTGAGTGCCAGCCCAGTGCCAGGTGCTGAAGAACAATGGTGAACGGCACAGTCATGGTACCAGAACTCGGTCTGGTGGAACAGAGAGATTAAGCAATCAGAAAAACATATGTGTGTGTAATTACACGTTGTGATAAGGGTTTTGTGGGGAATATACAAGCTCAATGTGGAGACTAGTGGTGGGAGGGCAGAGGCATTTTCCCAGGAAGTGGAGAAAGGGAAGGGGAAGCAAAAGCCATCCCAGGGTGCGTTAGGGAGCAGGTACTGCTGTGGATGACGGGTGAAGAATTCACCTGGGAAACTTGGGGAGACCATGTGGAACATGCCGTCTCTGAGTTATGCCCCATCAGGGGGCAAAGAAACTGGAGTACTTACCCACCAGATCCTCATCTGTCGTTGGTTGAGGACTGCTCTCAGGACATTCACATCCAGGCACTTCTGGTCCACACCTTGGTACAACATTTGCAATATTAGGGACATGCTAATACAATTATTCATTGTATATGTTAATTCAAATTAAATGGAATGTCCTATATTTTATAGGGCAAACTTAGGCTTACGCCTGGGTGGAATGAGCAATCCCTGTCGCCAAAGAAGGTCCCCAGCATAGCAGTTGGCTGGAGAAGGAAGGGCTGACCATAAGTTGCACTAAACTGCTCTCAGCAGGGTGACCTGGAAGATCTTGGAGTGTAGATGTCAATTAAGGCAAGTCCTGAGGGCTCGGATGGAGCCAACTTTTCACCCGAGGAGGGGAAGAGGGAGGGTTAAGGAGGGCAAAGGAGAGATTTCCAGGCAAAGTGCACATTAAACACCAGATGCGAAGAGCTAGACCCCCTTAATGACAATTTGCTTTCTGTAATCTTGAACCAGGGTCTCTCAGTGTGTGGAAGGAATGTTTGAATCGGAGTAGCAGGGCTGAGTGGCAGTCCTAAGGCCCAGCCACAACGTGTTCTTGACAAGCCATGTCTATGTCTGGCGATGTGCTCGCATGGCACATGATCCTGTTTGACTTCCTGACAGCCCCAGGTGCTGGCCTAAGGCCTTCCAAATGAGGAAGGAAGGCTGGAAGAAGTTAAGTCATTTGCTAGTAAGGGTTAGAGCCAGGATTTGAACCCAGATGACTACAGAGTTCATGCTTTTAATTGCTGCTTGTTAAGTGCATCTATTATGGGTTGAATTGCATCCCCCCAGAAGATATGTTGAAGTCCCATCCTGTTACCTGTGAATGTAACCTCATTTGGAAGTAGGGTCTTTGCAGATGTCATCAAATTAATGTGAGATCTGGCTGGATTAAGATGGAGCCTCAATCCAGTGACTGGTGTCTTTATTAGAGAAAAGAGAGGGAGATTTGGAGAGACACACGTGTGTGCACACATATCTACGTATCTACATGTATGCACATACCTACATGCATGCACATACCTACATGCACACACGTGTGCACACACACAAGCAGAAGGCCATGTGAAGATGGAGGCAGATACTGGAGCGATGCTGCCATAAGCCAGGGAACAGCAAGCATTGCCATCCACCACCAGGAGCTGGAAGTGGCAAGGATATGTTCTGCCCTAGAGCCTTCGGAGGGAGCGCAGCGCCAGAGACACCTTGAATTCAGACTCTTTGAGTTCCTGAATAAAGAGAGAATAAACTTGTATTGTTTCAAGCCACCTAGTTTGTGGCACTTTGTTATGGCAGCCCCAGGAAAGGAACACAGCATCCCCTGTCAACAAACCAAGGGGAGCTAAAGATATACCCTTTAGCCAAGTAAACCAGCTGCCCCGAGCAGGAGCACAGCTTCCAGATCACTCATCAAGGGGCCGTGGGTGACAGGGCTGGCCTGCTGCTGCCTTTAATGGGCGTAGATGTTGTTGTTCATGTTTCCCAGCCCATTGGTGATGACACAGAGGCAGGAGCCGGGGCTGCAGACTAAATTATATACATCTCAAGGGCAGTTAGACAATTAGCTCGCCCACAGGAACATTGCAATAAGCACAGTATCTGCTTTCCCAGCAAAGCCAAGTGCAAGTTCCTGCCTGCTCTGATGACCTCTTGTGCCTCCAGTGTGGGAAGGGACCAGGTCCCTCAATGCTGCCGCCTCCCACCCTGTGCTGCCACGTGGATTTAACTCCTTCGTGTTCCCCATGTTCTTAGTCAGTATGGTTGTTGTGCCATGGATTCAAATGGGGTTGCTTGATTTGATTTGCCCTTTACTTGGCTGGAATTCTCTCTAACAATCAATGGAAACACAGCTCATAGGGATGCATGTAGCCTGTCTCATATGTGAAAAAGAAACTTTCAATGTATACTTCATCTCATTCCAACAAGAATTGGAAACAGCAACATCAGGACTTATATGGTGCAGGGTGGTCAGTAAGTAGGAAAGAAACTCGGGGCATGGAAGTGAACAGGAAGCCCAGAGTGAAGCCAGGACCCAAAACCCACAGGTGCTGCTCTTGTTATAAGCCAGCCACACATTTGTCTTTGAGCCTTTTAGCAGCTGCCACAAACTGGGAGAAACCATCAGTTATGCAGTTTACAATATCTCTAAACTCAAAACAAGCCAGTAATTCAGAAAAAGCCCAGTTCTTCTCACAAAGAAAGATCTAAGTGTGATATGAGAGTATATGCATGGAGAATATTTTCTGAGCTGGTGATGAGCTGCAGGGGGCCTCTCCCAGCCCCCGCACTGGTTGCACTTTTAAATAAGAGAAAAAAACAGTGATAGGACTGACCTGCGTGTAGAAGTTTCAAGTTACAAGAAAAACACTTCACAGGATCCAAATCCTTAAAGTCCTGAAGGAAACAGAGAGCATATACACCAGCTTTCGCCACCCAATTCGGATGTGTTAGAATGAAGAGTCTCTTATTTTTTAATGAATTTTTCTCTATTTAAAAGTACAGGGATACCTCAGAGATATTGCAGATCCCGTTCCAGACCACCACAATAAAGCAAATATCTCAATAAGGCAAGTCACATGAATTTTGGAGTTTCCCAGTGCATACAAAAGTTGCTTACACGATATAATAGACTCTTAAGTGTACAATAGCATTGTAAGAAAACAATGTACATACCTTAATTTTAAAATATTTCATTACTAAAAAATGCTAATGATCATCTGAGCCTTCAGCAAGTTGTCATCTTTTTGCTGGTGGAGGGTCTTGCCTTGATGTTGATGGCTGCTGATGGATCAAGTTGGCGGTTGCTGAAGGTTGGGGTGGCTGTGGCAATTTCTTAAAATAAGACAAGGATAAAGCTTGCTGCATGGATTGACTCTTCCTTTTACAAAAGGATTCTCTGTAGCATGCACTGCCGTTTGACATCATTTTACTCACAGCAGAATTTATCTCAAAAGTGGAATCAGTTCTCTCAAACTCGCCACTGCTTTATCAGTTAAGTTTATGGAATATTCTAAATCCTCTGTTGTCATTTCAACAACATTCATGACGTTGTTCATGACAATGTTCAGTGTTCGCCTTCAGGAAGAGCAAGTTCCATTGCAAGAAATCACTTTCTTTGCTCATCTCTAAGAAGCAAGTGCTCATCCATTCAAGTTTTCTCATGAGATTGCAGCAATTTAGTCACATCATCAGGCTCTACTTCTAACTCGAGTTCTCTTGCTATTTCTACCACATATGAGTCTTGAAGGGGCTCAAGACTTACTTCCTCCACTAACTTTTGAACCCCTCAGAGTCACCCAAGAAGGTGGAATAAACTTCTTCCAAACTCTTGTTATTATTAATTTTTGATCCTTTGCCATGAATCACGAATGTTCTTAATGGCATCTAGAATGCTGAATCCTTTCTAGAAGATTTTCAATTTACTTAGCCCAGATCCATCAGAAGAATACAGTATCTGTGGCACCTGTAGGCTTCTAAAATGTATTTCTTTAATAATAATACTTGATAGTTGAAATTACTCTTTGATACATAGGCTGCAGACTGGGCATTGTATTAGCAGGCATGGAAACTACATTAATCTTGTACATCTCCATCAGAGCTCTTAGGTACGAGGTACATTGTCAACAAGTGGAATATTTTTATTTTTTTTATTGTTATTGTTTTGAGACAGCCTGGTCTGGAATGCACTGGCATGACTGCAGCTCAAATTATCCTCCTACTCCAGCCTTCCCAGTAGCTGGGACTACAGGCACATGCCACTAGGCTGGGCTATTTTTGTATTTTTAGTAGAGACACAATTTCACCGTGTTGCCCAGGCTGGTCTTGAACTTGTGGTGAATCAATCTGCCCAAATCAGCCTCCCACAGTGCCACAATTACAGGTGTGAGCCACCACACTGGACCAAGCAGAATATTTTTAAAGGAATACAAATTTTTTCCCAACAGTAGGTCTCGACAGTGGGCATAAATTATTCAGTAAATCATGCCATAAATAGACGTGGTCTCATCCAGGGTTTGTTATTCCATTTATAGAGCACAGGGAGAGTAGGTTTAGCATAATTCTTAAGGACCCTAGGATTTTGGGAATGGTAAATGAGCTTGGCTTCAACTTGAAGTCACCAGCAGGGAAGAGAGTCAGCCTGTGCTTCGCAGCTTTGAAGCCAGGCATTGCCTTCTCCTCCCTAGCTCTCAAAGTCCTAGACAGCATCTTCTTCCAACAGAAAGCTGTTTTGTCTACATTGAAAATCTGTTAGTGTAGCCACCTTAGTGGTCTTATCTAGATCTTCTGGAAAACTTGCTGCAGCTTCTGCATCAGCACTTGCTGCTTCATGTTGCACTTTTTTGTTATGGAGACGGCTTTCTTCCTTAAACCTCATGAACCGACCTCTGCTAGCTTCCAAGTTTTCTTCTGCAGCTTCCTCACCCCTCTCAGCCTTCACACAATTATAGAGAGTGAGGGCCTTGCTCTGGATTAGATTTTGGCTTCAGGGAATGTTGTGGCTGGTTTGATCCTGTATCCAAACCACTCAAACATTCTTCATATGGGTGATAACGCTGTTTTGGTTTCTATCATTTGTGTGTTCACTAGAATAGCACTTTTAATTTCCTTCAAGAACTTTTTCTTTGCATTCACAACTTGCCTGTTTGGCACGAGATCTGGCTTTCAGCCTATGTCAGTTTTCGACATGGCTTTCTCGTTAAGCTTAATCACTTCTAGCTTTTGATTTAAAGTGAGAGACATGCAACTCTGACTTTCTCTTGGGCACTGAAAAGCCATTGAAGGGTTGTAAGTTTGCCTAATTTCAATACTGTTGTGTCTCAGGTAATAGGGAGGCCCAAGGAGGGGGAAAGAGAAGGAGAACAGCAGGTTGCTGGAGCCAGTGTGGTATTCATAAATATAACATTTATCAATTAAGTTTGCCATCTGATATGGGTGCAGTTTGTGGTGCCCCAAAAAATGACAATGGGGACATCAAAGATCACTGATCACAGATCACCAAAACTGATATAATAATAATTTAAAAGCTTGAAATATTGTAAGAATTATCAAAATGTGATACAGAGACATGAAGTGAGCAGGTACCATTGGAAAAATGGTGCCGATAGTCTTCCTTAATGCAAAGTTGCCAGAAACCTTCGATTTGTAAAAAACACAGTATTTGCAAAGTGCAATAAAAGGAAATGCAATAAAATGAGGTATGCCGATAATACATACAGCTCAGTGAAGAATATCTTAAAAATATTTAAAAAGAAGGAAGAAAATCACTCATAATTCTGCTGCCCATGGCAACCACAATTAACCCATGCCTGCCTTCCAGTCTTTTTACCACGTGTTGTGTTGTGTGGTGTTTGTCCCACATAGAGATCATTGCCATACGCCCATTTGGCACATTGCTTATTTTTCCCTGTCTTTATACATTTCATCATGTTGTTCTAAATGCTTCTTAACTGCAATTCTTAGTGGTTGTGATAGTCCACAGAGGGGAAGCATTGCTGTTTATTTATCCATTTCTATGTTGTTGGTCATTTATATGGTTTTAAATACTTTTGGTGTCATAAGGAGTGTTGTGATAAACATCTCTGTGCATAAAGCAGTTTCTATAGTTCCCATTATGTCTTTAGGATAGATTCCCAGAAATGGAATTACTAGGTCAAAGGTTGGGCACATTTTTTAAAGGTTTGTGAGACATATTGCCAAATTGCTCTCCAAAAGGTTTGTAGCAATTTAAATGATCAGAAGCAGCACTGAAGTCCAGTTTCGTCTAACCAGTATTGAGTGCTCATTAAAAAAAAAAAAATCATTACTAATATGATAAACAAACAAATGGTGTGTTATTGTTGGGTTGAAAGAAGCAAATTTGGAGAATCCAGAGAAACACAGCGGAAATTCAATTTATGGGCTACATTAACCCAGCATTTTGGATTGGAGGGTTTCTAAAGAGGTTTCGTTATATTAATGGATGACAAGTGGATACTTAAGAAAAAGTGTATTTTGGAGAAAGTTGCAATAATACCTACTAGAGATTGTGTCCTCCCTCAAAATCGGAGTGCCATCCGCGCTCCATGAGTCTGACACTTTGTAGGTGCTTTATAAATATGGATTGAAGCAAATGAGTGACGTTCATATGATGTTTTGCAGTTTTTTCAAAGTGGGTTTTACATTGAGAATCTCATTTTTCCAACAAGGCAACTAAGGCATGGATTCAATAATGTGCCAGCGGCACACACATAGCAAATGGTCCAGCCACGAAGAGAACGGGACTGTCCAGCCGGGAGGACAGTATGCTTTTCACCTCCCTCTGTACCCTTCTCTGAGAACTGTTTGGTTTGAATCATGATGGCAGTGGCTGGCTTCTCCACGATGCTGTTGTGCTGAACCCTATTAACCTCATAGGGAAGACACTAGGATCAAGAGGCCAGAGAAGAGACCCAGAGCCAGCAAACAAGACATAGGGTTTTATTAGGGGTTTACCTACAAAGGAGAGAGTTTAGTGGCAGTGGGCTGGGCAGGAGAACTGCCTTATGTACAGAAATGGTTCAGGGGCCGTGGAATGGACAAGACTCCACTTTCCTACAGTCCAGTGTCAGTGGCTGGACAACATAACCACACAGCCCAGTGGCCGTGGCCTGGGCAGGGAAACCGCAACTGCCTGCAGGAAGAGTGCAGTTTATTTAGATAACATTTTCACTTAACATCCTGCCGTTAATGACCTCCACCTGGCAACCTTTATTTAATCCAAAACTCAGGGACTGGATTTTCCATACGGCCTGTGAGGCCAGGGGGCTCAGTTGTTCCTCATAGACAGGGAATGTATCTCCTGATTGGCCACTCCCAGATTCCCTAGCTAGGAACAGACATTCAGGTACATATACCCTTCAGAGAGTCATTCTCAAGGTATGCTCAAGCTATTGCTGTCAGGCGCATTTACCCTACAGAGCTGAACTACCATTTCCTCAAAAGTAGGTACAGATGGGGTAACAGTGGGCAATGTGGCCCTTTCTGCACTTCCACAGTACCCGAAGTTTAGGCGCCCCTCCTGCCAAGAGCCCCCATTAGCAGCAAAATATATCTCACATGGTGCCCAGAGCAAAGGACCCTGTGCTAGTTTTTTGTGGCTGCTGTAATAACGGCAAACTGAGTGACGTAAAACAGCAGAGATACATTTGCTCACGGTGTTGGAGCCCAGACGTCTGAAATTGACACTGCTTCTGGGGACACTAGAGGAGACTTTGTTCTTCGCCCTTCCCGGCTTCAGGTCGCGGTAAGCATTCCTTAACTGGTGGTCACATTACTCTATCTGTGCCTCCATGGTCACTTGGACTTCCCTTCTGTCTGTCTGAAATTTCCCTCTGCGTTTATTTTTTGTTGTTGTTTGTTTCTGAGACACAGTCTCACTCTGTTGCCCCGGCTGGAGTGCAGTGGCATGATCTTGGCTCACTGCATCCTCCATCTCCCAGGCTTAAGTAATTCTCCTGCCGCAGCCTCCTGAGTAGATGGGATTACAGGCGTGCGCCACCATGCCCGGTCAATTTTTGTATTTTTAGTAGAGACGAGGTTTCACCATGTTGGCCAGGCTGGTTTCGAACTCGTGACCTCAGGTGATCCACCTGCCTTGGCCTCCCAAAGTGCTGGGATTACAGGCGTGAGTCACCATGCCTGGCTATCTGCGTTTCTTCTGTAAGGATACTTGTCTTTAAATGTAGGACCCACTTGGAATATCCAGAACTATCGTATCAAAAAATGTTTACTCACACCTGCGTATACCCTGTTTCCAAATAGAGTCACAGTTACAGGTTCCGGGGAGTTGACATGGGTATCCTCTGGGGCAGGGGGCACTTTTCTGCCTACCACAGATACTGAGGTGCATTGCTAATTACATGAGTACAGCATTTGTGAAAACTCGCTCATGATATCTTCTCCATAGTCGCAGTCAGTACCAGCTGCTGTGGAAAAAATTTTACGCATTGTGTTTACAACAGAATATATAACATGGCTTAGAGACAAAGTGTTTTACTTATGGCCAGTAGATGGAATTCTAAGGTCCGATGTCGGTTTGCCATGACTTGGGCATTGGTTTCTGTTCGGCTCTGTTTACGGGGCTGTGGGATGGGTACATAGACACTCGTCTACTTGAACTTCCAGGGACTCGGGAGGCCTGCAGTTGAATAACAAGAGACCGTGCTGGTGAGAGGTGGAGTTTGCAGTAGGATTTCAAAGACTCCATGGAGTCCAAAAGGTGGGAGGTGTGTTTTGGGGCATGCGCCAAGGGAAGCTGGGCTTTGGGAAGAGAAAAGAATCCGAACTGGTGGCTTCCCACAATTGCTGGGAGTCTGAGATAGATTCAATTGGGAAAACTAGGTTAGTGCCAGATAAGGTCCATTACTCTTTAAAAGTGGCCACTCATCCCTAATAATAAATAAACCAAACATTGGGATATTAAAACAATTCGTTCTCAGCATCAGAAAAGAGGTCGTGTGTGTGTTTGTGTTTTTTTAATATCCCATCCAGCCCCCAGCCCCAGTAACCCTAAGATTGAACAAAACCCTACTTACGTGCTACGGATTTAATATAGCGTCAGGCTCCTCTAGGTACAATAAAATACCAAGTTAAGAGCATTAATTCCTTACAACCCTGATGGGTCCCAGCTGTGCACACGCATGTAGGGTGTGAGGGTGTGTGCTCAGCGGGCACAGGTGCTGACGGGGCTGTTCCACCTCGGAGCGCGTGGGCCGGGAACACAGCTGTTTCTCAAATCATCCGCCACTTGCTTCTAAACCTCTGTGAAGTTGTACCGCCTCTGGGCACAATTAAAAGCTGTATACTACATTTCATCAGGTAGTGTTAGAAATTTAGGCTGAGCCAAAAAAGAAAAGGGAGGAGGTGGGAGGGAGGAAGCAACGAGTCCCTTGTTCAGGCGGCATTAACCCCCTTACCCTGGCTATTGGAACAATAGCGCTTCTAAAAGCCGCACAAAATCCTCCAATATTAAGAACGGAGAAAAGGAGTGTGGAAAAGGTGTGGGCAAGCACGGCATCTCTTCTTTCTTTTTCTTCTTTTTCTGTTTCTTTCCTTCTCTTGCTATTTCCTTTCTTTCTTTTTCCTTCCCTTCCTTCCTTCCTTCTCTCTATCCTTCCTTTTTGTCCCTTCCTTCCCCTCATTCTTTCTTTCCCTCTCTCTTTCTCCGTCTTTCTTTCCTCCCTCCCATACTCTCTACTTTTCTTCTTCCCTTCCCTTTGTTTTCACGCTAATTCCTTAATTTGTTTTTGGGTCTGCTCGCAGGAAATAACCGTAAGCTAGGATAACTGAGGTAAAATTTGTACAGCTAAGCTGAATGGTGAAAGGCCCAGATTTAGTTCTCATTGTAGGAAAAAGGGCCAGAATACCTTGCCCATTTTTGCCTTGGGAAGTGAGCTCAATGAAATACATCTTCATATGCCCATTTTACAGAAGCAGCAACTGAGGGCTGTTGTACTGAGGCTTGCAATGGCCACCTCAACTTTTAGGTCTCTGAGGCAGCAATGGGACCCTTGCCGGGGCCTCGCCATCCACATGGTCATTGCCTCAAAATTTGGGATTCCAGTTGCCCTTTTCCTTCTTCTCTCTTGAACAATGTGAACGCAAGGTGAGGATGGGCCTTCTCCGCCTTCAAAAGTTGCTGCCTTCCAAGGGGAAAAGGTCTGGTCTTGTAATTTCTGGTCTGTGCGTGCTGTATAAGGAAGAAGGTTTGGGTAGGGAAGCAACAGAGTACCCACTAGTGAGAGGGAGGACACCGCTGGTCTGTGCTCAACAGCCAGGCCAGCACCACATGAATAAAGCATGATGGCAATTGCCTGACTCTGTCCTCGGTGGGGACAGGAGAGCTGAGCATAAGGATCTAAGTTTAGACGCCCTCCTAGGATTACCAACGTAGGCGTGATCAGGCCCATAAAATACTGCACATCTTGGCATCTTACCTATAAAAATAATGCAGATACATTCGTAACTCCCCAGGTTTTCGGGAGTGGAAATGAGGGCAGCTGGGGAGTGAATCTGTCGTTTGTTGAGACTCTTTTTCCTGCTTGCCAGACACTGATCTAGGCTCATTCATACACCAGTTCATTCATCCTCATAACAGTTCTGTGCCTGAGTAGATTCTTGTCCTTATGTAAGGATTAAGGACGTTGAGACCCAGAAGGGTCTCATCTAACAGGCAGTAGTAGAGCCAGCAGTCAAAATAGTTTGACCCCAAGGCTCCAGGCTTTTTCCCTATTTCTTTCTCACCCACAGCCAATTGCAATCTGGACCCTTTACCTGTCAGCTGTAGGAACATGAAATAATGTGAGTGGGGTGAAATAATGCCATTTAAAAGCAGGCACATTATAAAGAATTATGTCAACCTGATTTCTTGAATCCCAGGACAATTCATATCCCCGTGCCATCCGATTAGTGAATCAAGAGAAACTGATTGATATACAGCAACAATAGTTAAGAAACAGGCAGCATCGATGGAGGTTTGATTAAACCGATACCCTGGGTCTCCTGCTGTATCAAATCATGGGCGAATTGGTACCATTAGGATAAATTACTACAAGAGGCACTGCAAAGCCAAGCTAAATAAACTCTGCCTTCTCGAGCCCCTGATTGTCTTATTAAATAATTTCTTTGCCTCTTAAGTGTGGACTCGGAGCACTCGTGCTCTGAAAGCCCTCCTGATTAACTATAGCCTTGGCCTCAAGTTGATTTTATAAACTTCGGATGGTGCCCCAGAGGGTGAAGCTTCCTGTTGTCAATTCTGCCCGTTGCTATAGATACCAAACTCCACAATCAGTAATTAGAGCGTGCCCCCTGCCCCAGAACTGGTCAAACGGTGCAGAGCGCTCGGCAAATGGTCTTAAAAGCATCCGCGCTTGCATGGAAATGCATTTCCAATGGTGACGGGGTTTGTTTTATTCATGGACTTTTTGAAAAAAAAATCACTGGTTTATTGGAAACCATAGAGAAGTATAAGTAATTATTATGCTTTTTAAAATACAACCGAGGTTCCTCATCATGATACGTTAAGGGAAAGGAAGACAGGGCAGGAGGGTGGTGTGGCACAAAGGCGGCTCTGTCTGACCTGTCACGTTAGGACTGAGTTCATTCTTGTTCAGATTCAGCATCTTTTGTTATACCCGAAGTGCATTCCATGGCCCTGTCCCAGCCATAGAAAGAAATGCCTTTATTTTTAAGCGAGACTTCTTGTGGAATGATGAATATGTTCAGGGAGGCTGTTGATGGCAAGAAAAGAAGGGTGATGGGTTGGGCTTATATTGTTTAGTGGAGCAAAACAGATGTGAAACATTTGTGTCTTAAAGTGTTTTGGTCAAGAGAAACTAAATTGGTTAGAAAGTGTGCAATTTTGCAAGCTTTATAAAAGTATAAACCAATGAGTCTGGACTCTGTTCCCTAAAGGGGATGAGGAATGAAAATGAAGGTTTGCAAAGACATCTTGCCAGACCCTTACATATTTTAATTTAAGGTGGTATTACTGTCCTCATTTTCAAGCTGAAGAACCAAGCTCTGAGAGAGTTAATGATTTTCTCCAGATCATTCACATTCATTTCTGTTACACAGCTGGGATTATAATCCATGCCTGTCTGACTCTGAAACCTATTTTCCCATCTTTTTTTTTTTTTTTAGGGATAAATTTCTCCCAAACTATATGCAGATCCTGCTAGAGACTGCCCATCCCTCTATCCATTTCTCAGTTTGAAAAGAAATCCTGGAATTCAGAATGATGAATATTCATTTTAACATCATCTTAAAATGTCCTTATAGATGTATATTACAGCTGTAGTCTGCCAGGCCAAGAATTCGATTGGCATTTCCAGAGTACTGTTGATTGTATTTTAGAATCTTCCAAACCTCCGTAATTGTCTTGTTGATTTCAAACACCCTGAGAACATTTCCTAAATGCTCATAGCGTCCAATAGCATGGGAAAGTAAATGGTTTATGAGGAGAATTTGGGATGTGCAAAATAAGCCTTTGAAGAGAGTGCATTATCTGAAGCCTGACATTGTAACAGCTTCTTAATTACGCTTTCTTTCATGTGGCATTTTTATGGGATCCAGTACGCCCAGGCTCAAATGATAGACATTTCAACTCCTACATCCAAGTGTAGGGAGTCCCAACTTTTTGAATCCATCCGTGTGGCAAATGTAGCTGGACCCTTGGGATGAAGACCCTTCCTGCATCCTCCCAAGGAGACAAGTTCTGGGCCATAACTCTAGAGCAACCCCAACCCCCAGGCCATGGACCAAGTGTCAACAATGTTGACATTGTGAATCCCTGATCTGGAGGAACATAGCTTTGGGGCAGTGCCAGGATTTAATATGGGTTCTTTGGACTTCAGAGCCCCTTGTGCTAAATTGAAACATTATGGTGTTGCTTTGAGCAAACAATTAGCATTTTTGCCATAGCTTTTTACTTCTCCATGTTGAAATTATCAAAGATTATCGTCGAAGGCGTGGTTTCTTTACTATCTGTCTTCTCCAGGAGACTGTCATCTCTGTGAGTGCAGGAATCCGGCTGGTGGTGTTTTTACTCTAACACCTCTTTCAGTACATACATACAGTAGGTGCTTAGTAGATGTTTACTGAATGAATGGATAAACATGTACAAAATTATGATCCCTTGTGTTAAATATGGTAGGGAAGCAACATAATGTGCCCTGGAGTTTCACAGAAGAAGGGGCTTTCTTCCAGCTTGGGGATGGAGGTGAGCTGTCATTCTGGATGATGTGATGGGGAAAGAGGATGTGAGCTGAGGCTTGGAACCAAGCAGAGCTTGGGCTTTGGGGTGCTGGGAGGACAGAATGCTGGAAACAGAGGTAAGAAGGGTAAGCACCTAGTCAACATGAGTGATTTAGCTTTGGGAGCTGATCAAGTGATATGATTTGGCTCTGTGTCCCAACTCAAATGTCATCTCGAATTGTAATCCCCACGTGTCAAAGGAGGGACCAGGTGGAGGTAATTTGATCATGGGGGTGGTTTTCCCCATGCTGTTCTCATGCTAGTGAGTGAGTTGTCATGAGATCTGATGGCTTTGTAAGTGTTTGGTAGTTCGTTCTGTGTTCATTCTCCCTCCTGCCGCCTTGTGAAGAAGGTTCTTGCTTCCCCTTCGTCTTCTGCCATGGTGGTAAGTTTCCTGAGGCCTCCCCAGTCATGTGAAACGGTGAGTCAATTAAACCTCTTTCCTTTATAAACTACCCAGTCTCAGGTATTTCTGTGTAGCAGTGTAAGAACAGACTAATACAGCAAGGGAGCAGTGATGGAGCACAGGCTGGAAAACTGAGTTGAGGGGTCAGTGGTGGACCCTGAAGGTTAGACTAAGAAATTTAGACTCCAGCCTACATAAATTTAGACTCCATGCAGAATGACTGGATGTCCTATAGGACATGCAAAGCCACAGGGAATTTTGGAACAGGAAATTGTGCTCAAAGCTGAATTTTGAGGAGGTAAATACAGCCTCTGTGTGTAAGACAGAGAAAAGGAGAGAGTGGGAAGTAATTTATGTATCACAGTTGCCTAGAGAAGACAGAAAATAGGTGCCTGGCTTATGTGGCCACTGCTTTTTTTTTAAACTTATTTCTTTAATTTTATTTTTTTTTAAATTAGGATTAAAAAATGTACATATACACATAAAATATTTATTTTTGAATAGGTAATACTTTTATATGGTTCAAAAATCAAAAGTAGAAGATAAAAACAAGGTGTATATGTATATATATTTATATACCTATGTGCATATATAAAATCCTTGTATACATATACACACACACACCTATGTTTTTCTTTATGTGTGTTAAAATCTCCCTCTACCCCTTTCCTTTAGCACCTAATTCCTCTTCTGAACCGATGTTATTTCCTGGTGCATCCTTCTAGACATTATTATGCATTTACAAGGCAATATGTTTGTATATTCTTCTGCCCTCCCCTTCACTTTGCTATACACACCTTGCTCTTTTTGCTTGACAATATATCTTAGAGATGGTTCTAAATCAGCATATAAATTATTTCTTCATTTTTTAACAACTGCTGAGTATTACACTGTGTGGATGTTTCATAATTCATTGAACCAATTCCCTATTGATAGACATTTGGGTTGTTCCCAGCCTTTTGCTATTGCAAATTGTGCCGCAACGTGTAACCTTGCACCGACATCGCTTCCCACGTGCATGCATGTATTTGCAGGATTGAGTCTTAGAAATAGCAGCATCGGCTGAGAGAGTATGCACTCCGGTCGTTTTCATAGATATTGCCAAATTGCCCTCTACGGAGGTTGTTCTGATTTACATTCCCACTAAGCAACATACGACAGTTAGGGTGGCATTTCCTGACTCCATGCTTTGTAGCTGGGTGGAGGGGTGGACTGAGAGTACATGTGGATGGGAAGGTGCAAGTGAATGCTCTCAAAATGTGCTTTAAGGAGAAATATTTTGTTGGGACACAGAAGTTAGACTGCAAGAAGGAGAAGATTGGATTCAGGGCAGGAAATCAGTACAACTTGCAGTAGTCCACATGACAGTTACGCAAAGGCCTGGTCTGATAGAGGAACAAGAGAGAGAGAAAGTGCATGGCAAAGACCCATCATTGATGAGTGACTGGATGTGAGGAATGGAGCAGGGGAGATGCTGATGATTTGGTTACCCCCTTCTCCATCCCCCACCACCCACTGATGTTATTATCCAGTAAGGACCAGGAGAGAAGAAGAGATTTAAGAAGAAGACAATGGCTGTGGTTTGATGAAGATAAAACGCCCTGCCAGAATCATTTGAGCAAAAGCTTAATGTTGTTTGTGGCAATGTCACTTACTCCTGATCCCATTGGAGAAATCTTTCCTATCACTTCCAATCCACGTGTGTTCAGACAAACACTAATTTTGTTAGTACAACGTCCCCTAATAGCTAAGAGTTAAAAAAAAAATAGGTCTTAGAAGTGTGAAAAACAAAAAACAAAAAACAAAAAAAAAAACACTAAACCCCAAATTTGTCCTTTTAACACTTTCAGCAACCCTGTAAAGTCATTATCATCCCCCTGTTACAGGTAAGAAAATTAAGGCTCAGAGAGGTTAAATAACTTGGCCAAGGTCACACAGCTATTAAGGAATGGTACCATGTCTTGGACCCAGGTTAACTTTAAATCCTGAGCTTTATAACGGTTTGATTTCAGTAGCAAATGCAGTGGCACAGAAGGGTCTGGGCATTTATTTCCAAAGAATGATTTCACTCAACTGAGGAATTCTAATGTTTTAACAGCATCCTACTTATTTCTAAAGTGTTGGGGTGAATTTGCCAAGGTTTGAAAAGTGCATTTGTAAGCCAGTAGGATTCAATCTGAAGTCAGGGATAACAGAGCCGGGGGCGGAGGCTAGGTCTCCTTACATATTTTGTTCACAATGGGACTAGAACACTCTGCAGAGTATGAAGGTTGTGATTCAGTTGCCCAAGCAGTAAGGCCTGACTGGTGTCACGATCCCACAACCCGCACAAAGGTGCCATTGTTGCCCAGTGTGAAGGGAGCTGAGGCATCACCAAAGGGGGCCAAGCGTCCCTTCTCTGGGTTAGAAATGTTGTTTTCCATTTGCTGGTAAACAACAGTCCAAGTTCATTGTCCTGACACAGAACTCTGTTTCTTCTTTTATGCTGAGAGTTTGCAAGTATGGATCTTGATAGGAATGCTTGCAAACAACGGTAGTTATAAAATGTTGCCTCCTGTATCTCAGTAGGCACTGTTCAAGCATTTGAACTTCATCAAGTATCAAGACAAGTCTAAGAGAAGGTGGGGAGAGACCATCAGGGCCTAGGATTGGAAAACCTCCAACGCAAAATAGAGATGTAGTTTTAGCGTGCTGCCCAATATTAAAAGATTGTATAAATGAGGGGGGCACACTTCCTGATATGTTCGTTATGCACATAGTCACACACCTCTCAGTGCCTTAAAATTTGTTATGATGCAGTCTATCTCGTATGGAACGATCTTGATGTATCTATCAAACACGGGAGAAAAACCACTTAAAATGTGTAAAAAGTTTATTAATAAAGGAGTACATGATTGTGTTTTAAAAGCTACATACATTAGGTTTAAGCTGCAGAAAATGGCGGTTTATTCCGAAAGACTGCTGTATTTATGCTTAAATAATTAGGATTACCTCTACCTGGTATATTTGCAGGGACAAGCAAAGCATACACTGAAAATAAATTCTCAAATGAAATTCATTTCACATTAGTTGCATCCCAACATTCCTTTATGGACTGCATTCCATGCCTGGCACTGTGCCTATGATTTATTAAAATCTAAAGCCATTAATAAATAAATTATTCAATCCATGCATTGAATTATCTAGCTCATTCAAAGACAGTCACAGTCCATCCCTCAAAGAGCTCATGGACCAGTCGAAGGAGGGTGACAGCCTGGGTCAAATTGGTGCTGAGCACACAGGCAGGGGTCAGGCTCCCTGGAGTGAAGTGTAAGCGTCGCTGTTCACTGGCTGAGTCATCTTTGGTAGGTCCCTTTACCACTTTGCCACTTTAAGTCTCCGTTTCCTCATCTGTAAAATAGAGGTAATAAAAACAGCTAATATTTACAGAGAGCTTACTCCTTGTTAGCAGTTTTCATTAATTAATGGGTGTATTTATTGGAATAACCGTGTAAGGTTGCCATTTTTATTTCCATCTGTGTGTTACAGATGAGATGTGTAATAGAAAGGGAATTTGCCCAAGCTCACAGTCACAGGCTGGTGGAGTTGGGATTTCAAACCCAGAGTGTCTGATTCCTGAACCTGTGCTCTTGTCTCTTCCTTCAGTACCACATACAACAGAGGGGACAAAATAATTTCTATATAAAGTGCTTAGCATAGTGCCTGCCACTTAGACCTCAAAATATATTGTTTTCATTGGATAATTAAATATAAAATAACATACAGCATGATGATTAATACAACTAATAAATAGTGCATTAGTATTATAGGCACAAAAGACAGTATGAAGTACAGCACAGATCATGAGGAGGGTAGGGTCAGTTCTACGTAAAAACAGGGTTAGTAAAGGCCTCAGAGAGAAGATGTCCTTTGAGCTGAGTCTTGAGACTCCAGAGATCAGGACTCAAGGACTGTGGAACCTGTACATTCACATCCTGGTAATCTTACATTGCTCAGAAGACTCCAGGGACATTGAGGTTGCCCCCATGGAGTTGAAACTCCTATGCTGATCACTTAGGAAGCCAAGAACAAATTAACCCAGGGCAACAAGAAACAATGACTAATTAGACCCTAATGAAGTGCTGCGGTACTGGCGTCCTTCCAGATTTGACTTGTAATCGCCACAATGTATTACAGATGCAGAGTCTTCATCTTGTTGGGCTGTGATCAAGTACATATGCTCCCCAGCAGTTCTTTGAGATTTCCATGTTCTCCGCACAGTGCGGAGCTACTGCGGGTGTGTGAGCCAAGGGGGCCCTGTGACCCTTGAAATAGAAAAGGGGGAAATGGCTGCATGCCAACCGAAGAGACCACTGCATTGTTGGCCATAAGTGAAACTAGTGAGATGTGTGGGATATCATAAAAAGAACATTGACATAATCCTTTTTTGGATGAAGTTATATCACAACCAGAACACACAATGACCAGCAGGCTTCTCTTTTTTTGTTTGATTTCACTCCTGAAAAGTGGGCTTTCTGTGAGAGTTGGACAGACTCCATGCTGCCCCTGCCTCCCGGGCCTTCCTTCCCAAGCAGGGATGAGCTCTCCTCTGCATGTAACAAGCAAGGTGATTCAGCAAGAAGACTGCTGGTCTCTCCCTTCCTCCAGGGCCATTTGTGAGAGTGAGACACAAAATATTAGAAGCAAAAGAAGAAGCTGTACTCCCAAGAGGCATGGATCCTTGAGTGAGTTATGTGCTTGGAAAAAATTAGTTTGCACATGAGGACACAAAGAGAGCCTGAAAAGCAGGAGGCTTTGAGGTCTTTTTTTCCCTCCTGATTCGGAGGGAAAAAAAATGTTGTTTGTGTTCATTTATGGAAATTAGATCTATCACATACTCTTATGCAATTTATGAAATGTTAAGCAATACCCCTGAATGTCCTAGTCCCAGGAAAGTTGAGAGTTGAGTGCAAGACGGGGACACCCAGGAGCCAGTAAATCAACTCTTGAATGATGGTGTATTAAGTGATAACCTTGTCATAGTTAAAGTCACACTGGAAGGATATATATTGAGGCTTTATCTCTGCCATGGTGTCAGCATCAGTGAATTAACACAGGGTGTCTTAACTTTTCAAAAACAGGACATGGGTGATCAAGCAGCAGTATATCTCTTTACTCCTTGTATTAGTCCATTTTCACACTGCTTGATAAAAACATACCCTAGCCTGGGAAGAAAAATCGGTTTAATGGACTTACAGTTCCATATTGCTGGGGAAGCCTTACAATCATGGTGGAAGGCAAGGAGGAGCAAGTCACGTCTTACACGGATGGCAGCAGGCAAAGAGAGTGAGCTTGTTCAGGGAAACCCCTGTTTTTAAAACCATCAGATCTCACGAGACTTATTCACTATCATGAGAATAGTACAGGAAAGACCCACCCCCATGATTCAGTTGTCTCCCTCCAGGTCCCTTCCATAACACATGGGAATTATGGGAGATACAAGATGAGATTTGGGTGGGGACACAGAGTCAAACCGTATCACTCTCCCACCCAACACTTGCAGAAACACACACACACACACACACACACACACACACACACACACCCCTTCCTACGTCCTACATCCCTGTACTTGGAAAGCAATCATATTTAAATCATTGCTGCTGGAACTTTAGTTGACTTTATAAGTTACATTTTACATAAAAAGGCAGCAGTGGTGAAGCTGGAAGAGGGCACCTAGGCTTTGATTTCAGGCAAGATTTTGTTAGGTCCCAGTATTGGGACTTCCGGTTGGTGGATTTTGCTCAAGAATAGTTTTCTCTTTGTCTAACGCTTCATGAGAGACAACCTAAATAAAGCCACAGCCAGTGTTACAGAAATAGTGTTTCGTGATTAAAATAATGGTACTTATTTGGGAGAGTTACTTGCCACGTTTCAGATGATTGGGAGGTAGTCTTTTCAGGAATATTCTGAGTTTGTTTCTTGATCTCGATAGCAGCAACCTTTCCATTTGCTCTCTGTCTGGTTTCTCTGTGTCTCTCTTTTTCCCTCAAACATCGCTTTTCTTTTTTTAAAACAAGAATAAATCCCTTAGGACCTTGCTAAGTTATTACTTATATTGTCGCTTAAAAAAAACTTTGGAAAGAGGCTCTGGCATACTTTAAAAAAGTTAAGCACACTCAAGCCTCTTTAATTCTAAATTCAGTTTTGAATATGCTTGTACTGATGTCAATGACTTTTCAAAAGAGAGTGTCCCAATTATTTAGGTGGCCAAGAGAAACAGCTTTAATTCTTTATCACATAAATATGCTTCAAACCACGATTTAAACCAGATGGATGGAGCACTGGATTAGTGGTGGGGCTTCTTGGCTGATCTGAGTTTCGCCTCCTCGATCTTGCCTGGGTCTGTTCTGTCACTTGGATCTTACCAGTCCTGGCAGGCACACAGCTCTGTGAGATTTTCCTTCTGGCTTTGCATGAAGCTTTTGAAAAGAAAACACATACATGCAAGTGACCTTTCTAGGGTTGTTTCTAGTTTCTTCGTCTTACATAAAGCCCCTGCTAATTTAGCATGGTGTGTGCCCGAGTTTATTTTCTTTTTAACAACTTTATTTATGTAATTAAGCGAGTGAAGTCATACATTTTATTGATCTAATGAAACGCATTTCATGGTTCCTCCTGCCCTTCATCTTCTGACCTTCCCCTTCAGATCACAGCCCTTTACTTTCGTCAATGAGACGCCACTTAACAATTTTCCACCTTGCCAAATTTGAGGTCCCCCTCAACATTAACGGGGAACCCAATATCAGTTCCTTAAATGGGAGCAAAGATTGATGTCAATATAAACTATGACACACATTCATATTGCAGAAAGGGTAAGAAATCCTTACACAGAACGAGTACGGTCTCTAACAGTAAAGTACAGAACAGGTGGTTCTCATTTTAGTATATTTAAACTTCAGGTCCTTAAATGTTCTTTTCTTTTTCCTTCATTCTGTTTCTTTATTATTTTAATGGAGTGCAAGGTGCAGTCTTTTTGAAGATGTAGAATGTGGCCTTATAAAAGCTAAGTGCTACTTTATATTTCTGCTGTCCTTGCCGGTGGCCTGCACTGGGGAGTTGTATATTGTATCAGTAATTTTAAAAGCCAGCAAGTGTTCTACCAGCTGAAGAAGTTTTCCTAATGGTGGCTGGTCAAACGTATTACTTAACTAGGCGTATAGAATTGAGGGGAAATGCAGGATGTAATGAAATGACATTGGTCAATCCTCAGTAAATGTTTTTTTCAAAGGCTTGGCACAAAAAATGTGCAAAATCTTGGAGGTAGATTTTTTTGGGGGCATTTGTCAGGGAAGAGATTAATATAATACTCAGTGAATTCAGGCAAGTCCTCAAGAAGAAAAATTTAAGGAGCAAATATGTGAGCCAGGATCTCATGCTGGACTATCTAAGCAAGCATGTAGGAAGAGTTTGTTTCTTCCTGCTATGGCCATAGAGGTTTGGTTGTCACTATGAAGAATGGGCCTGTGTTTTTTTTTAAAAATATGCTGATCTGGGTGAGGTCACATTTTGCTATTCTCAGTGGAGGGAATAATTGGGATTATCTTATGATTTTTTTTTCTCTTTAATTTTCTTACAAAGGAAAAAGAAAGAATCCAATTTGTTATAAATAACTGCTGAGGGCAGTACATGTTGCAGGTAGTCACTATCTGGGACTGGTGGCACAGGCAGTAAAGGATTCACCAAGACAGTTGTAGGTAAAGAAAGGTGGATTTATTGGAGAAGATAAGAAAGTACACTGTAAGGTTGCAACAGGCAGCCCAGCATGGAAGGGGCTGTCTGCAAAGAGGCAGGGGCTGGAGGGACTGAAGTTATACAGGGTCCTGTTGGAGGGAGCTATGTGCAGAATGAGGTCGAGGTCATTGTGCCTGCGGATTGTTTGTTGTTCTTCCCTACCCGGGGCCCACTCCTACCTGGGGCCTCTTCCTCATTGCTGCTTACTTATTAGAACTCCACAGTAGATTTTTTATAAATGCAGACACATACAGACACCCACACCCACACATACAGACACACACAGAAACATATACACATTTAGGTCGCGATTTCTTCACAAGGACATTCTTATAGACATGTCATGAAGGGACTTGGGGCTCAGAGAAATGAAGTAACTCAGCTAAGTCTGTACAGTACTTAGCCAGGGGATTTAGAAATCCACCCAGGGATGGCTCCAGTTGCCTGTTTCTTTTCATTTGACACGGGATGGCCTAATGGGTCCCCACCAGGGGTGGCTTGGAAAGGAGAAAGCAACTGCATTCCCACTGGAAGGTGTTCTGTAGCAAAGTGGAGTGAATGCCACCAATAATGAGTTCCAAACAGGGTATGTGTTTGCAGACAGGAGCTACATACATTTGAAAATTAGGATGATTTGAAATTGAAATGAGGGCTTATGCTGTTCATTGGATTAATTTTTCTCTCTTATAAATAAAAAATATATACAAATAATACATAAACATTGTTTTTCACTGTGGCTTGAATTTTCTAACAATTTTTTTCTTCTTCTCAGGAAATGTTTTCTTCTTATACCTCCAAAATAACCACTGTTGACAGTGTATTGTTAACCTTGCTAGAAAAAAATATTTATTTTTGATCCATACACGTAAATATGCATACTCATAAATATGCATTCATATTTTGTGTATGAGTACACTTGTTAATTTACATGTATGTCTTGATTTATATACATTGTTCTATACCTTTCCTTTTCCCATAATTTTATGGATTACATTTATTTTCATTTCTGTATATTTAGTTAATTCTTTTAAAAGGCTGCCTGTTATCCCATTGTCTGTCTTCACCATCATTTACTTATGTAATAAATCTGTTAAATAATTTTAATATAAATCTATTCATCTATCCATCTATTAAAAGAGATTTAAGTTATTTCTAATCTTTGCATATTATAAGTTGCATTTCAGCTTATACCTTGACTTTCTTTGACATATACATCAATAGGTAGAGTATATTCCTAGAAATTCAATTGTGGACCAATGAGATGTACTTCAAATTTTTAACAGATATTTCAGTATTGACCTCCCAAAATGTATTCACACACCCACCAAATCTAAGTGTCTGTGTAACACACAGATGCTGATTTGGAGTATTACCATTTTAAAAAAATAATATAGCTATCAGTCGTGTAAAAAAAATCCTCACCATTATTTCTTAATTTTACATTGTAATTGTGAGTGATGTTGGGTAGATTTTTGTACTTTTATTGACCATTCACATTTCTTCTTTTCTGAACTGCCTTTCCATATTCTCGGTCCAGCTTTCTATAAGATTGCTCTCATTTACTGGTGAGAGCTCTGTGTAAATTAAGGAAACCATCACCACCTTCGAATGGCTGACTATTGTAAATATTTTAATGTTTGTCGTTTGTTTGCAACCTTGTAATTTTTTCCTGTGCAGCAATTTTAACTTTCTATATTCAAATATACTCTGAATGCACAGTGAATTTGGCAGAATACCATTTAAGTCTTGTATTTTCCAAAGCTAGTCAACGTCCAACTGCCAATGTTGCCTGAACAGGAAATATTTATACCTGAAAGCGTCCAGGTGAGAGTCAGGAAAGCCATGAAGGTGCAACTGGCATACTGATGTCACTTCTTCTTTTTTTTTTTTTTTAAGACGGAGTCTTGCTCTTTTGCCAGGCTGGAGTGCAGTGGTGCAATCTCGGCTCACTGCAACATTTGACTCCCTGGTTCAAGCGATTCTCCTGCCTCCGCCTCCCAAGTAGCTGGGATTACAGGCATGCACCATCACACCCAGCTAATTTTTGTATTTTTAGTAGAGACGGGATTTTACCATGTTGGCCAGGATGGTCTTGATCTCCTGACCTCATGATCCACCCGCCTCGGCCTCCCAAAGTGCTGGGATTACAGGCGTGAGCTACCATGCCTGGCCCTGATGTCACTTCTTAGGCTAATTTCTGTGAAATTGTGATTGGGAGGAAAAAGTGAACAGGAACTTAAAGCCAGCAGAGGAAAGCTACCTGCCCTTCACTGGTGGTCAGTGCATGGATTCCAGAGACAGGGTGGGCACCAGTTCCTCACCGGGTCCTTTCTAGTTGCATGACCTGGGGCAGGTGACTTTATGTGGCTAAGCCTCAGCTTCCTGACATATGGCAGGAGTAATAATATCCCTTGAAGCCAACAAAATTCAATAGGCACATGCCATGTACATGCCTGTGTTATGCCGGGAACTTCTTAACATTTCCAGAATATGTGTAATCATATTTGTTACATGCAATATGAAATTATGTGTAAACTGTCCAACCTGCAGGAGGCAGTAGATCAATCAATTACATGTGATTAATCCTCCCCCTATCTTACAGAGAATAGGAGAGAAAATAGAGCTCCAAGGTGGAGGAAAAGACAACTGAGAGGAGGCTATTGTGATGTTTTATTACCATAAACTGCCAAGGGTTAGTCGTAGCCCTCCATCTGCCAGCTAATTCCGGTTTCATTAATATGAATATTCTCACGCTTCCAGAAGGAAATTCTTGGAATGTTATGGATCTCTGTAGCAGGCACATGCAACGTCCAGTGCTTCCCTGCTGGTAATGTGGCGGTTTTATTATGCATGCCATACCCATGCTCTCTATTTCCTCGATAGACCTTATAGAAATCACCATGCTTCCTTTTAGAAGAAAATGATGGTATCACATGGAGAACGAGCTGAGGAGCTTGACAATCTTGGCAAGGCTTATCAAAAGAAAATTCATGTGTTAGCCTTAAGTTAACACTACTTTTATTAAATTCAGTTTTTATCACAGCTGATAACTTGGAGATGTAAGCATTTAGAGACAGAATTCACTTATGAATGTTCTAAAATGTCAGAAAGTTTAGGATTCTCTTCAGGTAGTTTCCTTTCTCTCACTTGGAGTGACATGTTGGACCCGTGGCATTGTCCCGAGGCAACGTTGTGGAATTTTTAGAGAGTGTTTGTCTGTTAGCTGTTTGTTTTGAACATGTTCACCTTTGGCTCTGACCTGCCATCATGGAAAAAAAGTGTCAATGTGTTGGGAAAGAAATGGGCTGCTTCTCTTTTCTCCTCCCTCCTCCGTCTCCTTCCCCCGACCCTCCTCCATCCCCTTCCTGCCCCCACTCCTCCTGCTCTCCAGCCTGGCCTCTGTCCCCTCTGTGTTCCTCCCCTTCTTCCTTGTATCCTTAATGACTTCCAGGTGTGCCTGCTGGGTCAGGCTTCTGGCCCCGTCCTGGGGAGGCTGGGTCTGTGCCTCCACAAACACAAGACCAAAGTTAGGGGGTGGGGGACTCCAGAAGTACAACATCAGAGGAAGAAAAAAAAAACTTTGAAGTTTTGAGGATGAAATTGGTAAAAATAATTCTAGATGAAGATAGACCCGTTTACATTCCAAGGAAGGGAAATGTTTTACCCAAACTGTTTCCATGGACCCTGTGGGTTCTTGTTAATACTGTTCAACCTTGTGATTGAAAGCCCAAGCCCTGTGATCCACAGCAGGGGCCACAGCCAGAAATAATTCCCCGAGAATACTGCGTGTGCCTTCAAATGGTCCTTGATCATTTTTCTTGGATGCCCCACTTTCCAAAGGCCAGAAATTGTTTCAGGGAGTCATTCCAGTTGGGGAAGGTTTTATGTTCTAAGAGCAAGGTGCTGTACTCATAGGAAAATGTGTAATTCGTCATGATCCTTTTGTGTGGAGAGGATGGCGGTGGTCCACTTCTCAACTTGGGAGTCCCTTAGTGACTCATGATGTATCCTTCAGTACGCTGCCCAGTGCCTTCCCCATTTGACTTAGATTTTCTGCCACAGTTTAAGTATCACCTCCTCTATGAAGTCTTGCCAGACACATTCCTCGTCTCTTTCCTGTTGGAACAACTGCCTCACTCCTGTGGCCCCACTGTGCCATAGACAGGTTAGAGAACATGGGCCCTGGCATCAGACCTGGCAGGCAGTCTTGATTAGGCCCGTTATTAGGGTGCTCTGGGCAAGTAAGTTTACCTGTGCCAGGGATGCACCTTTTTAACCCAACACTTAGAGGGGTCCTCCATGTACAGCCATGATCACAACTCTCTAACGTGGTCACTTGCTTGCACACACTTGTTTAGATGTCTCTGCCCTGCTGTTAATTAGACTGTGAGTCTCCAGAGGGTGAGACTGACATCTCATTTCTCTTTGCAGTCACAGCAGAGATGCAGGCCCACAGTAGGGACTCACCAGATGTGGCAGGGTGAGGGAATTGTCCATAGATGCCTTAAAGATATGCTATCCACAGGAGCAGAGAGCACAGCAGGCTGGATGCCAAGGAGAATTCGACCAGGGTAAGGCTTACAGGCAATCCATTCACTGCAGAGTCTTCCCCCATCCACACATATAACTCCCTTTAGTATTGATGACCTTTCTCTCCTGAAATATTACAGAAACTGCCCTGAACGAAGATAGATGGTCCCCCCTCAGCGTTCACACATGGTTCCGTCTCATCCACCAGCTTCCCCGGCCCCATTCCCTCTGTCTCAGGAAAGTAATAATAGTAACTCATAATAATAGTTCAAAATAATAATAATCATACCTGGGATTTATATTTCAGCGTGCCTCCTAAGAGGGCAAATAAACCATTTTACACAATGCAGAGAGAAGGACAGATTTTCTTTGTGCTGCTGCTGATCACGTTAAGCCAGGAGAGATTTACAGTCAAATTCCAGCTACAGAAGCAAAGTGTTGGTGCCCCGTTGGCATGTGGGGATCCACTTTAATGTTGTTCTCTTGGTTTTGCTTAAACTGCCAAGTGAATTACTGTAACACACTTTGCCTGCAGTTAATTTGACATCTAGTGCCAGAGAGCTGCTTTATATTTTTCAAGGCAAGCCAGGGTGAAATTTTTGCAAAAAGATTTGTCCATCATTTTTACTGATGTCCAAACACGATGTCTTTAGCTTCTTTGGAATCGAGCTGTGGAAGTCACGTGGGCTTTTTCTTTTTTCTTTTCTTTTTCTTTCTTTCTTTCTTTTCTTTTTTTAAGGATCACAGAAGAAAAGCAGGCCGATCTTGTTGAAATGTTTTTAAAATCTCCAAATAATAAAATAGGTTTAGGGTGTTTGCTTATGAAAGCTGACTTTCACCAGAATGATTTATATGCATCATGGGCAGAGGGGCAGTCCAATAAAAGAGGCAGAAAGGGCTCTTGAAAAATGTCCCTGGGCACTTGCCCGAATGACTTTAGTGACAGTATCTACTAAAACTGATACTAATTCTGTTACGTGTTATGGCGCATACCCAAGACCCTCCCCATAAACTATTTGAAAGAAGCAAAGTTGTAATTCTCCAAATACGGACTTGTACATTTCTGATCATTTTAGCACCAACATTGGTTCAAACTCTGGCAGCCGACCACAGTTCCAGCTGAGCTTTGCTGCGCTGTCAGCACCATGGGGCCTGATAAAGCATTTTTGGATTTTTCCTACTCACAGTGCCCCCATGGTCTCAATGCTGTTGAGAACATTAAGCTCCTTACCTGTGTTTTGTGGTTGTTGTTATTGTTTTTCTTTCTGGTAAAGGACTTTATCTGCAGTCCTAACAAATTGACTTACGTTAACATTCTAACTCGTGGCTAAACCAAAAATAAACTTGCAGACCCTGCCCTGAAATGCACGCTCTGAGCAGTCTATTGGATGCGGTGGTGTGGCCGATTTCTTGGACTTGCTACATTCTTAGGCAAGTGACATCTCCCTTCATTTGTACAGAGGGAGTTAGAATTGAATCGAACTTCCACCGCAGCATCCGCCAGCTCTTATAATCACTTGCCCTTTGCTGATGGTGAGTTTTTAGCTGCTTTCTCTCCTACCATACAGCACTGACACCTGAGAAGTCCAGTCCTTTTGGAGTTCAGTAGATTCCTTGTCTCTGGAAAATCAGCAGAAAACAATGCAGCCTCCTCTTGATCTCCCCTGAACTTTGCAAACCTCTCTCAGCATTGACCGCATGAAGGGTGGGTGCCCTGAGGCAGGCAAGCCACCAGGTGGTAATTAAGAAGCAAGAAGCGCTGCTCCCAATTCTCTAGATCTGGATTTAGAGGCCAGTTGGCTTCAGAAAACATCTCATTCACACAAAATGGGACATGGTCTTTTGTCTGTTAAACATAAGCTTTCAAGGTGAGTTGTGCAGAGGCAAGTCTGCTTGTTTCATCAAGCTGACGTTTATACTTCTGAGTAAGTAGGGGGATCCGGAGAGTCTTCTTGTCACTCAAACAGTTTCCGTACGTCAGTTTCACACCTCTGTTCTGCATGTCTCTGTTGGGAAGGATGCTGATGTCTGGGATTTGAAATAGAGATGGTTGGACCTCTGACTTTCAACAGGAGGAAATCAAAATTAAAGGAAGAATATAGGCGTACGCTTAGAAAGGACCTGTGAAAGGAAGATAAATCTTGGGCCCCCAAATCACTAAGCTAAAGGGAAAAGTCAAGCTGGGAACTGCTTAGGGCCAACCTGCCTCCCATTCTACTCGAAGTCACCCCTCTGTTCACTGAGATAAATACATATCGGATTGCCTCCTTTGGAGAGGCTATTCAGAAACTCAAAAGAATGCAAACATTTGTCTCTTATCTACCTATGACCTGGAAGCCCCCTCCTCATTTCAAGTCTTCCTACCTTTGCTCTGAGTTGTCCCACCTTTCCAGACCGAACGAGTGTTCATCTTGCATATGTTGATTGATGTCTCATGTCTCCCTAGAATGTGTACAACCAAACTGTGCTCTGACCACTTTGGGCATGTGTCATCAGGCCCTCCTGAGGCTGTGTCACAGGTGCACATCCTCAACCTTGGCAAAATAAACTTTCTAAATTAGCTGAGACCTGGCTCAGATTTTCAGGGTTCACAGACCTGTCAACATGAACTGTCAGTGGTGATAGCACCCGTTTTCAAGTCTCATTTTAATCGGAAGGAAGTTTTACCAGCTCTTTGGCTTTGTAGAAGGTCGAGTTCTCCAAATTTAAGAGATTCAAAAATGTCCTCCAAAGAAGTTTGGGGTGAAAACACATGACAGTTTCTTGTTCATATTTGGCCAGAAGGAAGCAGTGTCCATTAGGTTGACTCTCCAGTGCTTCTTGGTGTTGTGATAAGCCCGTCTAGCACGGAGGGCCAGAAGGAAGCAGTGTCCATTAGGATGACTCTCCATTGCTTCTTGGTGTTGTGATAAGCCCGTCTAGCACGGAGGGCCAGAAGGAAGCAGTGTCCATTAGGATGACTCTTCAGTGCTTCTTGGCGTTGTGATTAGCCCGTCTAACAGGGCGGGCCAGAAGGAAGCAGTGTCCGTTAGTATGACTCTCCAGTGCTTCTTGGCTATTGTGATAAGCCCGTCTAGCAGGGAGGAGATGTCTACACGGTGTTCTCCAAACTGCTCAGAAAAGAGCAGTAAGGACAGGATGGGGCCCAGTTAAGAGGTATATATCTTACCTTCTCTTTTTCTCCTTCTTCTCCATCTCCTGCCCTTACTTCTTCCTGCCTGTCATTTATTTATTCTTTTCACAGATATTTAGTGAGTCCTTGCTCTGTGTCAGGCCACAGTGTAGATATTCCAGGGATGGAGGTGACCAAGCAGACATGGCCATAGTGACAGGCTAAGGAAGCACAAATCACAAATACAGAAGATAATTCCTGGTAGTGACGGGTGCCTCCAAGCATATAAAACAGGGTAGTGAGATGGGAAGTTAGAGTAGAAATGGCTCAATTTTGTGCTGGAACTGGCTGCACCAGCAGGAGCCAATGATTACCCATCTCCCATGTTTAGTGACATCATGTTGATAGCTTGATTTCAGCCATAGTGAGAATATTTTCACCACGGAAATTGGCACATGCTACACATCAGGGCTCCCTCCTCCCCACCAAAGCTGATCATTAAACATTTTCTAGAACATACCTGGAAGGCATCTGGGAAGAGGTAACATTGATCTTAATTGTTATTAGAGAGAATTTTCAATTTCAGTTGTAGCATGAAAAATCACAGAGTCCATTTATTTCTCCTCTTCGAGTCAGTATATCTCAAAACATTTTTTCAACGTTAATAGAAATATAAGAAGTGCCTGGATCAGTTTTTGTTTTTGTTTTGTTTCTTTTTGAGATAGGGTCTCATTCCGTTCCCTAGGCGGGACTGCAGTGGCACCATTATGGTTTACTGCAGCCTTGACCTCCCAGGCCCAACTGATCCTCCTGCCTCAGTCTCCCAAGTAGCTGGGACTACAGGGACACACCATCATGCTGAGCTAATTTTTATATATATTTTTTTACAGAGACAAGTTCTCGCCTTATTGCCCAGGCTGATCTTGAACTCCTGGGCTCAAGCCACCAGCCTGCCTCAGCCTCCCAAAGAGCAGAGATTACAGGCGTGAGCTACCACACCCAGCCATTTATCTGTTTTTTAAATAGCATTTTGGAGATGACAGAAAAAAAAATAAAGGAAAGAGAACGCTCATAGAAGTTTAAGGTTCAGAAGTATTTGGCTTTGAAAAAAAAGTTTAAGGGACTGTTTGTCATGGGGTCTGGTCTTCCAAATTTAATGCCTCATTCCAGGTAGCTGCAGATTTTATAGTTTCTCTCAAAGAATGTCAATCCTATTGTCTTTCCCTGCTTCCCCCTCCTGGATGAAGTCTTTCTCTACACTCTTTTTTGGGAAGTTCCCAAATCTGTCAGTATATATTACAAAAACTGTTACCGCCTAACACATTAAATGTATTTAAATTATTTGTTCTATTAAAATGTCAGTGTATTTCTTGAATTTTAACTGTGCCTGAAGATCAATCATTGTAACAGCTGCAGGGAAGGCTTTATGACTTACCTGAACGGTGGTGTATTCTGTGGCTCGGCTAAGTGGATTCTTCGACTTTAATAGATTTTACTAGCTAGGACAAACCATTTGAGTGGCTTCTGTTGGAGTTTTATTCTTGATACATACCAATGATTTACTCAGATCCGTTAGAAAAAATAGTTTTAGGGATGATAAAAATTATGATAATAATATTGACAATAAATAGAGTATTCGCCAATATGTATAGAGTGCCCATTATGTTTCACACCCTATGTCTTGTGTGTGGTGACTCATTTGAACCTTATAGCAGCCCTGAGGGATAGGTGCCGGTTTGTCTCTATGCGCCCATGGGAAACTGGGGCACAGAGGTGTTAAGTAAGTGACCCAAGAACACACAGCTGGTAGGAGTTTTAGCCAATATTCCAGTCTCGATCTGCTGATATGAAGCCGATGCAGCTAGCCACCATGTTATACCCACCCATAGTCATGAAAATAAGATGAGCTTAATTTTTTTCTTTTGAGACTGGGTCTTGCTATGTTACCCTGGGTGGAGTGCAGTGGCACAGTCATAGCTCACTGCAATCTTGAACTCCTGGGCTCCAGTGATTTTCAGCTTACTGAGTAGCTGTGACTACAGGCACAGGCCTCCATACCCAGCTAAGTTTATTATTTTTTGGTAGAGATGGAGTATTGCTATGTTGCCCAGGCTTGTCTTGAACTCCTGGCCTCAAAGCGATCCTCCTGTCTCAGCCTCCCAAAGTGTGGAGATTACAGGCATGAGCCACTGCACACAGCCAAGGTCAGCTTTTTCACTTCAGCACACCAGGATTTTCATCCCAGCTCTCCAATCCCCCAGCTGTGTGGGCCTGGTCAACCTGTTTAGCCTGTCAAGACTTCAGTCCCTTCAACTGATAGATGGGAGAAATTAATAGCACCTGCCTGAGAAGGCCAGCTTTTTGGGGGACCCAGGAGTTACGAATGCCCAGCACTTCTCAGGTGATAGCTGCTGCTTATCTCCTTGTACAGAGAGAACTGGAACATTCTGAAGATGAAATGGGATAATAATGTCCATGAAAAGACCTGGCTTCACGCTTGCCTCCTGCTAGTTCCTTTTCTACTCTATTTCAGCTTCCTGTTTGTAACATGATTTAAGCACTAAGCTATTGAATTTTGGAGTGCATTAAAAAAAATATCGAGTGGAAAAAGGAATATTTCTTAGGGAGGAAAAACCCGACTTTTGACTTTATAATATTAAGTTCGTTCATATCTCTCTTAGATTCTTATATAAATTTTATTGACCTAATGTTCTGTACAGTAGTCCTTAATTACAGTTTTGGTTTCCAAGGTTTCAGTTATACATTGTCAACTGTGGTACAAATATATTACTTACAATATGATATTTTGAGAGAGAGAGACCACATTTATGTAACTTTTATTACAATTTATTGTTATAATTGTTCTATTATTGTTGCTCATCTCTTACTGTGCCTAATTTATAAGTATACTTTATTGTAGGTATGTATGTATAGGAAGAAATGAAATATATGTAGGGTTTGGAACCATCTGAGGCTTTAGGCATCTACTGGGGGTCTTGGAGTATATCCCCTGTGCAGAAGCGGAGGCTACTGTACATAAATTTGCCTGTAAGTGAGCGCGTTCTTGGATTTTGTTGAATGGTGCCACTGATTATGGGTCAGAGCTTGTTGAAAGGGTATTAATCCATTATTTACTAAAACTAATTAAATTTTCATGTCATTTCTTTACTTATTGTTTTTATTCTCTATCAGTGTAATTTATTACAGCAACCAATTAAAGAACAATTTTATGGTTCTATCAGTGATGCCAAAAAAGCATTTGCTCAAATTCAGAAGTCGTGATAAAGCCAACCAACCAACGAAACAGCAATACTTGTAACTAAAATTGGGAGAAAGGAAAACACTTTCAGTAGAGTCAAGGATTTTTTTGTTAATTATTTTTATTTTTAGAGATGGTCTCACTATGTTGCCCAGGCTGGTCTCGATCTCCTAGGCTCAAGCAGTCCTCCCATCTCAACCTCCCAAAGTGTTGAGATTACAGTTATGAGCCACCGCATCCAGCCCACAAATATTATTCCAAACTGTAAAATCGTGAAATGTTTTCCATTAGAATCAGAAACTAGACAAGAATATTCATGATAGCTGTCAATTGTCACATTATTTTAGAAGTTTTAACAAATACAGTAAGACAAAAAAAGTCTTAAGTAATGGGATGAAACCAAAATGTTCTTTGTTTTAAACTTCTGTAATTATAATCCTAGAGAAGCTAAAATATTCAGTAAAAATTACTAGCAATGAAATAATTTGAAGAGTTGGCTAGATGTAAGGTAAATATATACAAATTAGCTGGTATATACTAGTTATAATTTAAGATGGAGATAGAAAAAAACCCCATTCAAAATATTAACACAACTATCAGATATTTAAGAATAAATGTATAAGAGTGATCAAATACCTGTATTAAAATTATATAATTTATTGAAAGGAATTTTTTGAAAGTCACCCATAAAATGATATAATTTTACCATAAAATATCAGCTAAAAAGGGGGCAGTCAGCAAAAGCTCAGCTGTGAATTAAGATTATTTTCTAACCCTTAGTTCTTTGATAACATAAATACCGGTAGAACTTGGAATATTTCAAGTAAAGTAACATGCTGTGTTTTATCTGTATTCCTGGTAACTTGCATTTTTCAAGGAAGGAAGTGTATGATATGAAGTAGGCTTATAATTTAGTCAGATGAGCTCTTGGATTATGTTACCTTGAATATAATGCAGAGGAGAAAACAAAAAGAGTCTTTTGCATTTTTATTTCTTATCAATAGGTCCCTTTTTCTTGGAATGTCAGCCTGACCCTGAAGGTATTCTCCTACCAGCAGAGCCTTCTTTGATGCCCCGTCTTCAACCTGCCATGTTTTCCCATCTCTGAGGCTTCTATTTTAGAGACTTTTCCTCCAGAACTGGCTTATATCATCCTGTGTTGCTGCATCCGATCACAGGTCTGTGGCTGACCTGGGCAGCGTAGTAGAAGGGTCTTGAGATTTGGAGTCGTAACGAGTTTTCAAAACTCATAACTATATTACAGTTTGCGCAAGTCATTTAACCTATCTGAAGCTTCATTTCCTCTCCCACACAGGATAAAATAAGGATAATAACAGCCATTTTAGAGTTCGTATTAATATTTAAGTGGGAGAATGCAGCCAGTACCCTGAGAATTAAGGTTCATTCACTCAGCAAGTGCTTACTAAGCATCTGGTTTATATTATGGGAAGTTTTGAGAATTAGGTGGTCAGAAAGGTGTGGTCCTCGCCTTCAAGGAGCTTACATTCTAGGAAGCGAAGACTACTGAACAAGAGATTTTAGTGCTAGGATTGGAGACCCCAGCAGAAGTAGCAAATACTGTGTGAGGTTTAAGGAGGTTGGAGGCACCTTCGCTTGTACTTCTACATGTGTCCCTTCATGTCTAGTTCACTGATTTTTTAATTGAAATTTTAATTGAAGACTCACATGTAGTTGTAAGAAATAATATACAATGATTCCTCATATTCTTAGCTCAGTTTCCCCCAGTGATAGCTTTTGCAAAACAATTGTGCAATATCACAGTGTTGACACTTACAGAATCTATGGATCTTATTCAGATTTCTCATTTTACCTGTACTCAAGTGTGTATATGTGTGTCTGTGTCTACATATGTAGTTTTATACAGTGTCATCAAATGTGTAGCTTCCTTTATACACAACTACATCAAGACAGTGAACAGTGCATCACCACAAAATTCCCTTGCGTTGCCTTGCAAACCACACCCACCTTCCTTCTGCGCCTGCCTCATCCCTGACCCCTGGCAACCACTAAACTGTTCTCCACTTTTAAAATGTTGTTTTTTCAAAATTATTATATAAGCAGAATAGCATAGTATGTAATCTTTTGGGGACTGACTTTTTTCACTCGGTACAATTCCGTGGAGATTCTTCCCAGTTGTTGCACGTGTCGGTAGCTTGTTTAATTTCATTGCTCAGTAGTATTCCATGGTATTGTACATATAAGTGATCGTATGTTTAATCACTCTCCCGCTGAAGGAAATCTAGTCTTGGCTATTGAAAGTAATGCTATTATAAACATTTGTACACAAGTGTTTGTGTAAATAGAAGTTTTCTTTTCTCTGGGATAAATGCCCATGAATGCAATTGGTGGGTTGTAGGGTAATGACATGATTAGTTTGTATAAGAAACTGTCAAGCTGTTTCCATGCTATTTTACATTTCCACCAGCATTTGGTGATCTAGTTTCACTATATCTTCACCAGCATTTGGTGGTGTTGCAGTTTTTTATTTTAGCCATTCTGGTAAACATGTAGTGATATTTCACTGTGGTTTTAATTAAATTGCCCTGATAGCTAATAATTTTAAACATATTTTCATTTGTTTGTCATCTATATATCCTCTTCGGTGAAATGTCTATTAATGTTTTTTTCTCATTTTCTATTTGAATTGTTGTATTATTGTTGCATTTTGAAAATTCTTTATATATTCTAGTTATTGGTTCTTTGTTGGATATGTGGTTTGCAAATATCTTCTCTCAATCTACAGCTTGTCTTTTCATCATCTTTACATGGACATTTGCAAAATAAAAGTATTTAGTTTTAATGAGGTCCAATTTATCAATTTTTCCTTTCATCAACTGAGCTTTTGTTGCCAAATCTAATAATTCTTTGGGTAACCATATATCCCAAATAATTTCTAATATTTTTTTCCTAAAAGTCATATATTTTTGCATTTTGCATGTATGCCCATGATAAATTTTGAGTTAATTTTTGTATAAGATGTGAGGTTAAGGTCAAGTCTAATAAATTTTGCCTAGGAACATCTCATTGTTTTAGCACCATTTGCTGAAAATGATCTTCCTCCAGAGAATTTTTTTACCTTTATTCAAAATGAATTGAGCATGTTTGTGTGGGTATCTTTCTGGCTTCTTTATTCCACTGATCTATGTGTCTGTCTCTCTGACAATTATACGCTGTCTTCATTACTATAGCTATGTAGTAAGCCTCATGTCAGGTAGAGTGATTCTTCTCACTGTATTCTTTTTTATTAAGATTATTTTAGCTTCCTAAGACCTGTGCTTTTTCATATAAATTGTACAATATGGTTGTCTATGTCTACCAGAAGCCTTGCTGCAGTTTTAATGGGGTTTAAATCTATAGGTCTAACATTAAACCTATAGATCAATTCGGGAGAATTGACATCTTTACTATGTTGAGTCTTCCAGTTTGTGGACATGGTATGTAATTCTATTTATTTAGTATAAACCCACTGGAGTGTGTACCTAAGCATTTCATTTTCTTTGGAGCGATTGTAAATGGCATTGTGTTTTTAATTCCAACTTCTACATATATCTAGAAATATGATTGAGTTTTGTGTGTTGATCTTGATCCTATGAGCTTGCTGATTGCATTTATTATAAAGTTCCAGGAGTTTTTTATTTTTGTTTGTATTTGTTAGTTTTTTTGAGATTTCTTGGGATTTTCTATCTAGCCTGTCATGTCATATGCAAATAGAGAATTTTATTTCTTCCTTTATAATATGTGTGCCCTTTTTTTATTGCCTTATTGTAGTGGCTAGAACTTCCTGTGCTATGTTGAACAAGAGTAGTGAGAACATCCTTGCCTTGCTCCTGATCTTAGGGAGGGGGAAGTTATTTACCATTTCACCACTAAATTTGATGCTAGCTGTAAATTTTTTGTAGATGTTCTTTATCAAGTTGAAGTGATTCTTCTCAATTCCTAAATTACTAAGAAACTTTTGAAAATGATAATGGGTGTGTACTTTTTATCAACTGCTTTTTGTATGCCAATCTATATGATCATATGATTTTCCTTTAGCTTTTTGATATGGTGGACTATATTGATTTTAAATATTGAACCAGCCTTGAAGACCTGGAATAAATCCCACTTGGTCATGGCATATATGTTTTTTTATACATTGTTGGATACAGTTTGCTAACATTTTGTGGATAGCTCACCAACTTTTATTCAGAAAACATCCGTCTCAGTTTAGTGCCCAACAAGGAAAGCATACTGTTTGTTGGGTGGGTTCCATTTTTGTGGTTAGGAGAAGAATATAGCTCCCTTCCTAGGGACGGTCTCAAATGAGTCCCCATCAGCCACCAGGGAGCTCAGCTTTAGTTGCATAAGAACCAATGAGCATTTAGTTTCATGTCTCATAAATAATCTGCCTGCTTATATTTTCATCTGTACTTCTCTCAGCTGGCATTCTGCCACAGACTACATTTAGGACCGCAGCCAGTGGGTTACAGCAGGAGACCAGACTCCAAGTTCTGGCCTCACGTTGCTTGGTATACATCACTCAGTTCTGTTGGCATGGATGCTCCTCCTATACCCCATCAGCCATCTTGCAGTATGGGTTTGGTGGATCACACAGGGATTCAGATAAGAGGGTTCAGATCCTTCTATCCATCAACCCACCCATCCACATCACTGAAAAAGGGACTCTCAGATGCCGATGACCAGTAAGACCACATCTGTGGGCACAAAAGAGCCCATTTATGTTTTTTATGGGAACCTAAGAAGGAAATGCTTTTCTGGTCAAATACGTTCTTCTCTGATTAGGCCTCTCATTTTAAGGCAGTTGAGAAGACTCACAGATGTGATTCACTGGCAATGGCTCTGGTTCACCAAGCTTAGCTCTGCTCAGTCTACCTTTAGCAGAAGATTAAAAATGAAAACTCTTCTTGTTAGAGGTAGAAGAGATCCTTTCCCAAACCATAGATTCATGGAACTGTCAAAGAGCAGCACTGAACTTTGTACTCAATGCCTTAATTTTTCCAGTTGAGGATAATTCACACTAAACAAGGGATTTCACCTCTCTGACTCATGCATCAGGAACTTGGAGATAAAGCCCTGTTAATAATTCATAATTATATAGCATAGCATAGGGCAGTTTCAGATGCTTCAACTACCAGGTAGGTAGAATAAAGGAATGAAGTTGCTGTGTATACGATGATAAATGGTGCTAAATCTATGTCCCCAATATAGGGAAGACAGGAGAAAGTGCCAAAGATAGTGTGCATGCCTCATCTCTAAGGGGCAGCCATTATTGACGTCCAGCTGAATGTTGCCACGTGGAAATTAGCTATAAACTTGCCAGAACCTCCAGTTTTTCTGGAGAGATTAGATTAGAAATTCATATATTTTTAAATATTAAATCATCCCTTTTTCTTGAGATGGTGTCACGTCGTTGCCCAGGCCACCGTTTATGTTGTCCAGGCCACCCTGGAACTCCTGGACTCAAGTGACTTTACCCCTTTGGCCTCCTGGGTAGCCGGGACTACAGGCGTGTGTCACTGCATCCAGCTTAAGTTATCCGATTTGTAAATGGTGGCAATGAAATCATTGCGTAGGCCACTTGGAGTGAGCCAAATAAAATACATCCGCAGTCCAGATTCAACCTGCAGGCCATCATTCTGCTGTCACTGGTGTAGAAGACTTTTTCAGCCTAGTTTATTCTAGGCTCTTTTCATTTCTCCCTGATTTGAGGCTTTGTAGGACGTTGCACAGGAATTATTTCCCTTTTAAACGTTAGTTTTCATTTTACCAGTGCAACTCTGCTATTGGCACATCTATGAAATACGTAAAGCTATCATTTTAATACTAAAGAGGAAACACAAATTTGACTCATTTCCCCAGAAAATTCCCCTCCTGCTTTCCATATGTTATATAGTTAACTGTAAAAGTGGCACCACCTCTTAAACAGCCAGCTATTCTGATCATTTGAAATCTGGAACATTCTTTCCTACGGTGGTTGACTTTTCACTGCCTTTGAGGTTCTTTCCAAGTAAAGGCGTTATTCTTTGTGGTGTGCTCCTGGAGGTCACTAACAAAACGTCTCCAGCAGGTGTTGTGTGGATTCCCCCAAATCCGTAGGCTCTTATTTCCTAGACATGAAGAGTATGTGCGCCTTCTTTTTGGTTACCCTGGACCAGACATTCCTCAGCACTGGCTTGCATTGGCAGGAGGTGGCAGAGGGAGAGGACAGTAACCAATACCGCTCCTTCTACATGATCAGTGTTCAGGTTGAAGACAAACAGGGCTCCAATTATGTTGTGATTTAGAAGGCGACAGAGCTGAGACCTCACCCTCTGCTTATGGGCTGCATGCCTTTCTCAGTGAAATAACGCAGAATGCAGAGGCCATGCCTGCAGATCAGGGGTGCTAGAGGATAGGCAAGAAGTAAGTGGCCACCCTATCTCGTGTTGAGAGCATGCTAGTCTCCGAACGGCCTGCCAGGGTGCCTGACAGCCAGAGCCACCTAATGGGCCTATTTGATCCTGGAGTTGCTGTAATGGCAAGAAAATCCATGGCCTCCAGCCCCAGTGTTGAAGTTTTGACGCTAATGTGATGATAATTCTCTTTTCTTTGACTGGGGACTTGCCTTTGTTTATCTTTTTTTGTTGTTTTAGCCATGAAATATCACATGTAAATAGCCGAGGATATCTGGGCTCTGAGTCTTTAAAAGGCAACAGAAAGGTCTCTGTTACGAAGGGGGAACTAGTTTTCATTGTCACTGTATTAAGCAGAAGTTGGGAATCATAGAAGACCTTGATCTTACCATATCCCTTGTTAAATTTCCTCTAATACTATTGAGAAGTTTATCCTCTACTTTTTCCTGTAGAGTAAAAGATATCGATTTTGTTTCTGTCGGCACTGCCTTGGAACTTGCTTGCATCCCTCCCCCACGCGAGGCGAGGCCCTGAGGAGCGGGATTCGCTGACCCATGCTGGCAGAACGGGTGATGGATGAGGCAGAGAAGGGTACAGGCTGGCTGGACCATGCGATGGGGAATGCAGGTGGAACAGGCTTCCTCCTGAATCAGGAGTGGAAGAGGAGTCTGGGGTGAAGCCAAGGGGAAGACAGTTAAGCTTTAAAAAACCAACTGCCCAGCCGGGCGCAGTGTCTCATGCCTGTAATCCCAGCACTTTGGGACGATGAGGCGGGCGGATCACGAGGTCAAGAGATCCAGATCATTCTGGCCAACATGGTGAAACCCTGTCTCTACTAAAAAATACAAAAATTAGCTGGGCGTGGTGGCGTGTTCCTGTAGTCTCAGCTACTCGGGAGGTTGAGGCAGGAGAATCGCTTGAACCCGGGAGGCAGAGGTTGCAGTGAGCCGAGATCACGCCACTGCACTCCAGCTTGGCGACAGAGTGAGTCTCCATCTCAAAGAAAAAAAAAAAAAAACAAAAACCTGCCCTGCCCAGCCATGCCCAAACAGAGTGGCCAGCAGTCAGCTTAGTGTGGGCAGAGCTCAGGGAATTATTCTGCAGTGCAGCTAACATCTAGCACCTTCTTTGTGTCAGGTGGGCCAGCACTGGGGTGGAGGCCGAGACAGCTTGTGAGCTCACTCCCTGGGAGATAGAACGGAGTACCCAGTTGCACTGAGGGAAGAGCAGGGATAGAAGTGGGCTCCGGGTCTAGGAGACGGTGGAAAGAGAGGACTGCTCCTAGCGTGAGAGTGTCAGGGAAGCTTGCTGGGGGAAATACAAGGAAGGAAGAGAATGCAGGCAGCTCAAAAGAGCCGGGCAAGGAGACCTGCAGAGCGAGCGGAGGCCTGGTTTCTGTGAAGCACAGGGCAGGAAAATCCAAACTCACTTGAGTACACGCTCAGGGTCATGGGCTTGCTATATTTTTCATTCAACCGCCAAGAAATCTTGAGAGGCAGCTTTATCATCTCCATGTGAGGAGGAGGAGATTCAGGCCCAGCGTAGTGGCTTGCGAAAAGATTCCAGCACTAAAGTTTGACCCCAGTCCTACCTGACTTCCTTTCTCCAGCTGTGAGACTCCCCTGTACAATTTTTCTGGAGGGTCTAGAGTCACATGAGTCACGCCAAGCCGCCCTTTCAGTGCGAAGGAATCCAAGCAGAGCCCTCCTCTGCTGTGGGTACTTACTTAGGGAACTGTGGAGGTGTCCTCAGGTAGCCACTGGTGTGTGGGGTCATACCAAGTCATTTGGTTTACATCGGGAATGCCTTTTGTCGTTATGTCTAGACCCCTGGAGAACAGCCCACGGCAATGCACTTGTGGAAATTCGGACTGTGGATTACACTGAGTAACAATCCTAATAATACCTGCACACAATCAGTTGCCTGTCCAAAAAGCAATAAAGAACCTCTAGATTTTGTGGTCACCATATTAATCATAAATTGGGGATCATAGAAGGCCTTAATCTCATTGTACATACTTTTCTATTCCTCCCAGTACCATTTAAAGGTTAGTGAAAGCAACCTTTAGTATCATCTGTTTTTTGGGGGGGGTTTTTTGTTGTTGTTGTTTAGCTGTTTATGGGTAGGAGAATGCGTGCTCTTTTAGGGACATCTCTTCAAATAAGAACAGGTTGTAACCTACACTCAAAAGAGATGCTCTTGGCAAGGTATGGCCCCTAAGGTTTGAAAGCGTTTTCCAGGCCTGCTGTCAGGCCAGGCTGGACTGTCCACAATTTCTTGTCCTGCCTCCCGTGATGCTAGCCATGGATGCACCCCAGAAGCATTTAGAATTTGGGAGAAAAAGGAGCAAGGCATACTGCCCAAATCCAAAACAACTTTGGCTCCCTTTGGCCTCCATTCTAACATGCTGAGTGGATGCATCATGGATAGTCTTTTAAAAACAAGTTCTCATCTATTCAATGTCAGAGCCCTAAATGGTATGAAAAATAGGCAACTTGGGTCATGCCACTACAGATCGACACCCACTAAATCCTTTTAATTTAGTCTAGTGCAACAAGTATTTGTGTAAGTGTCCTCTGCCCTGGACACCGGTGAGGTCACCGTGGGAATGGCTGGGCAGGAACAAAGCCTTTTGTTTCCAGCTGAGTTTCCTTTTCTGAAGATTGCCTGTCCTAGACACCAGTTCTCTGTTCTCTGTGACTCTGATTCCTGTCTCCTCTTCTTTCACTCTCATCCATTTTCAATACTGGCCCCTCATTTCACTTCCTCAGCTAAATCTACCTCTCAAAGATAGACATGGACATATAAATAATTTTTTAAAATCCTCTTTTGCAAAAAAAAAAAAAAAAAGAGGTGAATTTAGTTGAAAGGATATAGCCACTCTTTTCTGAAGTGATGGGGATATTCGATGGCAATTTTGTGTTTTCTTCACTTGGAAAAACTAAAAAGTTTGCAACATTTAAAAAAAATACAACCCTTATGCTGATGGATGTACACTGTAAAACAACCACGTTTGGTAAACTGTTAATCACTTTCATAGTGTATGTGGATGGAGCCAGTTAAACCAGTTTTCATGTCTTTTGGGTCCTTTTGAGTCTGAAGATAACCATTTTTTAGGTCCTCATGAACCTCTGAGCATGAACCATGAAATTCCTATTACACCTGTGCTTTTATAAACTTGATCCAAGGTTTAGGCTCTCAGTGCCTGTTTCCTGTTTAATACATATCATGGTTTTGGAAAAAATGAAAGAAAGAAAGAAGAGGAAGAGCTGTCATTCCTCTGACAAGTATTTTCAGTGGAATTAGGGTCATGATGTCATGCTTATTTCAAAAGATAGCTTCATCTGTGCCTTCACCCAGACTTAGGGTTCTAGATTCTTCTAGATTCTACAGCAGGCACTGGCAAGCTTTTGCTTAAGAAGGCAAGCCGGGAATGGTGGCTCACGCCTGTAATCCCAGCACTTTGGGAGGCCGAGGCAGGCAGATCATGAAGTCAAGAGATGGAAACCATTCTGGCCAACATGGTGAAACCCCATCTCTCCTAAAAATACAAAAATTAGCTGGGCATGGTGGCGTGTGCCTGTAGTTCCAGCTACTCGGGAGGCCGAGGCAGGAGAATCACTTGAACCAGGGAGGAAGAGGTTGCAGTGAGCTGAGATCACGCCATTGCACTCCAGCCTGGCGACAGAGGGAGACTCTGTTTCAACAACAACAACAAAAAAGGTGGGGGGGTGGGCAGAGAGTAAAATATTTTAGACTTTGAAGTCTAAGAGACAAAATTGAGGTTATTATGTAGGTATTCATATAGCATTTAAAATGTAATCATTTTAAAATGTAGAAATCACTTTTAGATCGTAGACCATAAAAAAACAGCAGGAAAAACTACATGGTTGGCTGGATTTGGCCAAGTTGACATAGAGAGCCAATCCCTCATCTCCAGCAGGGCTTTTACTCAATGATACAGTGCGCATGAATTGCTTGGGGGATTGTGTACAAAGTGCAGATTTGGTTATAGGAGGTCAGGGAGGGGCCTCAATTCTACATTCCTAAGAAGCTCCTAACAGGCTGATAATCCATGGATCGCATTTTGAATAGAAAGGATTATGCAAAAAGCCAGAGTTTTTTTTTCCCTTGTCTTATACCAGTGGTGCCTAGCATGGTGTCAGGTTTATAGAGGACTAATACATATAAGAAGGAGAAAGGGAGGGAGGAGGAATTCCAGTTGTTTTTTTTTTAATCTAGGTACAAGTCTCTCTGTTGATTTCTAAACATCGAATGAAGATGAAGGAAATACTTAAAGCACCTAAGCACTCATAACTCACTTAGTCATTTCACTATTAAAAGAGAAAAATAGTTAGTTTACAATTTCCAGGAAATCAGACAGGTCACCACCACCTCTTCAACGACTGGAATTTGCACAGTCTCACTACTCATAGGCCCATCTGTTACTACTAACAGTGCTAATGTGATTGTCTGTAGGTCTAGCAATTGGAGGTTGTTCGTTTCTTTGAGACAAGGTCTCACTCTGTTGCCCAGGCTGGAGTGCAGTGGTACAATTTCAGCTCACTGCAACCTTTGCATCCTGGGCTCAAGCAATCCTCCCACGTCAACCTCCAGAATAGCTAAGACCCAGGTGCGCACCAACACACTTGGCTAATTTTTGTGCATTTTGTAGAGATGGGGTTTTGCCATGCTGCTCAAGCTATTCTCGAACTCCTGACCTCAAGTGATTCACCCGCCTCAGCCTCCCAAAGTGCTGGGATAACAGGCGTGAGCCACCGCTCCCAGCAACAATTGCAGTTTTTAAAGGCAGAAAATATTACACAGGTGGGTTCAAATTTGCCACACCAAGTAGAAGGTGTTGGAAGGAAAATTAGGAATTCTTAAGCTTCAGAAGATTAGTAGTCAGAGTTAAAAACCAGACAATTAACAAGTTAAAAAAAAATTGTGAAGCACACACAGCTGTTATCTTCCAGAAACACTGCTTACAGAGGTAATTGCTCACAGATTTTAGGGTTTACAGCAGGTATCACAGGATTTCAAATTTAAGAGGGGGGTGGGGGCCTGTGTTCAAAGTCTTAAGAATATCCAAGGGATGTATGATGTATGCATAATTACCTGAAATTGAAACTACTGTAGTTTAAACACTTGCTGAAAGAAGACCTTTTATTTCATCTTCTCTACAGGCTGAAGGAAAGAAAAAACAAAACTAACAACTAACAGAAAAACTTTTCATGTCGAATATGTAGATTTACAATATGTGAATTATCATCAGAAGAATGAGGTTCTTTGATGATTGTTGCAGATACCCTGAAGAACTGGCCCTTGTTGTAGAAGAATGGCACAGGGCACATGGTAAAATGGCCCTGGCCATTCCTTTAGACATTTTGTTTGTACTTATATTAACTTGAGAGAAAGTATTAGGAAAAACAGAGTAATTCTGTAGAAATATTCCTGATGATACACTAGGCAAAGCAGGGAGAAGAGAAAAAGTGAGCAAGAAATTGTGACTATGAATTCCAAACCAGTTTGGCTGGATGAGCCAAAAAGACAAAACAAGAGCATTCAAGAGTCTGTCAGGAAGTGGTGGCCTTTAGTTCATTTTAGTAGCAAGAAAACTGATCTTTTTCTGATTTTAAGAACTATACCATCTCTATTCTGGGCTTCACTCTTAGCTCTCACAGTTAGAAAACAGTGAGCCTTGGTCAAGTCTCATAAACTGTGTCTCAGTTTTTTCATTTATACAATGGCCAAAAAAAAAAAAAAGAAAGAAACCACAAAACCATACCTTCTTTGCAGGGTTGTGTAAAGGAAGGTTGAACTAGAATAGGTTGAAGTCAATCACATCTCTAAGGCATTTGGCATGTAGTGGAACCTCAGTAATCAGTAGTTTTTATTATTTGGTGCACGATGAAACTGGCTATCTGGAGATGTTTTAAAATACAGGTTTTATTATTATTTAGGTATGCTAAGACCAGCAGATCAGGAGACAATGACCACTGAAAAGACAGTTTGTGAGAGTTGTGATGATTGTGATCTGTGTCCTTTACAGTTTGCAAGGGAAGGGGACATGCTATGTCAGAGTGGAGGGACATGGGGAGGCACCAGGACTGGTCAAGAGGCAGAGGGAGAGGGTCAAACCGTGGGTTCTGTGGGGAGGACTGAACGAGGCAGGGTAAGTAGACTAGGGTTTGAGTAAGTTCAGCAGGCTCTGGGGAAGAGGGGCTGTCCCTATTTTTCTGGTACCTGGCCCTGGGTGATTAGAAAGGGTGGATGGTGGCCTGGGGCATGAGAAATAAAGGAGGTGGTGGGGTGTAAGTTCTGGATTGGTTGGGTTGCATTCAAAAGGGGTGCCCCCAAGTGAGTTGTTTGCTGCCTCTAGGAATTTATTGACCCTGGGAGGGGAGATCCCAGATGTCAAAGCATGGGAGGACAGAAAAGAAACAGCATGGTTCCCACAAGAGAGAAGTAGACAGAGACCTCTGGAAGTTTAAAAATATATATGTTGGGATTTCATAGATGAGGTGAGCAAAAAATTGGCCGGGAAGAACTATTAAGGAGGAGATGATCAGAAACATTTTCAAAATACCTGGAACAAACAAAGAACCACATTTCAAGAAAAAGACAGAGAAACAAGACTAGCAAATAGAGTTTTCAGGTGGAAAAATCACACGTTGGACAGGAGACTGAAGGTAAGGGAAACCAAGTCAGGCTTTAACACCATTCTGAATTGCAGCTGCAGGATCACTTGCTTTAGATGGAATCACCCAGCGGATGGCGTTTAACTCTGCTTTAAACCCCTTCATGGCTTCCCACCACACTTACAAATACAACTCCTTATCCTGTCAGCAGGGGCTTGCTTAATCTGACCCTTTCCACATATGCTGGATCACTTCACGCCTCCCTGTTCTTTCAATTCCTTGAACACACCAAGTTCCTGCATTCCCGCCTCAGGGCCTTCACCTTCAGCCTCTCTGTCCCCACCTGCTATCCTCCCCAGCTTTGCACACCTGATTGCTTTTTGTAAGTCAGATCTCAGATTAATTGTCGCCTTTACAGACAGATTTTTCTTAACTCTCCAGTCTAAAGAAGCCACCTCCTCCAGTTCTCAGCACTGTGCTTCTCACTCTCGTTTATTTTGTTGTTTATTCATTTGCTTGTCATCTGTATTTTCCCACTAGAACTCAAGTTTGTGACAACAAGGACCTAGGTCATTTTCACTGCTGTAGTCCCAGTTCCTACAACAGTGCCCAGGACACACCAGGAACGTGACATTTATTGAATAGATGAAAGAACAGTGTAAAAACCACATTGCTCTTCACTCTGCCTGCAGCCAACTCAAGAACAATTTCCTAAAGCAGCTCTGAAAATTACGAAAGAAATAGTGCATGGATTCCAGCCCCAGTAGGCTTCTGGGCTTGGTGTTTCTTTAATTTCATGTAAATTTCTCTAAGTAAATATGCCTTAAAAGTGAATAAAATTTTATTTCGCTTTAACAAGAGAATATAAAAGTTAAAAAGGTCACTGTAGTAATAGACTAATCTCAATTACCAGGGCAGCCTCTGAAACCCTCACTCCCACCTAATCTCATTCGGTGCATACGCAGCTCACCGTGTGATTTCCAACACAGCTAAATGAAATTATAAAGCAGTGTTAAATTTATTAATCATTTAATTAGCTAAATGTTCCTGCAAGTACTGGCTAGATGAATGGCATGTCATTTTCTAATGCAATTTGCCTCTCAGGCAGCCAGGGTCAGAAAGGGAAGCTCCTGGCATCTCGAATGAGCTCTTTATATCACACCTTCTACTGGGAGACGGTTGTTATACCACTGATTATATTTGAGACTTGTACACAAGACCAGGGCACTCAGATGCTGGAATTGGAAAATGCTCTCTTTCTTACCTGGGTTACAAAGAGGAGGCTCAGGGTAGCTGATGAGTCCCCCAGAGATTGTCTCTCCCCGTGTCCCCTTGCAGGACAAATCTTTTCATATTTAACAAGCCACTGAGCAGAACAGGGGGAAAGATAGCAGGCAGTATTAAACGCATGCTCAATCTAGTTTTATTTCTTCAAATTTACTCAGTCGAGAAAAATTTGTGGAGTGCGAATTCTCCTCATGCTAGGTGACTTTCTAATCCTTCTAGTTGAGTCAGGATTTATTTCTCCATTCTCGCCTTCTAGCCTGGGCTTGTCAGCTTGGGGTGTATGCCGCACCTCCTCTTTGAAGAGGATCTTCATTTGGAGGGGTGATCTGACTCCCAACCCTCCCCAGGTGAAAGCACCGGGATTCATACCTAGGGGGCTTTGGGATTTGGGGCTGACTTTGACCCGTCATTATTTCTGACTGCAAAATTCCTGACAAATGTCTGCTGCTGGGTGCTCTGTGAATCTGTTCCCATTTGCAGTGAGAGTGCTGGCATCAAGCACATTGTCTAAATTCACTCGGCAAGAAGCCGTTGGAGTGGGTGCCACGTGAGGCCGAGAACATCCAAATGAACACTGGTCTGTTTGTTCAAGATGGGAGCTGTCAGTTGTGAGAGCTCCTATGGGAAGAGTGTTTTGATGTATAGACATCCCTGGTCCACAGAGCCACCAAGCAAGGCAGACTATTTCGTGAGAAAGAAGGAAGATAGACTCCATGCAACACAGTGGGTGTGGCACCAAGCGGGAGGTGGAGGGTTGCTACCTAGTCCCGGCTCCACCTACTGTCACCTGCATTCCCCTAGACAAATCACAGCACCTCAGGATCCTTGATCTCATCATCTGTAAAACAGAGATCAGATGAACCCTCGATATTAATATCAATAAGAGCCGATCATAGGACTGCTCTAAGGATTAAATACAATGATGTAACCTACTTGAAAGTGTCATATAAATTCTGAGGTGAAGTGGAGGCATTATGGATGCATTTTATTTTGTTTTATTTTATTTCATTTATTCTTTTTTTGAAGAGGTATGGGTCAAGCAGATCTGCAGCCCACACTCGGCTCACTGATCACGTCCCATACAATCTTGGCAGATACTTAGCTGAATTCCATCGATTTAGTGATAAAATGGGAACAGTAGTAATGGTGCAGATTAGAGAAAAAAATGTGATTTGTGCATTCATATGTCTGTGTGTACATATATGTATATGTTCTGTGTATATGTAGACATGTATAGATGCATGTGTGTACGTATACACGCACACATACATAAATTGTGTACATACACATATACATATACACATACAATACATATATTCTGATACACATATGTACATATATGTGTATACATGCTATATATAATGTAGCACGTTTCCTGGCACCTTGTTTGGTTCAATAATGTTGCTGGGATTATACTACAATTTCCATTACTCTGACTATGGCAACACTGCTGATATAGGAGATCACTTTTCCGCACAAACACCTCTAGGTATTGTTTAACACAGACCTCATGAAATAGGTTTGCCATGGATTAGATAAGGCAATTCTGGACTCACTTCCAGGATAGAAGGCAAAGACAAGTACCAATATATTTGGTAAAAATATGACATGACATTTGAGTGCACACAGGCAAGTGAAGGTGGTTTCAAATCCTCCCTCTGTCTTTTCCCAGCTAAATGACCTTGTGCTGGCTCCTCACCTCCTAAGCCTCAGCTTATCTCTAGGATGGACGTCATTGTACTCCCTTCATCCCACCTAAGGTTGTTGTTAAGGATGAAATGAAAAGTCCACAGCATAAGCTTGACACATAAAATAAGCACCCGATGAATACTGACTAAAGAGAGAGGAGGAGTAGGGGAGAGAAGGAGAGAAGAGAGGAAATGAAAATGTTTCTGAATAAGTTATGTCTAAGTTTTTTCACTTTTTATTTTTTATTGTTTTCAGGACAGGGTCTTGTTCCATTGCCCAGGCTGGAGTGCAGTGGCGTGATCTTGGCTCACTGTAGCTGCTGTCTCCCGGATTCAAGCGATTCCCCTGCCTCAGCTTCCCGAGTAGCTGGGATTACACCCACCACCATGCCCGGCTAGTTTTTGTATTTTTAGTAGAGATGGGGTTTCACCATGTTGGCCAGGCTGGTCTCAAACTCGTGACCTCAAGCAATCCACCCGCCTTGGCCTGCCAAAGTGCTGGGATTACAGACATGAGCCACCTCACGTGGTTGAGATTTTTTCACTTTAAGAAATGCTTTTTCTGTCACCTCCCTGGACTGTCTTGGATTTGTTTCTTTGAGGGGAAATATGAGGCTTTAATTTTCCCTCCCAGGCCTTGGAAAGGCCAAGAGAAGCCTGGAGATAGGAATCCACCTACACAGAGTGTCTCAGTAAATTGGCAGTGGCCAGGACCAGAACCAGGACACCTGTCTCCCAGATCTGTCCTTTTCTTGGATAGCTTGAAGTTACGGGTAGTTATTGAATTGGTCACTGGCTACCCCCTGAATCATTACCTGATTTTTTACTGAGTGTTCCTACCTGTGAGTAAAGGGTGCCTGGTTTTGCACAAGTGTTTTCTTGGCCCAAGAGATATTTTTATATTTGCCTTTGGGTTGATGAGATGCTGGTATGTATCATTCGTTCAGCCATTCTTTCAGTAAGTCATCACGGAAGTCTGCCTCTGTGACAGATTCTGGGGCTCTAAGGCGGAATTTACTTCTTCAAAGTACAGTTTCCTGCCTTGCAAGTTTGGAGTTAAGGCCACGCAGACCAGAGTTACGTGCACAGGTTGTAATACTCTCTCTTGTCCCTGGTTGCCTGATTCAAGTTAGGGGCTTCTTCTGGATTCCGTAGGTAGGATGCTGACTCTCAGCTGTCCTGATGCCACTGGTGTTCCTCTAGTAGGCAACATTGATGGTAAACATAGAAAGTCATGGAAGGCCTCAGTTACCTCTAGCCCTGAAGACACAGGGATACCCTTGGGGCGGAGACCTTAGGGACAGGACAATAAAGATCAGGCCTTGGGAGATGCAAACAGTTTGCCCTTGGACCATGTCTTCTGCTTTCATCCTTATGCTCTCAACAGATCATGCCAAGGTCCTGTGTTCACCGCCTTCCTGAGTCCCCATTCAGAGGCTCAAGAATTGAGACAAAAGGGCATCCTGCAAATTTGCTGCCCTGGAAGCTGTGCTGGGGGAGCCAGTAGAGACTTCAGGTGGATCTGGAGGTCCTTCCCCAACCTTCTGCAAACCATGTCTTCCCAGAGAGCTTCTAAGCCAAAGCAAAGGTGTTGCTCTCTGCCTCCTGTTGCTCTGTAATTCATCTCAGCAACCATCTTTCCCATCTCTGGGAAGAGAATGTTGTCCCCCAGAAAAAGTCCTTATGGATAGATTTAGTTATTGCTTATGGTTTAGAGAAAGCGCCTTTCAACAGTCACATGCAAGTATTCTTTCAGGCATTTATCCAAACACACAGGATGAGGCCTCTTTGTCAAACCAGTGTTTGTTGACAAGCGACATTTGTGTGCAGGAGATGGCTCATTGTGTGTGTTTACTTGGAGCTGTTATATATGCTGGGGGAGACACTGTGTATACAAACCTAGGAGGGAGAGATTGGGAGGAGGGAAGAAAGTGAGGAATAGGCTTAGTGAGAAAGAGACCAGAGAAAGAGAAAAGAAATAAACATTAGCAGGGTGGTTAAACATCCAAGCATTGAAAACTGCGTGGTGGAGCTATGTACTAACTGGGGGGTCTTGAGGAAGCCCATTAGTCTCCCTGAGCCTCAGTTTAGTAGAAGTAGGAATCGTCATTAAGGCGCCTAATTTATGAAGTTACTCTGAGCTCTATAAGAGATAAGCATACAGAAAACTTTGGACAGTGCCTTGCACACAGTCAGTAATCAATGCATATTCATCATGATGTTAGAGAAAGGCCGGGCATGGTGGCTCACACCTGTAATCCCAGCACTTTGGGAGGCCGAAGGGGGTGGATCACCTGAAGCCAGGAGTTCAAGACTAGCCTGCCCAAAATGGAGAAACGCCATCTCTACTAAACATACAAAATTAGCCTGGCATAGTGGTGCATGCCTGTAATCCCAGCCACTTTTGAGGCTGAGGCAGGAGAATCACTGGAACTGGGAGGCGGAGGTTGCAGTGAGCTGAGATCGTGCCATTGCACTCTGGCCTGGGCAACGAGCAAAACTCCACCTCAAAAAAAAAAAAAAAAAAAAAAGAGAGAGAGAATAAGGTCAGAGGGGGAAAAGAGAGAAAGTGAAAGCAACAGTAAGGAAGAGAATTGGAAAAAAAAAAAAAGGAACTGATCTGGCTGTATCTGTCGAGTTGCTTCTGCCGTTTCTAGCCCAGCCCACGGTTTTCCCTCTGCAGGGTGTCTGTGGGCATGGTTTGCAAATAAACAGTGAGAAGTATAAGCTAAACATAGACTTTAGGCATATACATAATAGGCAGGCGTGATCGCGTTCACCCATTCAGTTTGCCATATAAAAGCTTTTCCTCGGTGCCACTTTATGGCCCAGAAACAAGGCTACAAAAACTTTAATACTGCTTTTTATTTTATAGAAAAATATAAATCAATACTTTCATGTCTGTTTGACGTGTTTGGGAGCTACAGCAATTGAGGCTTGCCAGTGTCTGGATGCCCCACCACTACCACGCCACTTAGCTCAGAGTTTGTTTTTTTCCTTCCACCATGTGAAATGTTGCTGGTTAACCAGTTAAAACGGGGAGATGGCCATGATTGCTTTTAGATTGCCACTTCCACATTGAGTGAATTTTATAATAAGAAGCCATTTTTTCCCCGACAGGCTGCCCTTGTGCCCGCCTCTCTGACTTTGAGGTCCTCATTATTGTGGGTTTAAATGAAGGATGTTCATTCAGGCAGGGATGGGGGGATGGGGGGAGGCCACCAGGCATCAGCGCTGTTATCAGGACCTTCTATCAGGCCAAGTGACAGGCGTCCAGAGCAAGAATGCAGAGCTCATGGTGGAGACCTCCGGCTGACACCAAAGGTGACTCCCCTCACTCTAACCTTGAAAGGGAAAGTTCCCACTTTATTAAAATGAATTTCGAAAGGGCCGCTCTGACAGCTGCATAATTAAATACTGGAGTGTCAGCGATAATTTATTCCACTCGCATGTGGTGGTCAGATCCTTTTCACTAGAGGGTCAGCAAACTCAGTGACAGAGGCAAGGAGACAAGGGATTCAGGGCCCTTTGTCATTTATGTAGCACCAGCCCTGAAATCGGAGACTCATAAAACCTACAAATACACACACAAACACAAACCAGGCAAACCCACACACCACAGAGAAGAGGCAAAGTGTGCATAAAGATACCCTGTTGTTATTCACCCAGTACAACTCTCTAATTCATGTATAAACAGTAAGTGTAAAATGTTCCACACCCTTATGTATAGACTTTTAACCTCTATTTGAGGGTCTCTGGGAGGACCATAGTTGTTTCTGAAGTATCACTTATCCTACGTTCCATGTAAGATCTCTTTCCTAGGGTAAACTTGATATGGAAGGTCTTCACAGATTAAAACGAAGGAAAAAAAAAAAAAAAACTAGATAAATCTCCCTGGACATGAACTTTTGTAGAAGTAGTTACAATGCTAGTGACCTCATATACTCATGGTAACGGCTTCCGGCATCCAATGACCTTGCCATTGCGGAGGTCAATTTCATGTGTGTGTGCACACATGGGTGCGTATATGTTACAGAGGGAAACTTGCCTGTTTGAAGCAGGTGTCGTGGAAACAACATGGGCTTTAGAGCCAGACATGGAATCCTTTCTTATGATTAATGCAGCTAAATTTCCCACTGCAGCCGGTAGCATATTGCTTCATAAATGTCTATAAAAAAATACGAAAAATAGAATCAGAGCAAATTCAGCATAGACCTCCTTGGGATGTTTATTCTTTGTTTATGTTGGTGTTTTGTTTTGTGTTGTTTCAGCTGGGGTGCAGTTGTATTCTGTTCCCTCTTTGCTAGTTCAGAGGCAGTGAAAGCGTGCTTCTCAGGACTCATTGTCCAGAAGATTCTGCCTACAGCTGGTTTTACGCAGAGAAGTAGCACACAAACCCAGTCCATGATTTCTTATTTGACTCTGTCCTGTTTACTCTGTCAGGGTGAAAAGCACAGGCCAAGCTCGGCTAGTCAAAGCATTACTTTGTCACAGGCAGGCTTGGCTTCTCCGAGTCAGCCTGAACAAATTACATCCCTCACTCGGTCGCCGAACCGGGAACAGGGTTATAACTCAGTCTAAGCACCCGTCCCTCTTCTATTACCTTCATAACCAAGGTCATACTAATCAACTCAATTACCAGCCCTCTCAGACATTTTCATAATGTTTTCTGGTAGTTGCTCTCCTGTGAAAATCTTTCGGTCTAAGCAAATTAATGTCATTTTCATAACTATCTGCATTTCAGGTACAGTGATCTCCTTTAAAAAGGCTGCGTCCCAGCAGCATAGACCAGCTTTACCTCCCAGCGTAGTCTTCAGACAAGTTGGGGTATTGCCGAAGTCCATTCTTGACTTTTTTTAATAGTGCAAACAAATCATCTTGTTTTTAGGAAAACATGAAATTATAAAGAAATTGACTTCAATCACTTCTGGAGGCAGAGCACTGAGTTGCCTCCCCACCTCATTCCCCTCACTCCCAACTCAGCAACCTGGGTGTTTCAGCCAGGGCTTTTCCAGGCCTTAATTTCTCTGACACAGGAGGATGGAATTACATTATTTCCACCACAAAGATTGTGTTTTAAATCCTTCTTAGTTTGCAGCTTTTCTTCCCTTTTGCCTCCTCTTTAGTTCATTCCAATGATAAATCCTCCCTCCTTTGTCACAGAGCCACTGTGTACTTTCATAGACCATCCTATTTTTCAACGAGAGTTCAGAACCACACCATACGGGCAGTAGTCCGCATTTTCAACATTTCCTAACAGCACAATTGTTAGGTAGCTAACAATTGAATTGACTATGTCAGGTAGACTTATTTTTCGAGTTGTGCTGGTTAACTGCAATCCAAGTTTAGGAAGCAAACTACCAATTTCATTTAATAGAATGAGCTAACCAAGGCACATGGTGACTACTGTCCCTCAAGACCGCTGAACTACCACTTCCAGCACCTGCTCAGATTATTCATTACAATGAAGCTCTTTAACACTGTGTTTGCATTCTTTAGTATATATCTTGTTAATAGTAGGCCCTGAATAAAGACCAGTTGAACAAATAAACTATTTTTCCATGTATTAATTCTTTAGTGAACTTGCTTATTTGTTCAGAAGAGACATTAAGCTAAGTATACAACACTCGGTAAATTTCAACTTCATCATATATATAATAATTATTTTTTTTTGAGACAGAGCCTTGCTGTGTCATCCAGGCTGGAGTGCATGGCCTGATCTCTACTCTCTGCAACCTCCACCTCCCAGGTTCAAACAATTCTCATGCGTCAGCCTCCTGAGTAGCTGTGATTACAGGTGTGTGCTACCACGGCCGGCTAATTTTTTTGTATTTTATTAGAGACGGGGTTTTGCCATGTTGGCCAAGCTGATCTGGAACTCATGTGCTCGAGCAATCCACCCACCTCGGCCTCCCAAAATGCTGGGATAACAGGCATGAACCACCATGCCCGGCCATCAGAAATATTTTATTTCACTATTTTAAAAAATTAGCAAAGAAGCAAATATGACAAAATGCTAACAATTCCAAAATGCTAATAACTTCTGAGTGGTGAGTATAAGTGTGATTATTATATTATTCTTAGTATTTGGTTTTTTTCTGTAGTGTGTAGTTTCCCTCCATGACACTGAGGGCTCAGATGGCTCTGACCTTGGAGACAGGGAGACATTTAGTGAAGGAATGGGAGGTAAGGAGCTGGCATCTCTGGTGTGTCCATCATGCACTGACCTGCACTAGATGTTTTGCTTCCAGAGTCTCCTGGAATGCTCCATGGCCTCCACGCATCGTAATTCCCATCAGCTTAAGGCAGCGAAGCGAATGCCCACAGTGCCCAAGTCACTTGCCCAAGGTTATCCAAGTCAAATAAGACAGAGATGAGATTCAAATTCAGGCCACAATGACTTCAAAAACCCTTGTATCCTTGTTTTGTTTCGTTTCCCTGCAAACATTGTTTTAGTTGAGATGAAATTCACGTAATATACAGTTAACCATTTTAAAGTGTACACTTCAGTGGCATTTAGTGAACTCAGTGTTATGCCACCGTCACCTCTTTTTAGTTTCAAAACTTTGTCATCACCCCAGAAAAGCATACACATAAAGTCATCACTGCCCCATTCCCTTCTTCCAACTTCTCTGCTTTTGGTCTCTGTGGATTTGCCTATTCTGGGTATACCACATAAAAGGAATCAAAGAATATGTGACCTTTTGTGTCTAGCTCCGTTCACTTAGCATGCTGTTTCCAAGGCTTGTCTAAGTTGTGGCATGTGTCAGTACTTTATTCTTTTTTATGGCTGCATAGTATTCCACTGCATGGATATACCACATCTTGTTTATCTGTTCATCCATTGATGGACATTTGGGTTGTTTCCGCCTTCTAGGTATAATGACTTGTGTTGCCATAAACATTTGTATACAAGTTTCTGTGTGGACATGTTCTCACTTTTCTTGGGTATATACTTAGGGGTGGAATTGCTGGGTCATATGATCAGTCTAGGTTTAACTTTTTGATGAACTGACAAACTGCTATCCACAGTGGCTGCCTGTACCATTTTACAGAAAATCTCTGCTTTTAATACTTCTGGATGTGTTCTAAGGCACTAGGCTTTTCATTAAGTTCATTTCTGCAGAAAGAGTTAAGGAGTGTTCTCAGGTAACTATAATCAACCCCCAGGGACTTACTCAAGTTGTGCATGTGCAACTGAAATATCTGGCAGGCATCCAGTCCCTGTTATTTCAGTCTCTCCCCGCCTCCCTGCCCACACCTCTGAAGCTCCATATTACCCAGGAAGGGACAATGGGGGGCCTAGAAATGTGGAGGGAGGCAAGAGAGTGATAATTATGCCATCTACACTTGTCGACTAGAATTTCCAGGTACTTTCACCTCTAGGCTCTTACCTGGCTTTTGTGAAGCCCCTCAGGGAAGAGGAGGAAAGCTGGGCAAGGGGGAGGGGTAAACCAAGTCCCAGGAAAGTCATTCCAGTTTCCCAAGATCCCGGAGCTTGTTTGTATCCAGCTGAGATCCAGTTGAGACCAGAATTCACTCTCTCCACACCTCCATCAGCTGTGGCCTCGAGTTCCTTAACATTTTTTAAAACAAAAAACTTTTGCATGGGAAAAATCCCTTTAGAAAGTTAAAGGTTTTCCTTATACAAACTATCTCACTTTGAAAACTGGCCCACTGTAAAAATCTTGATTCCGGAGCTTCCTTAAAAATCTTTTCACCCCTTTAAAGTGAAAGTTATGGAGAATCTATTAGATACAAATTAATACGGGCAAGGCGTGTGCTAGCTGTTTTATAAACATGATCCCACTTAATCCTCCACTTCACAATTCTGAAAAGTCAACAAATTTGGCCCATGGTAGAGAGGAGGAAACCAAGACTTGAAACATTAAATAACATGTCCAAAGTCTCCCATTTCAGAGACAGGGGCATTTGGCTCCAGGTTTTTCTGACTCTAGACAGTAGTTTGTTTTTAGCACATCAAATGTCTGAGACTTGTGATGTGTTAGAAAGCACAAAGGACTTTGATCACAAGATCAAGCCCCAGAGGGCCATGACTGCATAAACCACAACAACTGCGTGGCTGCCTGTCACGTCTTCATCTGCAAGTTGGAGGAACTTGGAGAAATGCAGTGCTTCCCTGCAGCTGCAGAGGGTCTCACTGAGCACTATTCTTGGAATTCTTAAAAGCTGGGCCTGTAAGCCTTTTTTGCATTTCCTTTCAGCCACCTCCTGGCTGTCCTTTTAAAGCCAGGGTAAAGTCCCCAGCACCCAGAATCAAGGATGGGGAAGAGGAATTTTGAGAATGTGCTTCCTGCTTCACACAAATAGCTAAAGACAGAAATGATGGCACAAGCCCTAACCAACAACTAGGAAGGTAGGTTGTCCAAGACAAATTGCAGTTTAGAATGGACCTGCCAAATGGGTGGGTGGGCAGGATGGCTGGGATCGCCAGTGCCCAACCTTGCCACAGCCTCCTTTTGTCACTCTAGGGACTACCCTTTTCCTCCCCAGACGTTTTTCCTGACTCTAAATAGTGGGAAAAGTCTGGTTTGAGATTGCTGTATTGCAGGGAAGTTCTTACAGCGGGCTTGATGGGCCCAGAAATCAAGATGGAAAAAAACAACCCTCTATGTTGATGGCCATGCACAGTGGCTCAGCAGAACTGGCTCTGTTGACCAGGCTTGGGTGCTCTCCTGCAGGGCATTGCAATCTTTAGGACACCTTCATTACCCCTCCTAAAAGGAGATTTTATAATGAGCGCCAACCAGCTCAAACAAGTTAGGATCTCCTAACATGTCTGGTGAAAATACAGGAGTATTTTTCATCATCTCTGGAAAAGTTGCTATCATGTCCTTCAATAACCCAGTCTAACCATGTTTTTCCAGTGGAAATGATTCCCGGTAGAATGTCCTATGTTCCTTTTGCACATTTCTCCTTACAAACATCATCTCATTTAATCCTCACCACAAAACTGATAGTGTCATCTCCAATTTATAGTTGAGGAAATAGAGGATCAGAGAAGCTACGTGATCTATGCAAGGTCCCCCAGCTAGGAAGTAGCAAAGATGGAATTTGACCCAGGTCTGACTCCAGAAGCACTTTCCTCTTTTGCCTCCTAATACATTTTCTTATAGGGAGCATCCTGCAATACAACTGTTAAGACCACTTAATGTTATCTTTGGATTAAAAATGGTACCACTCTCATAAATCAATGAGTTTCATACCCTAAATTATGCCAGATTAAGAAAATGAAATCTGACTGTAAATTACTTCTCTAGGAGCAAATGATTGCTTGATTCTATTGTAGAAAATAAAAATTTTTTACTTAAACCACACAAATTAAAAAATGGAACTCACTTTCACAGTCAAGAGTTACTTCTATTTTTTTTTACAGTAAATGCGCTCTTTAAGATGTTGCAAGCTCAATTCATGATTTTTTTTTCTTTTTCTGTATGTTTCTAAATTTAGAAGTTACATTTACAAGGAGGTAATTTGCAAGGTCATCCTTTTTTAAAGAAATTTAAGCAGGAGATGAGGTCTTTCCAGGTTTGAGGGTGATAGCTCGTGATTCTTCATCAACTTTGGCCAAACCTTCGTGGATTCCTGTGTGCTGATTATTAGTGCCTTGCCTACAAATTTTTAATACATTGACTTATCTAAATATTCCTGCATGCACACTCCCCAATCTAAGAAAAATGTGAGATGTTGGGAAATGTTTCCAAGAATAGACCAAAGGATTAGTCAGCCTAGAGAAGTGAACTTTAAGAGGAACTATGTTTATTCAGTGGTGATTATTTGCTGACCCAGTGCTAGGCACGTGAGAGTGAGAGGGATGGAATGCTTGCAGGAGTTGCCTTGGATATCACACACTGACTTGGGAGACACACATAGCGACAGATAATTACAACATAGGGACACCCGGGGAAAATGTAGACGAGGTTTAGGGGTTGCTCAGAGGAGGAATTAACTCTATAAGGAAGTATTCTGATAATGGCTTTCAATTATAGGACATATCTAATAACATGATTACATACTCTCTTAATAGTGTAGCACTATAGTTGTTATTTATTTCCCACACTGAACAAATATAATTATCATATACACCCTTTCCATTATTAGCTCTCTCCATTTTTAATGAAAACAGTGGTTGGTGGTTTATAAGAAGTTTTTTGTCGGTGTCATCTTTCACATCAGTTTGCTACCCAGAATTTAAACATTCCTTTTTTGCTGCTGTTTTAATTTGAAATAAGAATGGTAGCCCCCAGGTCCCCTAACAGTGGGTGCTGATTTCACAGTGGGCTTACAAATGCTCTTCAAGAGTATCTCAGTGTTGAGTCCAGCCACCCAAGGGAGACTGGTTCTTCACTGTGCATCATGGCCTTTTAATGCCATTTTGCTTTTTTATCATCCAATCAGCAGATGTTCTTTCTTCATTCACGTTGAAAGCACTTCGCTATGGAAACGAGTAAAGTTCATTGTCTTATTTTTTGTTTGTTTTGTTTTCTGATGTCCTGACAGCAGAATCAATCTTCGGAATCCTTTTCAATAAAAAAAAAAATTACCAAAACAAATATGATCACAGAAGCTTTTAAAATCTGAAATCCCAGGAAGCTAATTAGTGCATCCTTTTAAGATGGCTTCCTGCATTTCGATATACGCATAAGCTTGGGTTTCAGATGCAGTTGGCAGTTTGCCATGAGTCAGACAGGTCATCCTGACTCTCAGGAACACGGAGCTCCTGCAGAAGCCTGTGGAGCGAGGGCAAGTTGGGATCCTCCCCTGTGTTAGCACGTGACTGTCCTCTGTCACCATGTAGCAGGTGGAGGCCAGGAACTACATTTTCTTGGGTTCCTGGTGGTTAGTTGTACGCCCCATGAACTTCTCTCATTTCCTTAATTATATCCAAAATAATGCCCTTGTTTTATTTCCCCACTTGGCACTGAGCCTTAGGGAGCAGGAACTGTGTATATCCCACAGCTTTGCATGGCACTTGGCACGTAGGAATGTATTAAATGCAGCTGCTTTCGTGCAGGAAGCGCGGACTTCAGATTTGGTCAAAGATCCATGATTTCAGAGCAGGCAGCCCTTTTAAACCTGTATCTGAGTCACTTCAATGCCTTGTGTTTCTGCTCTGGGCTGCAAACTCAAGAGCAGCAACCACTTATCTTGGTACCTGTAGTCCCGAGCCCTGTGTCTGGCTCAGAGTAGGCCCTACATAAATGTTTGCTCCTCCTCACTGAGTGGCTGCATGAATTGCATCCAGCATGTCTACTCTGGGAAAGAACCTGTGGAGCCTCTTTAGGAGTGTGTTTTTGCCCTCCCTCGGAATCTGGTGATCTCACTACCAATGGCAAAGACAAACTGTGAGGTGTTTTTTTGTTTGTGTGCACGCGCACGTATGTGTGTGTGTAAAAAGGCCATGGAAATATAAAATTGTAACCTAAATGCCTTCACGGCCAGTTATGGTGGCTCACGCCTGTAATTCCAGCACTCTGGGAGGCCAAGATGAGAGGATCACTTGAGCCTAGAAGTTTGAGACCAGTCAGGGCAATATAGACTACCTGCAAAAAGAAAAAAAAAAAAATGCCAGGTGTAGTGGTGTGCGCCTGTAGTCCCAGCTACTCAGGGGGCTGAGGCAGGAAGATTGCTTGAGCCTGGGACGTCAAGGCTGCAGTGAACCATGATGGTGCCACTGCACTCCAGGCTGTGTGACAGAGCAAGACCCCATCTCTAAATAAGTAAATAAATGCCTCTGTGAATCCATTTCATTGCATTGGAAAGACCTCCAGGATTCTCTGCAGAAGAATCTTTCCCAACATAAAATCCATTGTTAATCACATTTGACACACATGTGTGCCCATGTCTCTGGGCCTGTGTCCATAGGCATCTACGTCACTGCAGAGTGAACCCTTTCGGTTCACATCACCTGCTCCCCTCCTGGGCCTCCTGAGGGGTGTGAGAGTGGCACATTCCACAGGAAGGGAACCCTGCATGTCCATGTGCCATGTGCCATGTGCCATCTTAGAGACGTAAAAACACTTTGTATGTTTGGGGTACAACTCAGTAACCCATTGGTGCAGATATGTGATTCTTAGGATGGCCCACATGGGTCTCTTTCACACACCCACGTGCATGACCCAAGTGAGCAAACAGGCAGAGACTGGGACCAGAAGCTCACTGTGGTTCTAAGCAAGCAGTTGAACTGGTGGCTTCTGATGGCCTGAGAAGCAGTTTCCCTTGATAAGTCTTCAGCCACACAAAAAGAGACTGTAGCTCACAACACTCACAGTCAAAGCCACTGGAAATAACTATTTCCTATCAAATAAAGCCTTTCTCTTGAAAAATTTGAAGAAAAAAAAAAAACCCACCTAGTGAAACCTTAGAATCAACCTGAAGGTTCAACAGCAGGTGAATGATTCCATAAATCATAGTATATTCACTTAATGGAATACTAGGTAGCCACTAAAATAAAATGACAGTTGGAAAAAATACTTATGATAAAAGGTTTAATGACAAAGTGGGGTTCAAAATGAGAGATACTCTCTGACTAGAACTATATTAAAAGAAAGATGGATGGGGGAGAGGACGGTGGGTGATATATTATCTACATAGATACTTTTTTTCACTTTTCAAAGTGTTTAATGTGTTGCACAGCCTTTAGAATTTGAAAATGTCTAACTTAAAATGCCTCCCTAGTGAAATCTGTGGCAGCTTATAAACTGGCAGGATACTGTATTTTCAAGATACGCAATTGTAAGTGGTGCTCACATACAGTCAGAATGTTTATTTGACCTTGATCTTGTGAGGGCTTGGTTCCCATGGCTTTGTAGAGTGAAAGGTCCTGAGAGGCAGGTTAGTGACGATACCGGGACACGTATTGTAGACAGGTTGATAAAGCAAGCTTCCCTCAGCCCAGTTTTCAGTGGCAAATGCCTCTTGGCCACCAATGCTGTACACTTTGTTTCTGTTTCCTTACCTGTCAGGCAGTTACTGAAAAATTATCTTTTCCCCCAAATACAATAATTAGTGCCTTGGCCAGACAAGTTACAGCAAATCCTTCAAGATTAAGAAGGGACTAGCCGGGTGTGGTGGCTCACGCCTGTAATCCCAGCTCTTTGGGAGGCTGAGGCAGGTGGATCACCTGAGGTCAGGAGTTTGAGATTAGCTTGACCAACATAGTGAAACCCCGTCTCTACTAAAAATACAAAAATTAGCCAGGCGTGGTGGCGCATGCCTATAATCCCAGCTACTCTGGGCCTGAGGCAGGAAAATCACTTGAACCTGGGAGACAGAGGTTTCAGTGAGCCGAGATCGCACCATTGCACTCCAGCCTGGGCAACAAGAGTGAAACTCCATCTCAAAAACAAAAATTAAGAGGGACTGATGTCCAGTGAATTTCTATGTCCGCCCTAAGCACTGAGGTGAAATGAAGCCTAGATGGTTCTTTTAGAATATGAGTGAGCAGTACTCATGGTTAATTTTAGAAGCTAATAAGTATATATTTGATAACTTTAACAGAAATATTAATACTAATTAAGAGTAAAAAGATGATGAATAAAGTAGCTTCACTTATTGAGCCTTTACTAGATGCCATCTTGCATAAATGGTTGTCATTTTGCAAAATGTATTCCATCTAATATTAGCAGTAACCCTGAGGACTTGGTATTCTTACCTGGATGTGTCTTATATCAACATGCACGCGTTCTCTCCCTCAGCATACCGTGTCTTATTAACTTCTAACCTCCCTCTCATTATCCCACCAATCTCTGCCAGTACAACCACATCAACTGTGCAGATCACTTCTCTAGTGTTTGGGATTTGGGGCAACCTACTGGGTCTAGCTATGACCCCATAAAAGTTGAACAACTCTGCCTTAATGGCGCTAATTTTTAATATGCCTCATTCTAGTTGCTTGAATTGAACGAAGGCATTTGAAAATTGCTGAAGTGCTTCTCAGTGATGAAATGTTACAGATCAGTTTGAAATCCAACTTTATTCAACATAAGAAAGCCTATATACTCTGGAGCTTAAAGACTGACCTTTTCACTTACTGTAAGGTATCTAAGACTTCTGGGTGTGGGTTTTAAATATATTTTGGATGAGCTTTGTTCATGTTTACACATGGCCACCAGGTCGGCCACAAAGCTGTGGCTCTGGTCAGTCTGACTCTCTTTAGCAGGAATCACGTGACAATCTGTGTCTGTGATTAGCTCCGTGGATATTACTAGGTAGATTTCTCACTTGTCCTTGTTTTGATCTTCATTCCTGGGTGAAAGAATCCCAGGGAGTGGAAAATGTAGGTAGTTCATAGGGCTCCTGACCTTCCATGGACTGTGTCTAACTCAGCTGTGATGAGGACGTGCTCTGATTCTGATGAAGGATGTTAGCATTAGAGGCAGGCCTGTGTGCCTGTTCTGTGTCCTGGCACCGATGTTTAACAAAAAAGATCCTTTCAGAGTTACTCATACGACTTACACATTCCCATGGGAGCTCCAACTCTGTTTGGTCCCAATGTGCCCTTTTTGTCTCACTCCTTCCTCCCACACATCCTGCTCCCCACTCCCCTAATTACTCATGATTGCACTAACAGCCACATCCTTTCACACCTCTGAGCTTTTGGTCATGCTGTAATCTCTACCTGAGTTCCATTCCTGCCTCCACCCTTGCCTGTCAAATTCCTTAGCTTCATGCCTTTGAATTTTAGCAGAAATGTTACCTGCTCTATGAAACTGGATTTTCCCTTTGTCTCCATTCCCTAAGCTGCACATTAGAGCAGCTGTTACAGTTTGAAGTGACCCCTATATGGATTGTTTGCACACCTGTGTTGCAAATGTATTAGTTAGGATAGGCTGAGCTACAGTAAGAAATAGCCCCCAAAATGCATTATAGCTGAAACCCCCAAAGGGGGATTTCTAACACAGAAAGCAACATAAGTGGGTAGTCCTGGCCAATGGCAGCTACGTTCCACAAAGTGACTCAGGGATCCAGGCTGCAGCCACTTAGTGGTTCCATTCTCCCTGCTGATATCTGCATCCAGTCATCTGGTATTTCTTACCAGCCTTAACCTCATTCTATTGGTAAGCACTAGTCACATGGCTATCTCCCACTGAAAAGTAGGATGTCAAATATCCTCTAGCCCTTTGCTCAGGAAGAAGAGCAAATGGATTTTTGTTAAGAAGCTGGCAGTCTGTCACAGGAGCTACTTGAGGATACACACAGTTTTCTCCCCATTAGCATCTGCAGTCTCTGGTATAAACTTGAGTCTTCTCTTTGGTCCCTGATAAATATACATAGAATGTATGGATGTGAGAAAGTTAAACTGATGTCTGTGTGTCTTCATGTCATTAAACTTTGAATCTATGGACATGTCTTTTTCTTTCTGGCATAGTTTGGAGGTCTTCATTTTATGATAGAATACAAAACACCGAGGGCTTTAAGGAGGCATAGTGGTATGTTCAGCTGTATTTTCTCATAATATAGAGTCATAGGAAACCTGAGCCTTGGCATTTGTAAGGCAAAAAGACCCCTGGAAAAGAGTAATATAGTAATTCATCTTTATTTGAAAAGTATATCATCATCCATTTATTTCCCCACTGGCATAATCCAGGCCGACTTTGGCTCCCCTTCCTGTGAAATGCACCCTTTCCCTCTCATCAGTTTCCACCCCTCCTGCTGAAAATGGAGTACAATGAATAGATGTATAATAAAATCTTTTAATTGTCTTAGCATATGTTGCTTTTATTAGGTGGGCATAATTGCATTCATGGGATCACCTACAAAGTCCTTTCGAATATAAAATTGAAATGGCTTCACACTCAGTGCACAAGTCCTTCTGAGGCACTGTTTTCCCCTTCGCTGCCTCCGGTTCCCCTTTTGCTGTGAAGTTCACATTGAAGTGTGAAAAGAGAGACGTGGCAACTGACACATGCTGGATCTTATCAGCCGCGAGTGCCGTTGTGGCCGACTGAAAAGCGACTGTCATTTCTACACCATTTATTCCTCGCCTGGCCTCATTGCTCGCTTCGTTTCGGAGGAAATTTTCCCTGTTAAAGTACTGTACTTGTCATTTATTTCCCTTTTTTCCACTCTCCCTCCGTGGCTGGGTTTGGATATGCATTTATCCAAAAGGCAAGGCTTTTACACACTTCCGCTAACCTCTTATGGTCAGGCTCATAAAAGCAACCCAACAAAGCTTTTATGGGGTCATTACAGATCCCTCAAATCCCTCTCCTTCCAGCTTTCAATAATTCTCTTGTCTCTAATCAATTCACCGGCTCTTTTATTTGAAAATGGGTGATGGAGTGGGGGAAAAAAGTGGGAGCATCAGCTGAAAACCCACTTTATTTGGACTAAGGTTTCTCAATGTGTGTTCAGTTCTGGCTCATGCTTGGCACTTACATTTGAGCCATATTCAGTAGTCCCAGCCTTACTTATTCTTTTACAAAAAGGGTCAGCAGACTTTCTGAAAAGGGACAGATAGTAAATATTTTAGGCTTTGTGGACCATAGGGCCTGTGTCAAAAGTACTAAATGTTACCATTTTCCTTACTTTGTTCAGGCTGCTATAACAGATACCATAAACTAGGTAGCTTATAAATAACAGAAATGTAATTCTTAAAGTTCTGGAGCCTGGGAAGTCCAAGAGCAAAGCAACGGCAGATTCAGCTTCTGTTGAGGGCTCGTTCCCTGGCTCATAGATGATGACTTCTTGCTGTGTCAACTTAGTGGGAGGGGATAAAGCAGCTCTCTGGGGCTTCTTTTAGAAAGGCACAAATCCACTCTTGTGATCTAATCACCTTTCAAAGGCCCTATCTTCTAATATTATCACATTGGAGATTCCTTTTCAACGCTTGAATTTTTTGAGGATGCAAACCTTCAGACCATAGCACTATCATAGTGCAAAACAACCATGGACAATACACAAATGAACAAGTGACTATTTGCTAATAGTTTTATTTACAAAAAACAAAAAACAGTGGGCAGGATTTGACCCATGGGCTGCAGTTTGCTGATCCCTGTTTTATTAATTAGTTAATATTATTGATTGAGATAGGGTCTCACTGTGTCACCCAGGCTGGAGTGCAGTGGTGCGGTCACAGCTCACTACAGCTTCAACCTCCTGGGATCAAGCAGTCTTCTTGCCTTAGCCACCCGAGTAGCTGGATGACAGGTGAGCACCACCATGCCTGGCTAATTTTCTAAATTTTTTGTAGAGACAAGGTCTCACTGTGTTGTCCAGGCTGGTCTCAAACTCCTGAGCTCAAGTGATCCTCCCGCCTCGACCTCTCAAAGTGCTAGAATTACAGTTGAGAGCCACCACACCCAGCCTGATTCCTGTTTTACATATTAAAAATTTCATCTCTCCAATCTTCGAAGAATCCGTAGTCCATTTTTAAGTAGCTCTTGTCTTCCAAAGGTATGGGATGTGCCTACCTAATGCTCTTCCTGGATGGGAGAATATTACCAAAAACGTTTGGTCGACTAATTTTATGACAGTTTCCAACTACAATTTTTTTCCTCTTTGCTTTCTTTTGAATAATAGAAACAATTTTTTTTGTTTAATATATCTTGAAGTACTTCACTTAAGAAATAACTTCATGGTGGCACAGAGAGCTGTTTAGTTAGAAGACTGAGTATTATATTTCCCATTGACTATGCAGGACCTTCTAGGGAAATGTGAGTTTATCATACTCCTGCAAGGTAAATGCAGCAGTGAGAAGAATCAGTCTACTGTGCTAAACCTGGCCCTGCCTCAGCAATATTCTGTGAGCCTGGAGGTCAAGAGTTAGGGGACCAAGGTCCTGCTAAGGACACATGGGGGAACTACCAGAAACTCATCATCTCATTTAAACTCACAAAACCTGGAAGGGACATAATTAAAAGTCCTGTCTTCCAAAAGTGTAGCATTAAACTCAGAGATGTAAAACAACGTGTCTAAATGCCAGGTAAGCAATGCTTACTTGACTTGGACCAGGGTGGTGAATGAACATAAAAACCGATTACAACATTTTTCCATTTTTATGTTTCCTCTGAAACCAGCCATGAGAGGTACTCTTAGCAAATCACGCCTTATTCCTAGGCAGACTTCTTGGGTACACTTTCCACCCTCCCCAGCAGTAATGCCTGACCAACTAATGGAATCCTAACTAATGCAGTATGTGACGCCTGGCAGCTCCAGTCCGAACCAAGGGAAAACCTGCAAACATGCAATCCTTCATGCTTTTGTTTTTGTTTTTCCTTCAGCCTAGCTAAAATGAAGGCAACATTCAGAATGATGTTAGAATCTAGGTGTGGAAAGCAATGTAGCTTCTGGCTGGTTCCTTGAGTGACCATGTGGAGCAGAGCTTCCCTTCCATTGTATTTGAGCCACTGGAAATCTATTACCTGATCTTTCTTTACCAGATCCTTCTTTAGTTGGGTATGGCCAGGCTCAGTGAATCCAGTAGATGTTTGAATGGGAAAGGACTGAAAGATCTCAACCTTGAATCCCTTAACTCCTTGGGATGTGTAATGGAGATGTATAAGCTGTTTTTAAACATTTCAGCAGCTGTCATGGAACTTAACCAAATGAGTCTAAGTACCCTATGAACACATTTGATTTAGGTTGGAATTACAGCATAGATGTGAAGTGACTTGTCCAAGGACACACAGGTGATGAAGTTTACATACAAGACTTAAGTCCATGTTACTGGATTCCTAGACCAGGTTTTTTTTTTCCCCTTATCCCATAGAAGATGGTTGTTGTCTTGAGGTTTCCACTGAGTTGCTTTTTGAGAGATTCTATTGTGCACTTTTGCCCAGTTCAACAAGAAAGAATCTTTGCTATGTTAGAAGAGACTCTGGGGAATCCAGAGTCTTGGTCACGGGTACATCAAAACGACGCTGGTGCCTAACTTCTAGTTCCAGACAAAGAAGGAGAGAGAGAGAGATCAGTAATTTATAGGCTGACATTTTCCTTGGGTCCTTATAATACTTGTTTATTACAGATAATTTGCTTAAGTGTGCACAAGGTGGAAGGTCACGCAAGGAAGCTTTTTATTAGTTGTGTACTGAATGGATCAATAGTGATTTGAATACTATAAATCTATCCGTTAACAGGTTTATTTCTTCATCAGATATTAATTCCAGAGGGTTTCACCCATTATAAAATGGACATAAAGCCTGGGGTGGTGATGGTGCTGCCTCTGTAACCAGGCTCAGCTGTGTGTCTTCGTGAGCCTCCTTGTGGACCCTCAAATGTGGGAAGGAGATAGGGGCAGGAGGAATTGGGGAAATAGGAACCTTAGAAACCCTGAAGAAGTGGAAAGAGAAAAGGAAGGTCAGTCATTCATTCAATTGCTTAATTTGCTTCTTTCTTTTTCTCTTCTTCTTTCTCTCTCTTCTCTCTCTCTTTCTCCCTCCCTCCCTCCATTTCTTCATTCCTTTCTTGTCTCCCTGTCTATCTGTCTGTGTATATCTATTCATCTATCCATCCATCCATCCATTCATCAATCCATTTATCCACTCTGAATAGAAACCTAATATAGATATACAAAATGAAAAACTAGGAAAATGCAAGAAACCTTGACAAAATTGCTACTGTTTCTAATTCCAATACTTAATAATAACCACTGCTACATACAAGGACATTTGTGTCTGGTCTTTTTCCCTATTCCAGGCACATGCATTTTAATACAGTTGAGATCATATTGTATGTCTGATTTTTTAGCGTATTAGATTTTTTACATTATTAAGTTAATACATGCTCATTTAAATAAGTCAAACAATATGAATATATAAGAAGAAAACGCTCGTAATTTATGCTCTACCTCTTCCCTTTGCTAAGTGGCAATTTTGGACCTTCTGTGACCGTGCAAACATGCAGATTATACATGCACTATAGGAGTGGAATGTATGTGACTTAATAGCGTAATATTTTGTCCATTATTTTAAAACTTGCTTTATTTGGTCAAGACATACGGAACACGTATAGATCAAACAAAAATTTTTAAAAATGCTTGCATACTGCTCTGTGCTGTGGAGTAGCCCTAATTAAATCAATCATTCCTCTGTTTATGGGCATTCCATTTCTTTTCAATTTTGATATTATTGTTGTTTTAGCCCTTATGAATACTACAGCAATATATGTTATTATATACTGCTGGTTTTAATTTTGTAGGACAGATGGGATTTCTGAGTCAAAGGTCAGGTGACATAATTTTGTATCCTGTGGTTTTACTTAACACTATGCAGAACGATTTCCTCGTATTGTTGAAAACTCTTGGTAGGGGTTTTTTTTTTAATTGGCTGGAAGCACTTCATCATATAGTTGTACCAAAGTTTGCTTAACATCCCCCTTATTACTCAGCCTTTGGGTGGTATCCAGTTCTTTGCTTTGATAAATAATGCTGAGATGAACATCTTTCTGCATGGCTCTTTTTCCTTCTTTTGACATACTTGGAGTTCTAGAAGTGGAATTACTGGGTCGGAGGTCACAAATGGAGAGGTCTTTTAAATCTCAGCCTGCAAACAATCCCACTGCAGGTTTAGGCTGCATGTTTCATCCATTTGCAGCTGTAGCATTTTACAAACCACAGCATAAACCCTAGGAATAATTCTGTTCCCCACTGGGATAGAGCATTGTTATTAATATAATTTTACAAACATCATTCGTTTGAAAGCTTTATCCAGCCTCACCACAGCTCATTAGTGAACCTTCTGACAATCCCGGGGCAGTTTGTGGATTCTGCAGCAGACAGGTTATCGTGTGCTGAAGGGTACCGCAGGGGAACCTTCCAACATCCCCACCCTACCCAAAGGATGATTCCTGCTCACACCAGCCAGCTGGAGACATTAGAGCATTACTTCTCGGTGGCAAGGGAGGGACTCTTGTTCTTTCTGGTGGTTCGTTTTCATCTTCAGGTCATGCCCTGTGTCACCTGACTCAGGCACCATTAGCATCTGGGGCTGTACACGTCTTTGTACTGCACACTGTAGGGTATCCAGGATTCCTGGCCCTGCCCCATGATATACCAGCGCCATGTTGTCATCAAAACGACCGGAAATGCCTTTTGTGTCTCCCTACTTCCCTTTTTAACATGTCAGCCCTTGGTCTCGATATTCACATCTATATTTTTCCTTATCCCGTTAATATATGTTATCTAAATATGTGCCATCTTTGTTTATGGGCTTTTGGTGTAAGAACTCTCTGAGAATGCAGTGATTCTTCACTGGGATTGGAAGGGATCAGAAGGAGGGAAAGTAATTAGCGGGGCCTGTTATAATGGGGTTGGTGGGGTTATTTGTGCTTTTAAAGTAGAATATCAGGGTGTTTAAAAGCCAAGATTCTGGAGTCAGAAGGCCTGGGTTCAAATCCTGACCCCTCCTCTTGCAAGCTTGTGACACCGGGCAAGTTATTAACCTCTTTATGCCTTTATTTTACTATAAATATGGGATAATTATAGTTTTTACTGCATAGTTTTGTTATGAGGAGTAAATGAGTCACTATTTCTGAGACACTTCGTGCCTGGCACAGAACGAGCACTGTGTGTGTGTTACAGAAATATATGTGGGTGGGTGTGTTTCTGTTTTCCGTAATTCCAGCTAGGCAAAGACATATTTAACAAAAGCCTTCTGGGCTGATGAGCATCCTCAGAAAGTAGGCTGAGGGAGCTCTTTTAAGGCAGCAGGACTAAGAAGGTAAAGACATGTACTAGGCGGGTCAGCATAGTGGTGGCCCTCGTCTGACACACATATTTCAGGAGGGGTCACCCCTGCCGTCTTCCATGTTGGGGTGCTCTTCTCTGGCAACCCACTATGGGTACTCCACTGCTGGCCTTCATGCAGGTGGAACCACACCGGGAAGACCCAAGCCGAGGGGAGAAGGCGTGAGCAGAGCAGGTGGCAGGCACCATGAGGCAGGGCTAGCCTTGCCCACTGTCTGTGGCTGACCAGCTAGACTCTTTTCCTTTTCTTGCAAACCTAATGTAGGTACAAGGTCAAGGCTCCCTGTGAGGCTTGCATAGCACCTTCAACCTTCTAGTCTTTGTCCTCCCAGAAGGAAAAAAATGAGAGGAGGGAGGGACACAAGAAAAGAAGATGCATTTTGTCAGCCACCGTGCTATGAAATGCTAGCGCAGATGACGTTCAGAACTGCCCTGTGAGCAGACATAAAAGCTTAGGCTCAAAGAGATTAAATGTCTTATTTCTGCTTTTGGAAGATACACATTTTATTTTTTTCTGTGTCTCTGAATTGGCATCCAACCATAATCATTGTGCTAATTTACTGTATTCTTACTCTCCCTCTCCAGTGCTGTGAGTAAATCAGTGTGTTCCTTATACTTAATAACATACTAAGTGGCAATAATAATTATTATAACAAATGTATCAAATAACTATGTGTGAACTCTGCATGTTTCAGCCCATTTAATACCCATTACCTACGGAGGTGGTTTCTACTATTGCACCCACTCTACAGATGAGAAAATGGAGGCACAAAAAGTTAAATCATCTGCCCTAGGTCCCAGAGCTGGAATTTGAACCAAAGGTTCTGTGCCTCCCAAATTTGTATTCTTATCTCTGCATCACACTAACACTGTCACTCAGTCCTTTTCTCACTGCTCTGGTCTCTATACTTAGAGCTTCGAGACCTGCCACTCAGATGACTCCAGAAGAAAACACGCTTTGGTGTCGTGCTTGCCTTTGCCCTTGTCACTTTCTCAACTCTCCTCACCTCTGTGACTGCATCTTTATAACTCTCCTTTATTAGTGCTTTTGCTGGAGGAGGCAAGCATGAACATTGTCAAAAGGACTCAAAATGGGGAAAAGTGGCAGCAATTGCCAGCACAATCACTGAAAAATCTTCTGAATGGATTGTAAATTAAACCCTCCCCCAAATGCTCAGAACTGTTGAATTGACTAATTCAAATTCATTGAGTCAGATGCAGTTAGTGTAACAGTCTATAGTAACAGTGTAGACTATTAGTTTGTAGAGTCCACACAGAAGAGTCCAATTTTCTTTGCACAAAGAGCCTACCATTCATTTATTCAACAAATGCTTTTGAACACCCATCACTGTGACAGACAGTGGCAATGCATGTAGGAACAAAGTGTGTCCATGGGGGCAGAGACCTGGAATAATCAGTCACCATGTAAGGAAATTCACCAGACCACCAATTTCCACGCCTTGTATGTTTCTGTTGTCTTTGCTGCAGACTGACCAAAAGCACAAGACAAACTCTTGTCCACTTGGATTTTAGCATCTTTCCCTGACCCTGCCTCTGACTCTGGTGTTGTGCACCCACTCTGCAACTCTCCAAGCTCCAGCCCTGTAGTGCCAGCCTGTACCTGCCTCTCCTGAGGGTCAATATGGCATCCAGCCTTGGTGAAGTCTCCCACCCCGTGGTGATTCATATCTGACCCTGAGAATTTTCCACCTTTCCCAGAAGAGTGGGAGTCTAGGAAGACAAATAGCCAAGATAGGAGTTTGAAGAGGAGGCACCAATGGCAATTTGGGTTGTTAATTCCTCCAGCTAATTTAGTTCTGATTTCCCCATGCTCTTGGCAGTGAGACAGTTGGCTCCAGAGGAAGGTGATAAAAAGGAATCAGTCAAGGAACAATCAAGAACGTGTTACTTTTTTGGATAATCATTGGCTGTAGGGATTCTCCTTTACATTTTAAAGAGGGATGAGGTTGAGTCTGTCCCTAGCACTGACAATGAAACATTTATGCTGTTTATAAAAATCAGGAAACACACAAATAATTTGATTAACGCTCACCTTCTGGTCCTTTTGTGATTTGAGAGGTCTTGAGATAAGAAAAACTGTGGATGAATTTTACTGAACTATTGAATTGAGAATGGCTGAGGGGGAGAGGCCCCTTCCCTCTGTGAAATATAGGGAAAAGTTGTTTTTCTTTTCTCCTAGTTTCAGAATACTTGGACTTACAGTCCCAAATAGCATCATTTCCTGGTGAAGCCCCCTGAACCAGACAGGAAACTGCCTCTCTTCAATAAGAGCAGAGGCAGTCTCAATAAAAAACAAAATTTCAACCCATCCTCCGCTTTGGTGGCAGGCAGTTCATCTTCTCACCTCTACTTATTTACAGTTTGAGGGGAAAAAAGAGGTAATACTTGAAAGTGTATTTGACCATATTTTCTAACTGGGAGACAATTTTTTTCTTTAACAATTACTTTTGGACATATTACTTGTTAGTTAAAGGAGATGTGACACCTCCTGCCCCCTGGCCAGCCAAGATCCATTTGTCATCCAGGTAGCCTCAGAACGGATTGAGAGCTCGCCGCACAGATCTCATGTCAAAGACAGGCGCGTCTGTCTTTCACGGCTTGGGTTGTCAGGATGCAGGGAGGGCCTTTTGTCAAACACCTGCCGATGAGCGTTTGGCAGAGCCTGTGCTAAGACATCATAGATTTCCTTCTGTGTTGTCTTGAGAGCAGAGAAGGTGGCAGGTTAAAGGGAATCAGGAAAGAAATGAGAGTGAGGATAAACGAGAGGGTGTGGTTCTCAGGGTAGAATGCATCGGACACTGCCTAGTGTGAGAAGGGACTCATCTGTTTTCTAGGAAGTACTATAAAAAAGATAAATTTAGTGCTCAGATATCTGAGGCCTGATATTAGGAAAAATACGGTAAGGCATACATTTAGAACAGATGCCATGTCTGTGTGTGTGTGTGTGTGCATGCGTGTGTGTGTGTGTGTATTATTAATATGTCTGCTGGCCTTGAGAAGGTACATTCAGAGAATTTTCTGAAGTCTTTTTCACATGGCCTGTATTGTCAAAAAATGATGTTGGGTGTTTTCTGCCTGTGGCTGTGGGCCTCTGTGTTCACACAGATGGTCATATGTTCCTAAAGGATACATCCAGGACTGTGCTGACTTATTTGGGGTGGCTGAGAAGAGACATGAGCCAGATGATAACAGGAATAATTCAGTGTGTGCTTCCCATGGCTGCTGTAACAAACTGCACAGCCTAGAGGGCTTCAAACAACAGGAATATTATCTCACAGTCCTAGAAGCCAGACGTCTGAGACCACAGTGTGGACAGGGCCATGCTCCTTCTCTAGAGAACTCTCCTTGCTCCTCTCGCTTCCGGTGGTTCAGTGGCAACGCTTGGTGTTTCCTGGCTTGCAGCTGCAACTATCTGACCTCTGCGTCTGTCCTCCCACGGCCTTCTCCCTGTGTGTTTCTGGATCTCTTCTCCTTTGTTATCAGGACACTGGTCACATTGGATTAAGGGCCTACCCTATTCCAGTCTGACTGCATCTTAACTGTTTAACTCTGTATTCCAATCTAATTACATGTCTATTTCCAAGTAACGTCACATTCTGAGGCAATGGCGGTTGGGACTTGAACATATATTCTTCGGGACATGATTCAACCTATAACAAGTAATACTAGTAATCATCTCACTCCTGTAAACAGTACAGTTGCCATACCTCAAGTATCTAGTATACTTGGGACATTAGTCTGGGAATTTTTCTCCAATCCTCACGCTAGCATTTCTAGTAATGAGGAAACTGGGGGTCAGGGAAGCTTAGTCCACATTTCTCACCTTTTCTCCTTTTCTCCCATCCCCCAGCCAGTTTTTCAACATATTGGTTTTTCACCACATGCTCACTGCAGTGAATGTTCACTCCCAAGCCCAAAAGTAGACATGTGGAGTGACAGGTGTCACTATATCATAATATGAAGAATTTCAAAAGCCAGAAGTGCTTGAGAAAATATAAATTGTGCAGTAAAAGAAAACACCCTAAATGTGCAGAGCAGGAAGTAGAATGACTCTTTGGGTATTGTGTTTGTTAGGGGGGTCATTAGAAAATCATAGACACTGAGCCGAACCCCCTGGGTTCAAATCCCAGCTCCACCACTTACGAATTGAATGACTTTGAGAAAGTTACTTAAATGCTGCGTACTTCATTTTCCTCCCCTGTAAAACGGGTTAATATCAGCACTTATCACATAGTTTTTGAGAAAGCTAAACGTGCTTATCTATAGTGGTTATTATTACTAGAAAGAATATCGTGGTGCCCCCAAACATGGATTTAACAAGCATTGATCAAATACCTCCTATGCCCCTACGAACCAGGTACTAGAAATCCACTCCTTTCACTTGCTTTTGTTCTGTTGTGTTTTTGAGACAGAGTATCGCTCTGTCACCCAGGCTGGAGTGCAGCGGCGTGATCTCTGCTGACTGCATTCTCCATTTCCCAGGTTCAAGCGATTCTCCTGCCTCAGCCTCCCAAGTAGCTGGGACTACAGGCCCCTCCACACCGCACACCGCCACCACGCCCAGCTGATTTTTAGTGGAGACAGGGTTTCACCATGTTGGCCAGGCTGGTCTTGAACTCCTGACCTCAAGTGATCGGCCTGCCTCAGCCTCCCACAGTGATGGGATTACAGGCATGCGCCACCATGCCTGGCTAATTTTTGTATTTTTAGTAGAGATGGGGTTTCACTATGTTGGCCAGGCTGGTCTCGAACTCCTGGGCTCAAGCAATGCACTGGCCTTGGCCTCCCACATTGCTGGGATTACAGGCGTGAGCCACCATGCCTGGCCCCCTTTCACTTGTATTTTTTGAGAAGAGAAAGAAAGAATTATGAATGAATTCTTCTGAGCTGTGAGTCCTTCCTGTGCACCAGGCATGGATGGCAAGGCACGATTGATAATGTTCCCTCTTATCTCGAAATGTCCACTCTCTCTCCCATGCACGGGGAGTCAAGCTGTGCTCTTCAAACACAAATTCCTTCTCCCACTTCCTGGGTAGTTATGCTCTTTTCTTCCCTGAGGTTGCTAATTGTGGGCAGTACAGTGTAGAGTCACTTTGATTTTTCTCATCTCCTTCCTGGAATGTGCCACAGAAGAAAACCCACGAAGTCTTGAGCTAAACGAAGCAGAGATGGGAGAAGGGACAAGGTGGGAGGCGGTAGTGGTGCTGCATGGGATAAAAATGGAAACACACACTTTTGCCCTCTGTACCCAAAAGGAAATGTCGGTGGAGGCAGGCGTTCAAGCTGGCCTCGTGTTTGTGGTTTTAGACACAGCTTTGAGTCGTGACCGGTGTGGCCAAGACCTATTTCCCTTGCAAATGCTCTCTCTCTTTTTTCGGTAACTGTGTTACTAAAGTTCTCTTAGATACTTTACATTTCCTTTCACGGATTTCCAAAATTTCTTTCTTTGAGAATGTCAGGACCAGTAGGAGGTTCAGCACGCATTGCCAGAGAAATCACAGATGACTAATTGGAATGCCTCAGAATCATTCTCCTTTTGTTTCACCTAATTTCCACACTTACGAAGTCAAACTCTCAGTTAAATGTTTATCTAGCAATTCATTTCTTCTGAGCCATCTGTTGCTAGGCAGGATCTGCAGACCTCTTGGTTGCATGTGCTGGGTTGGGTCCTCCAAGTCTCTTAGCACAAAGTCCTGATGTTTAAATCCTGCAAGCGAATTGCCACCTTTATTTCCAAGTTCTCCTCGAAATCCACATTCTTCCCTACAGACAACGGTGGGGTTCAGTGTTTGCTTTTCCTGGGGCTGCTCGGTTCTCTCACCTTGCATTTCTGTGGCGCCAAGGTAAGCTGAAGGCATTAGTATTCACACTTGTGTGTGAGCAGCTGAGCTAACATGCACCAGAGGGAAAATATTACTTCTCATAAATGCTCAATAATTATAGTCTTTATTGCATGCAAATCTATATTGTGACACATAGTGGAAAGCTTTTGGATTCTGTGTGGAAGAGTTGACAGAGATTTGCAGGTGAAAAAGAAAAGAAAAAAAATACAGATACGTGTATATATAGAGAAAGACAAAAACTTGTCTGCTAGAAACCTAGGGAGAGAGATGGTATTGCCCCTGGGACATTGGACTTTCTGTTTCCAGCATGGTCTGTCGTCTTCCATAATGGCATTTAATTTTGGAAAAATTGCCTGAGCATTTGGAACAGGCATCTATTAGGAAAGCCTATTTCTTTTTTTTTTCTTTTTGTTTTTTCTGAGACAGGATCTCACTTTGTCACCCAGGCTGGAGTACAGTGTCACCATTGTGGCTCACTGCAGCCTCGACTTCCCAGGCTTAGGTGATCCTCCTGTCTCAGCCTCCCGAGTAGCTGGGACTACAGGCATGCACCACCACTCCCAGCTTTGTGTGTGTGTGTGTGTGTGTGTGTGTGTGTGTGTGTGTGTGTGTGTGTGTGTGTTTTGTAGAGACAGGGTCTCACTGTGTTGGCCAGGCCGGTCTCAAACTCCTAGCTTCAAGCGATCCTCCTACCTTGGCCTCTCAAAGTGCTAGGATTACCTGCATGAGCCACTGTGCCCAGCCTAGGAAAGCATATTTTTGAGGAATAATTATTTCTAGTAATTTCTGTTCTAATCTAAGGGGTTTGAGGTTATCTTTTGACAATAGATGTTAGCTAGGAGAGATAAGAAATGGAGCAAGGGAGGGGTTTCATCCCGCCGTGTTCATTTGCTTGGCTGTCCTGAAATTGCGAATACACAGTTGTTACCTGCTCCCGGTGGGAGGGGGGGGATATTTATTTGGCATCTTGCAATTGATAGGAGCTGAGTGATTTTAGTAGGTAGTTTAACTCCTTAAAAACTTCCAGTGGTTTCATATTCTACCTAGTTTTAGGTGACAGCTGGTATGGGGTGGGGAAGGGGGGGGGGATAAAGATATTAATTTGGAAGCATTTGATTGCTCCATTATTTTATCATCTTCCCATGGAAATGTTTTCATAACGCCTTGTTTTTTAATTATTATTATTATTTTTTGAGACAGAGTCTCACTGAGTCGCCCAGGGCGGCGGTGTGATCTCGGCTCACTGCAACCTCAGTCTCCCAGGTTAAAGCAATTCTTCTGCCTCAGCCTCCCGAGTAGCTGGGATTTTAGGTGTGCAACACCACGCCTGGCTAACTTTTGTATTTTTAGTAAAGACAGGGTTTCACCGTGTTGGCCAGGCTGGTCTCGAACTCCTGACCTCAAGTGATCTGCCTGCCTCAGCCTCTCACAGTGCTGGGATTACAGGCGTGAGCCACCGTGCCCGGCCTCATATCCTTTTTTATGGAAAAAAAAAATCGGGAATTAGCGTGTAGCTATTAGGCGTAGATTCCTGCCTAAGGTCTGGATATGAATTCCAAAGACCACTGGACTTTGGAATATTCGTAGGTCTCTGAAAATTCAGACCCACAGAGGCCTTACCCCGCTACAGAGAGGCCCCAAGAGAGAGGCCTCACACCCTCTGGCTCCACTGAAATTCACTTCACGTTTCCAACTTGGATTAAACTGGCACGACAGTTCAGTCAAATGTCAAGTCCATTTTGTCAAGGGAGGGAACTCATTCAGAAGATGAACTAGTTGGTGTTACTTAGATGATTAACTACTTGGCATTAGGTAGAAGAGGGCTCTGCCAACTACAGTTCATGGACCAAATCCTGCCTGCTGTTTGTTTTTGTAAATAAAGTTTTATTGGAACACAGCCAGGTGCATTTGTTTACCTATTGTCTATGGCTGCTTTTGCACTACAGTAGCAAAGTTGAGTACTTATAAATGTAGAGCCTGCAAAGTCTAAAATATTTACTATCTGCCCTTTTGCAGGTAAATTTGAGGACTCTTGAGTTAGACAGCTAATTAGTTGGTGTTACCTAAATTTTGTGAATTGTGGCTAAATCTCTCATTTGTCTACACATTCAAATAAAATCATGTATCAAAGGTGATGTGTGTATAATAAGATGCTGGGAAGATGAGCAAAGCATGACTTCTTTTTTTTGTTGTTTGTTTGTTTTTAAGAGACGGGGTCTCGCTCTGTTGCAGTGTCGCCCAGGCTGGAGTGCAGTGGCACAACCTTGGCTCAGTGCAGCCTCCGCCTCTCGGGTTCAAGCGATTCTTCTGCCTCAGCTTCCCGAGTAGCTGGGACTACAGGCACCTGCCACCACACCTGGCTAATTTTTTTTGTATTTTAGCAGAGACAGGGTTTCACCGTGTTGCCCAGGCTGGTCTCGAACTCCTGAGCTCAGGCAATCTGCCCGCCTCTGCCTCCCAAAGTGCTGGGATCACAGGCGTGAGCCAGCGCGCCCAGCCCATGACTTCTCTTTATGGGAGAGAAAGGCCACCGAGATAGTAAGTGGACATCAGGACATGGATTCTATTAAATCTAACACCTTTATCTTTGCATTTCCATACATTTTGCTTATTTCAAAGTAGCTACAACTGCACAAAGAATGGGCTGTCCTCTCCTGCTACTTTATAAAAGCCAAGTTTTTGCTTCTAGCTGGTCGAAGGTCCTGTGGGAGCTCACGTTTTTCTCAATTACTGATGATCATTTGAGACATAATTTGGAGAAGGTTTCTATCAAATCCTAGCTGGACTGCAGTGAAATGTTTTCAAACTAGAGAAGCACCAAATAGGCCATGATAAAGAATAAATACCACCTACCCCAACCTGGCAAATGTGTGCTCACCCAAAAGTAGTGGAGCCTCAAGCTCAGGGAGATGTGACTGGAAAATCCACTGAATAAATGTCTATTTAAAAAAATCATAGCGTCTAGGGGATATACACTTCTAAGCCCATTCTTCAATGGAGAATTACTTATGCGCATAAGTAGTTTAAACAAAATTAGTGGAAAAACAGGGAGTTTAAGGGAGCAAGAGATCAGGTCTTCTGGGCTCACCACACATCAGGTGATTTAAGCTAAAAATGGCTTAAAATACCGCAATCACTTGAAACGCCTTACATAAACTGACCAGGAATCTGGGGCATTCGCGTTAGAGACAATTTTCTTCTCCTCAAGATAAGGGATGGGGAATTAGTCATAGGGTATTTCCAGATAATGTAGTTAACACCTCGTGTAATATTAGGTGGGCAGGGAGCTCTGCTCTCAGGACCAAAATTGCTCCTGCCAGCTCTAATAGGGAATGTGTGTATTTTTAAAGTCTGGGTAAGCACTGTGAGTCATTTCCACAATACGCCTCCCTTTGGCGTGAAATGGGGCAGAAAGTGCCCCAAACAGCTGTTATTTTCGCAGTGATTCATTCATTCATTCATTCATTCATTCATTCATTCATCCACCCATCCATTCATTCATTCACTCATCACATGGCAACTCATCACCCCTGTATACCAGACCCAGTGCCAAATACTGGGGAGATGTGTGTGAACAAAATCTCATTTTCAAGGAGCTTATTGCCTGCTGCACATTTTAGCCTCATCTCGTTAGTGCAAGAAATAATTTAACAACTGAAAAAGATGTGAGGTTGTACCTGGTAAGGTCTCTATTGGTCAAGGAAAGGTTTAGCATGGAGAGATTTCTCTTAAGGTGCCTAGGTATTCAGAAGCACCCCTAAAACTGATTTGTGTGGCCCTATGCTTACAAGTGGAGCCTTTCCCTCATTTTTGCTTTATTTCTTTTGCCTCTCACTTTTTATTTCCTTTGTGGAGTCCAGCCCCTTTGCTTATTCTCAGCACAAAAGAGGCAGTAGAGTGAGAAGAACGTGAACTTCAGAGCCCACCCATCCCGTTTCACATTTGAATCGCAACTCTGTCATTCACCAGCTGTGCATCCTTGGGAAAGTCACTTAGCCTCTCTGAGCTCTAATTTCCTCACAGGGCCGCAGGACTGAGGTTAAGGACCTGCTGTCACTGGTACAGTGGTTGAAGAAAAGGTGAATGAAGGAAGGGCCTCGTTTTACTCCTTGTCTCACATTCCTTTCTGCTACTTCTCTTTGGCTCACCAAAAGGAGACAGAAGTTTGTGTCCATGGCTGTGAACTGCCAAAGAGTTGCCAATTCTCTACGATCTTTGACCTCTGTGATCCCAGGGGCAAGGCCAGCACTTTCCATTCCATTAGACTTCATTCTCTTGTGGGTGCTTTCTGCTGGAATCTCCCAATACAGAACAGAAAGCACAGGTTATGGAATCAGATAGACCAAAGTTCATCTCCAAATTTGATTCCCTCTGCATACAAGTTGCTTACCCTTGGGGGCCCTGTAAAATGACCATAATAGTAAGCACCTCTGAGGCTCACTGGAAGAACTCTTTGTTGTCTGCACAGAAGATCTCAGCACTAAGCCTGGAACAGAGGAGACTTCAGTCGATGTAGGGCATCTCCCCAAACTGCTTTTATTCTTTATGCCTCACTGAAACTTGAATCAAAAAGCGGCTGGAGGAAAAAGAGCTTTGCCACCGGGCAGTACTGCTGGGTCTTGCGTCACAGAGATGCCTTCTGCTCCCTTCTTCAGGGAGACCTCAGAGTATGAAAGTGCTGCTTACCCAGCAGATGAGATTTAGTCCAGTCATCCATCTGCGTGGTCTCTGTGGATAAAGTAAGCGTTTCATTCAACTTTTAAAAATATTGCAAATTGACCCTCGCACATCTTTTCTTACTGCCGGTCACCTAGCCAGCAAAGACCCCAGGTGAGATCCCACTGGTTTGGAGGAAGGAGAGGAAAGTCCCCACTTGGGCAAAAACAATTTAGGATACCTGAAGATTGCAAAGCCCAGCTCCTCACAAAGGGGGTGGCAGCTGGGGAGAAGCTGAATCAGTAGACAGACAAGATTGTGGTTTAACGAGTTCAGGGACAAGAGAAGGCCCCAGTAACCTACAGAAGCAACTAGCTCCTTGCCTTCTGTACAACATGGCCTTTGGAGTCACAGGACGTGAGTTTGGATCCCAGCTCTGCCACTTAGTAATTGTGTAGATTTGCACATGTTGCTGGACCTCTCTTTGTCTCAGTTTTCTGTAAACTGGGGAAAATCTTAGTAAATCTAGCTAACGTGGTTGTTATGAAGATTCTGTGTGTGTGTGTCTGTGTGTGTGTATGTGTACAAAGAAAGTTTAGAGCAGCGTGTGGCACGTAATGCATATTATGTAAGTGTAGCTCCAATGTGAGTTGTTACTTGTAGAGAACAGCTATGTCAAAACCACACCAAAAACGATTTGGAAAGGAAATAATTTGACTGGTCATTTTGTTTATCCATCAACTGAGTTGGATTGATATATTTTTCCTTTGGCCTTCAAAGGAAATTTGAGCATTCATTCATTCATCCTTTTAGAGAAATATTCTCTAAGCACCTACCGTGCGCCAAGCTTTGGGTTGGATACCTGGAACCCCTCTCAGTGAGATCACAGTCTAACAGCACACACCCAACTATGAAATATAGATGGACTGTGAAGATGAAGAAAGGTTCTGGTTATGAACTCACAGAGGAAGTGACGGCTGAACTTTGTAAGGACACAAGTGGTTTAACAAGTTTCCTGGCCCATATGAGATCTCGGCTCCGACGTTACAGGCAGCAGTGTGGGGCCTCACCTTACCTTTTCCCACTTCCATCCTTCTCCACCCCCGTTCAGTTCCCAGGCTCCCCTTGTGTGAACTGGCTCATTTCTCACTGCCTTTCTGTTCTACAGCCCCCGCTCTGCTGAGTCAGGAGGTGCTACTTTCTCCATCTGCTTTCCATCGTCCAAAATTTTTGTTGATGTTTCTTGATCACTGAGTTAAATAATTTTTCCCCGTATTATACATTCAGTAGAGTTTCTGGAGAGAGTGCATACAAAAACGCCTAACTGAATCTACCACGTCTAAGCAGATGCTCCCAGAGTCTATGCTTTTTTCCCCCATGCCATACTCCCCAAACTAAAGGATGAGAAAGAACCATGCAGGCAGAATGAGATGAGTAGATGCTACTGCTAATGCTGTCAGTTCTACTACTACCGCCACTGCTGTCTTCTGCTGAGTATGGATTATATGCCTGTTCCATATGAGAACATTATGCATATGGTGTGATTTGGTCATTCCGGATGGCTAAAGTGTGAGCATACCCGTATCTCAGATTTACAGAGGAGAAAACAGAGGCTCAGACTGGTTATGTATATTTCTCTAAGTCCCCCAGCTATTGTTTGTTGTAGGTTGGGTACCCCAGGAAGTAGATTCTGCAACTGAGATTGGCATGTAGGAAGATTACTGGGGAGTGTTCTAGGATCCACACCTGTAGGGGAACGTAGCAAGCAGGATGGGGTGGAGGGAGGATTGAGCTGTGCTGTGGGAGATGCGAATGCTCCAGTCAATCCCAAGGAAACTCTGAAGCTGGATTATTCTTCAGAGATGCAAGGAGGTCAGGAAGTCATTGATGTGGGCTCCCTCCTGGAGTGCGTGTTGCTTTGGTAGGGAGCTCGCTTTGGCTGTGGGCAGTTCCTGAGGAGGGACTCATAGGACAGCCTAGCATCTGAGGAAATGAGTGCCTCCTGGCCCAGAATGGGGGATCTCAGCAGCACACTACAATATCCACTACAGTTTCTTGGGCTTGCTCTGAAGCCATGCCTCTCTAACTTCAGGGTATATTCATGTAAGTGAGGTGCAGGGATGGGGGAAAGGGAGAAGGTAAAGCTACAAAGGTAAGCCAGCTTGTCTAGACCGGGAGCTAGCTCCTTGTGAAGGAATGGCAATGATAATGGTTAAGTCAGATTCAAGAAGTGTGTTTTGGGGAAACACTCCAGGTAGTGGTACATAGAATCCTAGCACAAGATCAGTGACTGGGTGAGTTTGACATTGTAGATGCAAATGTGTGAGGAATTATAGTTGAAAGGGGAAAGAACATTTCAGTTTTTCATTTCCTGCGTCACTGTTTTTCTTATTTGGAGATGCTGTTCCTCTCAAGTGGGAAAAATTTGGTTATCTCAGGTGGTAAAGATGCCTTTGTTTAAAATATTCTTCTGTTAGTGGGGACAATAATACTACTAATTTCTAGTACTGACGCTTCTCATGCAATTTAATCAGTAGGAACCTGTTTGCATGTTCATTTGAGGAAGTACCAAAGCCAAAAGTAGCTTCGAGGTTTGGCACCTCTGATAAAGTTACAGAAGTGCAGTGTGAGCAAAAATCATCCTCTTCTCTGTTCTTCACCTGTTGGTGAACAGTGAGAGACCAAGGTGAGAGACTCGGAAATTACACATGTACATTGTATATTACATGTATACAACATACATTGTGTATTACACATATACAAATTACTTGTCATAACGTGCAGATTTCACAATGAGAGACCAAGTTGAAAAATGCTTAAAATTCACAAGTCTATATCATTCTGTCCTCCAGGTACCCCAAGCTGGTTTGGGTTTATACCAGTTTGAACCGAGGGACCTTCAGCTGAGGAACATGTGCTCTGTGTGCTGGAAGCTCCTGGAGGCCCCAGGGTTATCTCTGCTCACTTAGGTTTGTGATGTTGGGCAAAAGGAGAAAATGCTGAGTCTATTCGGACCCAACTTCCATTAATGCCTGAGAAATAATTTAAATCGCAAGATTTCCAATCCCATAAGCAGCCCTAGCCTCTCTTCTCCTGATACTCCACATACCCAGTCTCCATTCCTTCTTCCCCCACCCTCCAGTTCTCATCCTGTACACTACCTCCAGACCCCCAGGGATTCAGATCCTGTCTCCCCCAATGAGAGACTTTTTTTTTTAGGGGGAGCCAAATTATTTGTTACAACATGTAGATTTCACTTGTTGTAGAGATGTTCTATTTTCAAGGATACAGAGCTCAAAGGGAGCACAATTCCCTGGAGAGCTAGGGAAATAATGAAGTCTAAGGTCTGGCAGATCTGGATCTGAATCCTGGCAATGCATTTCGGGAGTTCGGTGTCACCCTGAGCATCTTTCAATTCCTTGAACTTCAGTCTCCTCATCTCTGAAATGGGGTTATTATCTACCTGCAGAGGTGCTGCAGTATTAACTGAGGCAACGTTGCAACGTTTCTAGAATGATATTTAGGGCTCATATTGACCCAGTAGGAAGTATAGTTACCTTGGGCCAGGGGAGCTACCTGAGTGGAGTCAACTTTTAGGTTATAGGGACCAAGTTGAAACATGCTTAAAATTCACAAGTCTGTACCATTCTGTCCTTCAGGTACCCTAAGCTGGTTTGGGTTTATACATTCCCACAGTGCCTACCACATCCCAATGGCTTTATGACCTTGAGGTCCTGATCTGTTTTATCATAGCTCTTGATCTTCCTCAAAAATTCTTACAGCTGTATTCCACAGGTCATCACCAAGGGACTGCTAGAACTGGATCATAGCAGCTTCCAAGAGCTGAGTGTGTACATTTCCTCCCAACTCTGCATTCAGTTTAAATTGCTTGTGGTGAGAGTATTCATACCATGGGAATTGGCAGACACTGTGAATCAAACCCACCCCCTGCACTGCCCCCCTCCAGTGAGCGAGTTCTTGAACACTTACTGGTACACCACTGTCACCAACCCTGCTTTTTGTAGACATGTCCTTTAAGCAAAGCAATTCATGGGAAAGTAAATTTAATTATCAGACCATTTCATTAGATTCCTCACTGCCACAAACAGGTGGTTGTGGTGATAATCTGGGCTTTTTTGATCGCTTTAGAAAGGCAGTTCTGTAATGACATGAAAAACATATTGCTTGGTAATTTATTTATTTGTTCCCAATGTTTGCTACGGATTGTGGTGAAAACACAAACACCCAGGACAAAGGGCAAGGTTCATCCCACCATGACGATGGGAGGCAGTTTCATCCCACCATGATGATGGGAAGTCCTTATATCAGGACTCCAGGGATCTTGTGTCCTGATATAAGGCTCTCACTTTCCAATCAGCAGGAAGTTATGCTTCCCAGCCTCTAGGAAAGCATAGGAGTTAAGGAGAACTGAAATCTGGGGCAGTTATAAATCTTCCCTTATGTGTACAACAGTTTAAATCAATTGGTCATCTACCAAAATCTGAGGAACAAGAGCAGCTTTAGAAAATGGGCTGGGCATGGTGGCTCATGCCTATAATCCCAGCACTTGGGGAGGCCAAGACAGGTGGATCACCTGAGGACAGGAGTTGGAGACCAGCCTGGCCAACATGGTGAAACCCCGTCTCTACTAAAAAAAAAAACAAAAACCACAAAAATTAGCTGGGCATGGTGGCATGTGCCTGCAATCCCAGCTACTCGGGAGGCTGAGGCAGGAGAATCGCTTGAACCTGGGAGGCGGAGGTTGATGTAAGCCGAGATTGCGCCACTGTACTCCAGCCTGAGTGAGAGACAGACTGTCTCAAAAAAAGAGAAAAGTAAAGAAAAGAAAAGAGTAAGATTAAAAACAAGTAAAGAAAATAAATCCTCCCGCTTTTTTTGCTCCTTCATGGGTATGGCTGCATCCTCTGCTCACTGGTTTGAGTTATTATTTTCCCATGGGCAATTAAAGCCCTGGCCTCCACTGCAGTTTTCACATCAAACCTAAGAGTCTCAGGTGCCCCTTGGTGGAGCAACCTAACTAGAGACATTAATCATACTACGGGATAATTGACAAATGCATTGTGAGTGTCTGATTTCTGTGGCTCAGGATGCTTAGTAGCAGTGGGGTCAAGGGCACAGATGACACAGGTCCAAATTTCCCCACCCCTACGTAGTAGCTGTGTGACCTGGGGCAGGTTGCTTAACTTTTCTGGACTTTTGATTCCACATTGGTTAGATGGAAATACCATATTATTATAAATATTGTAAATAGTACCCATCAAACACTTAATGTGAACCAGAAACCCTCATAAAATGTTTGCTAGTCTTTGTTGTTGAAAGGTCACTATGATGATGGCTCAAAATCCTGACCTGAAGGTGTGCTATGTTCCTGCTTCACTTGTGCTGTGGACATGTTCCTATTTATCATAGTGCAGTTGTTGAGACTGGGTGTCTAGAGCCATGTGATTTGGTTCAGCTCCTAACTCTGTCACTTGCTCTTTGACCTAGGCAGAAAACTTTGCCTCTTTGGGCTTCAGTCCCCGGTGTTTTTATTTTATTTTATTTTTCAAGATGGAGTCTCATTCTGTCACCCAAGCTGGAGTGCAGTGGTGCAATCTTGGCTCACTGCAACCTCTGCCTCCTGGCTTCAAGCCATCCTCCCGCCTCAGCCTCCCAAGTAAGTGGGACTACAGGTGTGCGCCACCACGCCTGGCTAATTTTTGTATTTTTAGTAGAGATGAGGTTTCACCATGTTGGCCAGGCTGGTCTCGAACTCCTGACCTCAAGTGATCCACCTGCCTTGGCCTCCCAAAGTGTTGAGATCACAGGTGTGAGCCATGGTGCCAGGCCTCTCCTGTCTTTAACTGGGGATAATGTGTGCAGAATTCCCCCTAAAGGATCTATCATGCGTAAGGTGGACCCTCACAGAAAGCGTCAAAGACACACGAATCTCTTAGCAGGAGGCCGCCAGGTGGCACAAAATCAAAACTGCATCATTGAGAATTATGTTATGAAGTCATTTACTGACTTGAGCCTCAGTTTTCCTATTAATACAATGAGACTGTAGTAACTTCATAGGGCTCTTGCAAGAGTTCAGCTAAAATTCTCCACCTTGCCACCTAGAACATGTCACAGAAGGTATCCTGGCCCCTGTATGGGATTCATACATGAAGAGGACTGCCTTGTAAAGTCATTTGATTAGGGATCCAGAGGGTGTACTGGTAGAGGACAGATTTTCAACCCCTTGACAGTTCGAAGGTCAGCTACACAACTGGCTTGTGTTCCTCGCTGACACCTCCCTGAGTAGCAATGTGCATTTGTGTGCCTTCCCTTTGCCAGGCATTTCTAAGAGGATGAATCCTAACAGGTATGGCAGCCAGAGGGCAGGGGCAGGGAGAAGAATAAGATGTTCCTTGGTGTACCCCATTGTCATGAGTTCATCATTTCTGTTAACTGTGGGGGCAGAGAGTTCCAATTGCAACTGGCTTGTTGTGAGACTGCCCCGGTGGTTGCTGCCAGATGATCCACAAATGCCAAGCTCCTCACCTGAGCCCTGCCAGCCTTCAGGACCTCCTTTGCACGAAGAGCAATTTGCAGAAGAGAACACTGCAGGGGAGGCACCATAGACCCCTTCTGGTCTGTACTGTTCAAAATCACATGACATCCGCCAGAGGCCTGGTGGGAAGCCAGGGTTTTAGGCACTAGAAATGGAGCTCAGAAAGGAGGAGAAAGGTCCCTGCTGGTCTGTGGAGAGGGCCTTGGCCACCAGAGGGATCAAATGGCCCAGGCAGGAAATAAGTATCCCGCTCTCAGATCTGAGGCCAGATTTTCAAGTGTATGCATGATTCTGGGGTGCTACAAAGGGTATAGAGTATGGAGTTAGAACATTACACGTCAACAAGAATATGGGTTTTGAACCCAGACCTCAGTTTGAATCTGAGTTCCAGCACTGCCCCGTTGCTTGGCCGTGAGTTACTTCACCTCCTTTAGCCTCTGTCTCCCCTCCACTACAATAACACCTGCCTGGTGGGGAGTGAGGATATTGTGCGAATCAGAAGTAATAACAGGTCGTTGGCACCTAAGAGACTCTCAGTAACCAGCAGTCATCACCACCGTCGTCGTCTTTTTTTTTGGCCATTACAGTTGGGATTAGACTAACCCTCCCTAAGCAGCTATTGAGCCTCACACTCCCTGGACAAAGACATGAAAAACTCTGGATGATTTGGAAGGGAGATCTAGAAATGGTGAAAGGACTGGCAAGTGCCTCTGTGCTGATATTGTACCTGGGCTCAGTGGTCTGGCTAAAGGAGAGGTGCTGGGGCCAGGTGACAGGCGAGTCTCTATACGGCAGGCCCAAAAAATGGAGGTGCAGGCTTCATCTATACTTTGATGTGTATGCTTCCTTCTTTAAACTTGTGATAATCAGAGTTATAGCTGCTTTAAACTTGTAAAAATCAGAGTTATAGCTGCTTTTGAACTAGTACTTGTTGTGTGCCCAGGAAATGGCCAAATGTTATCACTCATCCTTCCAAGAAACACATGAAGGTTATATTATTATGTCGACTTTCCAGATGAGGAGACTGAGGCTCAGTGGCTTGTCATAGGTGTCAAAGACAGGAGTCCAATGTAAGGACTTCTGGCTTCAGCACAGGGGATTTTCCTACCATCCCATATTGCCACCCCATCTGCAAAAATACCTGGATCTATCTTCCTCCTGCTGATTCTCAGCTCCCTCCAGGACTGAAGAGATGATATTGATTCTCACTTGATAGAGGTTAGAAAGGGCCTCTCCCTTCCCTAGCTGAATAGAGAGGGTTTCCTTTTTCTTTTCTTTTTTTTTTTTTTTTTTTAAATGGGAAACTTACAGGGAATAAGATCTGTTTCTTCATTTGCTTTGCAAGAGAGTTGGATTTGTACACGATGCCTGAGCTGGCTCGGTTTTCTAAAGACCTAACTTTGCAGCATTCTTCAAGGGCTCCAGAGAGTCCCTTGTGCCATCAAATTAAGTTTGGAAACTTCAATAAAAAAGTCCCGAAGGAAACTGTCAATTAATGCATTTACACTGAAGCATCATATTTGGGAAAAACATCTTCAAACGCAAACGCTGTTTTCCAACCATTAAAAAGTTTATGCGCTGCTTGGTTTCCATGGATACCTGAGGTAATAGCCTCCTTCCTCTCATTGAAGAGTGAATGTTGCTCAGTTACTTTTTTCCTGTTTTTTTTCACTTTTGTCTTCCTGACTTTTTTCTTCCATCCCTATTTATGAAAACAAAAAGATAACTAAATTGAAACCTGACAATGTAATTTGTCAGAGGAAGGCAGCCTGTTTTATAAGCTCAGGTGATTTCATTTTTGTTCACCTGTTTATTTCATGACACTTGCAGGAAAAAGAAGAATTTTCATTTGATCAAATCATTTCCATGATCCATCAAACACACAAGTTAAAAAGGGAAATGCTCTCAGTCTTTAATAACAGTCTTAATCGTGTGTAGAGCAGAGATTGACAAACTATGGCCTGCCGGCTAAATCTGGCCCAGTGCCTTTTTTTTTATAAATAAAGTTTTATTGGAATACAGACACGTTCATTTGGGTAGACGTTGTCGATGGCCGCTTTCACAACAATAGCAGAGTTGAGTGATCGTGCCAGACATTATATGGGCCACAGAGCCTAAATTACTTAATCTCTGGCCCTTTGCAGAAGTAGTTTACTGACCTATTATATACAGGAAAGAATGAGGGCTTGGGTGGCACTTAGTAGTGTTGTCACTTTTGTCATTGGCCTTGACCTGACTCAGTCTCCGTATTGTTGAGATGGGAATGACGGGACCCTCAGTAGTGTTTTGGGATATAAGGCACACGGTAAAGGAACAACAAATAGGAATTACATTCCGTCGAGATTCTTTTGCTAGAAAGATCCAAAGAAACCTACCTTGTGATTCTAGATGTTTTTTAGGAAACCCAAAGAAAGTATGAAAAAGCCCAAGCCAAGTCCTTCCACTGTTGTTCCCGGGCCTGTGTGTGCTGTGTGTCTTTCCTGGGAGAAGGTCAGAGCTGGAGTGGGGCACTCGATTCCGGCAAGAGAAGGCAAACAAAAGAAGCCACAACAGTCTAGGAAGAAATCTTTAATTTCTATTCAGCTTTAAAGAGTTTGAGAGAGTTTTTTCCCCTCTGTTAACAAACGAGTTCAAGTACATGCCTTCATATTATAAAAGTACCTGAAATTGCCTAGAATAGCAGCATGCATAGCTTGTTAGTATTTACATATATTTACATAGGGAAACAAGAGAAAGATCTACAGTTATTTACAGTCTACATAGGGGAAGAGAAAGGCAGCCTAATTGTATTTCCTAAAATACAGTAGATGAGTAGTCAGCACATGCATATTTAGATAATATTTGCATGATAGAATGCAAACTTTAAAAAAGACATACCTTTGTAACTTTCTATGCTAAGGTGTTGCATAATCAAGGTTAATTTTTGTTTGTTTCTAGTCTATTGGCATCAAGTGCTTTAAAATGCTCACTAACACCGAGGCAGAATTATTTACCCGGGCAATTAAAGCAACAGCACACACGATCATTTCCTACTAACTAGCAACACGCTGCTGGTGAATGAAATATCTATTGTTTCTCATTACCCATCGACCACTGTGAAGAGATCTCTCTGTGTAAAGGCAGTGCCTAAGCTATCACCATTAATTATGGAAGTAATATAAATGAGACACTCTCCACAGTATGTTCTAAATGAAATATTAACAAGGCCAGCGTCTTGGAACCTGAGAAATGGTCTGTTCCAGTGAGCTCTGTATGGAAATCCACACACCTAACTCAGACATGCCCGATTTGAAATAGCGGGGCTGGACATTGGGGGCCTACCTGTGAGATCTGAATTATTGCAAAGTACATCCTCTTAATTTGTTTCTGGAAGGCAGAGTTAAGAGTTAATTCCTTCCCATGATGTGGCCCCAGCGGAGACCTTGTGTTTTTTTTTTTTTTTTTCTTCAGTGCTTTTTCAGGACTATGTTATAGAATACTTATGGGGCATACGTGTAAATGAACTGTCAACCTTAAAATCTAAACAAACAGCTTGTTTGTGGTTCGTCCTGAAATCCTCCCTGCTCACAAAACAGCCAGCTACTTGGTTTTCTAAAAGACGTAATTTTGCAGGCAGACTTCGTAGAGCCATTCTGTGCAGAAGAAGGGAAGGGAGAAGCTGTTTGTTTTACCTGTAGTATGAAGATATTCTTTGCGCTGTTAGAACTGAGCTCATTAATTCTGCCTGGCAATAATTTCAAAGGTTTATTTTGGTGTAGATGGCGAATACAGATGCATACATTTATACGCAGTACACGAGCTAGCTATAACCATAACAGAGGTTAAAGAAGTAGAGTAAAAATGTAAAATGTTTCAAATAAACACACACTAAATATCTTCTTTTATATCTTATAAACACCCAGCAGTCCTTTAGCACGGGCATCAAGGTGGCCCAGTTGGAAAATTTCAGTGACATGCCATCAGATTTGTTCCATGTAGAAGGACGACACTATCAGTTAGATGCTTATTTTGTTGGCAAATTTCTATGGCACTTCTGCTTGGCTATTTCAAACCAACCATGGAAGAATAGATACCCCAATGCGATGTTTCATCCCTATTCATAAAGAAACTGTACTTTGAGCAATGTAGGTATCCCAGGCAGCATCAGAGGGAATGCCCAGGGAATTCTTCCATGGATATAAGACATCATCAACAATACCTTCTCTTAGTTCTAATGAGACAGCCTCTCAGGTCCGGTCAGTTCTAGAACGCTTTGGGCAGGCACAAATGGAAGATGGAACAAGTGTGCATGTAATGACCCACATGGATTGCCTTGAAGCCGTTTCTTTTTCCTTCCCTCGTTAGGAGTACCCTCACCCTAACCCCAGCAAAGCATGTCTAGGGTCTCACAATAATAGCAGGTCTCAGAAAGATAAAATAATTCTGAATGTTACAACTCGTCCCATTTAAGGCTAGACATAAATCTATCACAGATCCTTTGGAACATCGATGGCAAGAATTCTGGAACACGAAGGAGGTATGAAAAGGGCTTCACTCGTTTCATGGAAAAGCTCAGAACAGTTTGTCGACTTGGAAACACAGGCCCTGAGAGCGTACCAAGGTCACCCTGCCCTTCAATCCTGCTGATAGCCCAAGTTAACATCCTCCCATGCCTTGGCCTTCCCAGAACAAACATGGCTTTGGACGCCTTTGGGTGGTTGGGACTGGCTGCCTATTTTTCTCTAAAACTTAAGTTTTAGGAAAGAATTCTTTCCAGCTTTCCATCCTGAACCTGCTGGTCTCCAGGCTCGTTCCTGCAAATATTTCACAGAGGAGTAAGAGCCACATTCTTGCTGGCTTTCCAATTCATTCTCCTCTCTTCGAGTCCACCTCTTAAAACTTCTTAGTGCTCTTGCAAGAAACTCATGTCTTTTGTCAGGGAGAATGGCATGGCCTTTGTATGACACTTCCTTCTAGCCAGACTCGGATTTGGGGGCATCATATTTGGGATGGCTGCACCGTAAACAGGAAAGGCCACAGGACAGCTCACAGGTTCTCTCTGAACAGAAGCCTGTGAGCACGTGCCTGTCATTTAAAAGCTGCATGGCACTCTTCCCCCTGCATGCGTTTCTCTCAAGGTGTCCCTTGTAATTTGTGGTTGTGGTCTGTGCTTGAACCTGTTGCATTTATGGTGATGGACTGGCACTTTACTCTCTCTGAGCCACGGCCATCAAGCCCCTGTCATAGACACTGTCCCTAGTGTCACCTGGGGAATGACACTCTTCACCTGTCATGGGAGAGGCAACTGAAAAGGAGCCTGAGGTTTTTCTACCTTTGTGAACCTGTTGCTAGCAAAGAAATATTTTTCCTTGTGGCAAAAGATCAACATCTAAACACATTGTCCACGTCTAATTTGTTAGGGAGGGCATGTTCTCTTCTGGAGGGCTAAGAGTTGGCATGGGATCTAAATGGATTCTCCAGAACACTTTCTCACACTTCTAAAGCCTGAAAACAAATATTTGCTTTCCTGATCATCTTCATTGTTTCTTTTTGGGAAATTGAGTGCATTCCTCTTCTATAATAAAGGTTAAGAATAGCCTGTGAGTTAGCAAAACTCCCAAAGGTTTATGAAGAAAGTTACATTTCAATACCTACAGGAAGTATTTGCATGTGTCTAAGGCTGGATTGTTGAAGGCCTTTGTGGGAGTCAGTTGTCAGGAATTTGTAGGAATGACTGTGTTAGGAATCATTGGAGGAGAGGGAGTCAGAGGGATGGATCAGTATTTTCTCTGCAAACCTGATGAAACACTCCAGAGCCCGCACCTACATGCGTGGGAACTGATAAGATGGGGGTTGTGTCCACTTCACTTGTATGGGATGTCGGTGCTTTGAAAAAATTCTATCATCAAAGAGTAGGTTTCTTAGTTCTGCAAATCTGGCACCTGGAGATGGCATTTTGAATCGGACGACCTTTTTAGTAAGGGTCACTTGCTGTTGGATCATCGAAGGGGGTGCTGAGTCTTCATTTTTGTTCATCCAAATGGATATCATTTCAATTTAGCTCCATGAGTAAATCAATGGAAAAAAAAATCTCCTTTTAACATTTCTCGGGTGAACACACGACAGCCCCCACATTTCATTTTAGGCCATGTTAGGGCATCACCTCATGGCCAGACATGGCCTGGCTGAGAAGGCGGCAGAGCAGGCAGAGAGGCATAGGAAGCCGGAGCCCCGTGGAAGACATAGATGAGGAAATGGGCCACGTGCAAATATTTGTGTCACATATTTGGGGAGCAGGTTTCATGTACCAACGGACACGGAGTCTGAAGTCACTCACTCTACGTAATTATCTGTATGGCTTTGGACGAGTTGCTTTTGATCTCTGATATCAGGTAGGCTTCTCTCTAAATAAATGGAAATACTAACTGTCCCTGGCTCATAGAGCTCTGTGAGGGTTAGGCAACAATGCTTACAAAGCTCTCCATGCAGAGCCTGGCAAATCGTAACCTCTCAATAAATGCTAGTCATTGATGTCACTTGAATAGTACTCGTTGGCTACAACTCACTGAAAAAGCCGGGCAGTTTGCAGGGCTGAGGACTTTGGAGTAGACATCTCTGTTCTCGTCTGCTGCTTCCCATCATTTTGGTGGAAGTTGGTGTGTTCGTTGGTTAGCACTTATTCCAAATTGAATTGTATAATTTCATTATAGAAGTATCACGGTGGAAGAAGAGGGTGACTTACTGGTGTGGTCACCTAGCCAGGGAGGCCTATGAGCCTCATTCCTGTATAGGCTGCATTACTTTATGAACAAATGCAATTTGTGGCAAATGTGTCCCCTAAAAGATTGCTCTTGGATAGTGAGTAGGGAACAAGTGGCCTTTTGGAGCAGTTTGCTTTCATTTGTGTTTCCAATGAGAGATTGAAGCTGTAATTGTTTGTGAGGAATGGCTGTATCCCAAGCACCGAGGTATCTGGAGATGACCTCTGCACTGTTCTGGGAGAGTGGTTATAGCCTCTCCTGGGGGAGTGTTACTGGGAGACAGGGAAAGACAGGGCGTGTAGACGGCCATCTATTCCACCTGTGACATGAGGGCTCACCCCCTCATCTCCACCGCAGCAGCTCTCTGATAAATGTAGCTCTCTGATAAATGATTCTGTTCCTAGTGGTGTATTCACAGAGTCAATGGATAAGGTGGCTGGCTTTGCATTTGAGAAGTATTTGCTTTGTCCAACAGACACCAGATGAGTAACAATGGAAGTAGGCAGGGTTTGAAGAGGTATGTGTCTTTCCTTTTAGCCAAACCTGCTCACTTCAGATCACCACTTTGTCCTGGGACGTTAGTCATGGGAACACTGCCGTCTTCAAAAGGGCTGTTCTCCTTCCCTGCTCTTGGTGTTCCAAGCCTAATCTAACTTCCAGGGTTCATTCCTTTCATAACTCTACTTTTTGCATAAGTGGATTAATTCAGCATTTGCTGTGCAATGTCCCTGTAAGAAAGCAATCTTAGAACATCTACTCTCTCACAATCATTGAATATATAGATATGCCATGATATTGTGTCTATTTTTTATATATCTCATAGTTAAGTCTACTTTAAGACAGGAATCTCCTCTTTCTTTTAAATGAGCATGCATTTTAAAATAGAAAAACCTGAAAGCAAAACACGGTGTAACATGTGTCCCTGTGAGTATTATATTAGAGTACTAACCAATGCATTACAAATATCAATATGTGGGTGCTTTTTTTTTCTTTACCATATATTGTTTATCAGAAACCTCTGTACCCTTTCCTTTAAAGGAGTCAATATGCATTTGTATTCTGTGCTGACAACTATAAATTGATGGCTAGCAGTTATCAAATGAATGTTGATGAAAAGCAGCTACTTAACATTTTCATCCCAACACCGAGTTTTGGAAGGATGGATAATTTAGATCTGAGGGCCTCAACTATAAATAAACAGCAACTGCTTTCTAAATCCCACCTTTCTGTAGTTGAAGATTGTGCTGCAAATCTGACAGATGATTTTTGAAAGAGAATGATGAATCCTTATTACCAAGATACTCTTAATCCCAAACAAGAGTCCTGGGTAATTTTACATATACTCTCAAGATTGATTGCACAGTTCTCCTCTGGCAGCTCACAAATGTTTGACTAGATCGGAAATGGCATTCGGGCATGATTAAAAAGATTCTTCTGGGCTTCCCAGAAATTCTCAGTCCTGTGTCGTCAACAACCTAACTCATTGCCATTGCTGCGGGATAGACACCTCCCCCGTTTCCCATGATTAGCAACCATATACAACCTACAGGCTTCTGATAAATGATTGATTCTCAAAAAAAAAAAATCGTTTAGGGGAACCCATAGCTCCAGCCAGTGTTTGTATGTCAAGGTATTATTATTTATCACAATGGATCAGTAAGCATTGATGACAACTGGCAAGGTATTGCTTCAGATATTTTATAACGGAGTTGTTAACATTATTTCCTTTAGATGGCTCTTTCATCTTTTCTGCATTATGAACTGATGCCCCAAAAGGTGGTATGAATGAAAGTCATCTGATGGTGATTAAAGTGCTCTTTAAATTTTTTTTTTAATCAGTTTAAGAATGCTTTCTCTTTTATTGGCAGTACCTGCTTGTTTACTATTGAGATTTCACTAATGTGCCTCAGTCTTATTCTGATGATATGTAGGCCGAAAAGCTGGTGAGCCAAAAATGAGAACCTGTTACTAAACTGTCATCACATCTGATCATATTAAGATGTCACTCAGAGGTTGCCATTGGTACGGCTGAAAATTCTCCAAGAGACCAAAGGTGTGGTGTGTATGGGACCAACAAGATATTGTTACTGCTTAATTGTCCAGCAAGGGAGGAAAGTAGAGTGAGTACCCATGAGCACCAAGCATGAATCTGAGAAGGAGAATTTGCCAAAGGTGGACGATTGATTTTTGGAGTAGAGAAGGTCGTCTTTGCTTTCGGGTGCCCCTCCTGTGTACTGTGTTCTACAAAGCCAGAGCCACTTGTGATGGAATTTAGATGGTAAATCACCCCAAGCCTAGTGGCAAAGGAATCAAAGCCATCTCCTGATAAAAAGTTAGGCTTTTCAAAAAGGTATGGCTCTCAGCATTGTAGCCAAATGTAGGTTGGCATGAAATGAAGCCAGTTGTAATTGCCTTTAGATTCCGTGGAAGGAAAAGGTAGGTCCCCAGCTCCTGCAACAATGGCATTCTGAATCAATGGGACTGCAGAATTTCTTAGCAAAAATACCATTCCAGTAATGCAAGAGTGCAACGTGGTATCATTACAGTAGGTCATAGTGGCAAAATATTTTATCAGGTTAGGAAGAATTCTGCTTTTTGCTTTCCCAAACGGACTGCTTTGGTCTTTCCTCACGCTTGGCAGAACAGTGAAAGGCCAGTCTGTCATGACGTTTGAATGCTGAATAGTATAACCATTGTGGCATAGAGGGCGGGAGGCTGGACTTGAAATGGGTGAGCTGGATTCTCCCACCACTCGGGAGTTAATGGCAAGTCACTTGGCCACTCTGGTCGTTTTGGCAGCTGCAAGGTAAAATGAAAATATATGACAGATATCTGGAAGTTGATACAAAACACCATCTCCACCAGAACTCTAAGATTCCAGGCCAAAATAATACTTGGCTTGAGTTAGCTGGATGAGCATCTCAATTCTCCAATTTGTCTTTAGAGGCACTTCTGCTTCCCTTTTCCCCACATGGGATGCAGAAGAGCCAGATAAACCCCTTGAAGTTGTTTAGATAAATGTGCCAGGTGCTAAGCTCAGGGTTATTAGGAATAATAATTCAGTGAAAGGAAATTTGGATGACATGAACTCATTTCCATTAGACTTGAGCCACACAAATCAATGGGAAAAGAAACAGCTGAATCCAGGATAATATCTGGCTATTTGGAGTGGGCATGATAATGGAGGGAGATTGGGGAGGTAACAAACCAGCTACTATTAAGTTCAAGTCATGTCAGTTATTCAAATTCAGGACCAGTGGAACTTGTCCAGTATCATCAAGCAGCCAGTTATTATCAAAACCCAAGTCTTTGTCTCACTCACGGTCCACACCCCGCCCAGAGTCGTATCACTTGACTGCATTTGACCATTCAGTTTTCAGACCAACTCCATTGTTACTAGATATCCTGACACTGAAGAAGCTAAAACCAAACAACAATGACAACAACAAACCCAAGTCTGCCTTATGGCAGATTCTTCACGTCGTAACACCTTCCTTGGGACCCTATTTCTCAGTATGGACCTGACTCTCCCAGGGATCCTAGAATGCAAGCATAGTGATTGCAAACCAGACCATTTGAGGGAAACTCCTCCAGTAAGCACCCTGCATGGTCACAATGTAAACCCTGCAGGGGCAGAAAAATGATAAGCTTTGGGTCGGGTCGGAAAGCCATTTCCCCCACAATCAAAGTTCCTTAGTGTTTTCCTTGTGGGGGCGAGCTTATCTTCAGTTACCTTTTCCGGTCCTCTCTTGCAACCCCTCTCCCTCTCATCAGCTGAAAATTAGTGGATGCAGCTAGGGCTCTGAAACACATAAATAATCATAAGATGCCAGATAAACTGTATTGGTTTTAAATTAGAGACGTGCCGACCATGTCTCCCTCTGAACAGCAGCCTATTATTTTTAATTATGGCTTGCAAAGCAAAGTGATTTCTTGCCCTCTTTATAGCATCCCTGACAGTATTCTGTCAGTTTGGATGATATGATGCCTCATCACTGCACACGTCCCTAGCCACAGCCGCAACTGTTACTCAAAAGGTGAATGAAAGTGATCAGCTGCACTCTTTGCAACTTACATTTTGAAGTGGGCTGGGAGGAAATGTACCCCCTTACCTGTGGTCCCATTGTAAATCTGGGTCAAATATGACATTTAGAAAAAGGTTTTCATGGGATCTGGATGAATTAATGTGTTATGTGTTTGTGCTAAGTATGAATGTATGGTGAGGAGTGTGTGTGTGTGTGTGTGTGTGCATTAAATGTTTTAACACAACATTGCCAACCCTTCCCCTAGCAGCACCGTGGGCAAAGCATAAAGGGATGATCTGGCAGCAGCCCCACTTGGGTTTTCTACCTGATGGACCACAATTAAGAGTGGTTGGTTTGTCAGACAGAAGGTTCTACAAACGATTTGGTATCGAATTACATTATACATGGAGAAGTTGAGGGGTTGGATGAATTTGTTCTTGCACGTTCAGAAGGATACCATCTTTTTCTCTGTGTGGAAGAGGCGCCTGCCACGACGTATTGATATGTGTATTTATTTTCCAAGCCTGTCCCTGTATGAGGTGTCAAAAGTTACACCAGCTTTACAAGCGGAGTTTATGAACTCGTTTTTCCAGGATAGTCACATTATACTTTTTACAGTCATGTGCTTTCAGCCCAGTACCCTTTGCTATGCCAAGATCCAGCTGAAACTGAACCAGGTGGGGGAGGCCTGCTAATGCCCAGGCAGTCGAAATGACGCCATCTCATCACTCCTTTTCTTAAAATTTTTTTTTGTCTTTCTTCTTGGATTTCCAGCAACAGGGAGCTGCCACCACCGTGTACTGTGCTGCTGTCCCAGAACTGGAGGGTCTGGGAGGGATGTACTTCAACAACTGCTGCCGCTGCATGCCCTCACCAGAAGCTCAGAGCGAAGAGACGGCCCGGACCCTGTGGGCGCTCAGCGAGAGGCTGATCCAAGAACGGCTTGGCAGCCAGTCCGGCTAAGTGGAGCTCAGAGCGGATGGGCACACACACCCGCCCTGTGTGTGTCCCCTCACGCAAGTGCCAGGGCTGGGCCCCTTCCAAATGTCCCTCCAACACAGATCCGCAAGAGTAAAGGAAATAAGAGCAGTCACAACAGAGTGAAAAATCTTAAGTACCAATGGGAAGCAGGGAATTCCTGGGGTAAAGTATCACTTTTCTGGGGCTGGGCTAGGCATAGGTCTCTTTGCTTTCTGGTGGTGGCCTGTTTGAAAGTAAAAACCTGCTTGGTGTGTAGGTTCCGTATCTCCCTGGAGAAGCACCAGCAATTCTCTTTCTTTTACTGTTATAGAATAGCCTGAGGTCCCCTCGTCCCATCCAGCTACCACCACGGCCACCACTGCAGCCGGGGGCTGGCCTTCTCCTACTTAGGGAAGAAAAAGCAAGTGTTCACTGCTCCTTGCTGCATTGATCCAGGAGATAATTGTTTCATTCATCCTGACCAAGACTGAGCCAGCTTAGCAACTGCTGGGGAGACAAATCTCAGAACCTTGTCCCAGCCAGTGAGGATGACAGTGACACCCAGAGGGAGTAGAATACGCAGAACTACCAGGTGGCAAAGTACTTGTCATAGACTCCTTTGCTAATGCTATGCAAAAAATTCTTTAGAGATTATAACAAATTTTTCAAATCATTCCTTAGATACCTTGAAAGGCAGGAAGGGAAGCGTATATACTTAAGAATACACAGGATATTTTGGGGGGCAGAGAATAAAACGTTAGTTAATCCCTTTGTCTGTCAATCACAGTCTCAGTTCTCTTGCTTTCACATTGTACTTAAACCTCCTGCTGTGCCTCGCATCCTATGCTTAATAAAAGAACATGCTTGAATATCATCACCTGAAGTTTGTATTGTTTCTTTAAATGTTTGTTTCAGTTTGTTTTTGTTTTTCATTTTTTAGAAAAGAAATCTAGAGGAAAAATAAAGCGCTTCTAATAAAGCGCTTCTCGTAGATGCCAGGAAAACACGATTCTTGTTTCTTCTCTGAGTGAGTTTGTGTTTTGTTTTTGTGCTTTGTGGCTGTCCGTGGGCCAAGTTGTCTCACGCGATTAGCATGCCAGCATATTTTCTGTTAAAGAAAGAAAAAAGAAAAATGACTATTGTTTCATTTCACCTTAAGATGTTTTGTTATTACTTACTTACAGTGAGTTATTTTAGTCCTCAATGGTCTGCTCCCCTGCAATTAGCAAGTACTTAGTGATTAGCGGGTATCTCTATGTTTGAGAATGGGAGCTGTGCAGAAGCTCTTATCTGCGCATCCCATCTCATGGACACCATGATTTCCAGCCCGTTCCAGCAAGCACATGAGAAAGTCCACTCTGGCAAGACGGAGAAAATGCTTCTGCTGAAATACCAGGAAGGTGTGGAGGCTGGGTGTCATTGTTCCCCCTCCTGATCATGGCAGCTTCAGGCCAGACAATGTCTTGAACTTCTGTGCCTCTGCATCTGTGGTGCAGAGCAGTCGAACAAACAAACACCATTGCCCTCCAGTGGCCCATAGCCTTGCCACATCCTCCCATCTGGCTATAGTCTTCCTTACGTAATCCTTATTATCACAGGACCTTTGAAACTATGAATCAGATAATGTCACTTTTCAGACATTATTGTCATTTGCAAAAGCAGCCGTCAGAACTCCACTCTCAGAATCTACACCTGGAGGGGATCACCCCTCCCATATGACCTCTGACTTTGGCCATGTGACTGGCCTTGGCCAATTTGGAAAGTGCTTTGCACTGGGGCTTGCCTTTCCTTGTTGATCTTTGGAACCCTGCAACTTCCATCATAGGGAACGGCTCCTGGGCTAGCCTGCTGGATGATGAGAGACACGTAGTCACTCCCAGAACCGGCATCCAGCAGTTAGTTAGTTAGACATGTAAGTGAGGCCATCCCAGACTATCCAGCCCCAGCTGTGCCAATTCAGAGGAGAAGAAACTGCACATTTCACTCACAGCAATGCAAAAGATAGTAAAAGTTTATTTTAAGCCACTAAGTTTCAGGATTACATGTTACTCAGCAAAAGCTAACTGATACAGCTTCTCAGCTCACTAAGGTTAATTTTTTTCTACCCTACTTCTCTTATAATTTGGTCTCCAGCTACCTCTCTAATCTCAACTTCCAGCACTTTATCCACTAGAAGCCACTCTAGTCTTCCTCTGTTCCTCGAACATGCCAAGCACACTCCCAACTCAAGGGGTGCATATTTGCTGTTTCCTCTGCTGAAATGCTTTCCTTCCAGAAACCAGCATGCCTTTCTTCCTCACTGATTTTTAGTCTCTGCTCACGTTATCCCTGTCTTCATGGTGTCACCCCATTCTTATTCCCCTTCCCCTCTATTTTTTCTCCACAACACTTAATATTATTGTACACATTATGTGTCTATTTTTTCTGTCTACCCACTATAAGAAACTCCATGAAATTTGTCTGTTTTCTTCACAACTTGGCCACAGTACCTTGAACTGCTCCTGTCACACAGCAAACTTACTGACTTAATAAATAACCACTGAAAGAATGATTCTGGGTGACTAGGCTTTATGTTCAGGAAAATAATTTCCATCATTGTGACAATGATCCCGAGCCACACACTGTGCTAAGCAGGCTACATTACCACTGTCGCCCGGGCTGCAGTGCAATGGCATGATCTCAGCTCACTGCAACCTCCACCTCCCAGGTTCACGCGATTCTCCTGCCTCAGCCTACCAAATAGCTGGGATTACAGGTACACACCACCACACCTGGCTAATTTTTCATATTTTAAGTAGAGACGGGGTTTCACTATGTTGGCCAGGCTGGTCTTGAACTCCTGACCTTGTGATCTGCCCTCCTCAGCCTCCCAAAGTGCTGGGATTACAGGTGTGAGCCACTGTGCCTGGCTTTTTTTTTTTTTTTTTTTTTTTTTTTGAGACAGAATCTCACTCTGTTGCCCAGTCTAGAGTGCAGTGGCGTGATTTTGGCTCACTGCAACCTCCCTCCCCGGTTCAAGCGATTCTCCTGCCCCATCCTTCAGAGTAGCTGGGATTACAGGTGCCCACAACCACACCTGGCTAATCTTTGTATTTTCAGTCGAGATGGGTTTGACCATGTTGGCCAGGCTGGTCTCGAACTCCTGACCTCAGGTGATCCACCCACCTCAGCCCCCCAAAGTGCTGGGATTACAGGTGTGAGCTACCATGCTTGGCTATTACATCTGATTTCTAATATGACTACAGTCTTGCCAGTTCACCCCTTCTCCCCATTTTACTGATGAAAAAGCTGAGGCCAAGAAGTGTCAATCTGCTGTTGTCCATACAGCTCATAAATTGATAGAGCTGCAGTTCACACCCAGGAGTGTTTGATTTCAAGGTCATGCAGATTGCCTGCACCAGTGCCACTGCTCCTTCCATAAGTTGACTATATCCATTCTGGTAGGATGCACCATCTTTTTTCCTTTTAAACAGAGATGGGGTCTTGCTATGTTGACCAGGCTAGTCTGGAACTCCTGGCCTTAAGCAATCCTCCCATTACAGGCATGAACCACTGTGCCTGGCCATGGATGCACCATCTTAAAATCTTAGGCTGATCAGAGAGGTGACTTTATGGGTCTGACTCTAGTTATGCTTCAAGCATTTGGTGGAAGTGAAAGTAAAGCCACGAGAAAGAAGATATTGGCGTATCATCAGCCAAGGTGCTGTGCAAAATGTCAAAGAGAACCAAGAGAGGACATGCTGGCCTCCTGCTTCCTGGCCGTGTCTAGGGCCTCTATGCTGACTTCCTCCTCTGTGGATCCTGCAGGGTTCACATCTGCAGGCTGACAACATGAGGCCTCGGGGAACTTTGTAAGGGTAGCTGAGGATTCTCCCAAATCAAGATTTCCAAGTCATATAGACCAAGGCTTCATACATTCATTCATTTAACAAACATACCAAGTGCTACATCCTGGAAATTCAAGGTTTAAAGTAAACCCCTCCACAGCCTCTGCTATAAAGGAATTTACATCTTGGGTCTGTAGGAGTCCTCACAAAGCACAACGTCCTACTCCACTTTATCAGAAGTTATCTACGTTACTTGAAGATGAACTGAGGCCCCGTAACAGTAGCGATTGCCCCCTCATGCCCATTTCTCCCTGAACCCACTCAGTCAGACACTGTCAGTCCCCATGGGCCATTTTCTCTTGCCAGACACATCAATCTTATTTCCTTGGCTATTTCTGTGATAAATTCTTGACAGGTGAGCAAGTGCATGGCATAATTCCTATTATTCCTATTTTAGCTTATTCTATGGCCAACCCTATTTCTCCCCATTTGTCATATGTGCACATCTGTATATGTATATGTCATGCACATCTGTATATGTATGTCGTGCACGTGTATATGTATATATGTCGTGCACATCTGTATATGTATACGTGTCATGTGCACATCTATATGTGTATATGTACATGTATGCATGCACAAATATGTGTGCCATACATGTAAAACACAGGCATTATAGATGTATAACACATATATGTGGCACATGTGCATATGCACATATATGTATTGCATATATATGTGTATATTCACATATATGTATACAGATGATCCCTAACTCATGATGGTTTGACTTATGATTTTTGAACTTTACGATGATGTAAAAGTGATATTCAGTAGAAACTGTGCTTAGAGTACCCATATGACTATTGTTTCTTCCTTTCAGTATAGCATTCAATAAATTACATGAGACATTCAACCCTCTAATAAATCAGGCTAAGTGTTAAATGGTTGTGTTAAATGCCTTTGTCCAACTCTAGGTAAACTTAAGTTTTCTGAACACATTAAAGGTAGGCTGGGCTATGCTATGATGTTCAATACATTAGGTGTATTAAATGCATTTTTGACTTATATTTTCAACTTACTATGGGTTTAGACGGTAACCCCATAGTAAGTTGAGGAGCCTCTGTGTACATATATGTGTGTATTTGTAGTATATGATTTATGTAATAATGATCCTACTCTATCTGCTACTTTTTTTTTTTTTTTTGAGATGGAGTCTCGCTCTGTCACCCAGGCTGGAGTGCAGCGGCACGATCTTTGCTCACTGCCACAGCCACCTCCGGGGTTCAAGAGATTCTCCTGCCTCAGCCTCCTGAATAGCTGGAATTACAGGCACCCGCCACCATGCCTGGCTAATTTTTGTGTTTTTAGTAGAGATAGGGTTTTGCCATGTTGGCCAGGCTGGTCTCGAACTCCTGCCCTAAAGTGATCCAACTGCCTCAGCCTCCCAGAGTGCTGGGATTACAGGCATGAGCCATCGCACCCGGTGTCATCTGCTACTTCTAATTTCAGATGCTATTTACTGAGCATACTCTGTGCCAGTTGATGGGTTAGGCAAATCACTTTATGCTCATAGGATGAAAGTGAGTTTTAGAGAGAAAGTAACCTCTCCACAGTCTCATAGCTGGTAGACAGCAGAGTCAGGATGTGAAGCCAGCTCCATCTGCCTTGAAGCCCATGGGCCTTCCACTACACACTACTTTTATGTGTGGCCTATAGACTAGAAGCATATATACATTACATTCATACAATGGGTGAATTATCTGCAAGGGAAGACCAGTTGATTTCCTATTTAAGAATGAGCTCTGGCTCTTCTCCTGATACCGAAATGTCCAGTATAAACCTTACAAATCATTTTTGTACATGCCATTTATCCAGCAATATTGGCTTCAGCCTTGCCTACATTTCTCAATAGGCCCTCTCTCCTGTTCTGACTGTAAGTTGGTCTGCACCTTCTCATGGACTCAACATCCCGAGTTCTTCGCGCTCATCTGATGCTACAGAATCCACCCAAACAGGAAGAGTAGGCCAGTTTCTCTGCAGTCGTTTTCTTCCAAGTCCCTCTCTCTCCCTAAGTTTCTTTCAACTCCAAAGGTGGCCAGTTTCCACTTTCACACCTGATTAAGGGAGACCTTGCTGCAACTTATCAATAGGAAACAAGAAATTGAAGCATTCCCCAGCAATGACTGAAGGCTGTGGCTTGTGGTTTTGCTTTTTAAAATGGGGTTATGAGTGGTTTTGTTTTGAACTCCAGTGAAGGAGGCCTGATGACGTTCATCAAGGTCAACACTAGGCCAGAAAGACTTGGCTTGCAATATCACTGCCCATTCTGTTCACCAGCAGGCACCATTTTTAGAAGCTTATGTAAAAAAAAAAAAAAAAAAAAAAAAAAAAAAAAAAAAAATCTAAAATAGCAATACCCTGTCTATTAACTCTTTGTGTCTTTCAATATATCCAAGCTAGTTTAGCTGAGGTCACTTTAGAATACTAAGTAATATCACAAATTATTATTCATATAATCACTGAACAAACAGCTCTGAGTTGTATCTATAGATGTTATGTTATTGCCTTTCAAGGATTCATGGTATTTGGCTTCATGCCCCCCCTTTTTTTCCCTTCCCCCCTCAAAGTCATCTTATTTCTCAAAGTTTTCCATTATTTTAATGGCTACCTCATATATCACATAGGTGATGGGCCATTATTTGGAAACCCATTCCCCTACTGTGGGACATTTAGGTTATTTCTAGTTTCTGTTAGAACTAATGGTTCAATTAGCATCTTTATGCATACAGCTTTTTCCTTCTATCAATTGATCTCCTCAGCATACCTTTGTAGAGCGTAGAACTGGAGTTCCTTGATCCAACAGCTCCTACTGGCCTTTGCCACAGAGAGCCACAATGCTATCTGGAAGGGTTACACAGGCAGAACCAGCATATTACTGTTTGTTTACAACCTTATCAACACAGGGTGTTCCCACTGATAACATTTTAAACTGATTTTCACATTGTCACAACCTGTAACTATTTATATATGGTATTCCCAAGCAGCCAGCCTCCTTATTTAAAGTATAAGCATTCTGTCTTTCATTTTCCCACAGGACAGAGTTCACATGTTTAATTAGAGTGGAAATTCAAAGTGAGTCTACATTCAGTTTGGGCAGAAAAATACCAGTCCATCCAAGCTACTGCACTGTTACTAGATTATTGCACCAGTGAAGAGCCTACCTTTTTTCCTTTTCAATCTCCAGTTGTAGCACTACACAGATTCCATCTGAATGCAGTGCAAAGCCCAAAACTCACACCCCAAGCCTCTGTGGTTCATACTGGCTTAGGTATTTACCCCACTAGCCAGGATTCCTTAGCTGGTTACTTCTTCCCAGCTGATGCACCGTCTGCTTTTATAAACATGTGCCACACCACTTAGAAAGAAGTGTCTTGCCTCTAAGCTGATCTGTTTACAAGGCCATGCCCTGCTGCATCTTAGGCGTGAGAGAATAAAAGCTCCTTTTAATTTTCAAAACAGAGTTACGCAAATAGAGGCTCTCCATGGCTCATTCAGATGAGGGAGGCTCTGTGTCTTCTTCCGGCTTTCCTGATTTTATCTGATGTTCACCAAGAGCTTGTCCTGTTACTTTGGAATTGTGACAATGTCTCATCTGATGCTGGGCATTCCCTGAGGGACAGTCCATTTTTATAAAGCACCATTTCCCGAGTGCTTACCAAAACGCCTATCTGAAATTCTGTCTTTGTTCATTTAAGACTCACAGCTTTTGTACAAAAAATTAGCCAGGCAAGGTGGCGGGCGCCTGTAGTCCCAGCTACTCCGGAGGCTGAGGCAGGAGAATGGCGTGAACCCGGGGGGCGGAGCCTAAAGTGAGCGGACATCGCGCCACTGCACTCCAGCCTGGGCGACAGCGAGACTCTGCCTCAAAAAAAAAAAAAAAAAAAAAAAAAAAAGACTCACAGCTTTTGAAGTGAATGTTACTGTCCCCTTTTCACCAATGAGCAAACCATTTGAATCGTGGGGTCACCACTTCCTGTGTGACGCTGTGCCACCATTGTACGTCTCCACTCCAAGGCCATTTGTCTCTGACCCCGTTCCCTACTGTCACTCTGCGTCTGTGATCTCCTGTACCTCAGACTTCATTCCTACCGTGCTTTATTTTCAATGTAGGACTTGTTTAGGCTTCTCTAAGCTGAACAAGTGGGAATTCCATTGGTAATTTACCTGAATGTGGCTTTATGTTTATATCCTTTCAATATGATTTGTGATATTGGTTATATAAAAAGTTGTATCATCGTATTTAAATAGAGTTAATCTTGGAAATAACTGGTAACTAATGTTCTGTTAAACAAAATGTACTGCTGTTTTTATTAAAAAATTAAAATTCTTTGGGATGCCAAGGTGGGCAGATCACCTGAGGTCAGGAGTTCAAGACCAGCCTAGCCAACATGGTGGAACCCTGTCTCTACTAAAAATACAAAAATTAGCCGGGTGTGGTGGTGGGCACCTGTAGTCCCAGTTACTCGGGAGGCTGAGGCAGGAGAATTGCTTGAGCCCAGGAGGTGGAAGCTGCTGTGAGCTCAGATGGTGCCAATGCACTCCAGCCTGGGCAACAGAGTGAGACTCCATCTCAAAAAAAAAAAAAAAAAAAGTTAAAGTTAAAATGCATGCCCAGCATTTAAGTTTGGGGGGCAGGATCAGAAAAACACATGTGCCCATAGTCCCACCACTCAAAAGAACCAACTAGTGTAAATACTGTGGTACATTTTTTATGCATTAGAAAATTTGCATGTATCTTGTAGTTTTCATTTTATATAGTTGTGATTATATTCCATATACACCTTGATATATTTCAAACTAAGTAAATTATTTTAAAATAATTTAATGCCTTTATGATCCTGTATCTAGCGAACAGATAGATATATGGTAGTTACTTAATCATTTTTTTATTCTTGGAGAGTTAAAATTTCTACCCTTTACCACCACCATGTTTCATTAATATAAATCGTGGTTTAGTAAATATATTTGTGTAAGATTTGGGGGAACTCTTTATTTTCTTAACATCAGTTCCAAGGAGAATGCTGGGGTCAAACAACATGAAAATATTTAAGGCTCTGGGTAGTTACTGGCAAGATACTTTTTCTGTGCTGCCTACACAGATGGCTTTTATCTCTGCTGCTGGTTTTCTTTGAGAAGAGTAGGTATGTTTCACCCAGGTGGATATGCTGCTGATCAGTTTATTTTCCCCAGATGACCTGCCTGTCTGGCATGCAGCACTGTTAACCTTACCGGGAGATGCCATTAAAGTTCCTGGGTATGCAACTCTCTTTCCCGTCTGGAACCAAGACAGAAGAGGACAGGAGCATTGTGTCAGCGAAATAAAAAAAGGCTGAATGCGGAAAGCAGAAAGAAACAAGCTAAACTTTGGGTCAGCTCGTTTTGCCAGCCTTTTGATAGTGTTCATTGTTCTGCTGCTTCAGAACCTACTGAGAAAGTTCGAAGACTTTCTTGACTGCGTTGGGAAATGTTCAGAATTCTTTGCCTGGTTTGCTAAGACAGAGCTTGCCCTTAAACTTGGTTCCGGGGAATTTTACCTGGTGTGGCCTAGATTTGAAGGACTTTATGATGAAGTACTTGGCTTTGTGCTCTTCTTATTATTGGCTGCCTTCAAACCCACTTTAGGGAGAGAGGCTGAGCAGATCCTCCCTGGGAAAAAATTCAGTCATGTTACCGTTTTCTGAACAAGAATCCAGAACCTTCCAGAAGCCTGTGTAAATCACTCTATGTGTTCCCAAAGCATTCACAGCTCAGCACTTTCAAAATATAGGAGCAGAAGACATGAAAAAAATGAACACTCATACATCTATATCTCATGTTCAATCTGAATAGCAAATATTAATAGTAAAAACCACTGTTTAAAGTATTAAAATCACTATGATCCTTATTAATAATACAAAACAGAGCTTCTTAATCCAGAAATTCAAATTCTAGCAGTTAATCCTAAAACAAGGCAATCTTCATCATCTGGACAGCTGATAAGAGTGTATGTGATTATGTGTGTGTACATGTGCATGAGTGTATGTGATTGTGTATGTGTGTGTGTGCACGTGTGTACGTATACGTGATTGTGTGTGTATGTGTGTGTGTGCATGTATGTGTAGATATCAGGAGTTTCAGAATTCAAAAACCGCATGAACAGACTAATAGATCTGTGAAGTTCTGTTATTAAAAACAATTTAATTATGTTTAACCCTAATCCTTTGAACACAGGCCACTGCTTTGTTTTTGTCTTTGATTTTTTTTCATTAGCTATTTGTTAATACACTTCCCTGGGACACAGACAGAGAAACGTTTTTCTTAAAGCAGTAAAAATAATATCATGAGAAACCGGAGATCAATTTAAATGTCTAACAGTTGGGGCGAAGCTCTCTGACTACCATGAAATAACGTTGTGGGAGAAATTTAATAGAAATGATGTTTAAGACTAACAGCAGATCTCTCGGCAGAAACCCTAAAAGCCAGAAGACCTACAAGCCAGAAGAGAAAGGGGGCCAATTTTCAACATTATTAAAGAAAAGAATTTTCAACCCAGGATTTCATATCCAGCCAAACTGAGTTTCATAAGCGAAGGAGAAATAAAATTCTTTACAGACAAGCAAATTCTGAGCGATTTTATCACCACCAGGCCTGTCTTACAAGAGCTCCTGAAGAAAGCACTAAACATGGAAAGGAACAACTGATACCAGCCACTGCAAAAAGATACCAAATTGTAAAGACCATCAACACTATGAAGAAACTGCATCAACTAATGGGCAAAGTAACTAGCTAGCATCATAATGACAGGATCAAATTCACACATAACAACCCTAAAACTTAAAGTATAATAATAAAAAAAAGAAAACAATATTAACCTTCAATACAAATGGACTAAATGCTCCAATTAAAAGACACAGACTGGCAAATTAGATAAAGAGTCAAGACCCATCCTGTGCTGTATTCAGGAAACCCATCTCACGTGCAGAGACACAAATAGGCTCAAAATAAAGAGATACAGGAAGATTTACCAAGCAAGTGGGAAGAAAAAAAAGCAGGGTTGCAATCCTAGTCTCTGATAAAACAGTTTAAACCAACAAGATCAAAAGAGACAAAGAAGGGCATTACATAATGGTAAAGGGATCAATGCAACAAGAACTAACTATCCTAAATATATATGCACCCAATACCGGAGCACCCAAACTCATAAAGCAAGTTCTTAAAGACCTACAAAGAAACTTAGACTACCACACAGTAATAGTGGGAGACTTCAACACTCCACTGTCAATATTAGACATATCGACGAGACAGAAAATTAACAAGGATATCCAGGACTTGAACTCAGCTCTGGACCAAGCAGATCTAATAGACATTTACAGAACTCTCCACCGCAAATCAACAAAATATACATTCTTCTCAGCACCACATTGCACTTATTGTAAAATTGACCACATAATTGGAAGTAAAACACTACTCAGCAAATGCAAAAGAACGGACAACATAACAGTCTCTCAGACCACAGTGCAATCATATTAGAACTCAGGATTAAGAAACTCACTCAAAACTGCACAACTACATGGAACCTGAACAACCTGCTCCTGAATGACTACTGGGTAAGTAACAAAATGAAGACAGAAATAAAGTTCTTTCAAACCAATGAGAACAAAGACACAATGTAGCAGAATCTCTGGGACACATTTAAACCAGTGTGTAGAGGGAAATTTATAGCACTAAATGCCCACAAGAGAAAGCAGGAAAGATCTAAAATCGACACTCTAACATCACAATTAAAAGAACTAGAGAAGCAAGAGCAAATAAATTCCAAAGTTAGCAAAAGACAAGAAATAACTAAGATCAGAGCAGAACTGAAGGAGATAGAGACACAAAAAACCCTTCAAAAAATCAATGAATCCAGAAACTGGTTTTTTTGCAAAGATCAACAAAATACACCACTAGCCAGATTAATAAAGAAGAAAAGAGGGAAGAATTAAATAGACTCAATAAAAAATGATAAAGGGGATATCACCACTGATCTCACAGAAATACAAACTACCATCAGAGAATACTATAAACACCTCTGTGCAAATAAACTAGAAAATCTAGAAGAAATGGATAAATTCCTGGACATATACACCCTCCCAAGACTCAACCAGGAAGAAGTCAAATCCCTGAATAGACCAATAACAAGTTCTGAAATTGAGGGAGTAATTAATAGCCTACCACCCAAAATAAGTCCAGGACCAGAGGGATTCAAAGCCAAATTCTACCAGGAGTACAAAGAGGAGCTGGTACCATACCTTCTGAAACTATTGCAAACAATAGGAAAAGAAGGAATCCTCCTTAACTCATTTTATGAGGCCAGCATCATCCTGATACCAAAACCTGGCAGAGACACAACAAAAAAAGAAAATTTGAGGCCGATATCCCTGATGAACATTGCTGCGAAAATCCTCAATAAAATACTGGCAAACCGAATCCAGCAGCACATCAAAAAGCTTATGCACCACGATCGAGTCAGTTTTATCCCTGGGATGCAAGGCTGGTTTAACATATGCAAATCAGTAAACGTAATCCATCACATAAACAGAACGGATGATAAAAACCACATGATTCTCGCAATAGATGCAGAAAAGGCCTTCAACAAAATTCAACAACCCTTCATGCTAAAACTCTCAATAAACTAGGTATTGATGGAACGTATCTCAAAATAATAAGAGCTATTTTTGACACACCCATAGCCAATATCATACTGAATGGGCAAAAACTGGAAGCATGCCTTTTGAAAACCTGCACAAGACAAGGATGCCCTCTCTCACTGCTCCTATTCCACATAGTATTGGAAGTTCTGGCCAGGACAATCAGACAAGAGAAAGAAATAAAGGGTATTCAATTAGGAAAAAAGGAAGTCAAATTGTCTCTGTTTACAGATGACATGATTGCATATTTAGAAAACCCTATCGTCTCAGCCCAAAACCTCCTTAAGCAGATAAGCAACTTCAGCAAAGTCTCAGGATACAAAATCCATGTGCAAAAATCACAAGCATTTCTATACACCAATAATAGACAAACAAGAGAGCAAAATCATGAGTGAACTCCTATTCACAATTGCTACAAAGAGAATAAAATACCTAGGAACACAACTTACAAGGGATTATGAAAGACCTCTTCAAGGAGAACTACAAACCACTGCTCAAGGAAATAAGAGAGGACACAAACAAATGGATAAACATTGCATGCTCATGGGTAGGAAGAATCAATATTGTGAAAATGGCCATACTGCCCAAAGCAATTTATAGATTCAGTGCTATCCCCATCAAGCTACCACTGACTTTCTTCACAGAATTAGAAAAAACTACCTTAAATTTCATATGGAACCAAAAAAGAGCCCACATAGCCAAGACAATCCAAAGCAAAAAGAGCAAAGCTGGAGGCATCATGCTGCCTGACTTCAAAGGATACTACAAGGCTACAATAACTAAAAAGCATGGTACTGGTGCCAAAACAGATATATAGATTAATGGAACAGAACAAAGGCCTCAGAAATAGCACCACAAAACTACAACCATCTGATCCTTGACAAACTTGAGAAAAACAAGCAATGGGGAAAGAATTCCCTATTTGATAAATGGTGTTGAGAAAACTGGCTAGCCATATGCAGAAAACAGAAACTGGAACCCTTCCTTATGCCTTATACAAAAATTAACTCAAGCTGGATTAAAGACCTAAACATAAGACCTAAAACCATAAAAACCCTAGAAGAAAACCTAGGCAACACCATCCAGGTCATAGGTATGGGCAAAGACATATGGGCAAAGACTTCATGACTAAAACAGCCAAAGCAATGGCAACAAAAGCCAAAATTGAGAAATGGGATCCAATTAAACTAAATAGCTTCTTCACAGCAAAAGAAACTATCATCAGAGTGAACAGGAAACCTACAGAATGGGAGAAAATTTTTGCAATCTATCCATCTGACAAAGGGCTAATATCCAGAATCTACAAAGAACTTAAACAAATTTACAAGAAAAAAAACCACACAACCCCATCAAAAAGTGGGCAAAGGATATAAACAGACACTTCTCAAAAGAAGACATTTATACAGTCAGCAAACATATGAAAAAATGCTCATCATCACTGGTCATTAGAGAAATGCAAATCACAAACACAATGAGATACCATCTCACACCAGTTAGAATGGTGATCATTAAAAAGTCAGGAAAGAACAGATGCTGGAGAGGATGTGGAGATATAGGAACACTTTTACACTGTTGGTGAGAGTGTAAATTAGTTCAACCATTGTGGAAGACAGTGTGGCAATTCCTCAAGGATCTAGAACTAGAAATACCATTTGACCCAGCAATCCCATTACTGGGTATATACCCAAAGGATTATAAATCATTCTACTATAAAGACAAATGCACACGTATGTTTATTGCAGTACTGTGCACAGTAGTAAAGACTTGGAACCAACCCAAATGCCCATCAATGATAGACTGGATAAAGAAAATGTGGCACATATATACCATGGAATACTATGCAGCCATAAAAAAGGATGAGTTCATGTCCTTTGCAGGGACATGGATGAAGCTGAAAACCAACATTCTCAGCAAACCAACACAAGAACAGAAAACCAAACACTGTACGTTCTGACTCATAAGTGGGAGTTGAACATTGAGAACACACGGACAAGGGAGGGTAACATCACATACCAGGGCCTGTCAGGGGGTGGGGTGTTAGGGGAGGGATAGCATTAGGAGACATACCTAATGTAGATGACGGGTTGATGGGTGCAACAAACCACCATGGCATGTGTATACCTATGTAAAAACCTGCATGTTCTGCACATGTACCCCAGAACTTAAAGTATATAAAAAAATTTAAAAACAAAATGTTTATAACCTATTAGATGAAAAATGTACGTTATAAAAGTTGGTAGGGTATGATCCCATTTTTGTTAAACCTACATTCATGACTTTGTACCTACAAATACGTATTGAGAGAAAAAATGAATGAAAAAGTGCTAATAATGTTTATCTCTGGGTAGAGGACATGTGGATGACATTTTTTTCTTAGGCTCATCTATATTCCCCACATTTTCTATGATAAAGGTATGCTCTAATAGTTTTTAAAAAGTAAAATTTAGAAAAATGATGACAAAATATGCCAGTGCTTGTAAAACATGCCCAGCTGCCTTATTGAGTATTATAGCACGGCTGTGAGCTGACTCAGGTCCAGTCATGGAGCCTCCAGAAAGTACTCTTGAGTTGACATACTGACAGAAATGGAATGGCTTGTAAGTTTCCCAGGAACAGGATGGGGAACCTTAGGGCTACATGGCACCAAGAAACATATATTTGAAAAAAATAAAAGCAGGTGGATTATTTTGGGTCACTTAATTGTTTCAAAATAACTGGCTGGGCCAGTTAATCCCAGCCCTTTGGCAGGCTAAGGCAGCAGGATCCTTTCAGTCCAGGAGTTTGAGATGAGCCTGGTCTCAACCCCATCTCTACAAAAGTCTGGTCTCAAATCCCGTCTCTACAAAAAATTATCCAGGCATGGCGGCACACACCTGTGGTCCCAGCTACTCAGGAGGCTGAGGTAGGGGGATCGCCTGGGCCTGGGAGGTCAAGACTGCAGTGAGCCTTGATTGTGCCACTGCACTCTAGCCTGGGGGACAGAAGGATACCCTGTCTCACACAAACAAACAAACAAAACAAAACAACTGGCTGGTTGTCTGAATTACCTTTCATTGCTGTGTGTGTATGAACACCATCTCCCTGTGACTTTGGCCAGGTCAGTATTCAACAAGAGACTTTTTTTCCACTTGAGTTTGACATTCTGCCATGGTCGAGTAACGGTACTGTAATTGTTTAGCTCCTCATGTCTCCACCTCAGTGCACTCCTATTAACCTTGAACATTCATGCCCAGATTTTGCCACACCCAGAGTATGGATATATGACAAACCCCATTCTACGTTTTGTTTTATTACTACTTGCTAAAAATTTGAACTAAATGATAAGCTGAAGTATTGATTTTTTTTTTGCCCATCTCATCTCTGCTACTATAAAGTTTTTAAACATTGGAAAACAAAATAATACATTTTACGCTACTCTAAACAAATATCCTCATCAAAAAAACCTGAAATATTTAGACTTAAAAAATATCAGCAATGTCAATATAACTGTTGAGTGGAGAGAAATCCTGGGTGTAGACCACAACTTCTTTCTTGGAATCTGAGAATAATACCTTTTCAGAAAAATCTTTGAGACAGGGTCTTTCTCTGTCACACAGGCAAGACTGCTATGGCACAATTATAGCTTACTGTTACCTTGAACTCCTGCGCTCAAGCGATCCTCTCACCTGAGCCTCCCAAGTAGCTAGGACTATAGGCACGCACCACCACACGCAGCTAAGTACTTAGTTTTTGTAGAGATAAGGTCTTGCTATGTTGCCCAGGCTGGTCTCCAACTCCTAGCCTCAAGTGATCCTCCTGCTTCTGCCTCCCAAAGGGAGGTTGGGATTATAGGTATAAGCCACCTTGCCCAGCCACATTATTTTTGAACTTTAAAGTTATTTCATGACTTGTGTAACAACTATTTGAAGGGAAAGAATGAAAAATATGCCATCTACAAGGAAAGCGTGAATACCTAAGAAACATCCAAATAATTCACCCATTAACTATCAGTCTAAATGAGGGCAAGGTGGGTCTGATCTCCTAATAATATCACATGTGCTTCATTCATAAAATCAAGAAAGAATGGCTTCACTAGATCCTGCTCTGACTTTAATCCCAGGACAGGAAATGCACTGATAATTCTCAAAGCTTTGGATAGGAAAGCTTCACAAATTGGCCTGGATCCATTTCTGTGGCTGTGAGTCTTCACACATTGATCTTCCTGATCCCTGAGCCCCTGCCGGTGTTTCCTCACTGGCTCATGCCCTTTTCAATGGTTGGCACCTTTGATCATAAATGTTTCCACAGGTACACAAAGACAGGCATGAAAGATAGAGGAAAAGAGCTCTCTGCCTATATTTGTTATGGTTGAAAATTCAGATGTTTCTCCTCTGTTTCCACTTAGGCTGAGTTACAAGGTAATTTGCTCAGGAAGACGAATATAATGGTGGTGGGGGGTTAGGGCAGGGGGAGGTCCGCTCAGGGTTTCCACCAAGGGTGCAGGTTTAACAGAAGCCAGAATGGGAGGATCATGTACATAGACTACAGTGAGAATGGTACCCCAGTTCCTCCCTCCAGCAACATCAGCCTGCACCAGTCTGAGACAGGGCACGGTGGGGAATGAGGGGCCAAGATGGGCTTTCATCGTTAACACACATCCATCAGAGCACAATTCTTCTTGGAGCAAAAGATACAGCACAGTAGAAAAAGCCCAATCAGCCACATTCTAATCCCCTTCTCACCCACGGAGCTGTGTGATCCTGGCAAATCATGTGTCCTCTCAGAGCTTCTTCCTTCAAACATAGACCCCCCCCAACACCCAGGTCACACGAACTTTCTCCTTCTGAGGATAAAGGCCACAGCCGGAATTTAGTAACATTAATTTTAAAACCCTCATCTCCAGGCCAGAAAAGCCTCTCCCAACCCCTTGGAAACGGGTTTTGATGGCACCACCAAGACAGCAGGGTCAGTGACTCACGGATTTGGGGGATGGCCTTGTGGGCGCGAGGCTCCTCCGGAAAGCAGGCATTGTGCAGGGTGTCTCTTTGATGGTCTTTTAAAGAGCTTTCCCTGTTAGCTAGAGCAGTTTCACCTTCAGATAGAGCTGCCTTTCCGTTGTCCGTGGAATTCACTGCACATTTCGAGGGACCGCCTGTCCTGGCAGAGAGCAAGGGACTCATAAAAGTGTCAGAACATTATGAACAGCCCGAAGATGGGCTGTGAGCGGGGATAAGTGAAGCGCGGCGTGGAGGCCGTTCGGTAACTCCATCCATCTGTGGACAGGGGCGTGAGGACAAGGCGAACAGACTCGTGGCGAGCAGCACCTGGGCAAGCCAGCAGGTGCTTGAGCCACGGGGCTGGCTCCTCGTTGAGCTATCTAGAGGAGTGCACCGAGCAAAGCGCCTGCTGAAAATACTTTGTACCTCCGGGATTCCTTCTCTTCACTTCGAAGTGAAAGATGCGGAGTTTAATCCTAACCTAGTGGTGAGAGGGTCCTAAATTCCCTTCCTCGTAGAATGACCTGATTTCTGCGGCTCTGAGCTTGCTTGCGGCAGCCTGTGTATTAATTTAACTTCGTTTTTATAGGCCTTTTGCATGCAATGTTAAACACACAGCCCCGCCATCTAATCAAAAGGGACTCTTATCAATTTGCAGGATAGTTGCTTACAGAAAAAAAAAGAATAAAAGCACTACACTGAATCCTTCATTCTTAAGAGGTAAATATCGATCACTGAGAATGTATTTAATCACTGATCTTGTAAACAGGTTGTAAACACATACATGCTGAGTGACTCTGTAGGCAAGCCCTATCTTTGAGAAACATTTCTGGTTCTTACACAGTTAACTTTCTGGAGTTGAATTGCACAGAACCTGAGGACTGAATGCTAGACGTGGTTATGGCAAGGGAAGCTCTCTTTGGCATTCTGGGTTCTGACCTTTCACCCGGCTAAGGCAGGCTGCTTCTGTGGGTGCCTCCAGCAGTGACAGAAAGAATGTACAGGAGGTGTGACCAATAGAGGGAACTGAGCAAGAAGTACTGAGGCTCGGAGAGTCACCATCCGCCTTGAAGGCACTGGACCAGACCTCAGATAAACGAAGCCCAGCCTAGACCCTGCCCTTGCCCGGGTGGGCGGTCTTGAGCAAATTAGGTAAGACCATTGATTTCGAAGAATGTTTCCAACCTGGAAAACCATGTAGTACAAAGGAATAAACGTGGGTCGAATCCTGGTTCTACAGCTGAGCAACCTTCAGCACAACACTGTGCCTCTCCATGTCTGCAAAGTTGACCTGAAAATGCATACTACACATGGTTCCTTTAAACTTGAAGAAATTAACCAAGTATACGAAAAGAGTTGATGCATAGGCTTGCTACCAATTCCATTTTCGCATGATGGAGTGTGCTTTCTGAAGCTAACATTCTAAGATTATATTCCAAATTTCCTGAACAAAATGTACTTATTGCATAGCAAGACTTGCCCCTGAGATCCTTAATTATCCATTTATTTTGGGATGAAGATAGGCGAATACATTTTACTGACTCTGCTTCCCGCTCAGTAATTCTTTTTCTGATCCTACGGGGTAGGGCTGCATACGCTAATATTTCTCTGCCCAAAATATACGGATATCACTTGCCTAAAACTGGCTGCAGCTTGTCGGGTTGGTCAGGTTCAAATATCTATTTTAAAAATCACCCAAAAAGCAAATTAAAATAAGAAATGTCATGTTTTTCTGTATAGTCTTATTAGTTTTGCCCCAGGAAAAATGGAGTAAAAATAGCTCTCAGGTGGGATAGCAGGGACAGCCACGATACTGTCTCCACCTGGATGTGAAATCTGGGGACCAGGAAGCTCAAAGTCACTCTTTGCCAATGGGCTCTTATGGGACAGGATATCTCAAGTGCTCAAAGGCCAGACTTGACTGTTTAAGAACCCGGGCTAGCATGCACACAGGGAGATGCCACAATTTTGGTATTCTGACCTGGTTTCTGGGGTAAAACTGGAAATGAGCTCTTGCTGCGTTTTAATTTTTAAATTAACATCAGATATAAACCTGAAAGAAGGCCTATCAAGGATGTAGTCTAAATCACGAAAGCTGACAGAAGCGGAAATAAAACCATCTATTGAATGGAACAGAAAACAGTGGTCTCGGCACCAAGAATAGAAGATTCCTGGCTCATTGGATTCAAATGTGAATTTTCTTATCTCTGTTATCACCTGTCTAGTTATCAGGTATCTACCTGCCTATCTATCTATTGTTCCATCCCATCCCTTAAAAGGGGTTCTTATGTTGCAAAAAGAAGAAAGCAGGAAAGAATTACAAAGGTGTTAAGATAACTATATGGAACATGCTGTTCTCAACCTTTTTGGCACCAGGGACTGGTTTCACGGAAGACAGTTTTTCTGTGGACCGGAGTTAGGTGGCAGATGGTTTCGGGATGATTTAAGCACGTTACATTTACGGTGAACTGTATTTCTATTATTATTACATTGTAATATATAATGAAATAATTATACAACTCACTATAATGTAGAATCTGTGGAAGCCCTGAGCTTATTTTCCTGCAACTAGACGGTCCCATCTGTGGGTGATGGGAAGCAGTGACAGATCATCATGCATTAGACTCTCATAAGGAGCACACAACCTAGATCCCTTGCATGCACAGTTTACAATAGGGTTTGCCCTCTTATGACAATCTAATGCCACCGCTGATAGGACAGGAGGTGGAGCTCAAGTGGTAATGTGAGCAATGGGGAACGGCTGCAATTACAGATGAAGTTTTGTTCCCTCACCTGCTACTCACCTCTTACTGCGCATTCCAGTTCCTAACAGGCCATGGATTGGTACCAATCTGTGGCCCAGGGGTTGGGGAATCCCTGATATAGACAATATACAAGTTAAAAAGACTTAAATTACATATACTGTGGTCTATTAAAATGGCTGGGTTGGTGAAATGTGAATTTGGGGAGATATGAATATAGGCATGGTTTCTTCTTACCTTCACATGTAAACACTTTTGTACTTTACAAAATTTGCATAAGAACATTTTCATGTTATTGATACGACTTTTGGTAACACCTGCAGCAGATTCCAGAATTTGGAGGTACGGTAGTTGACTCGACAATTTCTCTTTTATATGGAGAAAGAAACTTGGAGTCTTGATACAACATAATATCCCAGCCTAGATCATGAAGAAGTTAACTGAGAAGGCTCTTACCAACATACTTAACCTAATATTAGAAGGACATTTCAGGCTTAAGCCCTTCCTGCCTGACACTCATGGCACATGGACAGTGTGTGAAGTTTGGTTAGAAGTTAAATCAAAATAAAAATAGTCAATTCGCATCTGGGGTTCTTTGTTCTCCATGATGCCCTATGATCTGTGCAGCTGAGCCTTCCCTCCCATTTGATCTATGGATTTGATAGGATTAGATAATGCAGAAGTCCCTGAAATAATGGCCCAGTTTAATAACAGCTGGAAAAGTGTTATTGTAAAGATAAGCCATTCTTTTTTTTTTTTTTTTTTTTTGAGACAGAGTCTCACTCTGTCGCCCAGGCTGGAGTGCAGTGGCACCATCTTGGCTCACTGCAAGCTCTGCCTCCCGGGTTCACGCCATTCTCCTGCCTCAGCCTCCCCAGCAGCTGGGACTACGGGCGCCCGCCTCCATGCACGGCTAATGTTTTGTATTTTTAGTAGAGACTGGGTGTCACCGTGTTAGCCAGGATGGTCTCGATCTCCTGACCTCATGATCTGCCCACCTCGGCCTCCCAAAGTGCTGGGATTATAGGCGTGAACCACCGCGCCCGGCCTTGATAGGCCATTCTTAATGACTACCCGTGCAGGTTTTTCATGCAATGAAGAAGGATCTTGACTAACTCATGGGAATATCAATGCACAGAATGGGTCATTTACTCACTCAACAAACAATCACCAAGTGGACCCTAATACAGGTTGTGTTCAACAACTGGAAATGCAGAGATGAAAATGTGCTATGTTAGCCCTAGAGTTCTGGAAGTAGACCTATGAAATGATCATCCAGGGCCCCTTGTGCAACTGCAGGTGGTAACATTACACTGGACGCTAAGTGATAGCCCTAGAGGTTCCATTGTGGAGATTCAAGGTGGATGTCATCTCCCAGAGCTATGCAACTGGGGGCACTGTGAATAATCAAGACACAAGATGCATCAGTAGCTAAGCATCACTGGCTAATCATCAATGGCAAATACATCAATGGGCTAAGCACAAGTACTGTGGGAACAGAGATCACAGGAACCAGCTCTGTCCCACTGGGAGGTGATGGGATACCGTTAAAACTTCCCATGGGATGTAATATTGACATTTGAAAAATGGTAGACAAGCAGATTCAAGAATAAGTATATATAGCTGGGCACAGTGGCTCATGCCTGTAATCCCAGTATTTTGGGAGGCCGAGGCAAGCGGATCACAAGGTCAGGAGTTTGAGACCAGCCTGACCAACATGGTGAAACCCTGTTTCTACTGAAAATACAAAAATTAGCCGGGTGTGGTGGTGGGCACCTGTAATCCCAGCTACTCAGGAGGCTGAGGCAGAAGAATCCCTTGAATATGGGAGGCGGAGGTTGCGGTGAGCCGAGATCACTCAACTGCACTCCAGTCTGGGCGAAAGAGTGAGACTCCATCGCAAAAAAAAAAAAAAGAGAGTAAGTGTATAGAATGGGTAAGATCAAACACCAATTTTTGCTTTCATTAAATATTTTCAGAAAGTGATCCTGAACCCGCCCACCCTCCAACCTTCCTGGAGTAAGCACCCTCTTCATTCTCAAGGTGCCAGTGGCCCTTTTCACACTGTCCTTCACACTTGTGTGGCACACACAGTGGTTTTTTTTGGCAGAGACTGCCAATTGTGACACTTACTTGTAAGCCACCAAGCCCTGAACATTCCACACAGACCATACTATTAATTTTATTTTTGCCCTCAGCCAGATTTCAAAGACCCCAGAGATGTCTGGAAAATTAATTTATTAAAAAGCAATAGCTTGATAATACACACGATGATAGAAGAAATATGTTCAATATCTTATAAAACAGTTGGCAATCACTTAATAGAGTGTTCATTGTCAATTTAGTAGCTTGTCTCATTATGCTCAGCAAATAGTTGTAAAATAGTGTATTATTCATGAACCAACATGCTTTAATAACTTTTAGTGCACATTTATTTCTCAAATGCAATCTGAGTTAGATTCATCTATAAAAGCAACCCATTTTGCAAAAGTCGGCTTCAGGACCTCCCAAAGAAAGAGCAACATGTTGTGTGTCTCAGCCTGGAAATGCAAACTGGCCAAGCCCACACCTTTGTCCTAGCAGAAAGCAGGTAGTGGTAGCCCCTGACTTTAGATCATCCAGGAAAGGGTTAGCTGATACCACCCCCAGCTGTGGACCCAACACAGTGGGGAGTGGCTCCCCTAAGCCAGTCCTGCCTGAGGTGGGTAGGATCTGATTCAGCCACCTGAGTCTCTTGATGAGGCTGATCATGTAACTTACTTTGCAGTGGGATAGGAGCAGACCCAGAAGCAGGGGCTTGACCTGCCCTCGCGTTGCTGGACGCACCCTTCTTTACACTCCTGCCATTCACCATGAGAGAAACATCCCCAAGGGGACCACTGGTCCAAGGAAGACAGAGACACATCCAGTAGCCACGGACTTAATTCATAGCCTGGAGCCAACCCAGCTGGGATCAGCTGACCCTCAGCTTACAGACAGATGCAAAAGCAATAAAGACAATGATAGCTGCTTTAAGCCAGTACCATTTTTGGGGTGGTTTGTTATGCAGCCAAAGCTCACCGGGAAAGTGGCATATCCAGAATTTACTTTGAGATGCTCTGGGGACATCCTCAAAGCAGCTGGCAGTCAATTTACCTCATTTCACTTGCTGTAGAGGATGTTTGGCACACGGGACTATAAGCTCAAAAGAGAAGTCACACATAGTGAATAAAGAAAACAAAATTTGCAGAGGAGGGAAGATCACTTGAAGCCAGGAGTTTGAGGCAAGCCTGGGGAACATATCAAGATACCATCCCTAGAAAAAATAAAAAATAAAAAAATATTAGCTGGGCATGGTGGCACACGCCTGTAGTCCCAGCTACACTGGAGGGAGGCTGAGGTGGGGAGATCGCTTGAGCCCAGGAGTTTGAGGGGCAACCGCACTACTGCATTCCACACTGTCTCTAAAAAAAACCAGAAGAAATTTTAAAAATATGATTGAAAGCCGCAGAAGCAGCCATTCTCACTATGGGTCTTGATTTTCATCCAGGTGCTTCTCATATGGGCAACTCTATGCACACGCTCTACGGTAATAGAAGGAGAAATTAATTTAGTTAGCAATGGTTGACAATTCTTCACCTCAATGTTGGGAGGTGGGCTAAATTCAAAAAATACCTGACCAGTAAGTATTAAAAATAATGGTGAAAAATGCCTCACACCACAGGCACACCACTAGCATTAGTAGCAGTAATGGTTGTGATGGTTGTTATTGTCTTAACTATTCACTGATAGTGGAATTCAGAAGCAAGAGGAAGAGCAAGAAGCATCCTCTCCCATCCCTCACTGCAAGCCAAGCCGCCCAGAATCCAGGGTGTCCTTCCCATTTCTCTCCTAAAATTGTTCTCTGCCACCGTACCAGCAATCCTATTCCACAGTCATATCCTGTGGAGCCCACGGGAATCTCAGCCAGAGGCTGAAACCCTGACACTCCCATAGTCCATGCTAGCTGAACCTTGGCTGGTGGGCCTCTGGAGTGGGCTTCCACAGCTAGAAGAATATTTTACAATGCAAGCATTTGACTTCCAAACAGAATTGCTTCCTGGTGTCTCTCCTCGCCATAGCTTGTGCGCTCAACTTGTCCTCTTGATACAGAGGAATACTTGAACATCATGGAGCTCTGATGACCATCCTGGTTAATGTTGGTGTTTGGGCAACAGCGGGACACAGTCTGTGTCCTCTACCTGGGGTCTCCTTTCCCTCCCTCTCCCTCCTCCAGGCTCATTGAGGGGAGCTCCTGTACGTCCTCCAAGAGCCACATCCTGGGGGAAGTTTTCCAGTTGATTCCTTGGGGAAAGTCAAGCATTCCCACCTTTGGATCCACAGAATCCTGCACCTGCTTCTCCAGTATTAAGTGGCTGTGCTGTTTGGCTTTGTGTGTTTAGTCTTGTTTCTCTCATTCATCCATGAGATCTTTCAAAACATAAAGTACATCTCACACACTATGCACAGTATTAAGACACAGAAGGGGCTCAGGAAATATTGTGAAGAAATTAGGGAATACTCTTGTTGAGGCCAGGCTACAAGGCTAGACTGGAGGCCCTGGTCCCTTTCCTTGTCCTCTGAGTAGGCCTTCTCCAGGCTCCGCTCCTTTCCAAATTTCCAGGTCCTCAGCATTCCCCATTGAAGAAACAGGAGCTGATCATAGTTCGTTCTTATTAGGAGTTAAAGAAAAGTGCACGCCATCTCCGATGACTCCAGGCCCTCCAGGGACAACCTATACAAGGTTTACAGCCATAGGGAGCATGCGAGGACATTTCTAATTAAATTCTTTAGTGCTTCTACTTGACCTCATTTCAACTGTGCCATAAATCTCGGAAAAAAAAAAAAAAACTCAAATCCAAAATTTTAAATAATGCTTATGAGTTGGTTTAGAATCAGGACTCGCCTTATTAACCCAATAGCTGCATATACTTGGATTGCCAGAGTGTGCCTTGAGACAGGGTCAGTTAAAGGCCAGTGGCCATTTCAATTAAAATGTTTTCAAAGATTTCCAAATAATAAACTGGTCTGGCCTATAATTACAGATGAAATAATAATTTTTAAAAAACCCTCATAATCCTATGTGTAATGTTATGGCACGCAGTTGGTGTCCATGCACCAAGACAAATATCTCCCCAAGACAGGGAGCCACGGAAACAACTGAAGTATAAATCCCGGGCACCATTAACACGCAGGCTCTATTAGTTGACTTTGTCATTGGTCACATTAAAGCCTCATGGCGTTTGCTGGTGGCTTGGGAGGGAAGGGTTTTGGAACAACTTAAATGAACATATAATTCCACTCGGTAAATCTCTGCTGTAATTGGCTAATAAGCACACACTTTGCAAATAACCACTGGAAATGGTTGGTTGGAGGATTTCTCCCCCAACTTCTTTCTCACTTCCCATGGTTCTTCTGGCATAGAGGGTGATTCACTTTCACACACCTCCTGGCCTTTCAGAGTATGGAGACGTGGAAATTCTGAGTAGGTGAGTTCCATCTCAGAGGACACTCAGGGGAAAGCGTGCTGTGCTTCTTAAACTATGATCTATCCTATAGTTTTCTCAGCTCCTGCACTGTTGGCGTTTGGGGCTGGATCACTCTTTGCTGTAGGCAGCTGTCCTGTGTATTTGCAGGGTGCTTACTGTCATTTCTGCCCTTGATCCACCAGTGGCTAGCAGCGACACTGCACCCTGTTGTGATAATCCAAAATATTTCTAGACACTGACAAATGTCCCATGGGGGGCACAGTCACCCCCTGTGAGGGACCCCTGGTCTAGCCAGATGCACCCTCCAGGTCCTGTGGCTCAGCATCCCATCATGGTGCATCGTGACAGTCCAGCAACTCGTCTTAGACGGGAATCTTCCTCCTGACTTGCTTCTCTACTGACCTGGCCTGTGTCACCTTTTGACCTTCTGGATTTTGCTCCCATTCAATTTCTCCTCTCACCCAGGCATGCGGTTCTTTTTTTGTCAGGCTTTGACCTGCAGTCATCAGCAAAGGATCTTGACTCTGACCCTTTCTGAGGCTCTTCCTTCTTGAAGACAACTACAGAGCTCAACCCTTGCCTCTAGTATCCTGGGACAGAGCCCAGCATCCCCACAACTGCAGAAGATGATGGCTTCATAACTGAATGCCAGCTTTTCCCAGGACCCAAGCTGTCCCTGGTTGGAAAAGAGGCCACAATGAAAGCTTTCTGCTTCTTTCCTGGCTCTTGGAAGCAGGTACCCACTGTCCTTCATTTACAGATTCCCTTTGTATCTAAGAGCGGGGGCACTGTAGAGCATACGTCTTTTTTACTTATTTGGGTACATAGTTCATTTCTTTTAGGAGTCTATGACCACACAGTAAAGAAAGTGGAATCTGGGCTATTATGTGACCTTGTGCCAAAACATAACACTCACTTAGTGCTGTTGTTGCCAGACTGTTTTCACTGTCACATCTGAAGCCTAAAGTCTCCCTGGGAATGCCAGGTGCAAGACAGAAAGAGTCTCTGGAAATGGGAATGAGGTTGCCAGATTAAAACACAGGACATTCAATTTAATTCGAATTTTAGATAAAACAAATTTTTAAAGTATAAATATATCCCATGCATACAGTATGGGATATACTTCTGCTGAAAAAAATCAGTCATTTATTTGAAACTTAAATTTAAATGGGTAGGCTGTATTTTTATTTGCTAAATCTGGTCACCTAGGCAGGCAGGATCTCTTTTTCTTGGGGGATATAGGATTTGAACTTGACCCCACTCTACTTCCTGAACTTGACCCCAGCACACTCCATCTTGACCTGGACTTGTTTGCTCTGATCTCATGGTGGGGTAACCACCAGGGGAAGTGAGGACTCCAGGGAGACGCAGTCTCATCCTGTCACATCTTGTTGTCCTCACCGTGCTGGCTACAAGCTGGGGAGGTCTAAACACCTCTCTAGATCAGGTTCTCATAGCCACTCCCACTGTTGTAGTTTGCAGCTCTGGCCAAGGATTTGTCCATAGTCACTGTCCTAAAGGAAAGTGAAAAGTCAGTCAAACTAATTGTGTTTGCAGCTCCTGATTTTGTAACTCTCGGTTTTGTCAAATTCTCTCTCTGTTGCTTCCCAAATTCTGCCGAGCTGGAACATTTGCATGGGTGCCCTAGGCTCCTAGTTTGTGCGCAGTGATTGACACATGTCTGTCACTCTTAAGTAGTGTCACTGACCATCCTGGTTTGCTCAGAAGTGAGGAGTTTCCTGGGCCGTGGGACAGTCCACGCTGAAACTGGTAAAGTCCCGGGCAAGTTGGAATGAGTTGGTTATCCAACTTGAGGCTGTTGGTGGAGTTATCTGGGGGATGGTTTGTAGGGAACAAACCTCCAAAATTCAAATTCCAACCCACTGAATGATAGGGTTCTCACTCACACTGGGTTGGATGGATAAAAGTGAATTCCAGACTTTCCACAGATGGCCAGATTAACCATCACCTCCACAGGGAGGCATTTCTGGACCATTTTGCCTACCTAGTCCGAACCCCTAGATGCTAATGGTTTCTTTCCTAGCATGTCTCACAGCTGGGAATCACAGATTTATTCTTTGTCCCTCTCAATACCTGGAAAGCTCTGTGAGGGCCAAAGCCTTCTCTGTTTTGTTTATTGCTGAAATCCCCAGAAGTTAGGATAGTCCAGGCACATTGTAGCTGCTCTCAAAATATCTATTGACTGAGCAAATGGATGATTCAATGCCCAGCCATGGCAGGGGTAAGGCGCTGGGAATGGGCTGAAGAAGCACAGCCCTCAACTTTAGAAGCCTTGAAGAAAGATGATTATTTAAGATGGATAGTGGCAGCACAACACGAATGTTTTACGGATAGATGCAGAGGATGTGTGTAGCCATGCCCAGGAAGGCTTCACAAAGTATTTACCCAAATTATTATTTTAAATGGGTTATCAAGGTGGGCACATGGCTTCCCTTCTCTTTGCTTGCAAAGAACATCAAAGGGCTGGGCAATGCAAAGGTGATAGAGCCCAGAATGGCATTGGGGGTTTAGGGTCCCATGGCGGGGGGTGTAAGTGGAGAAAAACTATATGTGAAAATTAACTTGGGGATACTGGATTGACATTCAGGACTAAACATGTTTGGATCCAGCAGTCTTATGTTTTTGAATGAAAAAAAATTGGAAGACATGGTTTTCTTGGTTACACATGTTCTGTTTTGTCAAAATGTGCCCGATTGCCCTTTCTTCTGTCTGTATGCCTGGTGACATTTTAACTAAACTCCTCATCCCACTCCCAAGCCCTACAACACTTCAACTACCCCTTCAGGACCTCTCTAGCCAACATCATCTTCCCCCTCTCCTACCAGAATAAAAAACCCTTTTGCCTCCATTTGCCAACAAGCATCTCTGGAAAAAAAAAAAAAAAAAAAAAAAAAAAAAAAAAAAAAAAGGGCAGCAGCCCCAGTTAGGGGCTTATTGATAAAAAACCCCCATCTCCCTGGGACAGAGCACCTGCGGGAAGGGGTGGCTGTGGGCGCAGCTTCAGCAGACTTAAACGACCTGGCCTGATGGCTCTAAAGAGAGCAGCAGAACTCCCAGCACAGCATTTGAGCTCTGCTAAGGGTCAGACTGCCTCCTCAAGTGGGTCCCTGACCCCCTTGTCTCCTGTTTGGGAGACACCTCCCAGTAGGGGCCAATGGACACCTCATACAAGAGAGCTTCGGCTGGCATCTGGCAGGTGCCCCTCTGGTACAAAGCTTCCAGAGGAAGAAACAGGCAGCCATCTTTGCTGTTCTGCAGCCTCCATTGGTGATACCCAGGCAAACAGGGTCTGGAGTGGACCTCCAGCAAACTCCAGCAGACCTGGAGGGGCCTTACCGATAGAAGAAAAACTAACAAACAGAAAGGAATTGCATCAACATCAACAAAAAGACATCCACTCACAGACCTCATCCAAATGTCACCAACATCAAAGACCAAAGGTAGGTAAATCCACGAAGATGGGGAGAAATCAGCGCAAAAAGGCTGGAAATTCCAAAAACCAGAATGCCTCTTCTCCTCCAAAGGATCACAACTCTTCCCCAGCAAGGGAACAAAACTGGATGGAGAATGAGTTTGACAAACTGACAGAAGTAGACTTCCCAAGGTGGGTAATAACAAACTTCACCGAGCTAAAGGAGCATGTTCTAACCCAACGCAAGGAAGCTAAGAATCTTGAAAAAGGGTTAGACAAATTGCTAACTGGAATAACCAGTTTAAAGAAGAACATAAATGACATGATTGAGCTGAAAAACACAGCATGAGAACTTCATGAAGCATACACAAGTATCAATAGCTGAATTGATCAGACAGAAGAAAGGATATCAGATACTGAAGATTAACTTACTGAAATAAAGTGAGAAGACAAGATTAGAGAAAAAACAATGAAAAGGAATGAACAAAGCCTCCAAGAAATATGGGACTATGTGAAAAGACCAAATCTACATTTGATTGGTGTACCTGAAAGTGACGGGGAGAATGGAACCAAGTTGGAAAACACTCTTCAGGATATCATCCAGCAGAACTTCCCCAACCTGGCAAGGCAGGCCAACATTCAAATTCAGGAAATACGGACAACGCCACAGAGATACTCCTCGAGAAGAGCAACCCCAAGACACATGCTTATCAGATTCACCAAGGTTGAAATAAAGGAGAAAATATTAAGGGCAGCCAGAGAGAAAGGTTGGGTTACCCACAAAGGGAAGCCCATCAGACTAACAGCAAATCTCTCTGCAAAAACACTACAAGCCAGAAGAGAGTGGGGGCCAATATTCAACACTCTTAAAGAAAAGAATTTTCAACCCAGAATTTCATATCCAGCCAAACTAAGCTTCATAAGCAGAGGAGAAATAAAATTTTTACAGACAAGCAAATGCTGAGAGATTTTGTCACCACCAGGCCTGCCTTACAAGAGCTCCTGAAGGAAGCACTAAACATGGAAAGGAACAACTGGTACCAGTCAATGCAAAAACATACCAAATTGTAAAGACCATTAACACTATGAAGAAACTGCAGCAACTAACAAATATAACCACCTAGCATCATAATGGCAGGATCAAATTCACACATAACAGTATTAACCTTAAATGTAAACAGGCTAAATGCCCCAATTAAAAGACACAGGCTGGCAAATTGGATAAAGAGTCAAGACCCATAGGTGTGTGGTATTCAGGAGACCCATCTCATGTGCAAAGACACACATACGCTCAAAATAAAGGCATGGAGGAACATTTACCAAGCAAATGGGAAGCAAAAAAAAAAGAAAAAAAAAAGCAGGGGTTGCAATCCTAGTCTCTGATAAAAAAAGACTTTAAAGCAACAAAGATCAAAAGAGACAAAGAAGGACATTACATAATACTAAAGGGATCAATGCAACAAGAAGAGATAACTATCCTAAATATATATGCACCCAATACCGGAGCACCCAGACTCATAAAGCAAGTTCTTAGAGACCTACAAGGAGACTTAGACTCCCACACACTAATAGTGGGAGACTTTAACACCCCACTGTCAATATGAGACAGATCAATGAGACAGAAAATTAACAAGGATATTCAGGAGTTGAACTCAGCTCTGGACCAAGCAGATCTAATAGACATCTACAGAACTCTCCACCCCAAATCAACAAAATATACATTCTTTTCAGCACCACATTGCACTTATTCTAAAATTGACCACATAATTGGAAGTAAAACACTCCTCAGCAAATGCAAAATAATGGAAATCTTAACAGTCTCTCAGACTACAGTGCAATCAAATTAGAACTCAAGATTTAAAAACTCACTCAAAACCACACAACTACATGGAAACTGAATAACCTGCTCCTGAATGACTGCTGGGTAAATAACAAAATGAAGGCAGAAATAAAGAAGTTTTTTGAAACCAATGAGAACGAAGACACAAAGTACCAGAGTCTCTGGGACACATGTAAAGCAGTATGCAGAGGGAAATTTATAACCAGCTAGTCCACAAGAGAAAGCAAGAAAGGATCTAAAATCGACACCCTAACATCACAATCAAAAGAACTAGAGAAGCAAGAGCAAACAAATTAAAAAGCTAGCAGAAAACAAGAAATAACTAAGATGGGAGCAGAAGTGAAGGTGATAGAGACACAAAAAACCCTTAAAAAAAATCCGTGAATCCAGAAGCTGTTTTTTTCTTTTTTATTTTTTTATTTTTGTTTTTTAAAACAAATTAGACCACTAGCCAGATTAATTTAAAAAAGAGAGAAGATTCAAATAATTGCAATAAAAAATGAAAAAGGGGATATCGCCACTGATCCCACAGAAATACAAACTATTGTCAGGGAATACTATAAACACCTCTATGCAAATAAACTAGAAAATCCACAAGAAATGGATAGATTCCTGGACACATACACCCTCCCAAGTCTAAACCTGGAAGAAGTAGAATCCCTGAATAGACCAATAACAAGTTCTGAAAATGATGCAGTAATTAATAGCCTACCAACGAAAAAAAGTCTAGGACCAGAGGGATTCAAAGCCGAATTCTACCAGAGGTACAAAGAGGAGCTGGTACCATTCCCTCTAAAACTATTTCAAACAACAGAAAAACAGGGAATCCTCCCTAACTCATTTTATGAGGCCAGCATCATCCTGATACCAAAACCTGGCAGAGACACAACAAAAAAAGAAAATTTGAGGCCAATATCCCTGATGAACATTGCTGCGAAAATCCTCAATAAAATACTGGCAAACCGAATCCAGCAGCACATCAAAAAGGTTGCCAACCACGATCAAGTCAGCTTTATCCCTGGGATGCAAGGTTAGTTCAACATATGCAAATCAATAAACATAATCCGTTACATAAACAAAACCAATGAAAAAAACCACGTGTTTATCTCAGTAGATGCAGAAAAGGCCTTCAACAAAATTCAACAACCCTTCATGCTAAAACTCTCAATAAACTAGGTATTGATGGAACGTATCTCAAAATAATAAGAGCTATTTATGACAAATCCACAGCCAGTATCATACTGAAGGGGCAAAAACTGGAAGCATGTCTTTTGAAAACCGGCACAAGACAAGGATGACCTCTCTCATTGCTCCTATTCAACACAGTATCGGAAGTTCTGGCCAGGACAATCAGACAAGAGAAAGAAATAAAGGGTATTCAAATAGGAACAGAGGGAGTCAAATTGTCTCTGTTTGCAGATGACATGATTGCATATTTAGAAAACCCCATCATCTCAGCCCAAAATCTCCTTAAGCAGATAAGCAACTTCAGCAAAGTCTCAGCATACAAAATCAATGTGCAAAAATCACAAGCAGTTCTGTACATCAATAATAGACAAACAGAGAGCCAAATCATTAGTGAACTCCCATTCACAATTATTACAAAGAGAATAAAATACCTAGGAATACAACTTACAAGAGATTATGAAGGACTTCTTCAAGGAGAACTACAAACCACTGCTCAAGGAAATAAGAGAGGACACAAACAAATGGAAAAATATTCCAGGCTCATGAGTAGGAAGAATCAATATCGTGAAAATGGCCATAGTGCCAAAAGTAATTTATAGATTCAGTGCTATCCCCATCAAGCTACCATTGACTTTCTTCACAGAATTAGAAAAAACTACCTTAAATTTCATATGGAACCAAAAAAGAGCCCGCATAGCCAAGACAATCCTAAGCAAAAAGATCAAAGCTGGAGGCATCATGCTACCTGACTTCAAAGTATACTACATGGCTACAGTAACAAAACAGCCTGGTACTGGTACCAAAACAGACATATAGATTAATGGAATGGAACAGAGGCCTCAGAAATAATACCACACCTCTACAACCATCTGATCTTTTACAAACCTGGCAAAAACAATCAATGGGGAAAGGTTTCCCTATTTGATAAACGGTGTTGGGAAAACTGGCTAGCCATGAGCAGAAAACTGAAACTGGACCCCTTCCTTACACTCTATACAAAAATTAATTCAAGTTGAATTAAAGACTTAAATGTAAGACCTAAAACCCTAAGAACCCTAGAAGAAAACCCAGGCAATACCATTCAGGATATAGGCACGGGCGAAGACTTCATGATTAAAACACAAAAAGCCATGGCAACAAAAGCCAAAATTGACAAATGGGATCTAATTAAACTAAAGAGCTTCTTCACAACAAAAGAAACTATCGTTGGAGTGAACAGGAAACCTACAGAATGGGAGAAAATTTTTGCAATCTATCCATCTGACAAAGGGCTAATACCTGGAATCTACAGATAACTTAAATTTACAAGAAAAAGTAACCCCATCAAAAAGTGGGCAAAGGATATAAACAGACACTTATCAAAAGAAGACATTTATGCAGCCAACAATCATGAAAAAAAGCTCATCATCACTGGTCATTAGAGAAATGCAAATTGAAACCACAATGAGATACCATCTCACACCAGTTAGAATGGCGATCATTAAAAAGTCAGGAAACAACAGATGCTGGAGAGGATGTGGAGAAATAGGAACACTTTTACACTGTTGGTGGGAGTGTACAGTAGTTCAACCATTGTGGAAGACAGTGTGGCAATTCCTCAAGGACCTAGAACTAGAAATACCATTTGACCCAGCAGTCTCATTACTGGGTATATACCCAAAGGATTATAAATAATTCTACTATAAAGACACATGCACACATATGTTTACTGCAGCTCTATTCACAATAGCAAAGACTTGGAACCAACCCAAATGCCCATCAGTGATAGACTGGATAAAGAAAATGTGGCACATACACACCATGGAATACTATGCAGCCATAAAAAAGGATGAGTTCATGTTTTCTGCAGGGACATGGATGAAGCTGAAAACCATCATTCTCAGCAAACTAACACAAGAACAGAAAACCAGACACCGCATGTTCTGACTCAAAAGTGGGAGTTGAACAATGAGAACACATGGACACAAGGAGGGGAACATCATATACCAGGGCCTGTCAGGGGGTGAGGGGTTAGCGGAGGGATAGCATTAGGAGAAATACCTAATGTAGATGACGGGTTGATGGGTGCAGCAAACCACCATGGCACGTGTATACCTGTGGAACAAACCTGCACATTCTGCGCATGTGCCCCAGAACTTAAAGTATAATAAAAGAAAATTAAAAAAAAATCAAAGTGCACACCCACATAAGCATTTTACACTAAATCGTTAATGACTACTTTGGACTGTCTAAATTTAGAAAAAGAGTCCATCTGTTTGAAAAGAGTTTACCTCTCATTTACCTGTTTGACTCTCTCATTGCTTGAACATATCTCAACCCACAAATGTTACCAAAGTCACCATCTGGCTATCTTTCTTATTTCATGGGCCTTGATTCTGAAAACACAAGGACCCCCTCACATAGACACCCATTAAAATAACCCTGTAAAACAAAATTTGAGTTCCCTTTGATATGTTTGGTTTGGTTTAGGCAGGTTTTTTTTGGGGGGGGTGTGGGGGTGTATTTAAATATACTTTTCAGTTTACTGTTAATGAGAAAAGAGAAAAAAGGAGTAGAAAACATGGAAATGGGATAGAGAATCAAATTTCCAACATGAAATGTGTTAATTTTTAAGTGGCTTTCAGTAGGTGTCTTGGAACATCAGTCAATATGTGGTAAATAATCTGTGGTGGGTGGAATTGAGTCTAAGAATTCAACATTGGAACTTTACCCAAGAAAAAAGTCCAAGAGTGAGGTCACTCCAGTTGGAAATTGTTTGTGTCCATCTGTCCATCCATCCATCCATCCATCCATCTTTTCAATAATTTTCCATCTACCTTTCAATAATTTTAACTGTTGACTCTGTGCCAGGTACTGTTTTAGGTTCCTGTTCTAATGGAACTCCCATTCTGTAGACAGGAGACAGAGTAAACAACCAAACAAACAAAAAATAAATCAATCAATAAACGAGAACATCAGCTAGTGGTAAGTGCTATGAGGAAAATAAATCACAGTGCTGTGATAGAGTATAATGGGCAAGTGCCGGGCAAGGGCATTAAAGCAGGTGGTCAGGGAAGGCCTCCCCGAGGTGGTGATATTTCAAGCAAGCTGCGAATGAAAAGAATAAAGTCAAGTCCTGCCTGGTGAGCAAATAGCCAGTGTGAGAGCTCAGAGGCAAGAATGAGCCTGGCCTGGTTCAAGATTCAGCAAGTGAGTCAAAGGAGAATAGTTTAAGAAGAAAAGGCATCTTGAAATTACTGGCATGTCAATGGAGAACAGAAATGAATATGGATTTGATATCTTTTGATACTGGAAGCCAGTCCCATATTATCAATGGCAAAGTCATACGTAACTTCTCCTTGCCGATGATCTCAATGGCTTTGTGTGTGCTTCACTGCAAACTTGCTTCCCCCTCACCAGCTCACCCAGTTGAATCCAGCCTGATTCAGTAACTGACTCCTGTTTGCTGAGCTTTGTGAAATTAGGCACTTGGTAAACTGGCATTAGGGTTTTTGCCAAAACAGCCCAAAACACTCTGCGCAAACATTTCCTGAGGCACCTCTTCCCCGCTGGAAGTAATGGGTGGCTATTTGCAAACTGCTTAGCCGGTCTTACCACTGTCAACCCATCCTCATTAGCTGCAGCCGGAACAAAGGCATCTTCCTGGAAGCCTTTGTTGGTTAAAAAAATAAAAGTGGTTTTTTTTGGACATGCTTGAACTAACTCCCATTTGTGTGTGCATCAGAAATATGTAATGAATAAAATGAAATATGGAAGATACTGTCATAGCACATCCAAATCAAACATTTATTTGCTAAAATAATTATATTAGAAAATAGCCATTGCCTGTAAAATTCTGGAATGAGTGAAAACTCTTTTTATTTTGTTTCCTTCTAAATGTGCTTATAATTTCGGTTAAGGACATCTTTTCCCAATACTTCTTACTTTACCCACCCAGTTTTGGACAGAATTTTACTAAACTGAGTGACTCCTAACACATAACAGTCTTTTTATTTGTCCTTAATAAACCTCAGAGAAGGTTCACCCTCATGTCGGGATTAATTTTGCTATTGATTCATTTTCTTTGGATCATAAAACAAGTGTACCACATGTTAGATACACTGGAATTACTTTTTTTTTTTTTTAAATTAACTACTCATGGTTAAGCCAAGCAGAGTTATACATAAAGAGTTAAGAGAGCCACTTAGAATTAAATGATCCTACCTGATAATAAATTTTGCTTTTTGGAATAAAGCAATTTTCTCTTCGTTGCTGTCTTACTAATACAATACAGTGTCTGCAATAATAATTCTATTTCAGACATCCGAAGCTCTCCCACTTCTTTAGCTCTCTAATTTCTTACATGATGCCCCTGGTTTTACAAGTATTTTTAATAGACTGATGTTCCAGATTCTTCTATACAGTCAAATCCTTTCATAGTCAGAGACTTGTTTTTCCACAGGAATTTAATTCCCTCTGCAGAATTGTAACATGGGTTGGACTGATCTGGTTTACATTTTCTGACATGTTTTCCCTCCCCTGAAGATTAACTTAACTATCACTTGGCTCCTTCTCAATTCTTTTCATCTCATTTTCACTTAAAAAATATTCTGATTTTATTCAGTAGGGTATCTTGCACTGTTTTCTGAAGATAGGGATTTTAGCTCTGGGAACATGGTTTCATGCTGCCAAGTGTTTCTCCCTTGAATTCCAGATGATGCCTAGATTGTTTGAAATTAACACAATGTGTCCAAAATTTACAAAAAAAAAAAATTCAGCTTAGTGAGCTGAATATCTCTATTAAGTTACTTGGTTAGTCAATTTCATAAAATTTTGTCCAAAAGAATCCACTCTGTCAGCCATTTATCATTAAGTACATAATGCATTGCATTGGGTAAGAACATTTAAAAATATATTTTAAAAATCTACTCAGAATGCACTTAACCCCTGCTGTGATTTAAGTTTGTGTACCCCCAAAATTCATATGCTGAAGCCTAACCCCCAGTGCAATAGTATTGAGAGACAGGGCCTTTGGGAAGTGGTAAGGTTATGAGGGCTCTGTCTACATGGATGGATTAGTGCCTTTATAAAAGAAGTTGAGGCCGGGTGCGGTGGCTCACGCCTGTAATCCCAGCACTTTGGAAAGCTGAGGCAGGCAGATCACCTGAGGTCGGGAGTTCGAGACCAGCCTGACCAACATGAAGAAACCCCATCTCTACTAAAAATACAAAAGTAGCCGGATGTGGTGGTGCATGCCTGTTATCCCAGCTACTTGGGAGGCTGAGGCAAGAGAACCACCTGAATCTGGGAGGTGGAGGTTGTGGTGAGCCAAGATCATGCCACTGCACTCCAGCCTGGGTGACAGAGTGAAACTCCGTTTCAAAAAAAAAAAAAAAAAAAGGAGGTTGAAGGATGCCGCCATGCCCCTTCCACCATGTGAGGCCAGAGAAAGATCCATCTTTGGGGAACAGGCCCTCACCAGACACCAAATCTGCTGCAACCTGATTCCCAGCAGAGGCATCCCAGCCTCCAGAACTATAAGAAATAAATCTCTATTGTTTATAAATTACATGGTTTAAGGTAATTTGTTCTAGCAGTCTGAACAGACTAAGACAACTCCCCTCTTTAGATAATTAAATCTCCCTAATTTCTTAGAAGTTAGCTTAAAAATCTCTTCAGAGATACCCTCCCTGGCTGTTCCCCGCTCCCTCCCTCCCTTCCTCCCTTCCTCTCTTCTTTCCTCCTTCATGGAGCTAATTTACAACTTGCAATTGCTTTTTTTGTTGTTGTTTGGTCTGTCTTTGCCACTATTTTATATTCCTTGAGTCTGTAACATAATGGTCATAATGCTCACTGCACGTAGCCCAGTGCCTGATGCAAAGCAGGTGCTTAATAAATGTATGGTAAATTAATTTTAAAATACAGGTCCCAGAGGGGTTAATTTTTCTCCTCAATTCTCTGGCCTGGCCTCCTACATTAACTGAATTAGCCCGTTACCAGCATGATCTCATTATTTTATTTTGAATCTGAGTTGAATTATGACTGCTATGTTGTTGCCATTTTAGAAGACATTGTTCTCACCTCTTTAGCCAGATTTGTCCACAAATATTCCCTTTCAGGAGAAGGACTCCACCAATCCAGGGATTCTGGGTCCCTCCTCCCTTGTGTTCTGGCTCTTGTGCATGGCACTTTGAACAAATATTTCTCAGGACTGTGTTATCCTTGCAAAGGAGGCCATCCAAACAAAAGAGGACTTCTGGTGAAATTCCCTATTGTGATTTTCATGCCTACGCTTTTAAGGCAATCTGCAGAGAGCAAGAAGGTCAAACTGACCTCTCCGCAACTCAGCTGTCTCCAATTCCCAAAGAGACTGCGGAGAGGTCATCTCACCTTTTTGGCACTTGGCTCTTTAATTGCCAGAATGAGAGGATTTGATGAAATAAACTCTATGGTTGCTCTTGCTCTAGCATTTTGCAATGACTTCCATTATATGGAGGGACTACATTTCTTTCCCAGGTAAGAATCAGTCCTTGTTCTGGTGCTTGGGGAAGGCTCTACTTCTGAGCAGGGGGAGCAGTGAAAGCGCATAATTCAATGGTGATGAGCACCAGGTCTGAGGCTCCTGAACACTTCCTGTCTATTTATAGAGAATCTGGGATTCTATCCAGCAGGCCTGCCAATTGCATCCACCAAATAATAAATTCGTTTGAGAAATCCGTTACGCATTGATTCCATGAGCTTCGGTTTCCAGCTTGCTAGCGTGGCCTGGCTTTACTAGGGGGATCAACCATCCCAGTTTGCCTGGGACCAAGGGGATGTCCCAGAACTTGGGACTTTCAGTGCTAAAACTGGGACAGTCCCAAGCAGACTGGACAAGTGGTGACTGTATTTGTCTGTAATAATTCCGATTACAAAAGCAACAGCCATCACCATCAGCATCATTGTAACAGTGAGTTGTTAAGTGCTTAGCACCTGCTACATTTTATTAGGACTTCACTAATACCACCTGACCTTCAGAGCAACCCTGATGATATTAGATTCCCCCCGTTTCACAGGTGGAAACTGACTCTCAGAAAGGTTAAGTGCTTATTTCAAAGTTTCTTGGCTAATAAGGAGCATACTTAGGATTCCAAAACTGACCAACCTGAACTTAAACCCTGTGTCAAAATTGGAAATTTGGCCGCTGATTGCGCATTTGATGACATCAAGGACTCATTGTTAACTGTTTTCTAGGTGTGCAAATGCTGTTATGGTTATTATTTCTTTTTAAGTCTTTATCTTTTTTTTTTTTTTTTGAGACGGAGTTTTGCTCTTGTCACCCAGGCTGGAGTGTAATGGCATGATCTTGGCTCACTGCAACCTCTGCCTCTTGGGTTCAAGCAATTCTCCTGCGTCAGCCTCCAGAGTAGCTGGGATTACAGGCACCTGCCACCACATCTGGCCAATTTTTTGTATTTTTAGTAGAGACGGGATTTCACCATGTTGGTCAGGTTGGTCTCGAACTCCTGACCTCAGGTGATCCATTCGCCTCGGCCTCCCAAAGTGCTGGCATGAGCCACTGCGCCAGGCCTAAGTCTTCATCTTTTAGGGACATATTTAGGAACATTTACTGATGGGAAAAGAAATCAAACCAATGTCAATAAGTCATATCAGGCTCAAAGCCGTCCCTCAGTGCAATCCCTGGGGTCACAATAGTGTAGAAAGAGCCAACGCTGGGGGCCTGGGCTGGGTCTTCCCCTGACCAGCCAAGCGATCAGGTATCTATTCTCCGATTTGCCTGGGTTTAGACGTAATCTTCATCATGATAATTTAAAAAAAATTTTTTTGTAAGAAAAGCCTTGATATTTAAACTTCTGTGTATGTGTGTGTGTGTTTGGTTATCAGTGGAACCCTTTCTTCAAATGAAATATTCCACAAATGCCTAATTGATAAAACCTTTAAAATGAGTTATTCTGGTGTAAGGGAGAACTAAGAATCCTGCAAATAGCATCCTTTGGAAACCCACTGGTCTATGCCGTCCCGGCCTGCAGAAACCTAACAATATTAGAAAGAAACATTTGGTCAATGTGATAACTCTGGTTCTGTCAGGCAGGACTGGCAAACTTCTCTTGTCAAGAGCCGAGTTATAAATGTTGTAGGCTTTGTGGGTCGTACGACCCATGTCGCAACTACTTAATTCTGCCCTCCCAACACGAAAGCAGCCACAGACAAATGTAAAATAATGGGTGTGGCCATGTTCCAATAAAACTTTATTTATTTATAAATAAACTTTATTTATTTATAGACACAAATTGGAATTTCATATACTTTTTGTGTGTCACAAAATATTCTCTTTCCCCTCAAAATGTAAAACGATTCTCAGCTGACAAGTATATAACAACAGGCTCAATGTGGCCCATGGGCTGTCATTTGCTGATCCCTGCTATAAAGATTGTCAGGAGCCTGGTTTCGATTTTTTTTCTTTTTTTTCGAGATAGAGTCTCACTCTGTCACCCAAGCTGGAGTGCAGTAGCGCCATCTCAGCTCACTGCAACCGCAACCTCCTGGGTTCAAGCGATTCTCCTGCCTGAGCCACCAAGGTAGCTGGGATTATAGGCTCTCGGTACCACGCTTGGCTAATTTTTGTATTTTTAGTAGAGACAGGGTTTCACCATGTTGGCCAGGCTGGCCTTGAACTCCTGACCTCAGGTGATCCGCCCGCCTCAGGCTCCCAAAGTGCTGGGATTACAGGTGTGAGTCACCGTGCCCGGCCGTGGTTTTGATTTTTGCCCCTGTGAGTTACTATCTGCACATTTGAGGGAAAGTTATTTAAGTCCTCAAGCCTCAGTTCCCTAATTGTGAAAGGGGTGTAAAAGTAAAATCTACAAGCAGCAGGGATAGATGGGAACTCCGTACTTTCCTCTCCATTTTTCTGTGAACGTAAAACTGCTCTAAAACAAAGTCTGTTTAAAAAGAAATTCACGCTTAAATAAAATCCACTTCATGAGTTTATTGTGCAGATTAAATGAGATAAGACAGTAAAACACCTCAGCACATGGTGGTCACCCTCACCTATAATTACCCGGTCCTCCTGGAAACCAGTGTACTGCCCTTCTTGACCTTCAAATAGCTGTGACCTTTGCAAGGCACAGCCCTGACGCAAGGATGCTTAGAACTTGGATCCTGGGCCTGTTTTGGCAGAATGAACTGACCTAGAATCAGCATGGATCAGACTCACAAAAGTATGCCTGTTCCCTCAGCCCCCAGCCTCCACCCCACCATCATTGCCTGTTATTGGCTGAGCTCCCGGGCCTTTTCCCTGGACTAAAGTGTTGTTTGCTTTTCTTCTGCAGCTTTTTCCAGAGATATGAGCAAGGTTCACTTAAATAACCTTATCAGTCTTACCTTCAACTCCTCCCCTAGGTTCCCCATTTGAGCAGTGTAATTTCTATGTAATCCCTTAGGCAGTTCCTGTGGCCTCCCTTCTCCAATTTTAGTATGTGCTGCCGAAGCTAGCACGTGGCCTCTCTTTTCTAAGGGCCTCCGGGGCAGGTGTGTGTATGTGCATGCGGGAGGGTGGGGCGTGGTCACATACACATCTGATAACGTTTTTCTACTCCTTTCTTCATCTTGGGCTCCACTGAGCTCCCTCCTTTCCTTGCATCTCTTTGTCCTTGACTTTGAAACATGGAACACCTGCTATTTCTTGGGGGGACATTTCGAGCCTGATCGTCTCTAGCTCCTTCCCGTCTGCGAGGCCTGGGATTTGGGCTATCACACCTCCTGTTCTGAGGCTCGTTTTAGTTATTTTGGATTTCTTTGTATTGCAATCACCTAAAGAATCCTAGGGGTTCTTTTCCTTCCTTATTTTCTCCTCCAGCCCCTACCTAAATTAGTTGCTAAAGGGCTGGCTTTCTGGGTTCTGAATTCTTGCCATGCAGTTGTCCCCAACCACAGTCCCTTCCTGATGTTGCTGGGGCATCTGTGAAATGCCTCAGCAAATCTTTTTTTGTTTTTTTTTTTATAAAAAACTCTTTATATGTTATTTTTCTTATTGTTTAAAAATAAAATGCGTCATGCACATTTACATTGTAAAAGTAATTCATATGCCTCATTAAAAGTGTGTAGAAGCTGAATAAAGAGAAAAATAATCAAGCATATTATTATTCAACATTTTCGAATAATTTTCTACTAAAAATTTTTGACATACTCCTGTGGTTAGATCATTCTCTCCCTGCCTCTTTCTCTCTCTACATTTATATATATGTAGTAGTGTATGCTGATAGAGTTATTTAACACGGTAGCATCAATATTTTTCTTTGTTATTACTCTCCTAGTGGGCATCTCTCTATGACTTCATATTATTCCATCCAAGGATCCTCTTACATTTTATTTAATCATTTCCATTTTATTAAGCATTTGTTTGCAATTTTTACCATTATCAATAATACTCCAAGTAGCATCTTTGTGAATACATGATTTTTATTATATCTTAAATTACTTATTTATGGTTGATTGCCTACAGGTGGAATGACTTGAGAAACATCTTAGAGATAGTTATATATTCTTTAAGGAAAAGGTATTGTCAGAGCCTGTGTTACATGATATGACTGCTACTATTGACTTTCTGCTTCTTCTAACTGGTCTGGGATCTCGGTTCCTGGATTATTCTCCCAGAGAGAATAATCCTCAAGAAACTCTCCACTCAGTTTGTCACCTTTACACCAAACCATGCCCTTCCCTTTGCTTTAGTGAACTTGGCTGCAAACTACAGCAGATGAACTCTACGCACCAACCTTTTGTTTCAGAACATAAATACCAGCTCAACCATTGATCATTTTGCCTGACCTTTCTGAGTTCGTCAACTTGTCTCTGATACATAGCAAAGCCTAACTTCTTTGTTTTAAGAAAAATTCCAAGAGTCGAATCCCCAGGTCAACGTATTCATGAGTGTGTTGCAAAGTAAAGCTGTAATATTTCACTGCTAAAGCCTTCAGGAGAGCAAGCAATCACTCTGGATCCTTGCCTACCACTGTTCACCGGTGCAGTTTTATGTCTCCTGAAAACGTCTTCTCTCTAAACACACCAAGGGCTAAATTGTCTCCTGGCTTCTTGTATCCAATCCAATAACTGATGCATATACACCCTCCTCAAATGCACCCTAGCTGACACACACGTTTGACTGACTTCTGAAAAAGCTTTGGTTAACTTCAGTCCAGGAATGGTTAGCTTTGCCTTTTCTGTGAAATCACATCCAATGGCTGGCTCGACCTGTCATGGTCCCTCTGTGAGGCCAGTCTATAGTCTAAGGTTTAGGTGCAGATGAAAATCAGAAGTGACTAAGAAGAGCTCTCTGCTCGTTTTGGGAGACAGCTACCTCCTGTGTCAAGTGACAGGAGTGAAATTTGCTACCTGCCTTCTTTTCAGAATGAATAAAAACTGGATCCATCTAGAAAATCCATTCGAAACTGATCTCCATGCTTTTATATTTAGGCAGCATTCACCTCACAACAATAACACATTTGCTTTACTGCCAGAAGGGGCCTTGGAGCTCATCTTGAGGGCTTGTTGGAGCCCTTAGCTGAGGGGGTCACAGACAACCCCTTCTAAACTCTTGGTCTGTGGAAAGCATTGTCTTCAACTGTCTGTACAGATTTGGAAGAGAAGCAGACAGTGAGGGAAGACACACCTGCTTGGCCATCAGAGGTGGACGCTCAGCTCATCAAGACTGTCACTGATGACCTGGGAGATGGTGGCAATTCCCTTGATTAACTTAAGGCCCAGGTTCCTCATCTGTGAGTGGGGATATTAACAGCTTCCCTACAAACTTGCCTGGAAGAGGAGCAATGTTTGTCAAGTCCTTTTCATGGTACCTGGTGTGAGAAATGATCAACACTGAAAGCTATTATTGTTAGCTAGAGAGATGTCTTTATCTTTTCTTTTCTTTTCTTTTTTCTTTTCTTTTCTTTTTTTTTTTTTTTTGTGAGATGGAATCTTGCTGTATTGCCAGGCTGGAGTGCTGTGGTGCGATCTCAGCTCACTGCAACCTCTGCCTTCTGGGTTCAAGCAATTCTCCTGCCTCAGTCTCCCGAGTAGCTGGGACTACAGGCACATGCCACGACGCCCAGCTAAATTTTTTTTTTTTGTATTTTTAGTAGAGACGGGATTTCACCATGTTAGACAGGATGGTCTCAATCTCCTGACCTCGTGATCCGCCTGCCTCGGCCTCCCAGAGTGCTGGGATTACAGGTGTGAGTCATTGCACCCGGCCAGCTAGAGAGATGTCTGAATGAATTGCAGTGGCCATGAGAGGGATAAATCGAGCAGGTAGATCACTCTCCCCACTGCAACAGCATCCATTTTACCCCCTATATTTTACAGGTAAGGAGAATGAATTTCAGGTGAGTTAGCGGGTTCGTACCTAATGGCACATTCAGGACTCATACTCAACCTCCTTGATCCATGATTCAGTGTTCTCTCTGCTATCTTGCACTGCCTGCCAAAAAATTCAGGTGACCACAGACAAGGACACACCAGGAGCGTACCTGAGTTGACAGTGAGATGACTGATAAGACGTCCCCAGCATGAGGTTTTAACCATGGACATAGATCTTTGGACTAGCAAAGCCAGGTCTCCCGTTATAAGTGGACCATCCTTTCTGAGTTCCAGACACTGCCTTCCATGTCTGTTCACCGGCACTCAATTGGTACAACTGTGAGATGCATGATGCTAGGCAACCTGTCTTGCAGAAATTTTGACAGTACACATTTTAAGCCTTAAAAATCTCCCCATTGGTGCTCACGTGAGTCTAGGCATGGGATCAAATGTCATAGAACTACACGCACACAAACACACACACAAACCATAAACAGAAGGGAGGGGCTGGGCCCGGTGGCTCACGCCTGTAATCCCAGCACTTTGGGAGGCCGAGGCGGGCAGATCACAAAGTCAGGAGTTTGAGACCAGCCTGGCCAACATGATGAAACCCCGTCTCTACTAAAAATACAAAAATTAGCCAGGTATGGTGGTGGGCGCCTGTAGTCTTGGTTACTCGGGAGGCTGAGGCAAGAGAATTGCTTGAACTCAGGAGATGGAGGTTGCAGTGAGCCAAGATCATGCCACTGCACTCCAGCCTGGGTGACACAGCGAAATTCCACTTCAAAAAAATAAATAAAAATTAAAAAAAAGAAGAGTGTATGTAAAAACTGGTGAAATCTGAATGAGGTGTGTTGTTTAGTTAATATAGTATTGTACCTATGTCAGTTTCCTGGTCTTGTGTGATTAAATAACGTGTTATCATTGCAGGGAGCTAAGGTCTTTCTCTACTAGCTTTGCTACTCCTTATAACCCTAAAATTGTTTCAAAATGCAAAAATATTAAAAATGCAAGTCCCCTACTTTGCTCTGTTCTTCCAGAAAATTATCCTAAGGAAATAAAGATGCATACAGAAAAGGCCATAATGTCTACCATAAGAGGTTTTAAAGTAAATTCTCACCCAGCTGCTTGGTGGGTGAGGGCAGTGGGTCATGGTGAGTGAGGGTCAGCTTGGCTGGGTGACCTTGTACTGCTTATCTTGCTCAGCCTCAGCCGAGCTACTTAATGTCTCTGTGCCTTGGGCATCTCATCTAGAAAATGAATGTAATATAATAACATCTATGTCATCCCATATTTGTGTCCAGTCTGTACATGTAATTTGTGTGCAGGATAGAATCTGGCACCATGTATGCGTCTCAGTAAGTGTGAGCTAGAATCATGTTCAAGAAGAACACTCATGACATGAGAAAATGTTGCTGTTAGTGAAAACTGGAGACGAGAAAGCCATACTTATACTATTGATGCTATTTTTGAAAGGCATAGAGATGTGTATAACAGTGGCTAGAAAATTTTGCCCAGATGTTATCAGTAGGTGGTGCATTTTTGTTTTCCTTTCTAAACTCTGCCATGATTTCTAAAAACTAACTCAATGAGCACTAGTATGTTGAATTTTAAAATGAGAATAAAATGTGACTCTGTTAAGTACAAATGGCCAGATAACATCGCGTCTCAGCTGCTTTGCGTGTTTAACCTCAGCCCTTATCATTATTTCTGTGCTGCCTGTAAGCCGCAGAATCTGTCTCTGAGATGCTGCATTTCCCTAAGAAAGGAGGAGGAGTGAGACGCCTCTGGGGTGTGTGGTTATTTGCTGTTGTTAATATCAGGGATGGTCACGATCACCACAGTCCGGAAGTGCATGCAGTCTGCTCGTAAAACATGTGCAACACTCTAGAGCATGCAGGGTCCGGGAGCCAGCCCAGCAGAGTGGTCAGTCACCTGCTCCATGGGGACCAGGGTCTGCTCCAACTTCCACACTCTGAATCCAGCCCCAGACAGGAGTCTCTAAGCGGACATGGGCTGACAAATGGAGCTGCATCAGCACTGTTCCAGGGAGAGCCTTGTGGGGTCCAAGCCCATTTTCTTTGCTTCCAAATTTTCCTCTCTCCTGTAATGGAGCTAGCCTGCAGTGGCTAGGCTTCTCTTCTCCAGCCTGTTTGTTCTCCTGAAGGTCTCTGATGGGCATTTGTGGGCACTCAAGCCATTTATCCCACTCTCCTCCAGGTTGCTGGCCCTCAACAGGCTTTGGGGAAGGAACAAGGGGCCACCTGCCCCTGAAATTTAGGGATCAGGCTCAGCAGAGCTGTGGTAGTCAGTTAGGCACCCAGCAAACTTGAACTTCTGTGATCTAAATAGACATCCCCTCTCCCTTCAAGAGCCTGCTCCAACCCTGTTGGCAAGTATAGTGCTAGTGAAGCCCCCAGCCCACCCCCAAGGTCTCTCTGCACTTCTGGTTCTCATCCAGGAAGAAACCTAGATGTCAGACTGCCCACTGCTGTGCGACTAGGGGAGGGAGGGTAGAGAGAAGATGGGACCCAGTCTCAGGCTGCCTCTGCCTCCATTTATTGGAGGGTCCCAGAGCCCACCACATCCAGGCTGAAAGAAGGGAGATCCCCCCCATCCCAGATTACATTTTGGGAGGTTAAAAATTCTCCTCCTTCTACATCCTGACAACCATCCCCTAAACCCCAGAATGAGTGTCTGCTTGTAGCACTTCGTGTAAAACTCACCGATGGCTTTCCATAGAATTAGAAACGAAAGCCAATTCCTCACCAGGCCGGCTGGCTCGAATCCTCCGTGACTTACCTTCTCCCTTCCTGGCTCTGCTCAGTCCCCTTGGCCTTCTGTCTGCTCCTGGGATGCCCACGCTTGCCCACTCCGGGCCTTTGCAGATGCTGTTCCCCATGCTTGGAAAACTGGCCTCCTCCCCACTCACCAGCCACCAGCCACCACTCTGCAGGATGGGTCAGTGTTTATCAATTCAGAGCTTCGCTGAGTTCCTGTGAAGTCACCCCCAGTTGCTTTCTTCATAGCACTGGTCACAACAGGTAATTCCTTTATGTCTTTGTTTGATTACTGTCTACTCCCCCACCACTAGGAGGTGGCTCCATGACACTAAGTGCTTGTCCTTCATGGCCACACACATCTCCCCAGTGCTAAGAATATGCAGGGCACGTAGTAGGTGCTCCGTAAATCATTGCTGGGTGAAAAAAGGATGGAAGAATGAGGTCTTCACTTGATAGAACACAGGCTCTTGGTTGCATATAAAAATTTGCTTCCCCAGAGAAGAAAGTGATTCTGCTCATGTCTTAGGGTACAGGGGGCAGGACTGCTGGTCATCCTAGCCTAAGAGAGTCCAGTGGTGGGGACAGACATGACACAAAAAAGGACAATAGAGGCTGAGAAGGGCAACAGCAGGAATGGCCCAATGTACCCAGAGGAGGGTGGATTTGATTTAATTCTAATGGGGTGGGAAGGGGGAGTTAGGGATGATAATGCTCAGAAGGACTTGGAAAACCAAAGGTGATGTGGCAAGAGGCATATGTGGGAAGGGCAGGCTGTGAGGCCAGGTCAAGGCAGGGAAGTGTGACACAGCACAGTGCATAGTGGGACTACCTGCAGTGAGCCCCAGCTAAGAGAGTGGGCAGCTGGCTGGAAAATAAGGCAGAAGCTGACTGGGATATTTTTTCTTGCTTCCTTTTCTCTTTAACACTTGCCATCAACTAACAACTCCATACACTTGACTCATTTATCTTATTTTGTTTGGTGTTTGTTTATTTTGAGACAGGGTCTCACTCTGTTGCCCAGGCTGGAGTGCAGTGGTGCAGTCGTGGCTTACTGAAGCCTCAAACTCCTGGGCTCAAGTGATCCTCTTGCCTCAGCCTCCTGAGCAGCTGGGATGAAAGGTGTGCACCACCACACCTGGCTAATATTTGAATTTTTTTGTAGAGATGGGGTCCCACTGTGTTGCACAGGCTGGTCTTGAAATCCTGGGATCCAGTGATTCTCCTGCCTTGGCCTCCCAGAGTCCTGGAATCACAGATGTGAGCCACCATGCCTGGCTCATGTATCTATCTATCTATATCTATATCTATATCTATATCTATATCTATATCTATATATTTGTCTGTTTTACCACTAGGATGGAAACACTATGAGAGCAGGGATTTCACCATTTTAAAATTGTATTCCCAATACAGAAATTGTGCTTGACACATAGTAATTACTCAACAAAGAGCTCTTGAGTGAATAAGTGCTGCCGATCTTCGGCATTGACCAGTGAGTGTTCAACAGGCGAAGCATCGGTGCCTGATAGTCTTAGGTGTTATGTGAATAAATGTTCTTCATTTTCACAGAGATTTTTAAAAACTCACTTTGGTATGATATAGGAGCTGGCATCCAATCTGTGACTTCATAGATGTTATTGCTTAGAGTGAGGCCAAATTAAAAAAAAAAAAGTTGAGTTCTTTTAAAGAAAACTATTTGTATAGCAAAGTACAAAATCCAGGTGGAAAATAGCACACCCAAGACAGATACAACCAAACTAACATTCTAGAAAGATGGCTCAGGCAATACCCTGGGGTGTAGGTCAGGGTACAGGAGAGGAGGCTGTTCCATTGGTCCAAGGCAGAGGAAATGAGGCTTGAGATGAGGGCTGGGGCTGCAGGCGAGAAGCAGTGGGGTGAAAGGAGCTGGCTGGACCGGGAGCAGGTGAGGAAGCTGGCAGGATGGCCCAGAAGGTGTCGTGGCTCCCATGGGTATTTATTTATTTATTTATTTATGAGACAGAGTCTTGCTCTTGTCACCCAGGCTGGAGTACAATGGCATGATCTCAGTTCACTGCAACCTCTGCCTCCCAGGTTCAAGAGATTCTCCCGCTTCAGCCTCCTGAGTAGCTGGGATTACAGGCACCTGCCACCACGCCCAACTAATTTTTGTAGTTTTACTAGAGACCGGGTTTCACCATGTTGGCCAGGCTGGTCTTGAACTCACAACCTCAAGTGATCCACCCGCCTCGGCCTCCCAAAGTGCTGGGATTACGGGCATGAGCCACCACGCCTGGCTGGTCTTCTTTTAAGACTTAGCACAGGAGCTTCTACATGGTAGCTACTCAGTAAATATTTAACAAATTTGTGGATGAATGAGTAACTGTGAGTCTCTTCATCCAAATAATCCGGGGGACTTCTCATGCCCTTCTCTGGGGGAAAGATGCCTCTATAGAGGAGACAATTAGAAGGAGGCCAGGGACACTGCAGAGGGACGGCCTGCCCCGCCTGTCAGGCTGGCTGCAGTGGAGCCCTCTTCTGGCCAGCCTTTGCCGCTTGCAGAGTGACAGGTTCAAAGAATGAGAAGTTCCTGCAGCAGATGGGAAAATGATGAGGGCAGGGCCTGGCCTCAAAGACAATTTCATTGACACTCCCATTAATCACCTTTGGCCCTGAGTCCTTGGGGGCGTTGGGGGTGGAGGTTAGTGGAAGGGAGGGGCCAGAATGCTCAACTAACTCAGTCCTCCTCCTGACAGTGGAGAGGGCTGGGAGAAGGACTCCATCTCTTAAGTTGCTCATATGGACTTTTCACGAGTTATTCCAGACTGGCTGCAGAAAACATCATGCACAATCCTAGGTGACATTCCAGGAGGGACCAGGACAGTCTGCCTGCCCCCAGGCAGTCACATTCAGGGCAGAATGGCCAGGGAGGGGGCTAATATTTGGAGAGTCCCTTCCGTGTACCACTCACCACAGCAGGAGCTTTACATATGTTGTCTGAGGTCATTGCCACGACAACTGTGCAGGATGGGTAGTTTTTGCAGATGAGGCCTCAGAGGTTTGGGGGACTGAGCTCCTTAGTGAGGGCCAGACAGCCAGTAGGTATCGTCACTGGAAGTCGAACTGGGCTCTTTCGAATTCTAAAACTCATGTTCTCTCTAATACTCACAGCCTTACTCTCTATCCAAAATAGACCTCTGGGCTCTGTGCCTAAAGCAATAGAAAATGTAGACAAAGGACATGATACTTGGGACAGAACTATTTTGGGATGTTTTTGTGGCTAGATGCTCTGGACCTGGGGAGAAAGCCTTAAGACAAAATCTGTTAGGTCAAGGGCCTCGGGTGGATACCTTATCTGTTTATGCAACCCATAGGGAAGGGAGCTCCAGCAGAGGATACAGCACACGCAAAGGCATGGAGGTGTGACAATGGCAATTTGTTCACAGCATGGAAATGAGAGAGGGGTGGACGTGCCCAGAGGGACGAGCTGGGCTGCTGGGCCCTTACAGTCTTACAGTTCCTTCTGTAAGAGCAGAATCTGCTCTGAGCCAGGCAGGATGCTCTAGGGAAGGAGTCAATGCTTGCACCATCCAGAGCCCCTTTGTTGGTAATGGGACTCAACTCCCAGCCAATCTAAATGGGAGACATTCTAGAAAATATTAGAGAGTTATCTAGAAGCTGGTGGGTGAACGGTATTGAAGGGGTGCAGAAATAACCGTAGCATTTTTTTGAAGAACTTAGGAGTGGCATCTTATTCTCTCATAATGTATGTTTGCAGCAGAGTAATGAGTAGGACAATCAGATACACATTTATCCCATAGCTCGTGTCAAACAAAAGGAGCAGGAATTCGGAGACAGTCATTTCACCCATAGGATGTGACTGATATTTTCCATATTGACACAGTGTGGCCCAGTGTTAATGCAGGTCATCAACACTCTTTTACCAAGTTTTTACCGCTTGCCAGGAACTGGGACTAGGCAGTGAACTAGGCAGACACGGCCTCTCATTGAACTTATAACCCTGGTATATCTAGGGAGGCCGGGAAATGGATAACTAAACGCATCATTGCATCCAAGAGTTTTGGCCAAGTCATTGCAACTTTCTCACGTTAGTCTTCATAGTCTTCAAACTGGGGAAATTTTCTAAGGGAAGTCAAGACAGAGATGGGGAATGGCTATCTATAGTTACAAATATTAACATAGCACTTTGGAGGATATGATTTGATTTCCATATCTGGAAGTGTCCTAAGAGAAGATATTATCTTTGTTCATGTTCTATAAAAATCCAAGAGTATTTGTAATTTGGGCCTGAACCATTTGTCCTTGTCCTAAAGGGGTGGCGCTCAGGCAGTGACGTTCTAAAATTTAACTTTGTTTCTTCATGCCAATACCTTTCCCCTTGTGGGGCCCAGGATTCTCTTTCCTCTTCTTCCGTTTTCTCTGTTCCTCATGCCAATCTTAGTCAAAGTGTCTTTGCTAATTTTGAAACCATAGGGTTTTTAAACCTGTCATTCTGTGTTTGCATGTGGAGTGGGGGAGGAGGTTGTCTCCTCAACCTTACTTTCCCTGGTAATTAGCTTGGAGATTCATGAGAGTTCATTGCCAGTCAACTCCACTTTTGTGACTGGTCTTCTGTCTGGCACCATGTACTTTCCAAGAGTTCTGCTCTTAAGCTGCAGAACAGGCATGAAGCAATCTCACTTTGTTGCCACTTGCTCCACAACCACCATTTCTAGGTGGTCCCACATCCCTTAATCCCTCTGGTCTCCTGAAAGACTGGTTCTGGTGGCTAGATGTTTGTTTTAGCCTAGAAGGAAAAGTCTAGATGTAAGCTTTCCTGTGGCAAGAGAGCCCCAAGACAACCAGTAGTCAAAGCAGACACATCCGCTGTGTCTGTAAATGGAGAAGACTCCAGGGGAATGGAAAACAGTCCCATGAAGATTGAAATCCCTCCTGTTCATGAGGCAGAATAGGAAGTGGAAGCTTTGAGAAGTGAGATCATATTGTAGGATCACATTGTAAGCAGAGCTGGGACTTGAAAACAGATCTTCCATCTCAGTCCAGAGGGGGCAAAAATAGAGAAACCTTAGCTTGAAAAACTCAGGGGATTTGGACAGTTGTAAGGGAACTAAAAACAACTGCCTGCCCTTGGAAATCTGCATGGCCTCGGAGACTGTGCTAAACACATTGGGTGTGTTCTTTTATCCAATCTTTACTGTAACTAAGCATTTTAATCAATGGCCAAGTCATCAGTTAGGTTAAATAACTTGCTCAAAGCCTTGCCCTGAGAACACAGCAGAGTCTATGGCCATACCATTCTGAATGTGCCCTATCTCTTCTGATCTTGTGAAGCTAAGCAGGGTCAGGCCTGGTTAGTACTTGGATGGGAGACTATGGCGAGGCTGAGCCAGGATTTGACCCCAACAGTTGAGCTCTATCCTCTCTCAAATGCTGCTTTTGCTGAGTCAGACAAAAGAATTATGGCTTTCCTCTTAAGACCTAGTCATCTTTTGGGAGATGTCTTTCTCCAGGAAGACCTCCCTAAATGCTCCAAGCCACAACCAGCACATCTCCCAGATACAAATGTCTAACCTCTAGGAAACTTACTCAGCAGCCCACCTCACCCCACCAGTTTCCCATGGATCTGAAGCTCCATGTCTTCAAGACAGCGGTTCCTGCCTTCGTCATACTTTTGAGTACCAGTTCCCTCCACCCCACAGTTCCCAAATTTTAATTCAGTACCAAATTCTCAGGAGACACTCAGAGACTTGCAAAGTCAAAGGGGAAGACTGAGAAAGGGAAGCTGTGGGAACCAGAACTCGCCTGTGACTAATGCTGATCTTTCACTGAAATCAACTCTTTAGGAAGCTCTTTGAAAAAAATCAACTAATTTTAAGTCAAGTAATTTTTTTTAACTCTACGAATTTCCTCATCTGCCATGGGAGGTAATATATTCAAAGCACCTAGGCACACATGGATATTGCATAAATGGAAGTCATTATTATTATTATTCAAGATCCATTAATTTCATTGGTCAGTTGAATAAGGATGTATTCCCCCTGTTTAATCTAAATTCATCAAGTGTAAGATGGTGGCCAAAAAGTCATGGTGTAAAGACAATACTTTAATCCTGACTATCATTCTTAGGCACATAAATCAGCCCTCTCTCTGAATTCTCTTAGTGTTTTCACTTGAGTCTCACTCCCCAATAGTTGGTTGTGGCAATGACTGACCTCCCAGCCTCCTCTCACTTCTCTCTTTCGCCAGGGTCCCGAATAAGTGACTCTAAGGAAGAAATAAGTACAGCAGTTCTCCCTTATCCAAGTACGATATGTTCCAAGACCTCCAGTGGACCCGATACCACAGATAGTTCTGAACCCTATATACAGTATATTTTTCCCTTGACATACGTACCTATGATAAAGATTAATTTAAAAATTAGGCACAGTAAGAGATTAACAGTAATAACTAATAATAACAGAACAATTAGAACTATATACTATTCATAATTTCACAAACAGAGGATTCACTGTTACCACAGATCTTAGCAATCTCAGCACACAATGTTTTTCCTATCCTTAAGTCCAGAACTTTCACCTTTTCCCCTAAAGGAAGCACTTTACAGCTTCTCTTTGGCATATCTGATTGCCAGCATCTCGACTCTAGTTCTTTGGGGCTACTACCAAATGAAATAAGGGTTACTTGAACATGAGCACTGTGATACGCAGCAGTCGAGCTGATGACTGAGATGGCTGCTAAGTGACTCACAGGTGGGGAGTGTCTACAGCAGGGATATGTTGAACACAGGGAGAATTCAACTTTTCTTTTTCTCCTTCCCTTTTCTTCCCTTTCCTCTCCTCTCCTTTCTTTTCTTCTTTTCTTTTCTTTTTCTTTTTCTTTTATTTCTTTGAGGTCTCACTGTGTTGCCTAGGCTGGTCTCGAACTCCTGAGCTCAAGTGATCCTCCTGACTTGACCTCCCAAAGTGCTAGGATTATAGGTGTGAGCCACCACAGCCGGCCAGAATTCATGTCTTGAGGGACAGAGCCAAAGCTGGAGGGAGCAGGATTTGATCACACTACTCAGAATGGCACACAATTTAAAACTTATAAATTGTTTATGTCTAGAATTTTCCATTTAATATTTTCAGTCCATGGTTGACCACGGGTAACTGAAACCCTGGAAAGGAAAACCATGGATAAGGGGGGACTACTGTAATATACCTTGAATCCAAGCCTTTAATAGAGGGGTTCTGAGGACTCCCAGAGCAAAGGGGTAGGTCCCAAAAGGCAATAAGAGCATCTCTGGCTGTTATTATCAAAGTCAGAAAGATGGAAAGAAAGAAGTTGATAACCAAGAAAAAAACAACATGGTGGTGTATGGAACACTTGGACTGGGTTGTCTTTCTGGAAATAGCCATATGCATGATATCAAGATCTTTCCTCACCTCTGATGCTGCACTTTTATTACTTATATAAGAATTAAGCTTCCAAGCTTCAACCAGCTTCTTCATCTTGAGACATGAGGGAGAGTAGGGTAGAGTGATGGATTGGGCTGGGTGGATTTATTTATAATTTGGTCATGTAATAAACATTTTTTGAGCAACTACTATGTGAGACACAGGATACTGGGCTTGGAAGGCAAGGCACCGAACATGATCCTGCTGCCTGCCTTGTTAGAAAAAGGTACCAACCAGTAATGCTCATGAAGAGGAGATGAGGAGATAGAAGTGTTCACAGGGTATCATGGTAATGACATGTATCTTTCCTTTGATTGCAGGGAGACTCACACATTCCTGGACTCAAGCACAGCATGGAGCACATGGCAGCTCTCAATAAACTGTTGTTGAATGAATGAGTTACCATAGTTATTTACTAGTCTGTCTCCACTATGGGGCTGTGAATCCATCCTAAGTAATAATTGCTTATGCATGTAATACACTATAAAGTCAGGATAGCTAAGAGACCCCAACATCTCAGAAGCCTAGAACAACAAAGTTCAATTTTGCTGAAGTTACAGGTCACCATGGATCAGCGTGGAAGTTCTGTCCATGAAGATTCACACTGATGAAGCAGCTGCCATCTTGGATGTGGTGGGGTATTGTGCCCATTATGAAAATCACTCTATGGAGGGTCCAGCTAGCACTTGCAGTTAGATCTGCCAGCCTGGAAGTGGTTCACGTGGTTACTGCTCAGGACTCACTACCCAGAACAAGGAGGAGAGGAGATACACGAAAAGTGTGAGCTCTGCAGATTGTTTTAGGTGTGTGTGTGTACGTGTGTGGTATGGGAAAGGAGGAGTGAATGGGCCAGTGAATGGGAGGAATCCCCTTTGCCCGCTGCTGCGGGGCTGTTGTTCTAGGGCCAAGTACCAAGTGTGAAGATACACAGAGGGATAATGGCAGAATGGCTCACGGCCAATCAGCTGGTGGCGGACAGTGCAGAGGCACTACCTCTGGGATGCACCGGGTAGTATGACATGGAGAGAGTTCTTCAGTCTTTTGGGCAAGACACTTCATCTTTGTGAGCCTCTACCTCCTCTTCTATGAAATGAGATTAAGATGAACACCTGCTTCAATGGTGTTGTCAGGAGTAAGGGGAGAACACAAAGAGTGCAGCGTACATGTGCCCAGTAGATGTTTATGATGAGGCCAGGGGACAAGGGTCTGGAGGGAGCTTCCTAAGTGACAGATTATTTCTTTCCACTAAGACTAGGAGGTGGGAGTGAGGATGGGGTGGGCTGGGGAATACTCCACCTGGCCCGTTCTCAGGTGCCTGGGGGTGTGGGCGGGGGCACGCCTTTCCCCTGGTTCTCCGGCTTGTGGGACTTAATCACACCTCAGTTACTGGCAGAGCTGTCCGGGTGGCACTGAGTCACATCCTCCCCTCTAGGGGAGCTGGGTCTCTGAACTCTCACTGAACATCTTTACTGTTTTGACCCACACAATAAATCCCAAGAAAAACAACATGGCCCCCAGAGTGGCCTCGTTGCTTCTGTTATGCCCTCCATGACCATGGGGTGTGGACATGAGCTTCCCAGCCCTGGGGTTGGAATCAGCTACCCCCTCTCCCCCACAAACACCGGAATTGTGCGTAACTGTACCCATACCATGCAAGAAAAATGTAGTCGTCTCAGCCTGAGGGTTATGATCATGGGCTTGTAGGAAACCTCTGTTCATATCCTGAGTCTTTTGCTCCTGGCTGCAGGATTTTGAGCAAGTCACTTCACCTCTCTAAGCCTCCATTTCCTCATCTGTCAAATGGTCATAGTAATGATGGCACTAGCCTGTTAGGATTACTGTGAAAGTGAATTCAGACAATGCATAGTAAAAGTGCAAGGCTGGAACGTAATATAGGTTAGCAATTGTGACCACCTTTCCCCACAGTAGCCACATTTCTGTAGTCGAACTAGGACAACAGGTTTTGCAACAACAGACATAGAGTTGTTTAAAAATTAAGGAAGAAACAATGGCATTTCTCAGCTAAATGAAAAGAACTGGAAGAATGAATTAGCCAAACTGTAGGCTGAAAGAAATCAAACTACCCAAGAAACATTGCAACAGGAAGCCCACCAACTCCATATATCAGTTTCAAAAGAGGACCCCAATCCTGAGAAAGAAATTCTCACTGTGCTGCCGGCCACCTGGGGCAGCCAACATCATGCACACAAGCCGCATTGTCAGATGCTTGTCTGCAATTCTTCCCTGTGACTTACCAGTGGTATAGCCCTGGGCAAGCCATTTCACTCTTTTGCACCTCTCTTTCTCTGCCTGATAAATGGGAGTAATGATCAGGATCTCTTAGGAGTGTGAGAATTAAGAGATAAAAGCTCCTCAGCTGTGGCTTGCTCATAGTAGGTGTTTTGATATTTGCTAGTTTCCAATCTTTCTACCTTTTCTTGGCCAAATCTTTATGGAAAGCAGCTTTAATGTCTTGTAACCCTGGGACCTGTCTCTATGTTGGTCATTTGGTCTCAATGCTTATTGAACTGTTTACCACCCAAGATGTCTTGGTGTTTGCCTTAGAGAACTGAAATCAGAGTCCAACGTGGAATGGAAGCTGGATGTGATGTAGGGGCTGTTTAGCAAAGGAGTGACTTCCAGCAGTGGCTATGTGCTTCTCGGGCTTGGGTCTGGGCACCCGAGTGAGTTACACCTTCCTCCTCTCACTCACTGCCCCTAATGGCTCATACATGGTTGCAAATCCAGCCTGTAGGTTTACAGGTGTCACCATGGCCGTGAAGCCCTTCTCAGTCAGGAACAAGATTTTACACCTCTTTCTTTCTCTCTGGCGAATGGAGGTATGGGTGGGTGTGGACAGAGGCTTGAACCACAGCTCCCATCCCAAATGAGCCAACACCCCTGTCTTGTCACCAGGCTTTAAAAAAAAATCTAAGTTGTGATTAATGGCATCTTGAGGTTCCCCTTGCAGAAATAAGGTCATGGTGAAGAATATGGCTGATCTGAAACTCCGGTGAACTTCAAGGGCAGGAGCAGAATGATAATTATTCTGGTTTTGGCTCATCTTCCTTCTCTGTGGCCTGTGACTTCAAGGTCGGGGGCTGTCCCTGCCTCTCAGACTTCCTTTCATGCAAATCGCCCTGAGTGAGGGGTGAGGGGTAGCAACACCAGAAAAGGAAGCAAAGGAATGTAATGAACTCCAACCTCCACGGACCTACTTTCTATTTTATAGGCAAGCCTCTAAGGGAGAGGTTTGGCCTTAGCTCCATCGTCACCCAAGCAAGGTCTTGCATATTTCCATAAAATCCCAAACCTAGAAGCAAGCTATGGAGACGAACCTGGTCCATTCATCTCTCAAGAAATGAATGCATTGGTTTCATTCCAGAAAGATCACAGCTCTGAAGGGCTTATGGGTTTTTTTGCAATCCTGTTTTTTTCATCCTGCATGCTTACGGGAATTCAAGTCTCCTAGCTACCTCTTCTCGGGGTGGGTGGAAGGAGGTGAAGGGCCTAGAAGATCAGGGAATAGGCAGCTTTGGGACAGAAGAGACAAAGGAAGCCCCTGAAAAGCAGATCCCTTCTGCATCTAGCTCCCACAGAAGGTACCCCTTTAAAAAAGCATCCTAGTGTATGAGTTCTATTGTGTGCTGGCCTGAGGGCTGCAGGGGGCTTTTTCTTTGCTGGCTTGAGACAGTGGGTGGCTGTGTGTGATATATTTCTTGAGAACCCAAAGTAGTAGCAAGGCTTGCAGTCAAGGAGATGTGGCCAAGGGCAGAGGAGCATGTGTGGAGTGGAGGAAGGAGAACAGATGAAAAGCTAGGAATCCTGCCTCCTTGAGGCACTCAACCCAGTCTTTGAACCATAGATTCCCCATCTGAAAGCAAGGAGCTGGAATCCATCATCTCTCTGCTCCTCTGATTTATAGGCAGGATACCAAGGGAAAGATTTAGTCTTAGCCCCATCATTGCTTAGGTAGGGCTGGCTTGTTTCCAGTGATAATCCCAAATCTAGATGCAGTGACTTTCTGGCACAACCATCTCTCAGGAAGTAAATACACTGGTGACAGTAGGAAGGAGGAGGGTGGAGAAAGCTCCCACTGGCCCTGATTTGTGTGGGCTGAAGTCCAGGCTTGGAAGGCGATCTCTTCCTGGTGTAATTCACTGAGTGCGTCTAAGCAGTGTGGCTTGGGAGGTCACCATGCACTGACCACAACCCTATACACAGACACAGACAGAGACACTCATACACACTCTGTCCCTCTAATTTGTGAGTACAAAGACATGGCCAGAGTTTTTTTTTTTTTTAATGAGACAGAGTTTCACTCTTTTCACCCAGGATAGAGTGCACTGGTGCAATCTTGGCTCACTGCAATCTCCGCCTCCTGGGTTCAAGTGATTCTCCTGCCTCAGCCTCCCGAGTAGCTGGGATTACAAGCGCCCGCCACCATGCCTGGCTTTCTGGCATTTTTTTTTATTTTTTATTTTTAGTAGAGACGGGGTTTCGCCATGTTGGCCAGGCTGGTCTTGAACTCCTGATCTCAGGTGATCCACCTACCTTGGCCTCCCAAAGTGCTGGGATTATAGGCGTGAGCCACCGCACCCAGCCATGGCCACAGTTTTCAAGTGAGAACCATGTTAGGGCCCTAGCTCACTGTTTCCCCATTTACAGATAGGAGAGTACACACCTCACAAGGCACATAACCTCCATTGGGTTACTACTAAATAAAATTTCCCAGCCTCCCAATGTATGTAAATACCCTTAAATCTCATAATACAAATAAGGCCATTTGGTGCAGCTGCACAAATGCCCGGTAACCTTAGGCAAGTCATGTAAAACTTTCAGGATGGAATTCGTGTAGCTGCAAAATAAAGATGTTGAATTACCTGCTCTCCAAAATCCCTCTGTCCTCTGTAAGTATGCATGAGTAGACTGTGACAGCCTCTGGGTAATTCAAGCATTAAAATAATATCCACAACCCCTCAATTGCTTATTTTCTCTCTCAGATACAAGTCTGTTGATATTAATAAAGACTGTTGATATTGATGAAGAACTATCAATATCCATCTCTACTGCTAAGGAACCTAAGTTGTTCCAAACATGATTTGGAGCATGTGATGTCTCTGAGGGATGTGACTTGAGACATCTATCCAGGTTTCTTCCTTGCTTAGTCAGCATTTTCTTTCAAATATGGTATAAAAGGTACAATATGGAGCTTGGTGGCACCACCAGGGAGGTGATGAGGAAGAAGGTGCTGCCTGTAACAGTAGCAGAAGAAGTGAGAATCTCCCTGACCCCTCTGCCTCCCCTGCAGACTCCAACAGCAAAACGGGGGCCCACACAGGATATGGGATCCAAGAGGGATTTTTCTGCCTGTTGTGGCCTCCAAATTCTCCAAATAGGTCCGTTCACACAAACAAGGGTAGTTTGTTCTCCCAGCGACAGGTACGTGTGAGCCAATACTTGGGTGGGGGGATGTCAATGGGGGTAAAAGAAAACCTTTGCCTAGTGGGCAGCAGGCGGGGGCCCCCACCAGGGCGTCTCTGATGAAAACGTTCAGCTTGATGTGGCGTCTCTGGTTCCTCTGAACGCGCTCAGAGACAGAGGCGTTGAGCGGTGCTCTCTGTGTTTGAAGGTGTTTCTCTACAGCAAACACCAGGCGGAGAAGAGAAAAACCCAAACCACTTCAAGTGGATTCCGATTTTGAAAGCCACCACATGAAAAGTGCAGAGACCTAAGCCCCCTTTAGTACGAGCCCAAGAGTAACAGGCTCAGGCTGGGGCGGGTCGCCTGCTCCTGGGCTGCCAGCCCCCTGGAGGCCCTGTGCGTGTGACTCTACGGCCAAAGACATCAGTGGAGGGGGAGGTGGGAGCTTTCATCTCTGCACACCGACTTGCTCAGAACTAGACCACAGCGCCGCTCCATGCGGATGCCCTAAGTAGGACAACTTTCATTTGTGACCACGTGGCCCCACCCATCTCTGAACTTCCTGAGGTTTGGCACAGACCTGGGAAGAGTTATGACCTTCAGAGAAGACCGTAAAGCACACCAAGAGCCGATACTCTGAGTTAAAGCCATTCATTCATTCATTTGTCCATTCATTCATTCTTTCCTCCCAACCATATTTTTTTAAACATCTCAACACAACTTCTCCTCACCACCCACAATTCGGTAACGAGAGGAGCACCCGATATTTTTCCCTGCTGTCCTCCACGTTGACCTGATTCCTTTGGTCTTGGCACCTGTTTGCCAACTCCTAACAATTGGCTTTTGCTTGATTGACCCCCTTGCCAAAGCCTGATCCAAGACCCTAAACTTAGAAGAGTTTATTTTGCCTCTCCTCTTCTGCATTTCATGTAATCCAAAATGTGTCTAAACTCTAAATTATAAAATACAGAAGTAAGAAGTATGTTAAAATGACATTGTGCCGAAGTTATTGATAATACAATGTGGGAAAATTCACCAAAGTTGGAATTCTTGTTTTGCTCTGCGGTGTCCTTGTTTTGCTGGGGCCCTAAGATACATTTAGTCAGACCTTCAGGGAATCCCCCACGACTGTCTGCTCCCTGATCCCTGCTTTCAACCCCTAGGGAACCTCCTCTGGCCCCAACCCCGGCTGAGACACAATGCAACCCACCAGCTTCTGCAGTGGTCAGAGCATTTATCTAATCTCTGGGCTCAGACAGTGCAGGGAAAGAGAAGTTCCATGACTCGAAAAAGGCATTTAAAGTGGACGTTAGACTTTTCATTGCTGCCATGTGAACCTATGCTCCCTTTTATCCTGATGAGTGAAACGTCCATTTGCTGCTGTAACAAATTACCACAAACTTGGTGGCTTAAATCAACATAAATTTATGTTTCAGTTCTAGAAGTCAGATGCACAAATAGGTCTCACTGGGCTAAAATCAAGGTGTCTGCCAGGCTGTGTTCCTTCTGGAGGCTGTGGGGGAGAATCTGTTTTCTTGCCTTTTCCAGCTTCTAGAGGCTGCAACATTCCTTGGCTTTTGGCTCCTTCCTCTGTCTTCAAAGCCAGCAATGGCAGGTGAAGCTCTTCTCATCCTGTTTCACTCTGACCTCTTCTGCCTCCCTCCCACTGTAAAGAACTCTTGTGAATAATTATGCCCACCCAGATAGTCCAGGGTATTGTCCTTATTTTAACGTCAGCTGATTAGCAAATTTAATTCCATCTGTATCTTTAATTTCCCCTTGCAATTCCCATGTAATATAGCATATTCACAGGTTCTAGGGATTGGGACATGGATATCTTTGAGGGACTAGTATTCTGTCTGCCATAGCTGGAGGTCTGCAGAATCAGCTGGGTTCTAGGTACTTCGTGTCTGCCTTTTTTTTTTTTTTTTTTTTTTTTTGAGACAGTCTTGCTCTGTCACCCAGGTTAGAGTGCAAGGGCACGATCTCGGCTCACTGCAACTTCCACCTCCCAGGTTCAAGCAATTCTCCTGCCTCAGCCTCCCGAGTAGCTTGGATTACAGGTATGCGCCACCATGACTGGTTAATTTTTGTATTTTTAGTAAAGATGGGATTTTGCCATATTGGCCAGGCTGGTCTCAAACCCCTGACCTCAGGTGATCCACCTGCCTTGACCTCCCAAAGTGCCAGGATTATAGGCATGAGCCACTTTGCCCAGCCTTTTTTTTTTTTTAATTTTCAGAAAAAAGAACAAACAATAAAGCTGTGGCTTTATGGCTCACAAAGATCCATAAACCCGTGCTCACTCAGACACTAGTCAAAAATGCAGATGTCTGGTTTACCAGCTGAGATTCAGGTTGCGCAATTCCAGGAGAGGCCCAGCCATTTGCATTTTAACAAGCTCCCCAAGGGGACCCCAATGCAAATGCACTAGGAGCTGCACCCTGGAGACTCTGGTGTCCAGGGAGCACTGACAGCACATGGACTTTCGGGTCCTCAGTCCACCTCTAAGTACAAAGTCTAGTCACTGAGAACAGAAGAAAGGACCCTACTGTATAGCCCGGCAGTTAGTGCACTCCATAGTCCAGGCTTTTGTGGACTGATTCTGGAGCCCAGGGAGATGGGGTTCAGGGGGTTGAGCTTAAGCTGCAAAGAATGGTCTTTGTACCATCAGCAGTCCTACCCTCTGCCAAGTCAGGGCAGTCAGGAGGACTATCCCCTTGTAAGACTCAGTGCAAGGGGTCAAGGCTGTGAGTCATCATTCTATGGTGAGGGGCTTCATTTTGATTGAACATATTCTAGACAGTCCAACATGGTATAGAGGAAAGGATAAGGACTTTGGCATCCAGTTAGGATTCAATTCAAGTTCAGGGATGAGTAGCTGTGTGATTTTGTGTATGTTGCCTAAACTCTCTGAGCTATAACATAAAGACTATTGCATGGTAGTGACCTTAACTGAGATATGCATATGTTGAGTTTCTGATATACAGAATGGACAAAATAAAAGCCTTCCTCTCTACATCTAAAAAGAGTAATAGAGGCCGGGTGTGGTGGCTCAGGCCTGTAATCCCAGCACTTTGGGAGGCTGAGGCAGGTGGATCACTTGAGATCAGGAGTCTGAGACCAGCTTGGCCAACATGGTGAAATCTTGTCTCTACTAAAAATACCCAAATTAGCTGGGTGTGGTGGTGCACGCTTGTAATCCTAGCTATTCAGGAGGCTGAGGCAGAAGAATCACTTGAACTCAGGGAGGTTGCAGTGAGATTTTGCCATTGCACTCCAGCCTGGGCGACAGAGCAAGAATCCATCTCCAAAAAAAGAGAATAATAGTTAACTATTTATTGAGAAGTTGCATGTTTGTTACTCTGCTAAACTCCTGTTGTTCATTATTCATTGAATACTCACAACTCTTAAAATGGAAGTAATTTCACAGGACTGACTTCATAAAGATGAGAAAACAGAGACACGAGCAAGGAAAGTCACTTGCTCAGACTCAAAGACCTAATGATGAGATGGGATCTGAACTCAGAGGCTAAGTCAGAGTGTAGTCTCTTCAGCAGATTGTCTTGGACAATGCAGATTTTAAACATTCTGCCCCATTGTCAGTCATGGCTACTTTTTAATTTGGAATACATGCTGCTTTTTTTATTTGGAAAATATGGTCAATGAACAGACAAAACTTACAGCCTCATGATGTTTTACTTCCATTTTTGTTGAGGGGAAAGGCAAGAGGAGAACCATAGTGAAGTATCTCTTCTGTGCAAAAATGGAAAGGAAGTTCATTGGAAACCATGTATTGATTGAAAAATGATTTGAAACAGGCCAGGCAGGGTGCGGGGGCTCATGCCTGTAATCCCAGCACTTTGGGAGGTCGAGGCAGGCAGATCACGAGGTCAGGAGATCGAGACCGTCCTGGCTAACACGGTGAAATCCTGTCTCTACTAAAAATACAAAAAGTTTGCCAGGTGTGGTGGCAGGCACCTGGAATCCCACCTACTCGGGAGGCTGAGGTAGGAGAATCTCTTGAACCTGGGAGGCAGAGGTTGCAGTGAGCCGAGATCGTGCCACTTCATTCCATCCTGGGGACAGATCAAGACTCCATCTCAAAGAAAAAAAAAGAAAGAAAGAAAGAAAGGAAAGAAAAGAAAACAGGCCACAGACTCCACCCTGGAGTTTTTCTGCCAGCCTGCAAGTCCTATCTGAACAGTGTGCATTTTGAGGCTTTTTATGTAGCAGGCCCCTGACCCTTTAGACTGGTCTAAATAAATGTTTGCAGCAGGCCTTCTTGGGACTCGGGGTCCCCAGCACAGATTTGTCATCCAAGAAAGGAGGGTTGTGAAAGGAGTTAATGTTTACCCAGCGTTCTGTGGCCACCATTTTTCTGTCTTTCTGTCTCTTGAAACATTTCCTTAGGGACACGTCTCCATTACACAAGCTGGAAGGAGCTTGGGAAAGCATCAAAAAGCACAAATGTGTGTGAAACATAAAAGAAACTTTTAAAATTTGGGTGGAAACCAAACCAGGCTGAGATGGGTATTGCAAGTGAAGGGCTGGGTTAGGACTGAGCAACTTTGACATCACCCATCAGTGCCAGAGGTCACTGCACTGGGATCGGAGTGCAGGAGCCACATCTTGTGCTCTGAGAAAGGATGGTCATGGTGGTGATGGTGATGACGACATTGATGATGAAAAGGATAAAGCTTCCCTGTTCATTTCCTGGGATTGCCTAACAAATGACCATAAAACGCATGGCCTAGAACAACAGAAATTCATTCTCCCCACAGTTCTGGAGGCCAGAAGTCTAAAATCGAGGTGTCGGCAGGGCTGCGCTTCCTTTCAAGGCTCCAGGGGAGGATCCTTCTCTGCCTCTTCCCATGTCTGGTGGCGGCGGGCAATCCTTGACGTACTCTGGCTTCTGGCTGTGTCACTCCAATCTCTGTTCTCATTTCTCATGGTGTTTTCTCTTCTGTGTGCCTGTGTATCTAAATCTCTCTTTTTTAATTTTGATTTTTATTGTTTTTTGAGTCCGGTCTCACTCTGTGCCCCAGGCTGGAGAGCAGTGGTGCAATCATGGCTCACTGTAACCTCAAACTACTGGGTTCAAGCGATCCTCCTGCCTCAGCCTCCCAAAATGCTCCTTAGGCAGACGCCAGTAATTGAATCTAGGACACGTGCAGTTCGGTGTAACCTCATCTTAACCTGATTACATCTGCAAAGACCGCATTTCCAAAGGAATTCGCATACAGGGGTACCAGGAGCTAGGACCTCAGTATGACTTTTGGGGGGTGCCCATTCCACCCACAAAAGTTTCTAATCATGTTTGACATTTATGGAGCTATGACTTTGTTACAGGACTGTAGCAGGCACTTTGCAATGCCTGGGTCAACCCATATGGAATTGCTGCATCTGTAGGCTATAAATTGTTGAATATCACCAATTTCATATGCTAAACTTCATATTATCTCATTTACCTCTCTAAGATTAGTACTATTATTACTATTATTATCTCATTTAACTCTCTGAGATTAGTACTATTAGTACTATTGTATCTGCTAACAGAGGAGAAAAAGAGCCACCTACATTTGTCAGGGAGATGAAGTAGTGGATGGCTTTAGGAATTGTACAGACACTAGTCAAACTATCCCTTCCTCTCTATGTGACCAGGAGGGAGTTACCTAATCCCCCTGAGCTTCTATGTGTCTGTTTATAAAATTTGAGACAACTTTTCTGTAATAACGCCTGTGTGTATAAATACGACAATTGCCCAAGCCAATAATTTGGAAGTGAGGAGAAGCATCTCACAAGGTGTCTGGTCTTTAGGAGGCATTATATCTGTGCCTCCTAAAGTGTGATCTGGGGAACACTACACTTGGGAATTGGCTGGGAGTTGACTGGGGGTGGGGCACATCTGTTAAGAATGCAGGTTCCTAGGATCTGCCCAGCGCTACTAATTTGACATCTCTCTAAGGGAAGGCCTGGAAAAGTGCATTTTAATTGGTGCCCCTGGGGTAATGCCTGCGATTGCAAACATTATAAAACTGTACTAAGTGAATACAAGTTTGCTTCTTTCCTTTCAACAGGACACAGCTGTCTAATTAGGACTAGATTGAGTCGTCCAGGTACCTGCCCCCTGCAAGTTCAGAGACAGTCTCGGGAAATGGGAGACCAGCTGACAGCCATCCTTTGCCCAAAAAGGGCAGGTTAGATGGCAACCGTTCAAGGGGAAAGTGAATCTTTAGCAAAATCTTTAGTTGCATGTTCCTGACTTTTCCATTACTTGGATGAAAATAAATACCATGCTTAAAAACTACAGGTTTAAAAATCAATGCCATCTTTCTTCTGGAAGCGAAATCCCTGTGACTTGCCAGGACAGAGAGGAAAAAGAAACAAACAAGGTCTCTTCCCAAGATTTTTGTTTTCCCTCCTGCAAATCCTCCGGCTTGCTTTTCCATCAACTTGTTCTCTCACCTAAGAACCATTTTCTCTCTTGTGTACAGAACGAAGAGGCCCTTGACTTTCAAAGTGAGCTTTTGGAAGGAAGATGCCTGCTTGAAGTATTGCTTTTTCCGTGTCTGTGTCTGAAAGCGCAAGAGCTGTTTCTAGCCTCCTTGAGTGCCGGGTTTGGGGTTTCGTGGGTAGAAGGCACTAGCAGTTTCAGAAACCAAGCCTTGCTCTCGGTGTGATTTGCGTAGTCAGGAAGCCTGTCGAGCTACCCAAACAGGGACCCGCCCTGACAGGGGGACAGGAGATGGCTCCCTGCCTTCCTGCCTGCTGGCCCCCAAGTGTCTGCCCCTTCTGCTGACACTGGATCTTCGGGGCAAAGGCACAGCCTACTGAACACGTCTATTAATGTGAAAGTAGGTGGTGTACCAGGTTCCTGGGGAATGGGGCCATGGAAAAGTTGTAGGCTGGAGGAGGAGGAATTCAGAATTTGGAAACTTGCTATACCCCTCAAATATATGTATACAGGATACAGCATGCTTCCTATTTTCTGGGGGAATATGCTAAAGATTCTGAATATATTTTATCATTCAATTCTCACCTCCAGCTGCTCCGGAGGTAGCCCTGTCATCAACATTTTATAGACAGGAACCAGTGGCTTCAGGAATCAGATGACTTCTCTAAGGTCACGCACATAGGAAATGGTAGAATGCTGCTTCTTCCCTCTCCACCCCCTCATTCTCACCCCGATCCATGCATGTGGGGTCCTAGTCAGCTCTCCATTGTTTCTGGCTGGGTCACTGTGACCTCCTTGAGCTTCACTGTCCTCTTTTGGAAAGTGGGAATGACAGCAATACCAGCCTAGGGTGAAGAGAAAATGGGGCTGAAAGTTACAAGGAGGTTTCACTTCTATTAAGGGACACGTAAAGGTTAGTGGCTCTGAGTTTCATTCTGTTCCATGAACGCACACTCCATGGACTTGCTTTCTGAGTAGCTGTGGGGAATGGGACCTGGGGAAGAGGCTGAAGCGGGGAGCACAGGCCAGGACAGAACAGAGATGCCCACTGCAGGTGGATCCTGGGCTGCAGGATGACGAAGCTGGAGAGAGGGACATTCAAGCACTGACCCCTCACCCCTGCAAGTGGCTCAGATCTGACTGTACTAAAGTGTGAACCCCCAGAGGGCAAGGACCGTGGCCAGTTCCTCTCCTAATGGCATATGTTGCCTCGCGCAGGGGTTCTCTTACACTTTGACCTCCAAGCCTGGGATTCATTCGAGCAGAGCTGCTGCTGCTTCTTTTTTTTTCTTTTATATATTTTTTTAACAACCTGCTTATTGTTTTTAAAATAACTCTCCCAGAGCTTTGGCAGAGCACTAGATGATTTGGGGAAAGTCCAGCCTATTCTTCATAAAAAGGCAATCTAAATTACACTGATTTGGAAAATGTTATAAATACGGGGCTTGCCCGGGACACAGTTTGTGGGCAATGGAAGTGTTCTCGATGCTTTGATGTGAAGCATGGTTTCTGCTGCCCCTGTCACAGGCTCCAAAGCAGAGTGATTCTTCTGATGATGATGTGAGGCCACAGCAGGTAAGGAAACAGGAAGACCATCAGCTCGATAAGCTGCCCTATTAACCAGAAGTGATTTTCAGCTCTCTTTAAGAAGGGAAAAAATTACATTTAGGAAAATCCAGAAAAGGTTAAGCCAGTTGCACGTGTTGGTTAACCGGGCTTGCAGCAGAAGTCACTCTATAATTGGGACTTTTTTGATAAATCCAGTTTTGTGTAAATGCCGGGAGAAGAGAGGTCTGGGGCAGACTCACCTCAACATTTGTGGGGACTGGATCAAGAGTCCAGCTGCAGTCTAAGTTTTGAAAAGGGCAAATCCAACTAAGAAACTATTAAAACATAACCTCTATCCTCCTATTTTGGCAAATACATGTTCGCAACTATTTGAAGGCCAGGTTCAAATTTAAAAGTTTTAGAACCCCTGGGATTCTGCAACAAAACCTGTATGCACAGGCCAGCTTGGGGGGCCACCACCTAAACTCATTCTTCCACCATGAGGGATCACTTGCATATGTGTCTTTTGAGTTTCCTAGGGCTGCTTGAAGCAAGGACCAAGAACTGGAAGGCTTAAAATAGATATTTCTTCTCTCTGGGGTGCTGCAGTGCTATTCACACTCCAGGGCCCCTGTGGGCTCAGGGTGATGCTAGACTTCAGCTGAACCCACATCTCCATCCACTGTCTTGTCCAGCCCCTGCATTACTAGCTCCTATCCTGGCTTCCCTGTCACTACACTGCTCACCAGGAATCACTCTCTCCCATTGTACTCCTCAGGAACTGCACCTAAGACAGCGTGGGAACATTTTAAAGGACTCTGATGCGGATTCCTTATTGAGTATGAATTGACTCTGAAGATTTAGTTTCCCTCTTCCTTGATCCATTGTCAAAGCAGTCTAGTGATTGCCACCCCCGACCCTGAGAAAGGAGTGTCTCCCAGATCAGAATGGGAGGGGAAGAAGCAAAGATAAAGGCAGGTGAAAAAGCAGCAAGAGACAGGGAGAAAAAGAGACAGAAGGAAAAAGAGCAGAGAGGAAGAGGAAGAAGAGACGAAGACAAATAGAGGATGAATGATTATCCAGAGGCTACCAGAGGGAAGAAGTAGAAGATAGGAGGTTGGACGGAAGATGTGCACATACCTTTTCTTGTTTTTGCACATACATTTAACCAATAGTTTCAATATGAAAAAAAAAAAAAGGACATGGAGGGTAATGAGCAAAGGGTATTAGGTAAATGCTCCAGCTAATCCCAAAGTCTAGGGGGATGATCGTGAAAGATGAAAGAAAGCCTCTAAAAAGAGTTAGAAAATACAATCTATGGTTTAATAAAAGAAGTCAGAGGTCATAACAAATAAAAAAGAGAGCCATAGGGTACTTAATACCAAATATTTAAGGTGAGCCTTGCTTTAAGCAAGTGAGCTGTATTCCTGAAAAAAGGTTTGTAATTCAGTTGTTTGTATATGAAATCCCATCTCAAGCACCTTGAGAAAGCTCACTCTTTGAAGACTTTTTTTTTTTTTTTTTTTTTGAGAGGGAGTCTTGCTCTGTCGCCAGGCTGGAGTGCAGTGGCGCCATCTCGGCTCACTGCAACCTCCGCCTCCCAGGTTCAAGCGATTCTCCTTCTTCAGCCTCCTCAGTAGCTGGGACTACAGGTGCACCACCACGCCTAGCTAATTTTTGTCTTTTTAGTAGAGACGGGGTTTGACCATGTTGGCCAGGATGGTCTCCATCTCTTGACCTTGTGATCTGCCTGCCTCAGCCTCCTAAAGTGCTCATCGGAAAATCCATTACAATCCTTTACGCCTACAGCACACACTCTCCCCTAAACTCCTGTATTAATTGTAGAACCCTGCATTTCTGTGTGTGGCTAGCAAGGACCACAATGAGGATACTGATCTGCAATCTCACCCCAGGATAGTTTGATATGGAACAATCCAACAGGAGTCCTGGTGTCTGGGTCTTGAAGGTAAGAGTTAAAAAAGGCCGGGTGCAGTGGCTCATGCCTGTAATACCATCACTATGGGAGGCCGAGGCTGTTGGATCACGAGGTCAGGAGTTCGAGACCAGCCTGGACAAGATGGTGAAACCCCGTCTCTACTAAAAATACAAAAATTAGCCTAGTGCCATGAGTTCTAGAAATGCCAATTAGGAAGCCAAAAGTCTGTCTAAACTGGGGACACCCGTGGTTTCAAAGTGGAATGGAGACTCGGAGTGGTATTTTGTAAATATCCATGGCCCAGGCATTAAGGAAGCCACCCCAAGTTCCCTGGGAGAGGAGATTATAAAACTGTTAGGAGGTTGGTGGATCAATTTCTCTTTTAACTTTGTGATCATAAAAACAGCAGAACCAGAATAACCACTAATGTAGCATCAGTGATGTGGGCACTAGGGTATCCCTCCTCTAAAAGGAAAATATTAATGGTGTCACCAAAGAGTGGGAGCCTGAATCTTTAAGGTGATCTGAATCTTTAAGTGACAGAAGTCCTGCAACTTGGAGTCCCAGGAATACTTATAACTGGCCCCACAGTCACCGCTTCCCCAAAGGCTACGGTAACAGAATGAACTCAACTCTCTTTAGCCAAAGAAGACCTTTTAGATTAGGAAGGTGCAAATTCTCAAATTACTCAGTATCAGTTTGTCATATGATCTCTCCAATCAAAACTGTAAGTAGATCTCTTTACTTTCTCTTTAGTTTAATAAATAGCATTGGCAGGTGGTTTCATCTGGGGGTTTAATATTCTCCCTTGAACAGTATTTTATCGCCTGAGGAGAATGATTTTGGGTGCAGAACTACAAAGCTAGTCTCAGGGTGGACTGTGGGCTGTCAGCTAAACCCATTCATTAATCCAAAGGGTCCTATTTGCTTATGAGTTTCATCAAAGGCATGTTTCAAACCCATGAAGCAGCAAAAATGACAAGTTAGGAAGTCATAAAGCTTTGGGTTACTCACAAATAGTCAAAACCACAAATGTCAAACCTGCACCTGCCAAGGGTCTATTGTACCAGATTCTGAGCTCCTTGAGGGTGGGGAATAGGGAATGTTTCTGATTCATCTTTGTATCTCTGGTAACTGCAACCAGCACAGTACCAGGCATTGTGAATGTCCTTCACATATTTATGGCGTGAGTGGATAGATGGACGGATGAATGGATGGATGGATGAATGGATGAATGGATAGGGTTTGTGTAAGATAATAATTTTTAAACTCAATGATGAACAAAGAAAACCATCTTTCTAGAAAAGCACGCCATGTTACATTAGACATATGAAACTTCCTCCCAGTTCACAATAAGTACATTCCAGAAAGTTTACACTTTGGGCTAGAATTTGCAATATATTCTTTTTAAAAGCTTCTTAAAATTGGTAAAAAGTTCTCCTCATTCTAGAGCAGTGTAAGCATAAATCTTTGTATTTTAAAAAGATCCTCAAATGCTTAATTTGTAGTCCCAAATTCTACATCCAACGCCTTTAGGTCACCTATATGCTTTTCTGATGACTGAAAGAAAGGGAATGACAAACTTTTAAAAAACGATTAAAAAGATCTCTTAAAAAACATTTTGCAAGTCTTTGAAGCTGTCATAAAAATCTTAGGTAGTTTCTGAAAATTGTCCAAATATGGTAGTGTCGCCATAACCAATTGCTCAGCAATCATTACAGACTCTGGGTTAGCTCTGACAAAGGAACTAATATTCTGAAAATGAAAGTATCTGAGAACTAAGCACAGGCCGCACAGAACCTGCACGCTGCTTTGGCACTTGCACTACCTCCAGAGACCTTGGGCAGATGCACCTGAACTTTCACCAAGCTGCTTGGCCTGTCCTCAAACAGACATGCCAGTGTCTCCTGCACGGGGTAGCTGGGGAGCTAATCTGCTTCACTCACCTTCCATTTAAGTGAAACCATAATCTACCCCCTGCACCTCCTCCTCAAAAAAAAAAAAAAAAAAGACAAAGCCCCATAGTAGTGATTGATGGCAGAACAAGGGTCCTTTTAGCACAAATTTACACTTACCATGTTCCTCAACTACAAGGTATTTTAATAAAGTTAATCTCCTGATATTTGTGCTAGAAATTGCTGGTATTAAGTGGCGATTTAGCAGAACACCACTGACCCTTCAGCAAGCTTTGCGCCCAGGAGCTTAAAGCAAACAAGCTATGGCAAACCACCTCCATCCGCCTTCTACCCCAGCAGAACTCCCTTTGGTATGAAGGTCTTGATATGAAAGATGTTGCACTTCCTTCTTTCTGCCATATGCATTCTTGCAGCAAGAAAAGGTGAAGGACGGGTACTACTTCCACACCATCCAAAGGCAAATGCCCCATTCACTTGGCAACATCACCCCTTAGAGGGTTCCACTGGGTAATTACAAAATACCTGAGTGGCAACTATATGCTGGGCCTAAAGTAAGGCATCAAAAAATTTACCCAAAACCTTTACATCTAGCTCATTGCAGACGCCTAACATAAAAGGGCACCAGGAAAGAGAGCAGAGATATTTCTAGTTCGGCAGATGTCTGCCAATGCTTTTCTCACATTTTGACCATCATCATAATAATCCCAATGATATAATCATCGATAATAATAATGTTAGTCATAAAACAAGGGTGACTTTTTAAGAAAGGTTGGGAAGTTGTTTCAAACTGTGCAGGGCTGGTGTCACAGGAAAATGTCAAACTTTCCACTTTAACTTCCGTTTTTCAGGCATGAACACTTTGCTTTGGGGGAAATCTGGGCACTATGAGGGCTCAACCTGAGAACAAACTTCAAGTGTGCACCGTGCCTCTTTTCTGCTCATCTCTCAGTCACCTGGACTCGTTAAAAATACAGAACTCTGGGTCCAGCCAGACTGAAAATCAGCTCTCCCCCCAGCCAACAGTCCAAGCCTGGATTTCCACGAAGGCACGCGGCTCTCTTTACAGATTGCAGATTTACATGGTAAAAATAGAAACGTACGGCATCACATGTATATGCAAATTTGCCAACCAAACTCAGTGCTGAAAATAGTTATTTACTATTTGGCTTGCATATTGGCCCAGAAAACCTTCCATACCTATTTCATGCTCATTTAAATTCTTTAAGAGTTCCTGACCCATTTAAATTCCTTGAGGGATGCCTGGCTTCATAGGCATTTGTCTGCTGCTCTCCCCAGCAGCTTTTAAAGAAATATTGCCTGTCAGTGCAGACTGGACTTTGGAAAAAATATCTATTAAAAAAATATTTTTAATATATACGGCCCCCCTTTCGTTAGGTCTTTAAGCCATAATATATACGGCCCCGCTTTCCTTAGGTCCATTCTGGGCACTGTTTAGCCACGAGTGGCCTTGGACCTAGAATTAGGGCTTCCTTCTTGATAGCTCCTTTAGGATTAGGGACGAGAATGCCTAAGCTGTACAGCTGGAAAATAGGGACAGCAGTTTTTCCGAAAATTTGGTCCCTGGACACCTACATCAGAGTCCCCTAGGTGTGGGGAGCAGGGAAGGCTTGTGCAAAACGCAAGCTCCTGACTCCTCTCTAGAACCGCTGACTCTGAATTTCTGGGAGTGGGACTCTGGATGTTGCTTTTATAGGAAGTTTACCATGGTGATTCTGGTGGCCTCCAGGGGTGGGGAATCCATTACTCAGAAACCACCCTGAAATCCTGAAAGTGTGCTGCTCAGGAGCTGGATTCCGCAAGGCCAGAGGGCACCGCAGGACTCACCACCAAATGAGGGCACTGACGTCCTGCAGGAAGGCGGGAGGTGACTTCCCCAACGTGACCAGCGCACACTGAGGTCTGCACTGCCATTCTTTCCAGGAGCAATTCTGGTGCTCACAGAAGGGACCACTGTTCCTAAGGGCAGTGTGGCAAATTATTCCCACTGCACAACTGGCTGAGCCAAAGGGGCACCATCTCTGCCCCCATATTTAGGGACGATGACTCAGTACAGTTTGGGTTCTACAGCACGACAGTGTGTGTTTAAACCCTGGCCCTACCTCCCACTGGCTACTTCAGTTTACAGAGGAAATGATAACAGTTCCTACCTAATAAGTTTATTGAGAGATCAAATAAGATCAATATTGATAGGCATCTGGGTGATATGGGCCAACTAGTCAGCCCTTAATAAGCAGTAGCTAGCTGGTTTTTCTTTTAAAATACTTTTAAAATACTTTTTAAATACTTTTTTGTTTAAAAACCGTTTAGAATTTACAGCATTCCAAAGACTCTCCCCAGAAAGTCTATCTAGGTGAACAGGCAAGTTTGGTTTGGAAAATGAGGTGATGATGCAAAGTGAAGCCTACAGAAACTATGGAACCTTCTTAGAAAAGTCCTCTGTACTATCCTCTGCTAGAGAAGGAAGCTGAGGTCACCTGATATTGAAAAGTTGGCCCCACCATCAAGTAGCAGATAGTTTCATAGCATAAATTCACTGCCAACTACTTAGTGGGTTCTTGATACATTTGGCAGTATGCTGTTTCTCATCTTCACTCACACATTTATTTGCCACACCATTATCCTTGCATGCACACGTGTATATGTGCATGCACACTTGAACAATAATACTTCTTTCACTCACTTTTTTCAGCATAGGCAAAGACACATCTATTGAAATATCTATCCAGGCATACATACTGGTGCCTCACATAGATACAGAACTTGCTCAGAGCTACCCACAGACATTCCCACGCATCTTTAACAGGTGAAACAACCCAGACAGAGGCAAATGCCCACACGTCCACCCGTTCTCACATGGCCGTATCCACAGGCTCCCACACAACCCAGGACACAGCTTTGTGTGCCTCTGCACAAACACCCTCGTAGAGACACAACTGCACAAATGCACTCAACATGCCTCTTCCCCGCCTCCTCCCACACAAACGTATCGACGAGTTCTTGGAGTATGGCACAGACCTGACTCTCTGGCAAAAAACCAAAAAACAAACAGACAAAAAAACCCTTTGGAAACCCATTAAAAACCGAAGCCAGAAGTGAGCGTCCCCTTCGCGTTATGTCAGCAGGCTGCTGACTGTGGGAGCAGGGAGCATGAACACAAACGAACATTCCAGAATCAGCTTTGTTGTCCTCCACGTACTCTGCCTTCCTTTTTTTTTTTTTTTTTTCCTTCAGCAACAACAGAAATCTGTGAAATGACTGAGGGTGGTTAATTAAGCATTGCAGCCCATATTCCACTGCAGTTTCAATTGGATATGGTGTTCTCTTTCACTTCCTGTTATGCAGGATTGCGGCAGGCTGTTAGACACCTGCCACGCTCCCAGCCCAGCTGCTGTTCAGCTAGGGGCAGAGAGGAAGCACTCCCGGGCCCTCGGCCTTGAGAGGGTCTCATTCTGCAAACCAGCCCCTTCCCGGTGAGGCGGGGGCTGGCGGGGGAGGCACAGCTGATGTGAGTCCACACTGGAAGCTTGAGGACCAGCAGCTGGCGGTAAAGACCTTAGTCCATTGTGAGGGTTGTGGCAGGAGGCCAAGTGTTTTCCCCCAAACCCCCAAACCCTGAGTCCTGCCATGACCCACGTGTAATTAAAGCTGGAGTGTCTACGCAGGCCGGAAATCAGATGTTATTTTTTGGTTTGCCTGGATCCCTTAGCGTCAGGAATCAGACTGCATGCAGAAACATCCACTTGTTTGTTGAGCCATTTATTTGCTCATTCATTCATCCACTCATTCTTTCATTCACTCATTCATTTATTCACTCATTCATTCATTCACTCATTCTTTCATTCACTCATTCATTTATTCACCCATTCATTCACTCACTCATTCTTTCATTCACTCACTCATTCATTTATTCATCACCTTGGGAGAACCTCCTATGGGTTAGCTTCTCTGTGTTAGGCAGTCACCAAACAGACAAGGCACATTTTAATTTTAATAAAGCTAGCTAACCCTCCTCATCGTAGCTCCGATTTATTGAGAACCCATTATGTGCCAAACAACATGTGCCATACCAGTGAGCTCCAGCACCCTTTATTTAACAAAACTACTCCCAGTTCCTTGGGGATATTTTTCACTGCTTGTAATTACTCTGTTTTTATCAGAAAACAGAGAGGAAGGCATTGGAGGGAGGGCAGAGGGAGGGTGAAGGGGAAGCAGGGGAGGAGTGGACTCCAGGCTTCTTCAAGGAGATGATGACAGTGATGGATTAATGATGCTCACAAGTTCTTTGATGCTTCTGCCATCAAGAGGTGGGGTGTGTATCTCCTCCCCTTGAGCCTGGGCTGACCTGCTTTGACTAATAGTGTACAGTGAAAGTCACACCATCGCCATTTCTGATATTTCAAGGCAGTTTCTATTTCCTTTCTCTTGGAGATCTGAGTTGCTACATCCTAAGCCGGTTACATAAGAATCCCGAGGCTGCCATGCTGTGAGGAGGTCCAAGCTGCTACGTGGGGAGGCCATGTGGACAGAGAGTGAGCTGCCTATTCAGCCCCCAGCCCTTGGGAGTCATCACAGTTTAGCTCCATACATCACTGAACAAAGCAAAGTCACCTCTGCTGAGCCCTGTGTGAATTCCTGACACGTGAAATTTTGAGATACAGTAATAATCAATTATTTTAAACCATTAAGTTTTGGGAAGGTGTTGTTATATAGAAATAGATAATAAGCTTATTGACTGAGTAGTGGAATCTTACAGGTGAGTGAATTAGGTAAACATGAGGAAAGGAAGGACATTCCAGGTGGAAGAGAATAAGCAGTGTGTTGTTTGTTTGTTTTTTGAGATAGGGTCTCGCTGTGTCACCCAGGCTGGAGTATAGTGGTGCCATCTCAGCTCACTGCAACCTCCTCCTCCCAGGTTCAAGCAATTCTCCTGCCTCAGCCTCCTGAGTAGCTGGGATCACAGGCACGCACCACCATGCCCAGCTAATTTTTCTATTTTTAGTAGAGATGGGGTTTCACCATGTTGGCCAGGCTGGTCTTAAACTCCTAACCTCAGGTGATCCACCCGCCTCGGCCTCCCAAAGTGTTGGGATTACAGGCGTAAGCCACTGCACCCAGCCTGTTTGTTTGTTAAAGGAGACAGAGAAGCAAAGATACCTGCTGAGATCTCTAAGTGGTTTGGTCTTAGTGAAGTATGAGGCCATGCAAGGACTTGTATTCCAAGCTAAGAAAATGTCACTCGATTCTCAAGATTGTGGAGAAACACTGTAGGGATTTCAAGCAGGGAGTGGCACGGTGTGACTGGTGTTTCAAAAGTGCTCTGGCAGCAGAGTGGCGGGAGCCCACAAAGGAGGTGATGGAAGACTGGGGCAGGCAAGAGCAGTGTTTCTGGGATGGCGGGAGGTAGAGAGGAGATGGGGGAAATCATTATGAGGTTAAATTGGTGGGTCTCAGGGAAGGCCTGGAGTGGCAGTGGGGAGAAGATGGAATTGTGAAGGGGGACACCTAGATGTCTCACCTGGGGGACTGTTTGGCTACCCACCGTGAGAGAAGGCAGAGGAAGCAGGTTTTTGGGGTTGGGAGGAGAAGCTGAGAGTACTTGATTAATTCGCAGAACATTTATAGGCTTCTAGGCTATTCTGGCACCTGTGCCTTATACTACGGGCGGATGAGTGTGTCATGGCTGTGACCATCAGACAAGACCTTCCACTGTGGCCATATGGTTATCATGACAGCTTTGCAAAGCAGCCTGAATGGGGCACTTGTTGACCATTTTAGGGATGTGGAAACTGTGGCTGAGAGAAGTCAAATCATTCTTCCAAGGTGTCACAACTCATGAGAAAACAGAGGGAGGGATGCATCCAAGTGCTCAGAGTCCAAAGTTTGTTCTCTTAGGCAGGCTGTCCCCTCAGGGATGAACAAAAGGCAGGATGTTTGTTTGTGTATTTTTTTTTTTTTTGTGAGACGGAGTCTTGCTCTGTCACCTGGCTGGAGTGCAGTGGCGTGGTGCAGTCTCAGCTCACTGCAACCTCCACCTCCTGGATTCAAGCGATTCTCCTGCCTCAGCCTCCTGAGTAGTTGGGACTACAGGCGCCTGCCACCACGCCCAACTAATTTTTGTATTTTTAGTAGAGACGGGGTTTCACCATGTTGGCCAGGCACTGGTCTCTATCTCTTGACCTTGTGATCCACCCACCTCGGCCTCCCAAAGTGCTGGGATTACAGGCCTGAGCCACTGTGCTCAGCCTGTATATCTTCTTAAAATCCCAAGTCCAAAACCCCATGGGAGGGAAGCTACTTCCAATCAGATAAAAGAGTTGTCTCCTGGGAGGCTTAGAACAGAGGGCAGAGGATGCCAACAACACCGAGCTTTTATCTGATGAGAGATATAGCCAGGCTTTTCATATTAATTTCCCATAAATCATACGGGCTCTGCGGCAAATTATCTTTCCCCAGGACTAGTTACATGGGTCATCGAGTCAATGCCCAAGATGAAGAAGCCTTTTCTTTCTGAATACCCTTTGGGTTCAAAAAGGTAACAGAGGTCTGAGAGTCAGAATCATCTTTTTAGAGAGAGTTTAACCACGGGGAACTGAGTTTTAATCCAGGGACAGCTGTCCCAAGAGCCTGTGTGCTTAACCATGCTGCGACGTGTGTGTACATTATCTAATCCAGAGTAAAACAGAGTAAAAGTCACAAGATTTGGGCTGGGGGGTTGGCTACATGGAGCAGATCATCCTGTTGGTCTATTACATAAAACGGGTGTGCTTTGAGACACTGTGTGATCTGTCTGTTCCGTGCAACAGCTTCCAATGATGCCTCATTTTTTCCTTTGGAATCTAGAATACCGTCCAACTCCCAGGGCGAATTTGGTGTTTCTCAAATTGTTGACCTTGAATCAACTGCATTAGAGTCACTGAGGCTGGTCCTCCATGAGAAAGCACCCTCAGTTAAAAATGCAGATTCCCAATCTCTACCCCCAAAATGGCCTCAACCAGACTTTCTGTGGATAGGGTCTGGAAATTCCAATTTTACATGCTTCCTCCGAGATGTGATGCTTATTCACAATGACAATCGAGGACCATGGGGAAGAAACACTAAATGCCCCATTACGAATGCTCGAGTGTAGTCAGGTCTGTGAAGAGACTGCTTTTTTCCACATCTCCCATAGGACCCATTACAAATCACAGAAGCCCTGCTTGTGGAAGCCCCGCTTGTGGAAGCCCCTGCATTTAGGAAATGGGGCCGTCGTCTGCTGGTCTGCTTCAAGCTCTCTTCCCTCTCCTACAGAGCATAGGAGTGGAGGGCAGGGAGGTGACCACTGGGAATGACATTTCCTGGCTTCCCCAAATCCCTTGCCAACTGGCTTCCTGTAGGTTTGGACAGTGGGAGGTGCTGGTGGGAGGGACGGAGAAGCCAGGGAACTTCTCTCCTCTCCTTCAGGTGTCATGTCACCTTGTTGGTTCAAGTTTCCATTGTACAGCCACTTTTCCTCTGCCCAGATCTCCTGCTTTTGGATTCTGGCTCTAAAGCATGATACTCTCCAGCGGGTAGTGGCTTCCTGAATTTCCTTGTTTCTGAGTCTCCTTACCTTTTCCTTTTTTCCTTTTTAGCACTCCTAAGACCTTTGTAACTAGTTGCTCATATTAAGTTTCCTCCTCTGAACCTATCTGGGGGTGAGTTCTGTTTTCCAGACTCTACTCTGACCTATGCAGGGAGAAACACAGTAAAAGTTGTCATACAAATGACTAGCCAGCTACCCATGAGTTATTGGGTACCTCTGGTGGGCCAAATATGGCGCTAAAAACTTTAGATATATTATATTAGATATATTATTTATTCATTCAAAAGTATATATTGAGTACATACTAGATGGTAGGAACTGAGCTAGAAATTAGGTTTACAATGGGAACAAGAGGTTGTGGTCCCAGCCCTCACAGGGTATCACCTCTCCTGGTGAAGGCTCACCTTGCATAGAGAATTGCAGGTGTGATGTGTGGGTCACTGCAGAGAACTGGATGGTTCTCATGAGGGTACAACAGTAGGGCCTGGCTCCATTCAGCAAGTGGCATCGTCCCTCTTTCAAACAGACGAGGAAACTGAAGCTTAGAATAGGAAAGATGACATCTTAAAGGTATATATACCCTAGAACATTCTCATCCTTAAAAAGAAGACACTGGGACAAGGTTTTCCAAGCAGAAGCTGTAGGGAATATTGTGGGTTGAATCGCATCTCTAAGAAGACATGTTGAAGTCATAACCATTGGTAGCTGTGCATGTGATCTTATTTGGAAATAGTGTCTTTGCTGATGTGATCAAGTTAGGGAGAAGACATACTGGATTAGGGTGAGCCCTAAATCCAGTGATTACACACAGACATACAGGGAAAAGGCCATGTAATGATAGAAGCAGAGATTGGGGTGATGTAGCTGCAAGCCAAGAAATTGATGGCAACCACCAGAAGCTAGTTAGAGGCAAGGAAATTCTTTTCCGAGAGCCTGAAGAGGGAGGATGGCCCTGCCAACACCTTACTATTCAACTTCTGGCCTCTAGAACTGAGAAAGAGTAAATTTCTTTTGTAAGTAACTCAGTTGTGGTACTTGGTTGTGGCAGTCCTAGGAAACTCACACAGGTAGAGAGAAAGAACTCAGAAGTATGTATTACCAATATAGTCAGAGGCATTTGAACCAGGCAACTCCATCTTGAATAGGGGCTGGTCACAATGAGGTTGAGACCTATGGGGCTGCATTCCCGGGAAGTTAGGCATTCTAAGTCACAGGATGAGATACAAGGTTAGCACAAGATACAGGGTACAAAGACCTTGCTGATAAAACAAGATGCAGTAAAGAAGCCATCCAAAACCCACCAAAACCAAGATGGCGATGATAGTAACCTCTGGTCGTCCTCACTGCTCATTATATGCCAATTATAATGCATTAGCATGCTAAAGACACTCCCATCAGCACCATGGCAATTTACAAATGCCCAAATGCCATGGCAACATAAGAAAGTTACCCTATAATGGTCTAAAAGGGTAGGAACCCTCAGTTCTGGGAGTTGCCCACCCCTTTGCCAGAAAACTCATGAATAGTCTACTCCTTGTTTAGCATATAATCAAGAAATAACTATAAATATACTCAAATGAGTAGCCCATGCCACTGCTTTGCCTATGGAGTAGCCATTCTTTTATTCCTTTACTTGCTTAATAAACTTGCTTTCACTTTACCCTATGGACTGGCCCTGAGTTTTCTTGCGTGAGGTCCAAGAACCCTCTCTTGGGGTCTGGATCAGGATTCCTTTCTGGTAACAACACCAACTCCTGGGGTGTCCCAGGCCTGATGCTGAGCCACCCCAATAAGACTCCAAACAATAGGGGTGCCCAAAACAGAGTCTACAGAGGATGGATTAAGGGACCTCACTCACATGGGCAAAGCCAGTTCTACAAACATTCTTGAAACAAATGGAATTATTTTCTGGAAACAGAGAAGAGAAAATGAAACTGAATTCTAGTTTAAAAAATGCCTATTATGTAATATACACTTTCTATATGTTACATTTTTGCACATAATATGTAATATACTGCTTTTTCCTTACAAGAAACTTGGAGGTATATGCAATGATCAATGTTTGTCAAATGAGTGATGCTAGACACCCACATCACAGAGCTAGGAAATTGCTCAGTGAGGTCAGACCCCACGACTTATGTTCTTTGCACCCTGGCCTGCTATTCCAGAACTCAGATGACCACTCTTTTTCTCCCAACTCTTACATTAGTCTTGGTTGGTGTTCACCTAGTAGAAATTGTGCATAGTAGTGTGTCTGTGAAGGGGAAAGGCAACTTTATCAGAGCATCCCATTGTTGGATGCTAGAAACAAGAACCACCTTTTCTTGTGCCAGTCTATAATTTCTCACTGGCTTCTAAATGAAAAGAGAGAGAGAGAGAGAGAGAGAGAGAGAGAGAAAGAGAGGAGAAAAGCAGGCTTTGTCTCTATCTGAGAATGTGATCAGACAATTTCAGTCCCATGTACTCCACGGTTGGTAGGTTACTGCCTGGATGGGGCCCAGTGGAGAGATTTTCCCCACAGATTTGCTGTAATAAGGTAAGATACCACGATTGTGCAAGAGGCAGTGGCCCCCAGGGTAATTAAGATTCCATCACAATCTACCTGGTAATCTACTGAACCTTCTGCACGAGTGTTCTGAGGTAATTCTGAAGGGACTTGAATTCAGGGACAAAGCAACATCTCAGCTTCTTTGGGGATAATGTCAGGGTCATTCTTTGAATATCAAGAGCTCCTGAGTCATGCAATCCTTCCCATGAACTTTTCTTGATATCCTTCCTCTTAGACTCTTGTATATGTGTCCTTTTTCCTTGAGCAAAGAATAGAATTGGGGAACTATGACAATCATTGCTGTTAGAGTTAAACTGTCTATAAAAGACTGTTTCTTTGATCAATAGGGCTTGTTTGTAGTTCCTCTCCTTCAAGACAAGCTCTTGACTACGTGTGATCAAGAGTGAGTGTGGGCTACCTTGGGTCAGTCACTGTCTCCAACTGACAAGGTGGGAAGCTGGCTCAGATGCTCCCTAGTTCATGCCACTGATAGAATTTGAAGCTGTCTTGGAATTAATTGTTACCGTATTGTAATCCCTGGGAAATATTTACGTAGGTATACTATTATCAGGAAGTAGTATCTTATTTGATCCTTGACTCAAATGCTTTTAGGTAAATATTCTTAATAGTTTACAGAGGAAATTAGCTTCAGAGAGCTTAAGGAACTCACCACTATCATGCTAGATAGTGGGAGAAGGAGGAGTCAAATGCAGGTTTATCTAGTTCCAAAGTCTGCACTGGTTGCACAGGGCCAACTCTCTATCCAGCATTGAGCAACCTCAACCGAGTAAGGGATCAAACCACAACCAAACTACAACAGCATGGCATCAACTCAGCTTAAAAGAATCAACTGAACTGCTCAGCTGGCATTCCAGACATGGAACAAGGAACAAAGAAGGAGGGTTTCTCATGTTTCCATCAGTTGTCACAGTTCTGCAAAGATAGGCATCGTTCTCCCCTTGAAAACAGTCTACTTCCCCCTAGAGCAGGTTACAAGAAAAAGGTTGTTAATAATGCTAGAAGCTAATGCAGCAAAAGTAATTCTCTCTAAATATACTTTTTTTGGGGGTGGGGGAGGGGGCAGGGGGCTGTCTATAAATAAGACAAATGAAATCACTGGGTTAGATATTTGAAGCTATTGAGGTCCTCAAGAGCTTCAGCCCACACTCCTTGCTGCGTTTTCAACCAGTCTTTGGAGCTGTTTACACACCAGGGGAATGATAAAAGAAAAATTTCAGCCAAATTAAATGTAAAGGAGTTTAATGGAGCAATGAATGATTCGTGAATCGGGCGGCCTTCTGAGTCCGGGTAGGCTCAGAAACTTTAGCACAGCCACGTGGTGGAAGAAGATTTATGGAGCGAAAAGGGAAAGTGATGTGCAGAAAATGGAAGTGAGGTACAGAGAAAGCCAGATTGGTTACAGCTCGGTGTTTGCCTTATTTGAACATGGTTTGAACAGTTGGCACATTTGGTTGGCCAAAACTCAGTGATTGGCACATGTGTGGGCTACTGTCTGTTTACACCTCCACTTGTTATAGTTCATGATGCACAGAAAAGCCTTTAGGCTGAACTTAAATTATGTAATGAGGCAGCTTTTAGGCTAAATTTGTTAACTTAACCTGACCAGGTTTAATGCAAATGAGCCCTAAGACATATTCTCGTTGGAGAAGGTGTCACAAAGCAGGGTCTCCCACTGGGCAGTGGCAGAGACCCTTACTGGGGGCTTCCCTGTGTGTCAGGCACAGTGGTAAGTGGTCCACAAGAACTTTTCCCTATTTTAATTCTCCCAGTGGCTCCTAAGGCAGGGGCTGTTGGCAGTCCCGTTTCACAGATGAGAAACTGAAGCCACGTTCTTTGCCCAAGGCATTTAGGACAAGAATCAGCAATGTTTGCATTCTGCTGTTGGGCTCTGCTCTGGGCCTTCCTAAAGTCAGTACCTCACCTCCTGCGGTCTGTAAGCTAGACCTGCCTTAAGACAGCCATGGGTGGGGCTGTCCCCCTCTGGCTGAATCAGTCCTCCATGTGGGCTGATGGCTGTGGAATGGGAAAAGAAAGTCGAAAGCTGATTCCAGCATCGTCTCACTTGCTCTTTCTTAGCCTTATCTGTAAAATGGGATTATAGTAAATTCTTCCTCATAGATCACTGTGGGACTAAATAAGTTATTATATACGAAGCAAGTACCTAATAAAGTTAATTTTATAGATCTGTTCAGGAACAGTCTAAGAACATAGTGAAAGCTTAAAAGACCTATACAGGTTGGAAGGATTAATCTTTTTAAAAAATCAGCTCTGAACAATGAGAATACATGGACACAGGGAGGGGAACAACACACACTGGGGCCTGTCGGGGGGCAGGGTGTAGGGAGAGCATCAGGATAAATAGCTAATGCATGCGGGGTGTAGTGCCTAGGTGATGGATTGATAAGTGCAGCAAACTACCATGGCATATGTTTACTTATGTAACAAACCTGCACCTGCTGCACATGTATCCTGGAACTTAAATAAAATAATTTTTTTTTAAAAGAAAAAAATCAGTTTCATAAATAGGCATTTCGGCAGCTTCCTAGTTACAGTATATTTACTCTGTGTTTCAAAGATTTGTAATTTTTTTTTTTTTACTTCCCGGATCTTCAAGTCTTTTGACCACATTAGAGTCTTGATCTAATTCCTCACCTGCCCCAGGGTTAAGGGAAACAGAAACCTCAGGCCTCAGAACTGGCCCTGCCCAGCAACCTTAGAGATGAATGGGAAACACTCTGCCTATTTTCTCTTCCAGACCACCTAGCATTACCCTCTGCAGTTCAAGGCCACTGAGGAAGTTCAGTTTTCCCTCGTGTGTTTTTCTGAGCTTGTCGTTCATTTGCTCTCAATGCCCTGGTGGGTGGACTCTCCTCTGTGCGGGCACAAAACTTTGCTTTTTGGAAAAAGCAAATCCCCCTATGGAATAAATTTGTTCCTCAATGGCAGGGAACATACATTTTGCACGGTGTCTTTGCTGCTCTGTGGCGACATCCCTTGTGTCTGCCTGAGGGCCCTGCTTTAATACAGTCGCTTCTTACTCCCAACCAGTCACCTTTTCCAGATAATATTTGTGAGGATGCAGTCTGGATGATGTTAACCTCATGTTATAAGGCCCTGCTCCATCATTTAACGCAAGGCCATCCTAATATTATGGGGTAGCAAAGGGGATCCAATGAGACAACATGAAAAAGTACTTTGGAGGAATTTTTTCTTGGCAATTACTCTTGATAGCACTGAAAGCAATGTAAAGCTTTCCACCCAGAGAAAATAGCAAAACGGCGGCAAATGCTTTCATTGAAGAATTGATTCAGCATTTAATGAATATCTACGGTGACTGTGGGCAAGGCTTGATGCTATGAAAACAGGGATGGATAAGGAAGTGCACACGCCTTGGAGGGTGGCACCATTTTGTAACAAAGTCAGACTGTGAACGAGGAAGTAGCATCCCAAGTTGACCATATTTGGTAGTTGTGCTTCTTTGGGCGAACTACTGAACTGCTTAGAACTTCAGCTTCCCCGGCTATAAATGGAGAAGATCAGGACTCTCCTTATAGATTTTGTGAGAATCCAACGCGATGATACAGAAAAGTACTTAGTAGAGTGCCTGGCCCATAGTGAGCACTCAGTAAACACTACCATTCTCATTCTTCACATTATGATAATAAAGTGGTCTCAGTGCTATCACAGGTACACATGGAGTTCTGTGGAAATGTGGGGCTGCGTGCCATTGGCTTCTCTATGCGAGGGACTGGTGGGGAGAACATGGGTTCCCCAACCTCCAATTTCTTTCCATCTATAGGGTTGTTCTGTAGAGCAGGGCGCCCACACCCAGGCTGCACACTTGAGTCACCTGGGGAGCCCCACCCAATTAAATCCCAATCTCTTGGATAGGACCCAGGAGTTAATATTTGCAAAAACCTTCACAAGTGATCTAATGTGCTGCTGAGGTCATGACCAGCTATGTAATTAGCAAGGTCCAGTGCGGAATGAAAATGCAGGGCTACTTGTTTGAAATTATTAACAATGTCAAGGCAATGACAGCAGAGTATTATACCAAGGGCCGGGTGCCACTGCAAGGCAGCACACTGATGAAGCCAGCTCAGGCGGAGCTTGAGAAGCCCTGTGTTTGCATAACATTCCAGCCTCTCTCTGCCCATGGGGACTTGCGTCCCCAGGAAAGGAGATGTGGCATCTCTGGCTAGTAAATGTGAGGAAAAGAGCAGCCCTCCTCAGTTCTAGGAATCAACCTGCCTGTACAAACCAGGTGTGTTTGCTCTGCTCCTGTCTATCCTAAGTTTTACAGAGGCACCTCTTGTTTGCAAGGCTTGAATGGTCTAGCACTTTCTTCGCTGGGGATTACATTTGTGTAATGCTGGGATACAGATCCTGCAAGCTCCCTTGGCCAATCTGAGGACTATAACAACCATATATTTCCCTTGACAACCAGCTCCAACTGGGGAGGGGAAGAGGAGGGTCATTCCTAGCTGAAGTTTGAAGGGTGCCAATCACGGGCCTCTCTTCCAGCCAGGTTAAGAAGCAGTGGGCAGAAATGCAGGAGAGTGGGCACTAAACAGAAGCCAGCATGCAAAGACCCAGGGAAGAACTCACTTGTCATGGGAAAGAGCAAGTGCCAAGGTCATGAGGTGGCATGGAGCTGGGCGTAATACAGGAAGCGGAAGGCCTTGGGGGCTGAACTTGGGTGAAGCCAGGGCAGAGCGGACGTGACGGAAGCTGGTGTGGACACCCAGCAGGGCCTTGCAGGCTTTGGAGGGCTTCCAGAGGCCCCTCAGAGGTTATAGGCAGGGGAGCAAATGGAAACTGTACCATCGCCCAGCAAGTTCTGGCAGACAGGCCTCCAGGGCTATAAGGCAGGTTGGGAAGCATTGTGTGGTAGGCCGATCCTCTCAGCCCCCTGAGCGCCTGGCCCACCAATGCTTGCTCCTGGTGGAGTGGCCCCTTCTAAGGAATCCTTCTTTGGGCACCTTGTGGTGCTGATGGGCACTGGGGCTCGGCGGCAACAAGCCCCAACTGCTAACTTGAGAATGAAGAGCAAATATTTGACTTTTTTTCACCCTTTTCTCCCTCCTCTGCTGTCATTTTATACAGCCCTGTTTAGACTGGATGCTGGTTAATGGGCGACCTTTGCCCTTTGGCTAAAAGCTGTGACCAGGAAATCCCACCTCCCATTAATGCGGGTTTTGTTCAGGATCCCAGGAACGCCTAGCTCACAGCTTCTGCTCTGCAAACGCATTGTCTGCCAGGCTTAGAAAAAGAAAATGGAAAAGAAAAACAAACAAAGAAAAAGAAAAAAAAAAAAAAAGAAAAAAAACAACCTTCCACTGTTGAATTAAAACAGCAAACTCCAGGCCCAAAGTAGGTTTCAGTCTCTATTAAGATAACAAAAGGTCCTAAATGCCAGGCCTGGGCGCAAACTGTGCAGACAAGCGGGTGGCCGGAGAAGGAGGGGGGTCAAGGAAGAGAGGGAAACTCAATTGACGGTTACTTTTTTTTCAGAGTTATTTCCGGTGGGTCTGCCCCCACCCCTCAACAAATTTTGTTGCTCTGAGCATTCCAGGCATAAAAAGTGAGGCCCTGGAGGGCCCCTGAGACCAGCGTCCTGCACAGTGACATGGCACAGTGACATGGCAACCCAGAGGCACCTTGATCTTGACTATTCTAATGCAATGCTTTTCGTTCCTGGCTCCACATGGGTGCCCGTGTGTTCCAATCACATGGCCACAGTCTCTCTCTTCCTTTCTTATTTTCTCTCTCCTTTGTTGATGTTGAATATGATTATTTAAAAGGCTTTATCCTTTTTTCTGCTAAGCCACTCTGGCCCAGAGCCATCTCTTTCACCCTAAAAATTCGAACTCTTGGCAAACAGGGCTTTCTGACCCATTGTCCACTGGGCTTAGCTTGTCCACCTCTTGTGACTTACTTGAGAGCATCAGTGATTGTGCAGGCTAGGGAGCCTTCCTTATGGCTCCCACCTGGCGTCTCTTCCGCAGCACCCAGGATAGCTCATGGCTAAAAGCACATGCTCCAAAAATGTTTGGTCATGGGAGGATCAAGTATTAATATATGTTAGTTATTATTTATGTCATGTTAGGCATAATGGCTAATGATTGTTTCTAAGCTAGATAGGTGTATGGAATAAAAAATTAAAAATAGACAACATTTATTGACTGCTATTTGTGTGTTAATGACTTAACTCTTAAAAGACCCTTATCTTGACCAGGCGCGGTGGCTCACACCTGTAATCCCAGCACTTTGGGAGGCCGAGCCAGGTGGATCACCAGGTCAGGAGTTCGAGACCAGCCTGACCAACATGGTGAAACCCCGTCTCTACTAAAAATACAAAAATTAGCCGGGTGTGGTGGTGCACACATGTAGTCCCAGCTACTCAGGAGGCTGAGTCAGGAGAATCACTTGAACCCGGGAGGTGGAGGTTGCAGTGAGTGGAGATCCGGCCACTGCACTCCAGCCTGGTGACAGAGCAAGACTCCATCTCAAAACAAACAAACAAACAAACAAACAAACAACACCCTTATCTCAAATCTCAAGATTATACTAGGGTTTTTGCAAGTTCCTAAAGATTATGAAAATAAAAACCAAATCAATTAGAACAAAAACCAAAAACAACCCATTTCTTTTTTTTTTTCTTTTTTGGAGAGACAAAAAAAATTCATTTAATTTATATACATTTTATTATATGTTATCTATGTGTGTATATAGCAGATAAGAGCAATGATTTGTGTTCAGTTTTTTTATTGTTTTTAAGAGATTATTCAGAAGTCCATTGTATTAATGTCAATAAAAATTTACTACAAAGTAAAGGGTCTACTGCATGTTTTTATACAAACCAAAATGCTTGTGTGTGGGTTTTCGATCAACACATGAAGAGGAGAAGAAAGCAAAGGACAGCAGAGGGGCAGAAGGGGGAGGAGACGGGAATAAAAGAGAGGAAAGGGAGGGGACACTCAGGCACAAAATAGGTCCCCTGAAAAAAACACACACAAAACCGAAAACCAAGCGGAGTCTCAACAAAGAGCCGTCCAGGTAGGGAGGAAAGGAAACTCCAGCTGCTCTTGCTACACGAGAAACAAGTCGGGTCCTCAGGAGAAGTGGCCCGCAGGTGTCAGATTTGTTTTCCTAACTGCATGAAGGACACCCCACAGTCCTGGGGAGGACGGGACAGGGGGAAGCGTTTGGTGTTTGAATGCCCGCTAGCCTGCTGACCAGCGAGACCCTGGGTGAGGCCACTCCTGGACACTAATATCCACTTCAAGCTGCGTTTGTGGATTGTAAGTGTGCCTCCATGCATGAACCGGAAGCTCAATTAGTAGCTGCTCTTGTTATACAACTTAAGGAAGTGCATTTTTTCCCCCCATTTGAGGGAATGAGTCTTTCTATGACAAAGCTGGAGGAGGCCAAAGGGAGACTGTCTTAGTCCTGACTCTTGGATAGGACGCAGGGATGAGACTACGTGAGGATGTTTTATATGCATTTACATAGTTATTATGCATATATTTTAATTTTTTACATTTAAATGCATTTATTCATTTAATTTATATGCATTTTATTATATCTATGTGTGTATATAGACACATACATATATGCATGCATATAATGTATTTTACTATATATGTTGTACGTGTGTATAAAGCACACATATATGATAAAGTGCATATACATTTACACACACACATATGTAGCCATCATTGAGCACTTACTGTGCTCTGGGTATGATGCTATAGGCTTTACACACTTGCTGTTATTTAATCCCCATAATGACCCTGTGAAATGGAAACTACACTATTATCTGTATGTTACTAGTGGGGAAAGTGGCTCAGAGAAGTTAGGTTACTTTCACAAGGTCTCACAGCCTTTTGAGCACAACGTTGAGAGCTGCACAAGGGTGCGTCCTATGCCGAAGCCTGATGGCTGTAACCACTGAGATCACCGCCTCTCACAGATAGGCATGACCTAGGTCATCCAGATGGACTTCCGCGGAGGGCCTGACTCTCACCTGCATCCCTCCAGTGCCACTAGGACACGCCTTCCTACACCTGGGGTCTCAGTGATGGTGCCAGGCGAGGGCTGGGATCCAGCCTGGTAGCCACGAGATGTGTTGGAAAGACCACTGCTTGGAATGACTCAGGACTCCATTCTCGAAGAGCCTCAGAATCTGAGCCCAGTGAGTTGGAGACACAAAGACACTGGATTACGTTCTGGTTGACTTTAAAGCAGGCTGTGGGCTCTCTAATTTCTAATGAGCAATGAATGCTCTGTCCCCCACTTGGAGAAAGCTTTTAATTAGCCCACTGGACACAGGCTACCAAGAAAAGTGGTCAGTGTGAAAACGACTCTTTTCTGCCACTGCACGTTAATACCTTGTGCCAGAATCAGATCAACCCACATGGCTGATGCCTTAATCAGTGAAGCTCCAAAGAGTTCACCTTCAAATCAAGTTGCCTGGTTGCAGGCAGCACTCTCGTTCTCCCTTCCAAGAAAACGCTTCTTCTTCCAAGCACCTCCTTTCATAAAAACACCCACATTTGTTATTTCTTGCAGAAAGTTTGGTAATGAATGTGGCTTCTATGTTTTCAGCTGTAAACAGCACAAATCCCCCTGCAGGCGCTCTAGAAGACCTTTTATCCATACTCAGGAAAAAGAATTGATTGATTTTGAAGTTAAATGTTGGCATTTGCTGTTATTCAAAACCTGGACCTTGGCGACAGTCATCCACCATGCTTTCAGCATTGCCACCAGTGTGCAGCAAATGAAGACAAGCTGTTGTCAAATGAGAAATGCAAAATAGTCAATCTGTTTGTCTGTTTAATGTAACTGGGAACATAAGCTGCTAAAAGTGGTACCATTCGGCACTGTCAGATGGGAGACACTCTCCAACAAACAAAAGCCTAATGACCCATTTTACTCGGCACTCCGGAGTTGCTTCTGACGGTACCTTCCATATGCACCCAAACATGCTTTTATCTGAAACTGCAAATGGCACGATTTTCCATCCAACACAAGCGTGTAATCTGTGTGTGTGTGTGAATGTGTGTGTGTTGGGAGAGAGGGGGTGGGAGGCGTCCCCACTCCCAGCACTGTGGAGGAAGGCTGATGTTCTAGACATCTTAGAGCTGGAAGCATATTGCAGAAGCATCTGACTCTCATCTTCTCTTTACACCTGTCATTGTACTGTATTAAAGGGAAAAAATCAAGTCATTAACCATGATAGATATGTTTTTAATAAGTAAGTGTTGTGCCTCACCAGGCAGATAAATAGCAGGGCTTATGATAGCTTCAGAGCCTGGCATGGGATTGCAGTGGGAAGTTAAAGGCACTGCCTACTTCTTCAAAGAGTGTGCAATGTGGGAAGCACGGGGCTCTCAACACTACCCAGGCAGCAATTCTTCAAGAATGATCCCTGCTGAGGCTAGATTCTCTCTTGCCTTTGACCTTAGGCGTTGTCTCACACTTCTGTTTCTCAGGGCTTCTGGTACCTGGAGAAATATGCCCTCTTCCAAAGGCTGTTGGCCAAACCCAGTGCCTACGAATGGCTTCAAAAATGCATCTTCCACTGGCATGGCAAATAATGATGCCTATTAATTCATATAGACTGTCAGGAGTACTGTGTTGAGAAGGGTTCTGAGGCACACCCGTAAGAAAGAGTGCTATAATTGGTTATCAGACCATGATATTACTTATCTGCTGCCACAAGCCAATGTTTATTAAAACAAACAAGCAGAGAAAAAGCAAGTTAGGACCATCAGAACTCACTTCATGTTTAGGATCTATCAAAGACTCCTGTAATTTATACCAGAAAGTCAAATCAACTTATGTCATGTCAAAATGCGGGGAGAAAAAAAAGAGAGAGGTTAAGGGTTGATGCACTTCGCTCAAAAGACTCATTGCAAAAGAATATGCCTGGCTCCAAGAGTGTTTGGATACATTCAGTGGAAATAAGGCGAAAGCATATGGTTTGCATTTCCTCTATAAAGAAATATGGGTGGGAACCTTGTGGGACCCAAGATGCAATAACAAATACAGATACTTGACAAGGCTTGGCAGGCGAAGACAGAATATTTCTGTGTTTACCTGACAATGTGACTGGAGTCCAGCCCACTGGGGAGCAATCCATTTGGTTGTGACCTGTCGCACCCTGGCAGAATGTCCTTGCAGAGACATCAATGTCAGCCCGGGAAGCATCGCTCCCTCCCCCTTTCCAGGCAAGCAGCCCCTCCAGTGAGAAATGCTGATCCTGTAACACGGGCTAATGATGCAGTTATACCGCTTGGACACTGGGTGATACTGTATCGTATTACTGTGTAATAACAGGCAGAAAGGAAATGTGGACTCTGGTTTTTAATCTTCCCATTCCAGAGTCTTTTTTTAAAAAATAGAATTTTGACTTCTCTTTTGATGGTTTGTTTTACCATTAATTTTTGTTTTGTTTTACCTTTTTTGTGGGTCTGGTCTCACTACCAGAACTAGCCCTTTTGATTCCATAAGTTGGAGACAAAAGGAACAAAAGATAAGTCAGTGAGAGCAAGAAAAAGAAAGGTGTTTTCTGTATGAAGATTATGAAAAATGGTGGTGGGAGTTCTTAAACATCAAGCCAGACAACCAGACCCTAAAAAACACACTCGCTTCCTAATCATACATATTTTGTTTCAGAGAAAAAGTGCCATTTGTAAGCTAGGGACCAAAAGGGACTAAATGATTATTGCTGTGTCCATTACACTTTTGGTCACAAAAACAAAAAAGTTAATAAATGTGAGTTGCGTGTTTGTGTTTTATCATTTCTTTCCATGGCAGATCAAAAGTCACATGAGTGGTGTTGCAATGCAGCTGCTTGGATTATACTTGGCGCCTTAATAATAAATAGGGAGTTTCTAGAACCACCAGCTCATTAATGAGCACTAATTCAGAATGGATGGCACAATGTTCAGTAATTTAAGCAATGTGGACAATGAAGGTTCTCAACTCTGGTACAAAGAGCGGCCTACAGAATCGTGTGGAATGAGTAATTACAGCTAATATCCATTTCGGCTTGTATTAGAACGTCCAAAGAAACAAGGTCATGCCAGCAGGCCAGGGGCTGGTCCCAGGGAGCATTGCAGGGGAAGGGAGAGTCATCCGGGGCAGGTGAACTGTTTCTATTACTTGGGCTCAGTGATGAATAAGGCCCTGACGGTTCCCACCAGAACCGGGCGGCCAAGCTGCAGTTGCTCGGTTACCGAGCATATCCACTACCGACCCGCCTGTGCTCTGCACAGGGGCACCAGGACTGCAGAGGTGAGGTATTGCTGCTCCAGTCCCAACCTACTTCCAACCTCCATCTACTGTTGGAACAGACAGGGAGCAAAGTGCTGGATGCTTTTCCTCCCTGGGGCTTGTGGGGAGTGTGACTGAGGAGTGCACCTTCCTCAGAGATGCCCCTGGTATTCTCTGTGGTTCACAGCTGAGGGTCTGCAAGGTGGATGGGAAACGAGGCTGTGAGACCTCCACTGGTCATGGGGAGGGGCTGCACTAGGATTGGGGAGTTTAGACCCTCCTGGTGCACCAGAGAGATAATAGATAAATTGGATACAATTTGGGGGTCTGTGGATAAGACATCGCTTTGAACCTGAGCTGTAATAGACGGGTTCTTGTTGCCAGCAACAGAAATCGACGCTGGAAGATTTAAGCAGAGAGAGGAATTTACTGAAAGGTCAATGGGGGATGCACAGAAGAGCTGGAAAAGGAGGCTTACGAAATAGGGATTCAAGGCAGAAGGGAGAATCACGTTGCCAGACCATTTCTGTAGCTGCAGGCTTCACAGCCACTGCGTTTGCACTATTTGGGACCACAGCATGCTTTTCTGCCACCCAAGTCCTGGCTTGTATTAGACCCTGGGCTCCAGCAACGGCACCCCAAGCTCTGCATGCCCCTCTTGTCATTTTTTGGCTTCACTGGTAACATTCAAAGTCTAGGTTCTTGTATCTTATTCAATTGACTGAGACCAAGTCATGTGACCACTAGCTTCCAAAGGAGGCTGGAAAAGGTAACGTTGGCCTTTTAGGGCTCCAATATTGGAAAGGGAGTCTCTGCCTCCTATGCTTTCTTAAGATGATAAATTCCCCTGAAATGAGACAGGCTATCAGATGCAGGACTGCCCCAAAGCGTCAAATATCTGCTTGACTTGTCCTGTCTTGTAATCCTGTGTGATGCACATGGCCATTTTCCCATTCTAAATCTCTGCTTCTCATGGCAAAATGGAGACAGCAACAGTACCACCCTCACAGGCTGTAATGGATGAGGAAACCAGGCCCTTCATTCATTCGTTCCACACACATGTATGGAGTGCCTACAATATGTAAGGTTTAGTGTAGGTTTTTAAGGATACACTTACCAGGGTAAGCCCCTGACCCACGGAGCATTGCTTGGCCTCCTGGTAGAGAGGAAGAGAGGTTGGTGGCTTACAAGGTATTATGAGATGTAATAAGACTTGCAGATGAATTGGATGTATGGGATAAAGGAGGGGAAGGAAAGTAAATCTATCTCCAGTTTCCAGGAAAAACTATGGGGGAAAGCCATCAGCTTAGCTCTGGTCACACTCTAAGTGCTCAGTAGATGTTAACTGCTCACATGATTGCCAGCAGGTTCATCATCATCATCATCATCACTTTCGTTCTTATCTTGGGCTGGGCAATCCTCATAGACAGCTTCACTCTTCAACATAAAGTAGTGACACTGGACTAGAGGCAGTCTCTCTGTGTGACCTTGGACAAGCTACGTACATTTCTGTGCCTTAACTTCCTACCCTGTAAAATGGAGATGATAACAGTAGCTGCATTACAGGGTTGTTTTGAGGACTAAATTGGCTATTTTGTGAAAAAGCACTTAAGACTGTGCTGGGAGCATCATAAGCATATGCCATATGTACAATCTGCTGTCTTTTCTGTTGTTATCAGTGTTTCCCAACTTCTGCACATCACTCAAATCCCGTTCCTGCCATCCGAAGGGTATGTTTGCAAAATGGATCCCAAAAACCTGACCTTCTTTTTCCACTCAAGAAACAGGGACAGTAGGTCTCCGCAGTCCATGTGGAGATGAAACCCTCCCATAAATCATTAACGGGAGGTTTGAGATGAATCTGGTGACTGAGGCTTGGGTGGCTCTGACCTCACACGAGCTGACCACAGGGCCTGCCTATCATAAGCTCCTGCCATGAACTCGTAGCCCTAGGAGCTGGCCCAGCCTGGGCTTCTTCCCTGCCCTGGAATGGAAGGAAGGGCTTTGAGGTCCCAGACGTGGTTGGTCCCCTTGTTCAGTGGGAGGCACAGCCCGGGTCCCTGGGCATGAGCTCACGGGCTGGACTTCTGCTTTCGAGCCTGGCTAGAAGCAACGCATCAGCAGCTTTCTGCATGATTGCAGGACGCTTGCAGTTCATGTGCCTGTTGGAAACCAGAATTGAGGAAATACCCCACACACATCCAATCACATGCCCCCGACATGATGGGCGATAAAATGAGAAAATAGTAGAGTTCACTGCTACCCTTTACTATAAAAAAATGGTGTTAACAATACTGTCTGGCAAATGTTTAAACAGAAAAAAATATATATAACCACACAATGGACTAATGTGCAAGATAACTAGTTAGACTAAATTAGAATCTCCCCTCTCCCCATACCTGTTTTTCTGGAATGAAGCCTTCAAGTAGATCTCATATAAGGAAAATATGAAATAATTAGGCCCTGGATTGTGCTAGAATGACAGTCACTGTGGTCACCAAATCGTAAGCCAACAACGAAGAGACTGAATTTTATAGAAAGCTATTCCTAAAATCCCAACAGGCCCCAGGAAGCAGTTCCTCTACAACCTACCCTTTGACTCACTCATCTTTGACTGTCATAAATATTGGATTGGAATTTGCAAAAACAGAACTACCTCCTTGTCCTCTAAATTCATTCATCTGCCATGAGACCACCTGCCTGTGCCTCAGTTTCCCTTGTTTTAATGACAATGGTGATAATATCTGACAGAGCCTTGGGAAGGGTCAGACTGTGTCATATCTATGGTGTCCCTGAAGACCCACAGCCCTGCTGACCCAATCGATGGAGCTGTCTAGACAATCAATACGGATCACTGCAGCTGAATTGACCCAACACGGGTCCACATTGATCATTTAAGACACCTGGAATGATCAGATCTATTGGGCCATGCTTCAGGGACTTTGGTCACTAAGGCCCTGGTTAAGTGAGGAACCAGACTTTTAAGAAGATAAGGTGTTAACTTACAAAGTCCTCCAAACTTCAGAGAGGCCATTGGATGGTAGGAGTTTGGCCTCTGGGAGGCACCTCTATCACTTAACAGCCTGTGTGGCTGCAGGCAGGCTAAATAACCTCAATGAGCCTCTGCTTGCTTATCAGGAAAATGGGGGTGAAAAGGTATTTGCCCCCATGGAATTGTAGGGACCAGCCAATGAAATGAGGTGTTGAAATGCTAGCAAAAGCCTGGGATCATAAAGTATGCTTTATTCTGTGTAGGAATTTTCTGTTATGCAAAAGCATCTTGTCCGTCAACATCTCAAAATATTGAAGCCCTATTAACAGTTGCCTGGGAATGTATTGATGTCTGTCTTTGACAAGCATATCCTTTAATCCCCCACATAATGCTATGAGTTTTAAGAGTGACAACTGGCATCAACTTTCCCACAGTTGCAGAGCTAGAAAGTTGCAGAGCTGGAAAGTGGCAGATCTAGGCACAAAGCCATGTAATTCCTGACTCTGGAACCTGGGTCCTCTCCATGGTCCACGCTCCTTTCCTAACGCCCAGAAATGGGAATCTGGGAGACGGGAGAATATAGGACTCCTGCCTTTAGAAAGCGTGGGCCCTTCTGGGGTGATGGGCCACTTATGGAAGTAACATAGATGAAGTTACTTATGGATGTAACATAATGTGAACAGTAGCTGGAAATATTTAAATGCAACCTGGGTGATATGAAGGAGTTGAGGCTCTAATCTGGCCCTGGGCGCAGAGAGAGGTGGGAGGTGGAAGGGAACAAAAGGCTATAGCAGTGCAAAGTCAGTGTTCCATCTAAGCCTTGGATACAGGGGTGCTCTTCAATAAGCCATGATACAGGAAAAACTGAGGCTGAAGGGGTGATGGTGTAATGGTAGGGAGTTTCCCTGTTAATTCGGAGACTGGCCTCATTTGGCTGATGCCTTGAGCTATGACCAGCTGCTTGCAAGCGCCTTGTTATATAATTGCCTTTATTGGCTATTTGTAGAAGATTCGCTTAAGGTTACCATTTTGTCGGGTTTGCAGTTCTCTCTGGCCTCCCCACCTTCATCTCTCCAGAAGGTCTGCTTTTCTCATACCCCACTTCTTTTCTGCTACACGCTGAGCAACCTTAGTGAGAACTTACGTTTTCATATTCAAGTTGGTTTTTATATGTAAACGGTTTTGCCCTAGATTTTGGTGCATTGCCTTGCATTACAGAGCACGAATATTTTATCTGGACAAATATTTCATTTTTAAAGGAGGCTCATAACACCTGTCAAAAGACAAAATGTTTCCACTTTAATACAGATTCCATAGTGCAACAATCTCTGAGTCCCCATCCACAGAGGGAACGGATGTCGAGTTGTTTAGAAGTGTGCTCCCTGTATTAAACTTCCACCATAAATTACGAGGTGGTCATTAGCATATCTCCCTCCCAGCCAGGCATGTGATGCAGATGGCTCCCCTTAAACAAAACCGGAAGAGCAAATTGAGAAAACTTTGCTGTACCTCTATGCTGTGGGAAAGCCCCACAACTCGGCTCCCAGCTCTTGCAAAATGGAAATAAAAAATCTCAGTGGCTGCTTTAACTCCAAGGACTTAGAAAATTGACTAATGCAAATATTCAGAGGTTAATAGCCTGGTGACATTACTGTAACTTACACCGTGGCTTAAAGGGCATTATCCATCACATGGCAAGCAGCGGTCAGTTAGCAGAACATATGGAAAAATATCAAATCAAGAATGAACTCCCAGCACTGAGAATTAATAAAAACGTGAGCATTTCCCCCCCGATTTCCTTCCTTTAATGGAACTGGGCAATATACAATCTTAGTGTCATTGGCACAAGGTTCAGCCACCCTTTTGTGCATGAGGTCAATCCCTGACTTGGTGCACGCACGGGAGCGCAAAATGCCCTCACGGTCTCATTTTGTAATTTTGCATGTAGGGAGGGAAAAGTTAGTGAGAATCAACTAAGAAAGAAGTCATCTATTTGCAAAAAGGACTCCATAGGATGCCTTTGGCTATGGCTGTTTCGGACGAGAGAGAGATAGAGACAGAGAGTAAGAGAGAGAGAGACAGACAGAGAGAGAGAATCAGCTGGAAAAGCCTCTTTGTAAATACGCTCAAGAACCAGGCCAACTTGAAACGCCTGCTCCCCAGGCCTAGGTTGACCACCTTTAGTAATTTATTGCTTTCACATCTGGAGTTCAGATGGGAGGACTGCTGTCCCAAAGAGGTGGCTCATCTCACCACCACCGAGTGGGTTGAAACAAAGGCTCCTGTATCCGCCTCCGCGACATTTTGCAAAGAGCTTCATCCCTGGTCACGAACTGAGATCCCTTCTTTTGTTGGGGGCTCGCCTTGGTGAATTTCTCTTTCCCTCTGTGGCCATTTTGGGCTCTTCCAGAGCAGGGTGGAGTGGTGTTATCTTTGGGAAATTGTAGCTTCTCAGCTCCTGCTGCTAAAAGGAAAATTACTGCCCTGAGTAGTCCCTGGTCGTGTTCCAAAGGAGTCTTGTCGCATTATTTAAATACTGAATTGCGATATTATTGAAGTTGGTACCAAGTTGCTCTTGGCAGAGTCTGCTGGCTGGCAGGTGCTGAGCGTGAGGGCTGTGCTGCTTCAGCTAACTGCCTTGGCTCCACTGCTCCCAGGAGCGCGAGCTTCCACCCTGGCTGCTGCTGCGGCTGCTTTTTCATTTTTTTTTTTTTTTCTGCAAAATGCACCCAATTCAAACACCCACTCCCTCAGCACTGGCCTCCCCTCTGTGGTGTCTCAGGGGCTTCTTAACCTGGATTTCTACCTGGGTTCCCTTCCTTCGCCAGGCTCTCTCCCTCCCGCAGCCCTCTCTCTGGGCTCTAAGCTGCTTTAAGCGCAGGAGAAAGGAAATACGCCTTTGTCCAAAAAGCTTCCCACTCCTACTTCATTTTTCCTTTTTTCTCTTTTCTTTCCCCTCTAAACCAGCTTGAGTTTGCACCTTCTGGCTCCAGAGAGTGTCACGCAGGTATTGGCCCTTTCCTACTTCTTTTTTGAAAAGGAAAGCATCTGTCCAGCAGCCTTTTCTGCGACCCTTTGGGGCTAATGTGAGTTTTCCAGAGCTGTTTGGAATGTGCATGATTTACTGTGCAAATGGGCATCACAGTTTTACAAAACCGGCATGGGAATATTGTTTTCTTTAAAAAAAAAAAAAAAAAACATTATGTCTGCCCTCAGCTGCTTTCACTGCAGGCTTTGGATGAGTCGGGGTACTGTGAGTATGAGGGGTGCTCAGCTGGAAAGAGAGGCAGGCAGCCAAGCCCAGGTTGGACTCAAAGCGCCTCTTTCTGCATTCAGTTCTCAGTCCAGAAATTTCTGCCGTTTCACTCCACAGACTCAATTCCACAGCTTGGATGTTTGGTTTTTTCCCCAAGTGCTTTAGCCCACTTTTCCTGTCTCAGCTTGATGCCACACCTGGCAAATCCAGGGCCACTGAGTACTGCAACACCCTGAAAGTGGTCGGCACTTCTGTGGGCATGAAGGACGGAGTGAACGCATCCCTGAGAACAAAATGGGCACACGGACCTCAGCAGAGCCCTTAGCAATCTCTCAGTGCTCAACTAGCCCATGGTAGTGAGGCAGGATGGCGGAGAGGGAAGAGGAGGGCTTGGGAGGGGGAGTTGCTGATTAAAGTCCACTTCCCCACTGGGCTGCTTGACCTTGAGTAGCTTGCAAAACTCTCAATCTCATTTTTCACTCTGCTTTCTTCTCTTCTCTGCCTCCTTCCCTCCTTTCTTCCCTTGATCTTCTCTTCTACCCCCTTCATCATCATCATCATCATCATCATTACAAAAGTAATACTCACTTTTTATACAAATTTAAAGGAAAATAAATATGCAGAGTAAAAGTTGACATTCCTCCATCATGAAGCCAACTGTCCCTGTCTGCACAGAGTTTTGTATGCACTCCTCCACTGCATACACAACACAAAGGCACACATGTGCAAAACAGACCTAATTGCACCCACATTGATGGGTCACTGCAAGCATTAAATACGAAAGCAGAGGTAAAAGGACATTAACGTCTATCTTTTCTGGTGTCTGATTTTCTCCTATTTTAATAGCTGACCTCCATACATGCATTTCACGTGGTCTGGCTCAGTGCGAACGTCCCCAAGCACTTCTCTCTCCATTGGCTTCTCTGTGATAGCACAGACTGACTCCAAAACAGTTGTTTGCTCTTTTGTTCGAATTTCCACGAGCCAGAGCAGAGAGACAGAAATTCCTTCCTTCTAGCTCTTACAGTGTAAGGCCTGCGCCCAATACCTAGGACCGTCTCTGAAGGAAACACGTCAGTTATCAAGGTCAGGTGACCACAACAATTATTCTGTAACCCAGTGAGCCGCTACTTTCATATCTAATCGCAGGGCCTGTCTTCGTGCCTGTCTCCCTTGGAAGAGAACATGCCTTCCTTTATCTCCGCTTGCATCGGTGATAAGGGTATTTGATGACTCAGATTGTCTTCGGCTACATATAAGACAGGCACCTTTGCAAGTTTACTTACTCTGCAACTGGGGAAGGGTCTGTTTTATGTTTGGCTGTTTAAACCCAAAAGTGGCCTGATAATATAAGACTTACGGCATCATCGGCCCAGTTTAGGATGAGATGAGATGGGGACAGTGGAGAGAGAAGTTGCATGCAATTAAAAGCATGGGCTTCAACTCAGAGAAGAGTAGACTGGGCAAATAGAGTGAAGCAACCTATGCACAGACTGCACTTCTGCGCCTCGGTTTCTTCGTCTGCAAAGGGGAATGTTAATACCCATCTCACAAGCGTGCCACGAAGATCGAATGCCATGTCTGGGAAGTGATCAGGCCAGTGCCTGGCACACAGGCACTGGGCAAGGGCTCAGTAAATGAACGCTAACAAAAAAAGAGGAGAAGACGGCAACATTTTCACTTAACAACATGATTAATTTTTTCTGCACAGCAGAAGGGGGAAGAAAAAAAGTCCTGAAGAACGGCACACAGGAGCACAAGGGCTTTTCTGAGGTTGCCTGATAAGAAAACAAGGGTCAAAGCTGAAAAACTAGACCCTCTCAACAGTAAAAGGCCAGTCATGACCAGGTCCATGATGTTGAGTTCCCCAGGCATCACCTCCCACTGTAAATACAGTAAAGCAGATCTGTAAAAACGGACTGTTCCCATCACCCAAAGAGAACAACCCCTATCATTTTCATTTTGTTCTCAAACACTCTGAATCTTAAGAGTCAGTCCCCTGTCTCTGTCTTCCTTGGTGGGGCCACAATTTTCAGCTGTCTCAATCTTCAGTTTTTGTTGTTTCTTTGCTTTTAGCATCCCCCAAGGCCTTGGGTGAGGACTTCTGCTTTTAGCCTTGCTTCTGTGGAACCCTAAGCCCCAGTCTCAGGAGGCTTTGCCTATCTCACTCCGCTCTCAATGGGGAAGAAATCCCTAGGATTTCAGCTCAGGTTTCCAGCCAATAGATGTCAAGGGCCCAGGCTTGGAGTCAGGGGGATAGAGGTGTAAGTCTCAGAACTCCCTCCTCTAGCTTTGGAAAGTCTCACAAACTTTCTGAGCCTGCCTGTTCATAAGAAAATGAAGTGGACTAGCACCTACGTTCACAGGATGTCTGCGATGATTAAATAACTAAGAATAAAGGCCAGGGAAAACTATGGCGTTGGAATACAGCAGCTTTTGGTGGACTGGTGACTACTTGCGGCCAGAATTTTTTGATTCCAAGACATGGACAGTTCACATTTTAACATTCCTAAAACGGGGATGCACCTTCATGCTGATGTGATTTCCGTGTGGCCCTTCCTCGTGTTTGCCTCTGGAAAGCTGTTGTTATTAATAAATCCATGGCATGTCTTATGGTCAACAGAATGAGGAAATATGGAGATTTATGACCAAATACTTGCAAGGTGTTCACCCTTCCTAGAGAAGCAGCACATTTGAGGTGACCTCCTCTTGGCAACCATCACTCTCCCAAAGTCCCTCAGTTCAGGCCACTTTTCCTTTCATAAGTACCCCAGGGCTCTTCCTAAGGCCAGGTTAAATGGCTGAAACGCTCCCAGGGTATAACATTTACATGGAAGTCTGGGTCTGCGATGGGTTGCAGTGAGGCAGCTGGCCAGATGTCCCATCAAACACTGGACTGTACTCTATCTCTCAGGGGTCAGCTTTCCCCAGGGAGGAGGTCACCGAGGCAGACATGGAGGGGAGAGCAGAGGAGGGGCTTCCTAAGGGGATGGCAGGTCCCTACATTTTCCCAGTCAAGTGAGCACCAGTTTGGCAAGGTAAGCCAGAGCCAATTCAGGAATCTTAGCTGGAGCAAATGCCGGCTGGTTCCCCTGGAGGGTCATCAAAGCAATGGCTAGGAAGTTCCAGAAGGTTCTGTTTTGTCATTGCTTAAGGGCCTCTAGAAATGAGAGGAGGCTCGGAGGCCCAGATGATGTTTTGCCAGTTCTACCCACGATGCACCTCTCCATCCACTTCCTTCCCTTCCTAGAAGGCAGAGGGACATGAGCCTCCCTGAGCCTCCTCAGGGAAACTCAGAGCAAGTCCCGGTGGGACACTTGGGCTTCTCTAGTTCCCCCATTGCAGGAAGTGACCTCGAAATGGCAAGGAGGAAGCAAAATCAATTATTTCTCCATTGTTCCTCTGCAGTATTGAGACACAGGGAATTAATGAAGACGGGGGCCCTTGCTGTGTGCTACATGCTGGCTGGACCTTTTGTCTGCTATATTATTAATTTCATTTATTCATTTATTATTATTCATTATTTCATTTATTCATTCATTCAATTATTGAGCATCTACTATGTGCCAGGCACGGTTCTAGGATCTGAGGACATAGGAGTGAGCAAATATCATTCCTGCCCTTGTGGAGTTTACATTCTAGTGGGAAGAGCCAGGCAATAACACAACAATAACCATAGAACATATCAGGGTGATAAGTGTACAAAGAAAAATGAAGCCAGTTAGGGGACTATGAAATTGGGTGAATGGATGGGGGAGAGTTGAAACTACTATGATTTTAATTTTTTAAAAAATATTTTACTAATGCTAAGAGAAACTAACATCTATTGATTATACAAATTTTAATTATAAAATTTATTATAGATATATTTATACTCTTTCAACTTCTACCAATGAGAGCATCGTTGAGCTGTTAATAGGTGCCACACATGTATTAAATATTTTACATACTAATACACGCTGTTAGTAAGTGTACCCATTTTACAGACGGGGAAAATGAGGCTGGGCTTGGTTAAGTAGCTTTCCCAAGTTCCTAATACTGAGTGATGAATCTAGGTTTCACATCCAACTCTGTCTGACTCTAAAGCCTATGTTTTAATTACACTGCCAATGCTGGGTGGGTGGCATTTTACTCATATAGATGAAGAAGGTGAGGGGCAGAGAAGTAAAAAGTTATTGAGAGCAGGAATTAAAATCCAGAGCTGTCCTACTCCAAAGCCCAAGTCCCGTCCTCTCCACTACATTCCTTTTCATTAATTAGGGAGACCTTCAAAAATTAAGATAAAAAATTCCAGTGAGATCTGGAAATGCATGCCTGGTGCTCCCATCAATCTGCTCCTGGGTGTGTGGGGGTCCCCGCTGTTCTTCAGGGACTACAGTCCTCACAATAGCACCTGCCATTCTGAACCTCTTGTGCGAGTTGCTGGTCCTTGCAAGGCAGACCAGCTCATGCTTGTGACTGAGAATTGTTGTCATTTTCATGAGTTGTCACCAACATGCATAACCTTATTATGCAAAGCATGGGTTTATTTTGGTGAAAACAGAGCCCGACTCTACCTCAAGGCGTGGGCGCCTGTTAGAACGTGACTCACCCAAAATGCGAGCTTTTTCCATTTCCAATTTGATGGTGGAGACTACTTTGAAGTTGCTGGTAACCTTACTTAGCAAATGACCAAAACAGGGAAGATTGTACTGACAAGCTCACCACACTCCGTTTCCAGAGAACTTTCAGCTTGTGCAATGTTCTAGATGCATCTCTCCGCAGAGCTCTATTCACCCATAAATGGAGAAGGCAGCTGCCCACACACTGTGGTCTGCAGGACACTGGTAAAACCTTTCTGCCTCCTCCCTGACATACACCTGCTCTAGCGCCAACATTTGCATCATGTGTTTCTCGGTTTCCATGTCTCTGAGCCTCGGTTTTCTCTTCTGCTAAATGGGATAAATGTTACCTTCTTTGAATTGCTAAAGCATCTTTTTTTTCAGCATGCAATTAACCCAAAGATCACTGGAAGGTGCCACCAGTCACTCCCCTTGAGTGTCAGACAGCTTTCCATCTCTTCCAGCATGCCAAGATATGCCTTCAGAGGAAACAGAAATGTTACTGGGGGAAGGATGAAACATGAGGGGTCAGGGGTCTTATAGAATATTCAGTTGGCCTTACAGAGTTCCCCTGGAGATAGGGACAGAGGAAGGACACCCATGGAAGGACCCAAACTAATAGGTGTTACTCGCTCCCTTCTTCCTCTCTGGGCTGGTTGCCAACACTCAGATGCTGGACTGAAAGAAAGAGGGTGAGGTTGGAGAAAGCAATGTTCATTGGACACCAACAAAGTAGGAGTCACTTGAAGTAAAGCACCTCGTGAATTCACCTAGCGAAGGTTCATTACTCTTATTTAGCAAAAGAAGAAAACAGGCTTAGAGAAATGAAAATGCATTACATCACACAAGTAAGAGATGGAGCCAAGAGTTACCTAGTCCTTCACTTCAGCCCTGGATTTTTTGTTTCTCTCCCTCCTTCCTCCCTCACTCCATTTTCCTTCCCTCTCTGTCTCTCTCCCTCCCTCCTTCCCTCCCTCCCTTCCTCCCTTCTTTCCTTCCTTCCTTGCTTTTCTCCCTCCTTCCTTCATCTGTCCCTCTTTTCTTCCATCTCTCCCTCCCTCCTTTCTCTCCTTCCTTCCTTCTTTCCTTCCTTCCCTCCCTCCTTCCTTCCTTCCTTTTCTCCCTCCTTCCTTCATCTCTCATTCTTTTGTTTTATTTTCTTTCCTTTCTTCTCCTTCCTTCTTCCCTCCTTTTCTCCCTTCTTCCTTCCTCTCTCCCTCTTTCCTTCCATCTCTCCCTCCCTCCTTTCTCCCTTTCTTCCCTCCCTCCCTCCCTACTTCCTCTCTCCCTCTTTTCTTCCATCTCTCCCTCCCTCCGTTCTCCCTTTCTTTTCTGCCTCCCTCCCTCCCTCTCTTCCTTCCTTCCTTGCTTTCTTCCTTCCTTCTTTCCATCTTTACTTCCGCCCTTCCTTTCTACCACAAATTCTTACTTATTCCAGGCACCAGGACTGTAACAGTGAACTAAGCCAACACTATCCTTGACCTCCCAGAGGGAACAGCCTAGGGTGGAGGCAGATGCTTTGTTTTCCACTTTTCTCAGCTGTCCTTGCCCCACATTCCTCATGCCTGGCTGCCGATTTGCTCTGGGCTCCACCTGATGCTAGCCCACTGGACACATGACATCATCTGCACTTCTCTTTGCATGAGAGTTCAAAGCTGACTGTGTTTTCTAGCCCCCAGCCCCTGCTCCATTTGGAGAGTATTTACTATCTGTGGGGTAGCTTGTATTCATTCATTCATTCACTCACTCACTCACTCACTCACTCACTCACTCACTCACTCACTCTTATTTTCCCTGAGCAAAGAGCCACATCCTGGAACATAACAGTGTCATGCCTTTGTTTGGTTCTTTTATGGCCTAGCTGAGGAGTAAGGAGAATATGCTCTGTCGTTCATTCATTCATTCTCCAAATATGTCTTGAGCACTTATAATATGTGAGAAATCTCTCTTTTGTAGGCTGTGGGGCTACAGGGAAGAGCAGGACAGATTGGTCCTTGCCTTATGAGACTCTTAGGCCAGAAGAATTAAGATGATCTTAATTCAAGATGATCCACCTGTTCCCAGGTTGCATCCACTACACAGCACTGCAGGGCTCTGCTTGAGAGCATTGTCCTTTGGGATGCTAAATGGTAAGGAGCAACTTGGATTGCCCAGTCATAGTCATGCTAATCAGGAAAGGCTTCCTGGAGGAGGAGATACATCACTTCTGCAGGGTACATGAGCAATTTCTGGTGTCCACTGTCCCCACCCTTCTGATTCTCCATCCATGGGAAAATGCAAACATGTGACAGCCACAAACCTGCCCCAGAGCCAGACAGAATAGATTCATCAGCCTGAACCTGCACTAGCCAGAAAAAGCGTTCCCGAAACTACATTGCTGGGTGTCATCTAAGTCGGCAGATGATTTACTGCTGACAGCCCTTGGCGCAACATCACTAGTTCTGGGAAGGAGTAAATTAAACATTATATTTTCATTGGATACATCCATTTCATGGCTCCTTTTAAAATCATCTGCATGACACATCCTGTCACTTAACAGTATTTGCACCTGTTCCCTGAATATCAAAGATTGTGCCATAAAACACTCTTAAGGCTACAAGAGACACAGGGAAAAGAGCATCTCAGGACACCAGAAAACACAGCCTCTGCTGGAAGACTCCTCTCTTTTATTGACTCCAAGTTTGCAATGGGTAAGACAAAAGCTGTGGATTCCTCCTTACAGCATATCTGCTCACCTGAGCCTCAACAGCCATCAGAACCCTCAAACCTCCATGAAACTCACACACACACACAAATTGAGAGGCAAAAATAAAATAGCATTTCCTTTGCAACTATTTATTTCAGCAAGGAAAACCGGAAAATTCACTTCTGTGATGAATCACAGATTTTTTTTTCTCCAGCAGATTTCCCTTCATTTAAGCAGGCACACTTTCCCTAAATCCCTGGCACACTCCAAATATCCAGGCAGAGAACTCTGGGCTGTGCCAGGTGTCAATGCCTACTTTGGGGAGGTGGGGGGAGGTCCCCTTCTAATTCTTCTATGTCCAGGTTGAAGCCCAGCCAATTACTAAGCCCTCGAGAAAGAAACAATGGCTAATTAAGATGAACTTTAAGCGGGGGAGAGGACTTAATTAATTTGATCTTTATCTGAAACTCTTTCTAATTGAAGTAAACTTTAGAAGTTCTATGGATCAATGCGCTCAGACTATTTGTAAAAAATGTACATATAGTGCTTCTTTATAAAGCAGAAGGTTGATAAACCGGATATTAGCTAGTGGATTAAATTAACACTGACCTTCAGTCCCCTTCCCCAAGCACAACTGTTTGTGAAAGTGCTCATTTACTCACAGAAATAGAAAATTTGGGCTGTAACAGATCTGACGTAGGTGGAAAGGGGCTGGGGGGACAATAATGCACTTTAAAACAGACAGGTGGGATTCTTGGCATTTCTCTGATTATTCTTAAACTATTCTACTTATTTCTCCATTGATTTATGTATTTGCATATTCATTTCTCCTATAAACATTTATTGAGCAACTATGATGTGCTAAGGACCATTTGTGGGCATAGAGTGAAAAGTGGCAGGGTGATTCTCTGCTTTCCTGGAGTTTATATTCCAGTTGAGGGAGAGAAACAATGACCACATAGAGAAATACGGAAATACATCATTTTGGCTGGAGGATGGGATGCAGTGGCTGAGGTTAGGCGACTGTTTGATCAGGATGGTTGGAGATGGGCTTTCTGCAGAGGTGAAAGTTAAGGTCAATCTTGAACTTTGAGAAGATATTTAAAATATGCAGCTCTTAGGAGATTCTAAGATCCAGCCCAGGTGATATCCATGGGTTAGCCCAGGAGTATGAGTCCAACCAACCTTGGGTTGCATGGCAGACAGAAGGAAGGCCAGTGTTGAGGCTTACAGGAAGGGTGGTACAAAGTGGAGTATCAGGGAAGGCAGAACCCATGTCCAGGAGAGTTTGGTGCATATGTGGATTTTCTTTGGGTACAATGGAAACCACTGAAAAGGTTTTGTGACAGAGTGATCTTTGTCTGATGTCTCTCTCTATATATATACTTAAAGGTCACCAAAGAATAGATTATAGGGGAATAAGAATAAAGGAGAAAGCTGCTCCCATTCTGCTAAAACATCCACCAGAGAAGATACGGGGCTTCCTGAAATGGAAGAAAGAAATTTCTCAATTTTCTGAGGGCTGTGAATTTGGCTGCAGGACACGCTGCTGCTTCATGAGGCAGAGTGGGGATGCCGTTGGTCAGCCCATGAGTTCAGTGGAAATGTAGGCCCATCTGTGGGCTCTGAGGGCAGCAGCACCTGCAGATCTCCGAAGGAGGCTCCTGGTACTCCCCCAATCTACCTAGAATTCGCTTCTTATGCAACGTTGTCTCTCGAGAAGGAGCCAGTCACCCTGGACTCTAATCCCAGCTCCTTCACTAATGGTGTGGCTTTGGGCAAATGAATGAATGTGCCTCCAGCTTCTAGGGTTGCATGGGAAAAATGGGACTTTTAACACTTATCCCATAGAGCTGTTGTGAACATTAAATGATATAAAACTATAGTAGTGTTTGGCAGGGCTTGGCACTTAATAAATAATGGGTGACGTTTATAGAGTATTTGCTATAGCCCTGTGTTAAGTGTTTTATATATTGATTATCTCATTGAATCCTCACGAGAACCCCATGCAGGAGGTACTGTTTTTATTTTCCTTTTAAAGATGAGCAGAGTGACGTTAAGAAACAGTCTGAGATCACAGTCCAGTAAATGAAGAAGATGGGATTTGAACCCAGTCCAGTTCCAAGAGGTGGGGTTAGACCCAGGTGACTAACTGAGGAGTCTGATCTCGATCTCTTTTGCTCACTCACACACTTGGTAGCCCTTATTAGGGTCATTACTGTCCGTTTGTTTACTCAGTGATGCAAGGCACAGCTGTTCTGTGCCAATCACTGTGTTGGCAGCATCTACATACAGTGATTCTCCTCGATGCCTGCCCTACCAGAATTCTCCACCAGGGAAATTCCACAGCGCAGTCTTGGGAGGTGTCGGAGTGGATGGAATCCATCACACCTCAAGGTAGGGGAATGGAATCCATCACACCACAAGGTAGGGGAATGGAATCCATCACACCTCAAGGTAGGGGAACCGCAAATACAAGATGCCCAGTTAAATTTGAATTTCAGATAAACAGCAAGTAATGTCTAGTATGTCCCAAATATCACATCCTGCATTTTATCCAGAGGAAGAGAGGGAAAGGGCTACAAGAACATGGAGGCTAGAGAGGAGAGGCCCAGTCAGTGACAGCTTCACAGAAAGCAAGCAATGTGCTAAGAATGAGAAGGAGACGGCTTAGCTGAGGCCAGGAAGGAAGGGCATTTCAGCAGAGGGAAAGGCATCACCAGAGGCACAGAATCAGGAAAGAACAGAGGCCTGCTAAGACTGGGTGTATGTGTTTTTCTTTTTCTTTTTTTTTTTTTTTTTTTTTTTGAGACGGAGTCTCGCTCTGTCACCCAGGCTGGAGTGTAGTGGCACAATCTCAGCTCACTGCAAGCTCTGCCTCCCAGGTTCACGACATTCTCCTGCCTCAGCCTCCCTAGTAGCTGCGACTACAGGTGCCCACCACCACACCTGGATAAGTGCTGGGATTACAGGTGTGAACCACCGTGCCCGGCTGACAGGGTGTATGTGCTTTAAGAGAAAGCAGTAGAGACCAAGACTTGGTCCTGGGTGACCAAGAACTTGAACATCCTGTTAAAAAAAGGTCTTTGGACCTGGCACGGTGGCTCACACCTGTAGTCCCAGCACTTTGGGAGGCTGAGGCAGGCAGATCACCTGAGGTCAGAGGTTTGCGACCAACCTGGGCAACACGGCGAAACGCCATCTCTACTAAAAATACGAAAATTAGCCGGGTGTGGTAGCACATGCCTGTAATCCCAGCTACTCAGGAGGCTGAGGTAGGAGAATTGCTTTAATCCCAGGAGGCGGAGGTTGCATTGAGCCAAGATCGCTCCACTGCACTCCAGCCTGGGCAACAGAGTGAGACTTCACCTCAAAAGAAATAATAAGGAAAAAGGGTATTTGCTTTTATGGCTAAAGGCATCACTGAGTGTTTCTAAGAAGAGTATCGGCACTCAGGGGGTCACCAACTGGCCATTTTGAAGGTCCCTAGGAGACAAAGTGTTAAGTGACTGGGTCACTCTGTGGATTCAGTTAGGAAGGGAATCTTCTTTTCTTGATTATGCTTGTGATTTGAGAAAAACAGTAAGTTTGCTGCGTAAAAAGGCAATAAGGAGGTGCCCAGGAATTCTTTGCCACAGATAAAAAGAAAGAGAACAAAACTATATTAAATACCTCCTATGAGCCAGACATTGTGCTGGGTGCTGGGGATAACATGGGAAGCGGAAACAGACCTTTCTGTTTTCTAGAGGACACAGACAAAGAATTCCACAAATAAATGTACAATTGCATGGTGCTAAGGTCGACACACGGGTACTGAGCTTGTGGGTATCTAGGGGGATTCATCTAGCCGGGGTCAAGGTGGACTTGAAGGTCGTGGCAGGGGGTATAAAGAGCTCAGAGGTGAGAGGCCAGTGGAGAAAAGGAGTAGGAATGTCACCCTGTAGTCAGCTCACCGGACCCCATAGTCCCTGCCAAAGGGTTCTAGTTTTTCCTTCAATAGGCAATTGGGGCCGGGTGCAGTGGCTCACGCCTGTAATCCCAGCACTTTGGGAGGCCGAGGTGAACAGATCATGAGGTCAGGAGATCAAGACCATCCTGGTTAACACGATGAAACCCCATCTCTACTAAAAATACAAAAAATTAGCCAGGCTTGGTGGCAAGCGCCTGTAGTCCCAGTCACTCGGGAGGCTGGGGCAGGAGAATGGTGTGAACCTGGGAGGCAGAGCTTGCAGTGAGTGGAGATCAGCCACTGCATTCCAGCCTGGGTGACAGCGCGAGACTCCATCTAAAAAAAAAAAAAAAAAAAAAAAAAAAAAAAAAAAAAAAGGCAAATGGGGCACTAGTGATGATAAGAGTTCAACAGAAAAGTCAGTCTAGTCCCGGGGGTTCAACTGGAAGGGGGGATGACATGGAGAGGCTGCAGGGAGCCCAGTTAGAATGTCACGAATGGTGTCCCAGGGGAGAAAAGAGGACCGTGGTTATGTCAGGGACTCAGGCTGGAAAGGAGTAGGTTGGAATTATTATGGGTTGTTTTTCATTTTTTAAATACATCTCTGTGTTGTTTCCTATGTAAAACTGTATCACCGATGCAACTTTTTACAGACAAATTAAAAAGATTAAAAGAAGGGAAAGGAATAAACTTCAGCTTGCAAGACCCATGGAGACAATGTGAGTGAAGATGAAAGGAGAGAGACAAAGAAGTGGCCGAGTTTTGGAAACGCACACGCTCCCATGGGCACCGGAAAGGGTGCGTCTGGTGATGGGACCGTACCTTGCGGCAAGCAGCTGGCACCGAGGTGAGCTGAGGGCTCTGAAGAGACCTCTCCACAGTCTGTGCCACTCCCTGGAGACTCACTCCCCTCACACCGGGCATCTGAGAGCAACATCTTTGCTGACAACAGAGTTTCCCAGAGGGTTAAGGAAATAACGAGGGGACCTGCAATCCCAGGGGAAGGAATTTTTAGTTAAGTAGAAGTGATATGACCTTGGGGGAAAGTGACCATGAACTTACAGCTACCGAATTCCTCCCTTTTATTGCCTACGGCGGGGTCAGAGAGAGGTGGGTAGATATTTATTGAGTACTTACTATATGCCTGTAGAACACCCAGAACGTTCCAGAGCGTATGCATCTTCACACTGAGAATATAAGCTCCACTAAGGGAGGGATATTGTTTTCTTTGCTGTGGACCTTCCGTGCTTACAACAGAGCATGCTCTCAGTAAAGGTTAGCTTATGTTATGTGAATTTTGCTTTTACATGACTTCTGACAATTTACTTTAAATTCAGTGTGCCTCAATGTTCCCATCTGTAAAATGTGGGCATGAGTAGCGCCCATTTCATAGGATAAAATGAAATGCTGCATTTCGTCATTCTGCCTTCTCATTGCCAGGGTGTGGTAAACAGAACCTGTTGGTATTACAGTTGGTCTTTGAGCAACATGGGTTTGAATTGTGTGGGTCTGCTTATATGTGGTTTTGTTTTCAACCAAATATGGATTGAAAACACAATATTTACAGGAGGTGAAATCTGTGTGTACGAAGCGCTGACTTTCATTATATTCGGATTCTGCAGGGCCGACTTTGGGACTCGAGTATGCATGGATTTTGGTATTAGCAGGGGGCCCTAGAACCAATCCCCCATGTGTACCAATGGATTACTGTATTATTATTACAATGACCATATAAGCAAGCATTATCTTTATGTTATACAAATAAGAATCGGAGGTCCAGGAAGGCTAAGTAATTGAGTCGAAAACACCTAGGTAGTAAGCAGCAGAGTCCAGATGCAAAGTTCTGTGCAGGGCACCCACCACCTCTACAGAAAGGGGAGGAGGCACAGGCGACAGTCAGACGGGCACTCCTGGAAAGGTAATAATGAAGGAAAGGTGAAGGGGGACTGTATTTGTTTTCTGCAGTTTCTATTACAAATGGCCACAAACTTGGTGGCTTAAAACAACACAAATCTATTCTCTTACAGTTCTGGAGGCCAGAAGTCCTTAAGCAAGGTGTCAGCAGGATCATGCTCCTTCTGAAGGGTCTAGGGGAGTATCTGCTCTTGCCTCTTTGAGCTTCTGGTGGTTTCTGGCAATCATTGGTGCTCTGTGGCTTATAGACACGTGCTCCAATCTCTGCCTCCATCTTCACCTGGCATTCTCCCCTGTTCCTTCTTCTCTCCCCTTCTCTTATAAAGACTGTTTTTCTTGGAATTAGAGCCTAACCCAATCCGGGATGGTCTCAACTTGAGACCCTTAATTTCATTATCTCTGCCAAGACTCTTTTTACAAATAAGGTCACTTTCACAGGTTCTGGGCAACATGTCTTTTCTTGGGGTGGGGGAACACCGTTCAATCCACTACACAGGCAAATACTTTCAAGAGTAAATAAAACAAAGAAACCTGATTTGGAAAGACAGACGGCTGGAATCAACTCTGAGCGACAACCGTGCATGCAACTGGCATTATCACGTGCTTCCAGCTGGCAGATGCTCTGCTAAAAACGTTGCCTTCAGATGCAATCTCATGGAACCCTTACTACAGCTGTGTGACTCAGGTATGATCATAATCGTGTCTTTACCCAGGAGGCTCATGAAGCTCAGAGAGAGGAAGCAACTGGCTCAGGGTCCCACAGCTAGTAAGTGGAAAGCAGGATTTGAATGTGGATGGGCTGTCTCAGGAGCCCTGGCTTCCTTAAGGCACACAGACACACACACAGATGCCCACACACAGATACCCAGACACAAACACACACACACACACACACACACACACACAGAACACACACACACAGACCTTTTGAGTACTGGTTAAAAACTAGAAGAACAAAGCAAGATATAAATGCACTGTTTGAGGCAGATGTGCAAAGTTAAAGTGAGAAGGCAGGAAGGCAGGAAGACCCAGTTCTTCACTAGCTTTTGTCTTATTCATCAAAGGAATGAGCTTAAACCAGAAAGAGCAGAACAAACATGGCTAGGAAGGGAACAGAAGATACGTGAAATGATACAGACGGCCCCAGTCTAGGCAAATGGATTCAAGTCTTCAAGGAAGGTATCTTACCAGGATCCCCACACTCTGATCTTGTGTGACACTGATACTCCATAACATTGAACAAGGAGAGGCAGATGAAAGGTTTAACCTGCAAGATCTTGCTTCTGACAACCAGGGTCTGACCACTGACTCCATCACTTAGCCTGTTGTGCCACCTTTGGCAACCACTTTACCAATTTCAACCTCAATTTTTAATCCACAAAATATAGTTTTGCCCATAAAGTCTGAAGACTTCAATAATTTATTATTTTTTATAGACTGAAGATTTTCTTGATGATATTATGCCTATTTCCCCTTGTTTCCAGAATTTATGCCTCCCTGCAGAAATAATAACAGTATCAACCTCATAGGGCTGTAGTGAGGCTTAAATGCACTAAAATGTATAAAAGTACTTATCATGATACCTAGCATACTAGGGGCTCCATAAATTTAAGATGTTTTGTCCAATCCACTTTCTAAAAAAGTTGATGAACAGGGTTCTACCCCCATTTAAACTTTTTCCATCCCAAATTGCAGCATTTAAAAATCTGCAATATATCTAATTTAGCACAACACCTATATTTAATGAATTTCTGTTGGATATAGCAACATTTTATACACTTCAACAGACGTGAGCACGACATTAAATTTTCTACACCCTAAATTAGTTTTAGAGACAGTAAACTAGGGCAGGGCTTGGAAAACTTGTTCTGTAAAAGGCCAGATAACAAATATTTTAGGCTCTGTAGATCACATACGGTTTCTGTTGCAACTGTTTAACTCTGCAGTTCCAGCAGGAAAGCAGCCACAGGAGTATGTAAATGCAGGAGCATGGCTGTGTTCCAATAAAACTTTATTTACAAAAGTGGATGAAGGCTGCATTTGGCATGCAGGCTATCGTTTGCTGACTCCTGACCTAGGGTGCTGAGAAAATTGGCAAATATCACCAGTAATTCTTGAGGCATCCAGAGACACAGGGTAGTATCTGGGAGCCTCTGAACAGGAAATGAATAGATTTTCAGAAAAGAGAAACGCAGATGAAGGATTCCAGATGGGATAAGCTGGATTTTGGTCCTGAGGCTGAGAATACCTTGCCCAAGGCAATTCATAACGTCCTAGCAGCTGTGGGGTTTGGACCCCGGCATTCTGGCCTCACAGTCTGCATACTGAACTACTGTACTTCACAGCCCCAGCCCAGAACAGGGGGTGGCATGCAGTACAGGGGAAATCTCTGGGTGTGAAGCAAAAGTGGATTGGATTTTTAAATTGTAAAAAGGTTTTTAAAAGCCTGCTTTCTAAAGAATGGCTTGGGGCAGGGGCTTTAGGGGGAAAACAGGGAGACCAGTTCGGTAGTGCCTGTGGTGGAGGGTATAGAACTAGTTCCCAGGCTTGGCACAACCCCTGACTTCTTGTACACATTCCCGTTTTCTGGGTAGTTCTCTCACAATGACATTTATTATCATATGGCCTTTGTTATCAGAGTTGTGCTTTATATTCTTAAAGCGCTTTTGCTCTTTGATGTACCTATTTTCTCATTGATAGTCTCTCTTGGAGGCAGATGGGTCTGGGGATGGCAGTGTCCATGCACGGACAAAGCCATGAGTTATTATAAGACAAGAGATAAAGCTGCAAGGTATTGATTTGACAAGGTCACATAGCTAGCTTTTGGAAAAACTTGCTATAGGTGAGTCAGCTCCACCCAGGGTGGCCCAAAAGTAACTAAGGTGGAAATAGTGTTTTTCTGGCTATCATTAAGCGTTCTCTCTCTCTATCCAAATGATACACATTTTTGTTCATCGTCATAATGTTGCTTGACAAGCCTCGTACTGTCGCAGGGACTGTGCCACAAGTGCTGACCGCTTTATCTCTTTTAATCTTCACAAGTCCCTGAGGAAGATACTCTTAGAAGCTGATCTTATAAAGGAGGAAACTGAAGCCCTGTCATTGACAAACAGGCATTTGCAATAACATTCATTCCTATGTAAATATCCTTTACAGAGTGTTCTTTCCATCACCATTTGATCGCCAGAAAATCCTGCTAGGTGCCAACCAGACTTACGTGCAAACCTTAGCTTTGCTGTTTCCTTAATGCATGATAACCTGAACAAACTCCTGAAATTCCCTTGAGCCTCAATTTCCTTCTCTGTGCAATGGGCATAAGAATTCCCAACCCTGTGAGTTGTAAGGATTAAGTGAAATAGCAAAAGTTGCTTTCATCCCTGCAGCATGCATTAAGAAAATCCTATGGAAGTGATTAGCACCTGACATAGGGTAGGTGCCTAGTAATATATTGCCGCCCTGGGAGTCTCTTATTTTTTCTTCGCTTATTTTCAGAGGGCATTGCCTGGCCAATATCATCCTCATTATATATAAGCTCAAACAAGTGCAAATCAGAGCTCCTTTTTTTTTAAAAAAAGAAATCAGGTTCTGCATTTGGAAGAGCCTAGAGACAAGGAAATGCAACTTGAGGCATTTAGGGCAACTCCAATTTTGGGGGCCACTTGGTTGTGCTGGAGAGGGAAACAGGGGCAAAAGGAGAATTTGAAATCCCCACAGGTTCCTGGGAAACAATGGAAGTCACAGGGTGGGGCCCTTGCATGAGAATACATTCTTTTGATTTTGTTTTGTCTTTCTGATTGGCTGCCAGTTTCTTAATGCAATATGAGAGCAAGAGGGAGCTAATTCTCTTCAGAGCCTAAAATCCCTCGAGCCGAGCTGGCACTTGAACGAAGACAAAGCTTATTGAGATTGGGCAGGGAAGTTGTCACTGTGTGATTTGGGAGTCTTTCATTTGGCCAATATAACTCCATTAGATTTTGGAAGTGAACCCAGGTAGCAGGGAGGGTTCTGGAAGTAACATTCTCCAACCAGCTTGTAATTAAAATGGAACCCTTTGAAGAACTGGTCCTCTCTCAATTGCTCCAGCCTCTCTCTGTCAGATTGAATGCCAGGAAGCCGCTGCCTTAAGCTTTGGCTAGTTTTCTGCCAAGGCGTTTAACTCTCAGTTTTGTGTTGCTTGTATTAGTGCTAAGGGCATAACTGGGTGCAGAATCTGGTACATCATTGCATCTGTCATTGTGTCTGTCTTTAGCTCTTCCTAATAACCACAGCTCTGAAACATGAAGGAGCTGTTTTGCAAGCTGTATCTTTCACACCCGCCCCCACTCACTCCGCAACTTGCCCCCTTCCTTCTGTGATTTTTTTTTTTTTAACCCATGTTTCACTTCCCACATTCTGGTTCTTGTTCTTCCTGGAGAACGGGACCAGGCAAGAAACACCAGGGCACATTAGGTTAAAGGAAACCTTATTTCCCCCTCTCTGCTAGAAAAGTCAGAGCTCTCAGAGTTGAGTGATCTTCAAAACCCAGTTCCTTATAAGAAGGGGGCTGCCAGTGAGTGACTGAGAAATGGATGGTAATAATCCGACTCTAGACCGACTAAACTGGAATTTGGAGAAGTGAGAGTTTGCATCAGTCTTTGCTTCCAGAAAGCTTTATATAGGAAGAAAGTGCCACGCAAATGAGATTTCACAACACCGGTATCTGGTAATTTTGGTTGCATTTCTTCTGGGTCCGTGGTGGAATTCACAGAGAAAAATGCAAGAGGGAAATTGTTGCATTGTAATCTGCTTTCCAAAATCTCCGTCTAGAGTCCCCCAAAATTAAAAAAACTGTACATTAAGCAACAAAGTGGAAAAAAGACATTATCCAGAAATATGATGGAAGTGGTTCATATCAGTCACGGTGTCTTCCCCCATCTGAATAACCCTCTAAACACCCTTATCTCCCACACTGTGTTAGGAATGAGAGACATCTGTTCATCTTCTGTAAAGTGAAAATAAAGCATCTTAGAAAACTGTACTATTCTTATTGATCTATAGTATATAATCTAATTAAAACCAGTATGCCTTCTACTTAAATACAGCTTCAAAACAAATTCAAAACAAATTTAACATCTCTCTCTTCCAACTCGATTATCTTTCCTACTCACTTCCTACATGGAAATGTTGGTTATATGGTTAATATCCATACAGCATAAAGAACAGACACACCATACAATAAACATTAAGTCATCATAAAAAAAAAACAGCAAAAGACTATGGATTAGGAAATGAGCAACTAATCAATTGGCAAAAATTCAACCTTACTGATTATCAAAGAAATTTCAACGCACCATTTTTTACTAATCAAGTAGCAAGTCTATTTTCATACCGATTTATTCAAAGCAGGTAAAAGTATGGGCTGCAAAGGCTCTCATCCTCCTGCCATATCCCAAGAGGGCAAAGGTTATCTACACATGCCGCCTGCAATCCAATTTTATGGTTCAACATTCTTTATGCCCAGATCATTCCAAGCATAATTTGACGCTAGTGGGCATTTTGTTTTTGAGAACAAAATGTGTATGTGGTAGATATGTTAAGGAAACTAAAGCTCCAAACCCCCTCAGTTGTATAGACTTCTTTGGAGATGCCAGGAAAGGCTCTTGCAATTTTCTATTTCTAATTTTGTTAGCAATCCAAACATTTTATAAGCTCTGAGTCTTGGAAATCCAGGCCCACCTTTGAGCAGAGTTGGAGGAATGGTGAGAGCCGTACAGGAATGCTCTGGCCATGATCATGGCTGGTAGCCTGAAGTTAAATCCAAAGGGCTTAGAGGAAGCCAAGAGAGGAGATACTGGGCCACCCACAGGGTGGGGAGGAACACCAGTGGGGAAAGACAGAGGTCAAGGCAGAGCAACCTGTATTGAAGATGTTCTGTTAGTGATCAAAGGGAGAGGTAGTCATCAAAACAGCTCCCCTTCACTGAACAGCCAGAAGGTGCCACGCACAGTGCTTACAAATTTGAGGCATGAACTTGGAAATCTGGCTCAGCTCCTCTAAGCAGGAATTGCCCTCCTCGGTGTATAAGTCAGGAATGTGTGGCTTGCAGAGATGAAGGGACTGGCTCCTGGTCACCCAGTGCCTAGGCAGTTGGTTAAAAGTTAAACCTGGCCAGGCCTGCCTGACTCCAAAATTCCCATCCCTTCTGCAAAGCCACCTTCCTTATTGGACAAAATATTGCAAACCCCGGACATGAAGGCCAACCCTGTGAGTGGCGAACAATGGTAAGAAGCCATGTAAAGCTGTAAAACAAGGAGAAAAATGAACCTCTGGGCTCAGATGGGAAATGGCTTCAGATATTTCAAGAAACAAAGTGGGTTTGTTTGAGGATTGAAGCACCTCAGTTTCCCATTTATTCCTAACTCAGCAAGTGGATCCACAATGAAATCAAGTCCCTTAACAAATAGAGCTAATGCAGGCCTAATCCCACATGGAAGATGAAAAATGTGTCTTAATCTTTTGCCTGGCCTGGAAAACTAGACCTTGGAGTGTGTGTGACTGCCACTCCCATCAGTCAACATATACAGGCAGGAAGACTTGGGGTGAGGAACGGGGTGGTGTTGGATGAAATGGCTTCAGAGAAACCTTAAATGCCAGCTGGCCCCGCTTAGGGCATCAGAGTCATTCCAGCTGAACTGAAACAAGTATTTCTTAATCTCCTTCACCCTTCATGGCTTGGACTCCATCTACTAACTTTGAAGTTTGCCTTTCTTTCTTGATGTTATGGACTTGGTTTCCTCATCTGTAAAATGGATCAATACAGAACAGAAGGTTTCCAAGACATCCACCGCTCTTCTTACACGAGCCACCCGCATCTCTGGCCTGGACCATAGTCATACCTTCTACCCGCCTCCCTGTTTCCTCTGGGCTCCATACAAGAGCCACAGACATCCTTTAAATGGCTCAGGCACAGCATGGGTCTCCAGCTCTTGGAGAGTAAGATCTAGACTGCTATGGCTCCACATTTCCAGTGTCTTCCCTGGCCTCCTTTCTGCCCCCATCTCCTGCCACTGTGGCCTCATTCCCTCCATTCAGAACCCACACTCCTATCCCTTTTGCCTAGAATGCTCCTCCTCAGATGCCCACCTGGCTCCCTACTTCTCTGCTCTAAGCATGTCCTCAACAAAGAGGCCTTCCCTGACCAACCAGTACAGTGGCATCCTATCTCTATCATTCACTCGACTTTATTTTTTAAAAGTAACATTGCTGTTTGACTTTCCATAGACGTAAAAGTTAATTTGTTCATTACCTGACTTTAGAACATCTGCTCTAGGAGGGCAGAAACTTTGTTTTTGTTTTATTCCTAGAGGAGTCCTTAGCACATGTTAGGTACTCGATAAACATGTGTAGAATGAATTGTCAGACAAGAATAAAAATAAAAACTACTCTTGCTCCAACTCTGCCACTATTTATTGAATGCGTACCATTTACTAGGCACAAAACTGACGTGCTATCTATTCACTCACCTGTGCATATTATGTCATTTAATCCTAACTGCTACTGCCCCTAGGTAAGATTGTAAAAAATAAGCACAATAATAATAATATTTTTTTTTTCTTGAGATGGAGTCTTGCTCTGTTGTCCAGCCTGGTGTGCAGTGGCGCTGTCACATCTCACCGCAAACTCCACCTCCTGGGTTCAAGCGATTCTCGTGCCTCAGCCTCCCGAGTAGCTGGGATTACAGGCGTGCACCACCATGCACAGCTAATTTTTGCATTTTTGTAGAGATAGAGTTTCGCCATGTTGGCCAGGCTGGCTTCAAACTCCTGACTTCAATGATCTACCCACCTTGGCTTCCCAAAGTACTGAGATTACTGGCATGAGCCACCACGCCTGACTCACAATAATAATTATGATAGCTAATATTTATCAAACATGCTACATGCCAGACAATGTGTATTTTATAGCAGCTTCTTGAATCCTTACAGCAATGTCATGAGCGCAGTACTATTACAAGTCTCCTTTGATGGAGGAGTAAACTGAGGCACAGTCTGACGAACAACCAGCCTACACAAGAGGAAAGCAGTGAAGTTAGGCTTTGAGGGTGACTAAGCCTGTCTCCAAAGCCAGCACTATTTCTACTACCCTTTACTACCTGGAAGGGAAGTAGTTTGCCCAAGGTCACCTGCCCCACAGTTCTCCAAGCTGGGATTCACAGCCAGGTGCTGCTGACTTTAAAGTCCATGGTGTCTTTTTGCACGTCACTGCCCAGCTCACCCCCTGTCTCCGGGCCACTGGCAGCTGGACTGGCGCACAGCAGGTGCTCCCCCAGTGCTAGGTGGATGAGTCAGGAATAGCCTGAAGAGAGTCAGCATAAGGATAGGCGCTGCAGTCCTCATTTCCCATCTCAGCGGGAGATGGTGGTCCTGGCTCTGGATTTCCCATCTCAGCGGGTGATGGCGGTCCTGGCTCTGGACTGCGTTGTCTCTTTGGCTCGCTGGACCAGAAGAACTTTGCTGCTGTATCACTTGGGGCTCAGCCATGAGTCCCTTCCAGATGAGGCCTGTTTGCCTTTGTGGATCTGACCCCACCTGAGCTCAGACTCTGGGATCAGGGGTGGGTTAATCGGAATCCTACTCTCTCTGCCTGTCAGAAGTAGTCAGGAGATTATAGGGGACTTTGCAGGGGAGAGTTCTGTAAAAAGTCAGTGGGGCAGACCAAAGAGGACATGACAACAGGCCAAAACGATACGACGGACCATGTCAGCGGCCCTGAGGAGGTGCCCATAGGATGTGCCAACACGATTACCCAAGACCCCAGGAGGCATTTATGTCAATTTTATTTCCATGATTTTGCTAGGTGGACAAAAAGGCAGAAAATTCTATTAAAATTTGATACTGAGTTACATTTTTTAAGACATGGGAATCTTTATGCGTAATGATGAGAATAAGAAAAGAAGAGACAATCTAACGCTGGATCCCAACATCTCTCCTGGATCTAGTGATATCACCACACGCGGAAACCTATCTGATGCCAGATCCCAACACCTCACCTGGATCTGGTGATATCACCACATGCAGAAACCTATCTGATGCTGGATCCCAGCATCTCACCTGGATCTGGTAATATCATCACACACGGAAACCTATCTGATGCCGGATCCCAACACCTCACCTGGATCTGGTGATACCACCACATGCAGAAACCTATCTGATGCCGGATCGCAGCATCTCACCTGGATCTGGTGATATAACCACGTGTGGAAACCTATCTGAGAGCTTTCTTAGGAGCATGCTTTCCCATGAGACATCTCACTGTCTGAATGACTTATTCCTAATTCATATGAAACAAACACAGATAGGACAAGCACTAAATGTGAGACAAACATCGGATGCAGCACATGCTCAAGAGAAGTAACTTCATTTGTTCACCAAAGACACATTCAAGAACGTTCATAGCAGCTTTATTCCTAAAGCTGAGAACAGAAGACAACCCAAGTGTCTGTCAACAGGTGACTAGGAAAACACATTGGGCTGCAGTCGTGCAATGGACTATTGCACAGCGACGGCAAAGAAGGGCTGCTGAGTCATGCAAAAACATGGTCAAAGCGTCCAGACCCTGCAGCGCACCAGGAGCTAGAAGCAAACGAATCCACACCGTACAGTCCCATGTGCGCGCTGTGCAAGGCCAGGGAGGGTGACAGAAGTCAGAACAGCGGTCACCTCTAGGGGGCGCTGACTGAGATTGTGCCCGAGGGACCTTTCTGGGAGCTGGAAATGTTCTATATCTTGACCAAGGAGGTGGTTACATGGGTGTAGACATGGAATAATTCATTGATCTTAGGATTGTATGATTAATTTGCAAGACCCAATGCAAAATGAAAACGAGGGGTCTCTTGCTAAAAAATTCTTAGGACTTTCAGGATAGCAACAGCAGAGCATTCAATGAAAAGCAGGCCCTTCTAAGTGTGGGGCCCTGCATTGTTGTACAGAGCCCATACCCATGAAGCTGGGCCTGGTTAAGCTGAGCACTCGAGGTTAGTGCACTTTATAGGAGTAAAGTAATGTGTCCCAGGCAGGGAGAAAGGATCAGTAGTGAGTTTCCATGCAGGGCAAATTTGGCAGTTATACGTCAATAAAGTGTGTGTGTGTGTGTGTGTGTGTATGTGTGTGTGTGTGTGTGTGTGTTTAAAGAACATACATAGAGGCTGGGTGCAGTGGCTCACACCTGTAATCCCAGCACTTTGGGAGGCTGAGGCGGGCAGATCACCAGGTCAGGAGATTGAGACCAGCCTGGCCAACATGGTGAAACCCTGTCTCTACTAAAAATACAAAAATTTGCTGGGCATGGTGGCGTGTGCCTGTAGTCCCAGCTACTCGGGAGGCTGAGGCAGGAGAATTGCTTGAAACTGGGAGGCAGATGTTGCAGTAATCCAAGATCGCGCCACTGCACTCCAGCCTGGCGACAGAGCGAGACTCCATCTCAAAAAAAAAAAAAAAAGAAAGAAAAAGAACATACATAGAATGAAATAGAAATCAATCATATTTTGGGGGCTGTTGGAGAAGGGGTGATTTTTAATGAAGGATATCTCTTCAAATCATTCTTTATGCAATTTCTATTTGACTTAACTGTGCTTACTTCCTCGTACTATGGCCGACCAGCCTGCAGAGAGCTTGTTAAACTGGCTTCTTCGAAGAAGAAGAGCTAAGTCAAGCTGAAATGTGCATTTGAAATTTATATTTGTATTCAATTCAATTAAGCTTCAGAAAGACCAGGGGGGACAGGAAGGACCCTCTCCAGTGTGTCCTACAGAAATGGCATGGGTAGGAACGGTGATGTTTCAGTCCAGCTGGACTTTCCAGAGGCAGGTCGGGGGTCAGCCACAGAAAGTCTGTGAGACAGAGCAGAGAAGCAGGCAGGGACCCCCAAGGGGAAGGGAGGCAGTGATGTGTCCCAGGCAGGGAAGAAGGATCATTAATGAGTTTCCATGAAGGGCAAATTCAGCAGCCAGGAACCTGCTGCTGGGGCCGGGAATCAGGAAGCGGACACCCACAAACTAGGATGGGTCTTGGCTGCTGGCTCCAACTCTGGTTGGTGATTTTCTTCTCTCTCTTAAGTTTTATGTTCCCTTTTGCTCAGAGGGGACAAGAGGCAGGGGCGAAGAGACAGCCCGGTGAGGTTGGACCTGCCAGGGAAGAGCCAGAGTTTGACCAGGACTCCTGCACTGAGCATGTTTAGAAATAGACAATTCCCAGAGTCCAGCCAGGTTGAGAGCCCAGCTTCTGGGGATGTGGGACGGAGTGATCCTAGCTGCAAAGACACCACAGGGCTGCGCTCAGGGCAGAAGCTAGGGCTATGGAGTGAGGGAACTAGGCTCAAATCTCTCACCCTTTCCCCATCCTTTACCCAGCTCTCCAAGGTCATGAGCAGTGTAAGCTGAAACATGAGGTTAAAGTCTGTAAGCTTCAGGTGTCTCATCTAAAAGTGAGAATCGTAGTAATGAATAACACTTGCTCCACTACTTGTCACATGGCAGCATTACATAAATGCATTATAGACACAGCTTCTTTTGAGCTTCACAACCAACGCACAAGGGAATACTGTTATGATCATCCTCATTTTGTAAAGGAGCGAACCAAGGCACAGAAAGTTTAAGCAACTTGCCCAAGGTCACATAGCCAGTAAAGAACAGAGCCAGGGTTTGAACCAAGGTAGCTTCACTGGCAAATCTGTGTTCCTAATTATTCTATTAGCTTCTTCAGGGATGCTGGGAGGAAAACAGTCAGAAATCCTAAATAAAATTGCCTAGAATGTGGTGGATACTCAACACATTTAGCTTCATTGTCCTATTTTCTTCTATTCCTCATTTCTCTGAAGCTCAGTGGCACTGTCCTATCATTTAACCATTCCAGTTCAGTGTTTGGTTAAGAAGGGACAACACAGGAAGGTTAAATAATTGGCCCAAGGTCACAAAGCTGAGAACATAGTCAAGCATTTCTTATTTTACTCCAGGGAGTTTCATGACTTTTTACTTGGGCACATGAGTCATGCATTTTGCATTTTCTTTTCTTCTGTAATTTGGTGAGGATTTTTCTCTTTTTCAAGTTTGGAGAAGGGGACCACCTTCTGGAGCTACAAATTAATGAATGCAGACATAATCCTGGTTTGGATTTATTTACATCTTCCATAAATCATATTTATTGAGTGCCTGGGGTGTACAAGACGTTGTGAGAGGTTCCACACGTTAAAGCAAGGAAAAAATAAACATTTCAGACACTTGGTGTATACTGCAGACTACTTAAATATCCAAAGGCATCAAATAAATCATCAGACTGTTTAGAAATAGGCTCTGGCATGCTCCCTGCAAACCTTCATACAAAACCCTGCAATTGTGCAATAAGGGCTAAGGACTGGTCGCCGCACAGCACTGGAAATATTTGTTAAGACGAGTGAGTGGGTCATAGGTCCCTGGATTCATTCATGTTTCTAAGTTTGTGGATACCGTGGCCTCCTTCACAATCTCTCTACTCAGACTACCATCTTCTTCAGATCAGCAATGAAAAGAAATGCACCCATAAAACACAGACAGCAGTCAGGCATGGTGGCTCACACCTGTAATTCCAGCACTTTGCGAGGCCGAGGCAGGCGGATCACCAGGTCTGGAGTTCCAGACCAGCCTGGCCAGTACGGTGAAATTCTGTCTCTACTAAAAATACAAAAATTAGCCAGGTGTGGTGGCGCACCTCTAGTCCCAGCTACTCAGGAGGCTGAGGCAGAAGAATCGCTTGAACCTGGGAGGCGGAGGTTGCAGTGAGCCAAGATCGTGCCACTACACTCCAGCCTGGATGACAGAGCGAGATTCCGTCTCAAAAACAAAACAAAACACAAAGACAGCATACCATTTGCAAGCAAGCTGACCCAACCCAGAAACCATCTCCATCGTCTTTAAACATGTCAAACATGATTGTTAGGGGTGAAAGCAGCAGGTGCTCACACACACAAACACAATACATATACACACAAGCACACGTGTGCACCTTATCTCTTTCTCAGCATAGTGGCAGGATCACAGAAGATCCTATCGGACAGTGCTCTGTAAACTATAAAACCCTTCTATGCACACACAAGGCTACTATGCCACACTGTAAGTTCCAAGTAAATGGAATCGTGGCTTTTCCTCAATTTAAATTTCCAGTGGATGGGAAACTACTTACTTCTGATGCCTGTCTTGTAGCTTAGCAGCCGTTCATTCCTTCTTGTATGCACTTCAGATTGAATGGGCACCAGCTTTGTGTCAGGCCCTGTGCTAGGCACTTGGGAGATGGAAATAAATAGGACGAGTCCCTGTCTTTGAGGAGCCCATAGTCCAATGGGGAAAAACACACAAAACATACACGCAAGTCAGCAATTCTAGTCTAGTGGTGTAGTCTTCAGCAGGGCCGACTTTGCAATCACAGTTTGCAACAGTGAAATGCATATATGGAGACAAGGGCCAGGCCGACAGGGGAACCCATGATACGTGTGGAAGAATTGCAGGTCTTCCAAGAAATTGCGTGAGGTCTGAGTGAAGGTCAGGGAGGCATTTAGGGGCTAAATCACAGATGACTTTATATGCTAAGTCACAGAGTGAGATCTCTACCTTGAAAGTGATGGGGAGATATCAAGTATTATTCTGTAAGGGAGTGACAGTATCAGATTTGCTTTTTAGAAATGTCTCTTTTCTATCATTTTTAAAGATTTTCTACACTTTTGGGAGCAGAATGAAGGCTTCAGCAACAATCTACTATGCTTTAGGCAAATCTCGCGGTTAAAGATATCCAATGAGAACAATTTTCAAGCCAAAAAGAACAATCGTGTTGAAAACGTACAAGGTTACAGAAGCAAAATACTTTTTAGAAATTTTCAAGGTTTAGGATGACAGAAGAGAATAAACAAAAGAGTTGAGGAAGAAAAAAAATGGGAGAGAGATGGACAGGAGGGAGAAAAGAGGGAGAGAGGGAAGATACAGGCTTTATAATCTATACACTCGCGACACTTCACTTGGCTCCTTGCTAAGGACATAAATATGCATCAGTTGCTTACCCCATCCGAGCCTCAGTTTTCTTGTTTAAGAAAAGGGGAAATCCTAATTTCTCAAAGGGTTAGTGTGGGTGAGCTGTCCACCTGTGGCCAAGATGGCTAGCTGGCCACCAAAGCTCATGCTCTCTCTTCCATGACATGGAGTTATGGCTCAGAAGGGACACATTCATCAGTCCTCTTTGCAGCCAGGGATGGCCATATGACTATTCTTATCCAAGGAAGGTGAATGTAATGTTGTGTATTACTTCTGGGTCAAGGCTTTTTAATTTTTTATTTTTATTTTTTATTTTTTAATTTATTTTTTATTTTTTGAGACGGAGTCTCACTGTCGCCCAGGCTGGAGCGCAGTGGCACCATCTCGGCTCACTGCAAGCTCCGCCTCCCGGGTTCACGCCATTCTCCTGCCTCAGCCTCTCGAGTAGCTGGTACTACAGGCACCCGCCACCACGCCCGGCTAAATTTTTTGTATTTTTTGGTAGACATGGGGTTTCACCGTGGTCTCGATCTCCTGACCTCATGATCCGCCTGCCTCGGCCTCCCAGAGTGCTGGGATTACAGGCGTGAGCCACCGCACCCGGCCTGGGTCATGGGTTTTAAAAATTGAGTGTGCCTTCTCCATGCTCTTCTCCTTCTGCTGGCTGGGTGCAGATGCCATTGAGGCCCCAGAGGATAACAGACCCACACATGAAAGAAGCCTGGGTCCCTGAATCACTGTATGGAAGAGAGCCACTCTAACCAGAAACTCCTGATCAGACTCTTAGGGGAGAGAGATAGCTTGTGTTAAGCCGCTAAAATTTTGAGGTTTGTTTTTTATATAGCCAGGACTATTCTAACTAATACAATACATTAATATCAGTCATATAGTGTGTAAAAAATAACAATATTATTTGTTATTCCTTGTTTGTTGTTAGTGTAATAAACACCATAGAAAGGGAGAATGCAGTACACCAGCTTTGCAATTACTTTTTACACAAAAGAAACAAAGTACAATTTCAAGATGATTACTTTTCACCAGTCTTTAAAAGAAACTTTTAATCAGCCAGCCCCTTAACAAGATTATCTCTTTGAGGTAAAGCAAAGCCAACACTGGATTTCTTGTCTCCCCTTCTCCGCTAAAAGCATCCTGCCAAGTTCTAACTGCCATTATTTAGCAAGTTCTTCAATTTAAAAAGTTACCATCTACTCACCGTCCTGGCAAAGCTGTCAGTTGCTGAGAAATGGAACACAGCCAACTGATTAGTTTTGATGGACTGCAGCGTGGAAATCCAGTCTGTGTCACTAAAGTGCCTGTTCATCCAATTAACCAAATTACTACGGGGAACTCTAGCCAAGTGCAATACTTAGTGGACGGCTGTTCCGGGAGGTCAGGGACGGAGGAGGAGGTGATTTTATCAAATACCTGCCCCTCCTTCCCTGTCTTTGGTCCAAAAAGAGTGTTAAGCAGAGATAACAGGAGAGCAGCACCTTCTCTACCTCTTCCTGCCTGCCTTCAACACTTTGGTGTCTCTTCAAAAAGATGCCTTGTTATTATTGTCACGATGATGATGATGAGCAGCAGTATTGTTATTTTTAATTTAGTCATGTAACACAGGCTTTTAAAGCACCTACTTTATTCTCTGCTATATTCCCAGTGCCTGGCATAAGAACATAGGTATTCCCAGTGCCTGGCACTGGGAATATAGCAGAGAACAAAGTAGTCAAGGCCATGCCTTTCTGGAATTTGCATTCTAGCAGGGACAGAAAAACAGCCAACAGCAAAATTTTTCACACTTGCCACTCCACTGTTGGCATTTGGGATCAGATAATTCTTTGTGGTGGGACATTTAGGAGCTAAATCTCAGACAACTTTATATGCAAATCCACAGAGTGGGATCTCTACCTGGAAAGTGATAGGGAGACATCGAGTATCTTGCTCATTGTAGGGTGGGGAGCAGCATCCCTGGCCTTGACCTCCTAGATGCCAGTAGCCCATCAGCCACCGCTCCTGAGTTGTGATGACTAAAAATGTCTTCAGGCATTGCTAGATGTCCCCTGGGAAGCAAATCGCCCCCTCATTCCCCATCTTCCATTGGGAACTACTATTCAACCATTAGGCAAATAACTAAATTGCTAAGTGGGTATGATACACATTAAAATCGATAGAAACAGGATAGCAAGACAGAGGAAGATGGGTGGTCAGGTGACATTTAAGATGGGACCTCAAGATGAAGAGGGACCAGCTATGCAAAGAGCTGGAGAAGAGCCTTCCAGGCAGAGGGACAAAGGGACCAAGGCCTGCAGCATGGAAGGAGGCCGGAAGCAGGAAGAACCAGGTGTGATGGAGCAGAGTGTAGGGGCAGGTGTGGGCACACAGTGGGCTGGCAGAAGAACATAGGTACAGGTTCTGGGTCTTGTCAACAAGATAAGGAGTTTGGATTTTATTTTAAGCACAAGAAGGAGAGACAATGTAGTGTGGGTAGGTGCTGGAGCCAGATGCCCTGTACCTCAGTTTCTCCATCTATATCACAGGGACAGCAAAAGCACCTGTCTTGTATAGCGCTATGGTGAGAATTAAATGAGCTCATGCTGTGAAGTGGAACCCCCAGCTTGGTACGGAAGCTCAGTGGCTACTCAGCGGGCTACTGGAACCAGCTCCTGAGAGCTGACTTCATGCATCTCTTCTCAACTCACACCTCTTTGGTATCTCTTCTCAACTCACACCTCTTTGGTAGATTGATTTGAAATTAGCCACAGTGGAATATTTACATTACAGGAATTGGCAGATGCTAGAAATCAGGGTTCTTCCCCACCCCTGGAGTGACTATATAGTTCAGCATTTTCTAGCACACTGCTGGTCATCAGCTATTATTATTAGGTTGGCTATTGAAGACTTTTGAGTAGAGCAGCGTCATGACTTTATTTACATTTTAACAATATAACTCTGGCTTTGGTGCACAGAGTGGATTGCAAGGTTGAAGGAGGAGTGGAAGCAGAGAGATCAGTGAGCAGGCTGTGGCAGTCATAAAGCCAAGAGATGGCCACTCCCATCAGATGCTGATGGGTGACTTGGAGAGTTGAGACTCATCCTGCAGAGAAAGTGATAAACTTGCTGGTGGATTGGATGTGGCAGAATGAACAGAACAGGGATGATGTTTGTGCACTTAGCAGCCAGATGGAAAGTGATGTGATCTCTCAACCACTGCTACTGCTGCTGCTACAACTATTATGAACAACAACAAAATTTATGATTGCCTTTGATTAAGCACCTACACACTGATTATAGATAACATCCACTTATTTCTTTGATCTTCAAAACACCGTGAGAAAACTACAGTTAGAGTTAGCCCCATTTTGGGTATGTAACACCGAATCTCAGAGAAGTTCAGGGACTTGCCCAAAGTCACCCGGCAGGTAGGTGGCACACCCGGGGTCCCAATCAGCTCTCTCCCACTTGGAAGCCCATTCCCACCACACAGCCTGCTTCACTTTCTTTCTATCTTGAATCTGCTCTACAAGTGCCCCTTGCCAAGAAAGAGGGCCCTCGTTGCTCTCCAGCGTCTTTGGGGTTCACATCCAGGTGTGTCTTCACAGTGTTGCATAAGTAAAGACATCCAAGAGGGGCTGCAGCATGAGGCAGTTAAAGGGGCTTGAATCTTGGACCCCCACTTTTTAACACTTCTCCAAAACTTTCTGAGCCTTTTTTTCTTTTATCAGATTTGTAAGGATTCCAAGAGGTGGCCCTAAATTTCCTGGGCAGGTAATCATTATCAACATCATCCCAATCATCACCGTCACCATCTCCATTACCATCACCATCACCATCACTGTCACCATCACCATCATCATCATTGTCACCATCACCATCACCACCACTGTCACCATTACCGTCACCATCACCATCATCATAACAAAATTAAGATCTGTTGAAAGCTAACAATGAAATAGATACAATACAAAACATCTTACTATTGACGCCTACTAGAATTCTGTGAGGTGGGTCACGTTACTAACCCAAAAAATAGATGTAAAAAGCAAGGCCTAGAAAAGACTAAAGAAGTTGCACAGATCACATGGTCCATGCATAGCAGAACCAGAATTGAAACTCATTAAGAGTTCATGGGGTTCTAGGCCTCCAAAGCGTTCGTTCTTACAGTTAAATTGCTCTCCTTACCATTAATTGCTTGAAAAAAGGAAGATGTGCAAATCTTCTCTGGTAGTTTTTTTCATCAACGTTAGAAATATGAGGTTCTTACAGAAAAAAAGTCCTCTTGACACTACCTGATAGTCACCTCAGCTAGCTGGAGACTGTGTTGGAGGCAAGAGAAAGTTAAGACTTGTCAGAACAAGCGAATGAGGTACAGGAGCAAAGAGGCATTCACGTCCCTTCGGGTGACATTGTATCATTCATGAAATAAATGTGTCCTGGTGCCACAAATCTAAGACTATAGCAAATTCTGCCTGTAGGATCTAATCAGCCCCAACCCCCCCCCAAAAAAATCTATGTGTGTGCTCCAGTTCTTCTCTTCCTGGTTATTTCCTCATGAGTGTCTCGCAGCATAGAAGAGGACTTCCTATGTTAGCCTCTGACTTGAGCATCTAGACTGTGAATGACCTCTTCAGAAAAGATGCAACGAGCATATTTGGAACTGGGCAATTGTGTCATATTATTGAAACCCACATCTGTGCAGATAACCCTTGAAGTGTTCCACGGAGTCCACAAAAAATTATACACACCACCACACCAACCATAATCGTAAATGGAAACTTTTTTCATTTTGCTTGAAAACAGATTGCCTGGTCTGTATCATTATTTGTGCCAGTGATATCGATACTTTCCTTGGCTTAGAGACATGCCTAAAGTGATTGTCGTGAATGCAAATTTTGTGGTAAAGGCCATTTATATTAGCAGACTCCTGACTTTTCAATCAATAATCTGTAAAATGTCATCTGGATTATGTCTCTCTTTGGATTATTTATTAGTATTCTTCCTGCTACAAACAGGATGGCAGATTTTTCTGTCTTTGGCAACAGGTCTGAAAATTTCTAAATGGTTTATTGACTTGGTCTTCCTACCCCCCACGGTCCCCTGCACACTCTGTTTTTTCTTGATAGACAACCTCAGGGTGTGGCTCTGACAGTTAAAAGCAAAACTGGACTTCCTAGGTGAAATCAATGTGATGTTTGCATTTATGCATCCTCTGAAAACTTTGAAATGTTCCTATCTGCTCTCTAGATCCTGGTCCAGTGAGTGTCATTTGCTCATCACAGAAGTATCTGCATTCAAAAGAAACTCTGTGAGCATGACCTTGAGGAGGCTTCCAAGAGCTGATCCAAGGAATTTCCTGACACTCCCTGGAAGATGGAAGCTGGTGTTTGCTACACACCTCCTAAGCACTCTGCCTCTCTAGGAGGGATGAAAATTGCATCTATACTGCTCAACAGCCCAGGAGTTAGGAGTCCTTCTATTTACTTTGCAGGTGAGGAAACTGAGGCCCCAGTGAGATTAAATAACTCACCTGAGACTACCCAGCTAGTAAGTGACTAAGGGCGATTAGACCCAAGTCACTGACATTCTTCAAGATCGGGGCTTCCCAAGCTCATATCCAAGTCTGGTGGGTATAAATCTCTTGGGGTCCTAGTTAAGCATATATCTAATTGTCCACAATGGGACAATTTTGAACCTGGAAGAGGGCGCTCTTAATAACTATGCTTGGACAACAGCATACATCAGGACTGTCCCATACAATCCAGGACATAGGTTTAAAGATACTGCCTGAACTAAAGATAGATAGGTTTCCACGTCCCATCTCAGACACATTCAATCAAGTCTCTAGAGGAGGCTCTTGGAAACTGTCTATATAATAAGTATCCCAGATGACTCTTATCATTGCAAAGAGCTGTCCGAATCATAGTTAGCCACTTTGAAGTCATCTAGAGAGCTTACTGAAACACTGATTTTTGGGTTATACCATCCTGTTTATTTATATTAGGTATGTCTGATCTGGTGCTCAGAATTTTGCATTTTTAACACATGCTTCCAATATTCTTGCTAAAGGTAGAAATCATTGTCAAGAACATAAGGACCGATTTGAAATGTAGCCTTCCATTTTGTTACATTTAGAGAGGCAAATCCTCATAACTTTAAACAAATGTATTCTATTCTTTTGTGAAGAATGTAATTAAAAAGAAGGAATATTCTCCACCACTCCCAGGCTGTTGTGTGACCTCAGGGCAAGTTACTTTGCTTCCCTGTGCCCCAGTTTACTTAGATTTACAAAAGGAATAATAATAGGAATATTTCAGTTTAATGAAAGTGTTTAGAATCATGCTCAGCATGTACAAAGAGCTCAGTAAATGTACCCTAACCGTTATTGTTTTCACTTGTACCTCCTTTTTCCCTAACCTGCTGAATGATTTGTATAGTCTTCTCATTTGTCAGTACATTATATATTACTTGATCTGATTATAATATAATGTGCTTCCTAAACTCTTGACCACCCTATTGTCACCTAACTTCTGGTCATCTTTTGTCACTCTGCTCAAAATCAATTTTGTTTAATCCTCATTTCATCCAAATTTGTCCTAAAATACAATGGCGATAAGAATTTTCTAAAATAATAACATGCTAACAATAAAAAGGAGAAAGAACTTGTATTCTAAAAACTGGAAAAGACATCATTAAAATATTTTTTTGGCTAGGTGTGGTGCCTCATGCCTGTGAGAAATTTGGGAGGCTGAGGTGGGTGGATTACTTGAGGTCAGGAGTTCAAGACCAGCCTGGCCAACATAGTGAAACCCTGTCTCTACTAAAAGCACAAAAATTAGCCAGGCATGGTGGTGGGCACCTGTAATCCCAGCTACTCAGGAGGCTGAGGCAGGAGAAGTGCTTGAACCTCGTAGGTGGAGCTTGCAGTAAGCCAAGATCGCGCCACTGCACTCCAGCCTGGCAACAGAGCAAGACTCCGTCTCAAAAAAAAAAAAAAAAAAAAAAAAAAAAATCTTTAACTTGCTTTATAATGTCTCTATAGTATTCCATTTTAAGTGTATATCATATTTTAGTTAACCAGCTGCATATTGCTGGAGATTTAGGTTGCTTTGATGTTTGGGTACTGTAATTATTTGTTTACTTATTTTTTTTTTGCTTTGATTAGCTATAATTTCCTCTAGATAAAGCCAAAAGAATAATTTTGAATTTGATCAATTTCATTCTGTTATGAATGGAGTTTGAAACATAAATCAGCAGCTTTTCTACTATGTTTCTCCGATAGGGCTCATTCTTTTTTTTTATACTTTAAGTTCTAGGGTACATGTGTACAATGTGCAGGTTTGTTACATATGTATACATGTGCCATGTTGGTGTGCTGCACCCATTAACTCATCATTTAGCATTAGGTGTATCTCCTAATGCTATTCCTCCCCGCTCCCCCCACCCCACTACAGTCCCCGGTGTGTGATGTTCCCCACCCTGTGTCCAAGTGTTCTCACTGTTCAATTCCCACCTGAGTGAGAACATGCAGTGTTTGGTTTTCTGTCCTTGCGATAGTTTGCTGAGAATGATGGTTTCCAGCTTCATCCACGTCCCTACAAAGGACAGGAACTCATCCTTTGTAATTCTTTCTCACCTCAATTTGTTCTAATGAAAAACAAGGCCAAGAATTGGCTACAATGAATACTGCTAAAAAATAAAAAACAAATGATACTCTGAAATCAGAAGAAAAAGGGCGTCATTCTTTGTCTAACGGCAAAGAAAAAAAAACCTTTCTCTTTCACATTTAAATCCAAATAATGCCCTCCAAGGCATTAGTCTTCAACCTCAAGGATAGAAGAAGGATTTTGAAGGTGATGATGGATGGTTTTCATTTTATTATTTGAGGTGAAAGTAAGTGTTGTGGTGGATCTACACGATACCAGGGAATCCATATGTCTTCTACACGGGGTGTGAGCCAGTACCCCATATTCATAGTTATACTGCATATTTGTAATGGAGACTGAAAACAACAAGAACTTGACAGGGGCATCACGTAGAGATCTATTTGCACATTTCTGATGTTTAAATACCCAAATACCGTCCTTTTGCACTTTTTTCCTACATGGAAGGGAGAATTGGCAGATGATGCTGTTAGCATTTGATAAGATTTAACCTGCAGTCAAAATAATCCCATTAGGTTTATTTTTTTAAGCTCCTCAATAAAGTAAGACCAACATTGGGTGTGACTGGTTGGAATTATGAGGACAGATACACCTGAATCTGAACTCACACTCAGCCAAATGGCAGCTGTGTGACCCTGAGAAAGCTCCTTAACCCAGCACCTAGTAGGGGATCTGGCACGCAGAGGGCTCTCAACAAATGCTTCCTGTTCTTGTGAGAAACTGGCCAGGCTATTTCATTTGCTAAAATCTGTGCAGCCACACAGAACTTCCATGAGAAAGAAGGATTCTTGCTGGAGGAATAGAACTTTCCGTTTTGACTGCAGCTGCACGTGTGGGCGTGCAGATGTGAGAGTGAGAGGTGTGCAGACCCAGGCCTCCCTCTATGCAGGGCTCTTGCCTTCCAACCAGCTCACCCCCGGGGCCTCACCTAGTGAGTGGGTCACAGACAGCAGCATGCGAGTAGCAGCGAGCCAGGAGTCTCGGTCATACCATTTGCATAGCACGTTAGAGTTGACAAGGAGCATCGGCTCCAAACCCAAAGCGAAGCTGTTCCCTGGATCTGTTTTAATGGGCATCTGCGACTTTTGTCCTCAGCACGGCTGGAGTACATCTTCTCTGACACGGCTCCCAGCCCTCCCTATTATCGAGAAAAGTTCTTGCGCTTCGCATGCACCGAGCGGGGAACAAAAGCGGCAGGGGAGGTGTCAGAGAAAGATCTGAGCCGGGTTTATAAATGATATGCTGGCAGTCAGCTCCGCCGGGCTGGGGACAGTCCGGCCATTATCAAGGTCCAGAGGGGTTGAACTGGCAGGTGGATTCCAGCTCTGTGGCACAACCCGGGCCAAGAGCTCAGGGATCTCCTAACTCCTGTCTTAGGTACCAAGTCACCGGTCATGTTACCCCAGAGGTCAGACTCAGGAACCATGGATTCTTTTGTCCCAGGCGAGAACAGTGGGTCAAGTGCAATCACCTTTGTTTCTCTCCGTGGTGGAAGAAAGGGATGTGTGTGTATGAGTGTGCGTGCATCTATATGTATACATGTATATATAATTTTTAAATTAGGGAGTGAAGGAATTCCACTCTTTTTAATATTGTCCTTTCAATGATGTCTCTATTTGCATAGTTCGATCCTCTTTCCCTACTCAGCGTCAACATTAGTGTGACCTTTTCCTGCTAATTGGAAAATCGTACGGAAATAAACCCTGTCAGAAAATGAGAAGTGACTCCCCCTTTGGATGGCCAAACGGCCTCAGAGGGGGAAAGAAGTTCTGAATTTCTGTTCCTTTTGCACACACTGCAAAATCTTTATTACTTTGGAGAGCCTTGAAGCTCAGTAATGCTCCTCCAGTGCAAGGCGGAGTAAATAAATTTCTTCTTATGACCACTTTGGAGAAACACACAACCAGATTTACTCAGCAGGGATAGATAGTGGACAGGATAATGAAGACAGAATAAGAATATGATCGGGGTTTACAGCCTCTTCTGTCTCTTTAAAGAGTTTTAATCCTTCAGAAACAGGATACGGGGTCCATTTCCTTAAAGATACAGTGTCCCTTCTGGGACACGTAATGTTATAAAAAGCTAAGATGTAACATCTATCTCGCAATATTGATTGGCACTTTAGTGTGATAAAAGGGGTTGAACCTGAAGGGGAAAAGAGGAAAAAGGTAACTGAGAATTACTCTTTGAAGAATTCAAAGTGTCCGTATCATCATATCAGGCCAAACTCCAACGACGGGGAAACAAAAGCATGGCTTGGGCCCAGTGACATCTGCCTGCATGGCGACATGGTCAGGGCGGGTTTCAGGGATAACTGATTCACCTCCATCTGGAAATGACTGTGTTTTGAAAAGCAATTCTAGTGATTCTTATGTCATATTCTGGTGATTCTGAAATTAACTCAAAATGAGTCAGGGCAGATATTCTGATCCATTCTCGAGGGGCTAAATGGCAAGGTCCTGTCTCATGAGAGGTGTTGTTAAGCGTTCCGGTGACCCAGCTGGTTGACCTCAAGGCCCTAGATCTGGTGAAGTTGATTCTACAGACCCTCTTGTGTGCCCACCATCACTCCCCCTGCACCTGAGCCTGGTCCCTCCATTGCTCTTCCCCCAGATGTGGTGATTGGCTGTATCTGCAGCAAATGATGACAGCTAACATTTGTTGAGTACTCACTATGCAACAGGTGTTTGCTAATTCTCATAACTTCAGTGGCGGGGTTATTAACTCAGTTTACAGAATAGAAAAAGGAGGCTCAGAGACGTCCTCTGCCTTGCCCAAGGGCACACAGTGTGAAAGGGCAGCAGAGCTGGGACTCAAAGTAAGTCACCCCGAGTCTGAATCCCATATTGTCCTACTCATAATGCCCAGGTCAGGCTCCTAAGAGGGACTTGAGGTTGTCCTCCTGTGATGAGGCATCCAAGACCCTACACCTTCCAAAGAACCCCGATCTCCTTTCTATTTGTGGAGGACCCCAAGTGTTTTCTAGCTCATCTGTTTAGAAAGTTACTTCTCTCTCTAGACCAAATACCCCTTCTCTCTTGTACATCCTATCAGGAAAATGCAATGAGGTCATTGCCAATTTCAAAAACAACTACCTTACAACCCATTCGGGTTTCACTCTGGAACTAACCACCAGCAGACACCAGACTGACCTGGGTCTGCTCAGGAACATACGGCCTGCCTCTCCATAGGCCTCCTCACCCAGAGGATAGCTGCTGTCTGTGCAGGAACCCAGAGGATCATGCCCTTCACACATGCTGGGACTAGGGGGGCATTTCGTGGTGATGTTTGGCTTCAGTTTAAAACTCTCTCTTGCTTTAGGCCATGAACACCTTTTACACCTGTCTTGTCCAAGATCCTCCTTGGGCTGCTAGCTAGATTGAAAACCTAACTGCTTGCCTGTGCGTTGTGAAAGGCCCTTTGCAATCTGCCTTCAATTCCTCTCAGCACACCATATTCTCCCTCAGTAATTCCAAGCACACACGCTCTATGCTCCACTCATACTGAACTTTTCATCGTTTTCCAAAAGTATGGCACCCTTCAAAAGTCTTTGCCTTTGCACTCTGGTTGGCTTTCCTCCTTTAAGGCACAATGAAAAGTCACCTCCTCCAGGAAGCTCCCCAGGACTGCCCCAGCCTGAATCACATTATGTATGTACATCTCTGCTCTGGCTTCCTCTGGCCCTTTAAACCTTCTCCCCAACCCCAGCTCTTGTCAGCAACCTGTGTACAGATGATTTTTCATATGTGCCCTCTCTGTCTCTCCAAATGAGGATTTGTTAAAGCATGGACTCTATGGACCTAAACCAGCTATGCTTGTTGGTGAAATGAGCAGGCGAGTAAGTTAACCAGCACTTCTAAAAGCCCACTATGTGCCAAATCAGCAATAGGCCTTGGAGTTACTGACTCATATAGAACAATCCTTGACCTTAGAAATCTGTCTGCCTCAGGCGAGTTCTGACCCCAGCAATAGGATTTGAGTCTCCAGCTGTGGACAAACGAAATTCTATAGCAGATAAATGACACCATTGCAGATCCTGGCTGATTGTCCACCAAATCATTTTCTTTTCTTTCTGAGCACACCGCTGGACTACCCTTTTCCAGCCCCCTTTGCAGTTAAACGTGATCACCTGACTGCGTACTCAACAGTAAGCAGAAGTGATATGCATCCCTCCAGGCCCCACGCTGAAAAACCTCCCGCTGCTTTTCTCTGTCCTTCCCAGCCAACAGTGGGCTGGAGAGGGTTCCCAGGACCCAGTAGAGGGCAGAGCCACAAGATAGAAGAGGCCTGGGCTGCTGAGACCCTGGGTATGGGAGGGACCCTGCAGGGACCTGCCCTGGGAACCTGTTCAAGCAGGCATTCCAGCCTTCAGTGAGCAAGAAATACAAAGTTGAATGTGTTAAGCTCCTGGAATGTCAGAGTTGTGTGGTACAGCAGGTGGCCTGCCTAACAGTGAGAAGTGTGTGTGTGTGTGTGTGTGTGTGTGTGTGTGTGTGCGTGTGAATACAAGGTCTCTTAGACTTACTATGTGCTCAAGAGGAAACCCAGATGATCTGAGAAGGCCTGGCCCACATTCTTTTTTCACTTGCAGCTTCCAGGCTTGAGAATCCTACAGACACACTGGCCACTTCCCGGGGAAGCCTGATCCTTGCTCTGCCTCTCCATCAGCTGTCATACAAGTGGCATGCTCACTTGAAATGCTGCTTCACGATTGAGTCCTCATTTTGGAAAGTGACTACATTCTCTGTGGGGTTCAGTTTCTCTTTTTGCATTTGGAAAACTCTCTTGGCTTGTTTATCCGAGGACTGCAAAGCTAAACAGTGGGGCTGCCTTTGCTCATCCCTTCCTTGATGCCCCAGAGAGGTGTGTTGCTGAACATAGTTAACAAGGAGTAGAGGTAGCTCTCTACTAAGTGGGAAAGGCCTCCTGCTTTGGTGTTTGCAGAAAAATTCTCAGCACATCTGAACGTGGTCCTCCCACCTCCTTGTGTGTTCAGGGTTCATGCTCCAGGCTTGCGGGAGAGAGGTTTTATTGTTGTTGTGTCATTTTGTTTTGTTTTTAGTGGCAGGGTGCTACAAACTAGGAAGTAGCATAACTGTGACTTTAAATGCTGCATCTCTATGCAGAATGATCACCCAGAATCTCAGAGTCACAGAGACCCAGAATCTCAGAGTCACAGAGCCCAGAGACCTCTGAATTCCAGAATCTTGGAATTGTGGATTCAGGGACACTTGGAAACAGATTTTTTTTTTTTAAGCAGTATCCAAGGCCACTAGTTTCTGGGGCTTCAGCAACCAGAAAGCCCATTGCCCACCCCACTGAGGTGTGGCAGGAAGTGACATCCCAGGTTTCCAGTGACAAGTGTCGGGCAGAAGCCTGGAACGGCAGCCTGAACACACAATTGTTGCCTCAACACATTGCTGGGAAATGTGGCAGCTTCACCATGGATGGGCTTCCTCCAGGGCTGCCTTTTTCACTTTGTTACCCCTGGAAAAAGTGCAATGACACCGAAAAAGCCAAGCCACTAGTTTTTCACACCCCAAGATAAGCATGCCGGGACACCATCCAGTGATGGAAATGTCACCGTTGAGATGACATCTCTCTTTTTGGCCCTGGTTCTTGCCTCTGGATCTGGGCTGCCCAGAAAGGATCTGTCCAGAGCTCTGTCCAGGACTAGTTCTTAGGGGAGATGGCACCTGCTTGAGGGACCTGGGAAAGTAACTGAATCACAAAATGTTCTGCCAAGAAGCGGAGGAAGCCACACCCTCAACTCAGAATTAAATCATCCTTTCAGCTTCAGGAGGGTTTAGGGCCAAGCTCCGGGCAAGAATAATGTCACGGGGAGACTCTTTTACCTGTTTCTGTCAATGCAAGACTCCTTAGAAATAATCACGTATTCCACGTCTTCTATAATTATAGAGGGTGCTCTGGGGCACTTGGGTCTCCATGTTGGTCCATGGCTGGGAGTAAGGAGGTGTCATAGCACTGAGGTGGGGTCAGGGTGGATGCCTGACGTTGCCTTTTATGAGCTGTGGGAATTTGGGCAGTTTCTGAACTCCTCTAAGCCTGAGAATTGTTGAAGGAATCCCATAAAATAATAACAGTTAATATCCATGGAGCACTGGGTGCTAGAAATTGGGCTACATATCACCCCAATAAACCTCAGCAGCTAAGTTTATTTATATTTTTTAACAGATTTAACCAATGAAGAACCAATGCCCAAGAACCCTCAGCTAATAAAAAGTAGAGGCAGATAGAACCCAGTCACTGGCTTTCAACCAAACCAACAGGGCAGGGCTTCTCGGCCTCAGTGCTATGGGCATTTGGAGCCACATAATCCTTTGTGGTAGGGGAATTGTAGTGAATATTATAGGATGTTTAGCTAGATGCCAGTAGCACCCTCACCCAAGTTGTGATTACCAAAAACGTCCCTAGACATTGCAAAATGTTGCAGGGAGGTATTAAATTACCCTCATTTCTGAACCACAAAAATAGATGGAGAATCAAGTGGGATATGGTGCCTGGAACATGGAGTATCAACTCAATATATGTCAGTATAATTCAAAATTTGTAACTTTTGGCTTATAACGAATGTCAAGGGCTGCGAGAGAGGGGAGAGAGACACAGTGATAGATAGAGATGCCAAATCAGTCTTCTCTGACTCCAAAATCATACAAAAAAAAATGAAATTTATAAATGATGCAAACTCACCAGGAATTTTTTTTTTTTTTCAAGACAGGGTCTCACTCTATCACCCAGGCTGGAGAGCAGCTGCGCAATCTCAGCTCACTGCAACCTCTGCCTCCCAGGTCCAAGCAATTCTCTTGCCTCAGCCTCCTGCCTCCCAAGTAGCTGGGACCACAATGGCCTACAACCACACCTAGCTAATTTTTGTATTTTTAGTAGAGACAGGGTTTCACTATGTTGCCCAGGCTAGTCTTGAACTGCGAAGCTCAAGTGATCCGCCTGCCTCGGCCTCCCAAAGTGCTGGGATTACAGGCTTGAGCCACCGTGCCTGGCCTCAAACCAAGAAATTATTCAAAGTTATTTTGAAGTTATGAGGCTAATGGTCCCTCACACACTTGATGGCATGAAGTGTGCTACATAATATGATCTCCGTATCAGGGGAACGGGCACTGAGAGTCGCCGGTAGGGAGGAGCGTCATCTGCATAGCACCTGTTGTATATCATGTCCTGCTAGGATCCTGGTGTTCCTGGACTGTTTAATTCCCCTAAGAGCCCTGTAAGGTGGGCTGCTATTTTTCTGCCTTTGGAGAGGAGGCAACTGAGGTCCTGAGAGGGTAAGGGACTTGGCTAATAGTATACAGTCTGCAGCCCAGACAGGATTTAAATCAAAATCTTTTAGACGATGGTCCTCACTCCCTGAAGGAAAAAAGAAAAGCAGATCTCAAAGTCTTATTTAGTGTCTTGTGGATGGGAATGATCATCGTTAACACCTAAAGCCCTCCTTCAGTGTTTTCTAGACCCACAAACCTTTCTGGGGATCACTGCACACTTACCAGCATGCCATGGTCTTCATGGAGACCAGAGATAAGTGGGGTAGAGACACATAAGCAGATCATTTCTTTTTCTTTTTAAATTTTTGAGACAGAATCTCACTCCCATCACCCAGGCTGGAGTGCAGTGGTGCCATCACGGCTCACTGCAGCCTCAACTTCTGGGGCTCAAGTAACCCCCCAGTTCAGCCTCCCAAGTAGCTTGGACTACAAGTGCGCACCACCGTGACTAATTTTTTTGGGTTTTCAGTAGAGATAGAGTTTTGCCATGTTGCCCAGACTGCTCTCAAAGTCCTGGCTCAAGTGATTCTCCTGCCTTGGCCTCCCAAAGTGCTGGGATTACAGACATGAGCCATGGCACCTGGCCACAGTAAACAGATGGATTCAGTGGAAGGTCAGGGATGCAACAGGAGAGGAACACACGAGATGGTGAGGAGCAAATAGGAAGAAACCTAGTTCCTGGAATGTGTCTGCAATTCACCATTATGTGTGCTGGGTGACAGGCACACAGGCCACATGTACCTTTCGGCCATAGTGGGAGTGGGGACAGAAGCAAATCAGGGGGACTTCCCAGTAGAGGGGAGAATGGGTGAGATTTGAAGGATGGAAAGCACTGAGACTCAAGAGAGAAGTAGAGAAGGTGTAACTGGCCAGATAGCCAGGAATTGCAACCATTCCAACAGTTCACATCTCCTTGTAGGGACAAAAGGGATTGGTACTGGGTGATAGCAATGTGCCATTTTATGCCCATTTGTCCAAGGAAAAACTGTCCTGCAGGACAAAACAGTTCTCCTTAGGTGTAATTTAATTAGATCCTCTCCACTTTGAGCGGGATTTCCATGCCATCCTGGAGCCCAGAACCATGGAAATGATAAAGCTGTCTCAAAAGGAACAAGAATTGAATTCTAGTGAACACACACACAGAAAAAAATAACAATCCCACAAAACACACCATGTGTATGAGAAATCCAGAGAGATAGTGTCAGATTAGAAGGAAAAAATAAGTGGGAGAGAGAACCCAAGTGCTGGCAAAGCTCTTGGCAGGGGATTAAAAAACCTGTTTGGGAGACAGTCAGAAATTGTTTCATAACATTTGAAAACCCAAGTTGGCTCAAATGTAAAAGATTTCTTCTTCCTTGATAAGATTAGTTTTTCCCCCTCATCTATTTCAACAGCACCGAAATAATCTCCACTTTAGGACAATTAATCCAAAGTCTATCTTGCAGGATCCTAGTGAAAACTCCAGAATACATTGGCAGTACTTGCACCTATCTCCCCAGTGTTTCACAACTTTCCCTGCTGGAAAACGTATCTCACATTCTTAAAATAGAGTCTTATCTATGGCTGAACTTGATGGACATAGAGTTGAATTGACAGCTCAAAAGGAGGCAGGAGGAACCCCAGGTCAGATGTAGCTCAGGCTGTGGTCGTCCTGTCCCCAGGGATGAAGTTTTGCTCCAGTGGGATAAGTACAGCCCAGCGGAGTCAAAGGACAGTTAAAGAGAAGTGGCTCTGAGGTCCTCCCATGGCCATTGGCCAAACAGTTCCAACCCCAAGGCAGAGAAGTGAGAGAAGGAGCCTGGAATTTGGTGCTGGAGGACCATGAATGTATTGCTCTGGCCTCCCTGAGCCTCAGCCTCCTCTTCCATGGAGAACGTCCTATCTCCCTGGTTTGAGAGTTATGTGAGAATAAGCATACAGTAGGGACTCAAATATGATTTCTTTGGAATCTAAACTAAAGTTGTTTCTAGTACTCAAGAGATAGGAAATGTGGTACAAAAAGAAATTCCCCTGTGGCAATCCGTGTTGAACTTTTGCAGGGAGAGATAGGAACAGATCAACTCTCCCGGCCTCCACTAGCAAAGTGGCTATGGGCGGCGTGTGGGGAGGGGAACGTGGTGGGGTCCTAAGTCTTCAGCATCCCTCTGTCAATATTCCCAGAGGGAGATGAGGCTCTTTCCAAATTGAACGTACATGAGTTCCAAATAAGATTCTGAACAACCAGAAAATAGCCTCGTAATCCTTCTACAACTAATGTCTCTAGGGAATTCTCCATGCCTCTCTCCTTTCTCCTCCCCGGAGAGCCTCCTCTTCCTACACATACACATTCATACACACACGCACATGCACACACACACGTGCATCCCCAGGCACTCTCACCTACACACCCACACGTGCATTCAAGCACGTACACACTCAATGCACTTATGCATACTCACACTCACAAATGCATGCATTCACATACACTCATACATGTGCACACACACACACACACATGCACTCACACACCCTTGCAATGCACACATTCATGCACATGCTATACCCTGCCATCACACATGCGACACAGCTCTCTAAAACCCAGTTTTTCTTGCAAGCTCTCAATTTTAACTAACGAGCAGGAAATTCACAGGCCACATCATCATCTCGGGTGTCATGATGCAGTCTGGTGGCCTGGTTTTGTTGAAACCAATGCAGCGCTTTTCTGGGTCTAAATCTCTTATTCTTGCTATAGAACCTTCCCAGCCTAATATCAAGCATGCTTGAGGCTTTCTCCCTGCCTTCCTCACGTGCCTTCCATCTCCTCAACCTTGTGACTCACATTTCTGCAGCCTGGAGCTGTATTCCCTGAAGATTCACACCCCTAGGTCTCTGAGCATGCTCTCCTGTCTCTGCTTTGCCCAGCTCTTTCCTTCACCATTCACTCCACAGGGCCTTTGGATGTGCTGTTGCTGCTGCCTGAAACACTTCCCCCCACTTTCCACTGGCTCTCAGTTTAGTTATTATGTTTGCAGGGACATCTTCCTGAACCTCTGTATAAAATAAGTCCACCCTACAAACATTCTGACCACACCTGGGTCCAAGGCCACATGCTGTTGCTCTTGGGCCCCATAAATGCTTGCACTTGTGGGTCTTTTCCTCCCTTAAAAGGCATGAAAAATTATATTTGACAACTTGTATGAAGGTGAATGTAGTCCAGGCTGGGTTTATTACTATCTAAGCATTATTATTCTATTCATGTTTTCTTTTTAATTGAAAATAAATTAAAACTAGACCGGGGATGGTGGCTCATGCCTGTAATCCCAGCACTTTGGGAGGCCAAGGCAGCTGGATCATCTGAGGTCAGGAGTTTAAGACCAGCCAGGCCAACATGGTGAAACCCCATCTCTACTAGAAATACAAAATTAGCTGGATGCAGTGGCATGCGCCTACAGTCCCAGCTATTTGGGAGGCTGAGGCAGGAGAATTGCTTGAACTTGGGAGCCAGAGGTTGCAACGAGCTGAGATTGTGCCATTGCACTCCAGCCTGGGCAACAGAGCAAGACTCTGTCACAACAACAACAACAACAACAACAACAACAACAACAACAACAACAATTAGCTGGCCTGTGGTGGCGGGCGCCTGTAATCCCAGCTACTCGGGAGGCTGAGGCAGGAGAGTTGCTTGAACTTGGCAGCCAGAGGTTGCAGTGAGCCAACAGTTGGGGCAACAGAGTGAGACACTGTCTCAAAAAACAAAACAAAACAAAACAGAAATAAAAACTAATATACTTTTTGGGTCCCTGAAAGTCTCCTGAGCACTGTGCCTCTAGATCCTGACAGATATGGGAACCCTGCTGGGTCAATCCTCACTGCACTTTGCATCCGGGAAAGTTTGCAGTTACTGGAGTGACTTTGCTAATTACTGTCAGTCTCTGTCTTTGAACATCATGTGGGTTGGGACCATGGCTGTCTTCCTCACCATCGGTTCCCTAGCAGGCATTGGCACTGCTTGGACTGGTTACTAGATGCTGCCCAGGTGACTACTCAGGGAATAGCATTTGGATGAGGGAATGATGGGCCAGTCTCCCCTACCAACCACAAAAGATCCCATTCTCCTCCCTGCCCAGTGTCTGACATCTGAGGTCCTCCATGTTTCATGTACAGAAGCATAGATGTATCCCCCTTGCATGGGTCTGCTGACCTTGAAGGTGGCCAGCATCTCAGGGGCTAACCTGATCCGGGCTGGGACTGCCAGCAAGACACTTAGTTCAAGTACAGAACAACCAGCATTGCTCTTGGACACCGTGTGAAGGTACTTGAATGGCCAACTTGTGTCCAGCACCACTTTGCCACCAAGCAGTACCTTGCAGGGATATGGAAAGAACTCAAAGCAGCTGTTCCCAGGCACAGTCACGGCACATCACAGCCCCTGCCCCCAGAGGAAGGGCAGCAGGGCCAGGAATTTTTCCCACCAACAGCTAAACTGTTTGCTTTTCAAATACTGGCGATGTAATGAGAGCTAAGACTTCTGGAGGAGGCAAATCCTGCTCACTGGCTTCGGCTCTGGGGCTGGGGGGTCCTGGTCGAGAGTTCCTCGACCCCAGCAGGCTACAGGGTGATGATTGCTAGGATCTGCTACATTCCAAGGTACATCAGTATGACCTCCAAGGGATGAGAACTGGACAGGCAGCTTGACCCTTGACCTCCCTCGTTCACTGATCCCCTAGCTGTGATTATTTTTAATTTTGATGACGTTCATTTGGGAGAAGGCAGCCCAGCAGAGCTACTTGATCCCACCCAACTCCAGAGATCCCAGCCAGGCCTGGATAGCTCCCGGGGCAGGGTAGATAGAGGAGCGTGGATGGGAGGCGTGAGACTGCAGTGAAGGATCCCACCTTGGCAGCTGCTCACAAAATGTGAACAAGTCACTTTACTTTTTTGCGAGGATGTAAAAAGATAATGTAGGTGAGGGCTTTACAGATACCTGACATGCAGGAAGGCATGAAGTGCCGGCTGCTGAGATGATGGTGAGCACTAACTTTTAAGACTGTTGGCTTTATCATGAAACAAGTATGCCTCTCCAATGTTAAAGCCCCAGTCTCCCACCTCATTCTCTCAGATTCTTGCTCTGGAGCCCATTCCTGGGGAGTCTGAGATTGAGGTAGGCCAACAGGATGCTGCAGAGGCTGCTCCGATGGGAGGGAAATTTCCTGGCAGAAGTGGTCAGTGCTGTGATGAGGCCCTTCGGTACAGGCCACCCCTGGCTGCTTGGGAAGGCCACAGATTTAGAGTGCCGGAATGAACAGAAAGGCTCTCCACAAAATGCATATTTTTCAGGGAGGCCTGAATAAGGCAGAATCTAGACAACAAAGGAGCCAGTGCCCAGATCCACAGGCATCCCCGGAAGCTGGCATGGGTTTGGAACTATAACATGCCCCCAGATTCCAAATCTTTCTCTCTCCATACATCATTCCATATGCATGCCCCACAGTAGCTGGGGAATGGAGAATCAGAAGGCTGTTTTACGCCATCACTTTCTTTCCTAAACCAGGTCATCTTGTTGCCATGTACCCCAAAGGGCACATCTTTGCACGAGGTCTCAGGAAGTGATGGTGATGTCAGTTCCAGTAGCTTTTACAGAGGCGTTTGCTAATAGTGCCTTAACAGGAAATTCTAGGGCACAGCAAAAAGTTTCTCTGATGGGATGCCAGTATTTTCAGATGACTTTTTGCTGAAGAATATTCTAGAAGATAAGATAGTCTAATGCACTGTCCTCAAAGTTGATCAGATCATCCACTCAGCCACATCAAGCTAATGCTTAATGTGCTCTATCAAGACATGCCAGGGAGTGGGTTATGCTGAGGGACAAAGCCAGCCCCAATTGCTGTTCTTTGAATGCACCCAGCTAAGGAGGAGAATTCAGATAACAATTAAATCATTACGGAAATCAATTAAGGTAAATAATCTGATTTTTTTGATTAACAATTTGACTTGAGTTCTTTTACTTTGTAGCCAAGAGCTTGGGGGTCAAGCAGACCCCAGCTTTCTTCTGAGGTAAGTGCAGAGTAGGACCACACCAACAACTCATCTTTCATCTTAAAAGAGACACTGGCATTCAGGAGGGAGTCCAGAAGCTGGGGACAGTGATGATGAAGGATTACTCAACTGTTTCACATGTGCAACAGCTGGGAAGTGGAAGGAGCTTAACCTGGAGAAGAGAAGGCCATGGGATATTAGATTGCCATCTTATAACATGTGAAGGATTGCCATTCATGGGTGAATGCTCTTGGCATGGGGAGTATTGTTCTGAGTAGGACCAGAGGGAAGAACCTGGAGCAATTGGGGAAGAGGGTGGGGTGGCTTTCAGGTTCATGCAAGGAAGGACTTCCTGACTCTTGGAATGGCTGCCTTGGAACACAGGGAGCTGTCCATGAGAGAGCTATCATGTCTCATTCTTGTCTCCATTAGCCACCCTGTTTCCAAGCTTGTGATGGGCTCCATTGAAAATGATGTTCACATATTTGGATTGCTCTCCCCATCTTTTTGAACCCCTTCCCCTCTGTCCTGCCTCATGTTCTGCTATCCACCTGTCTCTGCTCTCCTGGGGAATCTCACCTGGCCTTGTTTCCCATCTGCAGCCTCCCAAATGCCCTTAAATGATGCCCTACTGGGTTTGGTTGGATTACGGCAATACACAAAAGCATGGCTTTGGAGCAAGACAGACCTGAGATTAAATCCCAGCTCTACCACTCATGAGTCATGTGGCTGTGTGCCAGTGCCGTCTCTGAGCCTGTTTTTCTCATCTGTAACTTGCAGGTGATGACACTACCTGTTAGGATTGTTGGGAGACATTCAATGAGATCTGTGGATAGCCATAGGCTTAGGGTAAATAATCTCATTTTTCTTCAACAGCAATTAACCAATTTGACTTGAGTTCTTTTATTTTGCAGCCAAGAGCATGAGGGTCAACCAGACTCAGTCTATAAGAGGTCAGGGTAGGACAAGTTTTGTCTTTTCTGCTTGCTCTGCAAGTGCTGTGGGCATTTCAATCATTTTCAGAGAAGCGGCAAGATCCACTGCAAGAAGGAGTGGAACAAGGACTTGGCCTGCCCTACAGATAGGATCATAGCCCACCCAGCAGGGATGACTCAGGAGCATCTACCTACCCTTTAACTGGAGTTGCTCCTGCCATGAAAGCTGACTGTGAACATCTCTTTCTAACTCCATGTTCAGGGACTTTGTGTTGTTAGCTGGAAGTCGGCCATGGTAGGAGCATTTACACCACAGAAATTGGCAAAAGCTACGAATCAAGACTCCTTCACCCCCCAGCAATATTTATGTTACTAAACACATTCCAGCACACACTATTCCTTTGACACTATGAAAAGAAAGGCCCAAATCACACTATTCACCTTCAAAATCTTTGGGTTCCCAAGGAACAGGAATCAGTAGTACAGATAAACTTTGCCTTGATATGCAGGGAGAACTTTTCTGGTGGAGTTGACACCAGGGATCTGTGCCCCTCTCTGTTGTCCCCTCATTAGGAGAGCTGAGGGTGTCCACATGGGTTGTCATTTAACTTTAATCTACCAGCATCCATGGAGAGCACTCTGAGTCCCTCCTCTAGGTGTACCCAGGAAGGATGTGGAAATCACCAATGATTGGGAACAAGCTGCACCTGTGAAGCAAGGTGCCTGGGTTGGAACTTCTCAATAATGTATCATTTCCTTATAGGGGCCTAAGGAGGCTGAGGCATGGTGTTGAAGTTTGATTAGTAATAAGAACATAGCAGGTTAACCTCTAACATTTAGCACTTTCCCCCGGATTGAATGACGGATCTCTATCTGGGTGAGCCATGCTAGCCGGCTGCCTGGGAACATTACACCTCTCTAAAAGCTGTCAGTCTCTGTCACTGTCTTTGCACAATGGAGCCCATAGCTATTTTTAAAGGACTGTGTCACCTTTCAAGAGAAATTACGTCTGCACGAAAGATTGGTTTTTTTTTCTTTTGGTTGTTTTATATACAGATTTGGTGGTCTTTCATCTCCCAAGGTGAAGTTCGGTGCTGAATCCCCCACAAGCTGACATTGTTTTGATTTTTATTTTAGGGAGAATATGAAGGAATCGAGAAAAAGTCAGATAAATGCTTAAAGTCCAGGCTGTTACAGAGAGGCATCTTGTCTGTAGAAAGGAAAGGAAAGGAGCAGACAGAACGTTTGTCCTGCAAGCACTGGGTGGCAAGCATTTGACTATAATAATTGCTATTTTGTTAAATCCTTTCCCAAATTCTGCCAAGACAGAGATCGTTAACCCCATTTGAAGATGAACTGGATTAGGAAGGTGGGCTCTGAAATAAAACTCTCTGGGTTTATAATCCCAGGTTGACTTGGAGGCCACTTACCTATCTGTGATATCATGCCTCAGTTTCCTTAATCTTCAAAATGGTGCTATTCACAGTGCTTACCTCATTATAAAGGTATTGTGAGAATTAAGTTAGTTAATCCAAGGTAAGTATGTAGACAAATGCCTTGAACATAGTCAGTGCACATAAATATTGTTTGTTTGCTTGTCTGTTGTTTGTGTTAGAGTGTTTGTGTTAGCGTGCAGCATCTGATGACTATGCTTTTTCAGGCTTTTTAGTAACAGTATTGCTCTCGCTGACACACACAGATGCCTTGAATATACGAGTTACCCCCACTTTTCAGAGGGAGATCCCAGTGCTTGCCTCAATGAATTTTGTTGTTGCTGAGAAGGTTAAATTGAGATCCTTCATGTCGAATGTTTGACTCAGCCCTCAGTGCATGAAAAGCTCTCAGCACATTAAAGTTATTTATTAGTCACCATTAGAAATAGTCCTCTCATGAGGAAACAGATTTAGAAAGTTGCGAATGAACTATAGGCACGAAGAGCAGGTTGCTGCAGTGAAAACGGAATATTCTGAAAGACTTGTCAAAGGCAGACGGGGTAGTCAAGTTAGATCTAATAAGCCTCTAAAAACCCATTGATAAAATTCTAGACTGCATACCTTTACATTCTACACTTTAAAGAAAGTGAAACTCCAAGTTGCAGATGAAGCAGTATGGGTGTGGTTTCCACAATGGGAACACCTGGTGCTCTACTCCAGACCTGCTCAAAGCAAGTGCTTTGCTCTTACAAAAGAGAATAGTAAGAAAGTGTGCATTTATATCTTTTAAGTTAAAGCAAAATGCCTGTTATATACTGGTATATCCTTTTTTTATGATTCCCTGCATTAAGCTTCTTTTATGATTAACTATCCAACTAGTAATCCTGTTAGCCTTGCATAAGGGACTATATTTCAACTGCAAAGTCATTTCAGCTTCAGAAACTGCCCTCACTTCTTTCTTTATCACCTGATATGGGTCCCTAAAAGGGGGGGAACATGCAGGGAAGAAGAGGGGCAAATCTGTTTATCTGAATATCTATTAATTTAAAAATCATTGAGAAAGCTCCTAACTCATGATAGAAATCAGAGATGCAAAGATGAACAAGGGTAGGGGGGTGGGGAAAGTCCCTGCTCTTAAGGATCGCTCAGCTCTTGTGGAGGAGATATATTAAAATACAGCTCCTTCTTGACTTACAATGGGGTTATGTCCTGATAAACCCAACCTAAGTTGAATATATAGTGAGTCACAAATACATTTAATACACCTAACTTAGCAGACATCATAGCTTAGCCTAGCCTGTCTTAAACATGCTCAGAACACTTCAATTAGCCTACAGTTGGGCAAAATCATCTAACACAAAACCAATTGTATAATATGTTGTTTAATATCTAATGTAATTTATTGAATACTTTACTTACTTACTTACTAGTGAAAAACAGAATGGTTGGATGGGCACTGGAAGCGTGGTTTCTACTGAATGTGTATTGCTTTCTCACCATTTTAAAGTTGAAATATTAAGTCAAACCATGTTAAGTCCAGAGCATCTGTAATTACAATACAACGAAATTGGTACCAAAATGGAGGTCTGATAAAGTTCCTGAAAGCATAAAGGAAGAAATGGTTAACTCTGACCTCAGTGAATGGGGTCACTGGGGCAAGACTTCAAAATAGGAGACTTGGTAAGAGTTGTAAAGGATCATTAAGAGTTGACTAGATATAGGACATCTAAGTGAAGGAAGAGAAGGAACAAATATCTGGAGGGTGAATGGGTGTGATCTATGTTGGATGGCAAATAGCTCAGTATAGTTCAGTGTAAGGGTAGTTGAGTTGGAGGGACGGTGGAGATGCTACCCATCCAGCCTGACTGGGACCTCTTCTGTGCAGTTCCCTCTGACCAGTGACCAAATGCAGGAGGTTGTGCCCGAAAAGCAACTCAAAGGCAACTTCCTTTTTCCACCCAGGAGCTGCTACTTTAATTTAATCCTTGTCTGTGTCAAGACAGATAAGGATAGGAAATTTGGTGAGAGGAGCTCATGTAGTGTCCTACATGCCCTAATTGGGAGCTTATACATCCTGTAGGAGGGAGCCCAGGGCAAATGTTAAGCATAGTAATCACTGTGGGGGATGTGAATTTTAGAAAACGAATCCAAGAATGTGGAGGATGATGTGGGAGGAATGGAACTCAAGGTAGGGAAGGACCAGTGACACAGACAACAAAGTTGGGGGACCAAATTAAAGTAGCAGCTCCTAGATGGAAAAAGGACATTGACTGTGAGTTAGTTTTTGGACACAACTTCCCGCACCTGTCACTAGTCAGAAGGAGACACACAGAAGATGCTCCAGCCAGGCTGGGTGGGTGGCAGTGTCATCCACTGGAACCTGGACCACAGGAAGAGGAACGGTCCCAGAACGGGGATGAAGAAGAGTTTGGTTTTTAATCCACTGGGGACAGGAAGTCATGGACACACATCAAACATGGTCCCTGACAGAGCACACTGTTTTCCAACTACAAATCATGTAGCAAAAAGTTAGCATGCTCCCAATTGAACAGTTTCGTGGTGTCAGTTTCCAGAATCCATGTGTATATGTGCCATTCTGAGAGCATTCATATGATTTTGATAGAAGTGCTGACGTAATTACCTACAAGGAGAATCTTCAAGGCAGGGTCCTATGCCTGTGGGATCTTCCCGTGTTAGACCCTTAAAGAGGCAGAACTATTGCATGTGTAGAATGAAACAGAAACCCAGTTTAAACTCTTCTATAAATACACTTGCTAAAAGATAAACTTAGGCACATTAAAATTTTACTGAGTTTATTTGAGCATTCAGTGATTCAAGAGTTGGGCTGCATCACACACAAGTGGTTCAGGGCACCACTGAAGGAGTGGGAAGGGAAGTGTTTGTAGAGGCAAGACAAAAGAAAATGTAATTGGTTAAAGTGGGAAGTCCCTAGTTAGAACTTAGTTGATGGTTTCTGATTGGTTAAACTTCAACTTCACTTTACTATTTACATTGAGTTGGGTTTTGGGTTTACTAGTATAGGAGCCCAAGGCACTGGAATTGTCTCCGTCTAATGTGCTTCCAGTGAATTATTTTAGAACCCTGAAGATCTCAATCTAAATGTCATTTTCTTTGGTAAGTTTGCTCTATGTTTTTCCCCACGATAGGTAGGCCCTGCTATCGTGCACTCTCACAACTATATAATTCTCCATGTAGCACTTTTAGCAGCTGTAGTTTCACATTTCTATGTGTGTGTTTACCAGACTGATGGCTGGATTCCTGACTAGAAAGTGGAGTTGAAAACAAATACAACGCTGCTGATGTTTACTGATGAATTTCTGGAGCCTAGTACAGTGCCAGGGATATAGATGGAATTTGGTAAGCAACTGTTAAAGGAGTGACTGATTGGTGGATGATCTCTTCATTGCACTTTGTGATGAGGGGCCCTAGCTCTCCTCTCGGAAATGCTATTGGCCTTGCAAGTTTGTGTTTGTTTTTTTTTTCCTGGGATTGGGGTGTAGGGGTCTGTGACCTGGTCTCAACAGGGCTCACTGGTATGTATGTGGATTGGCTGGGAGCTGGCTGAGCTAGGCTGAATTGGCTGAGATCAAAATGTTTTTATGTCCCCCATCTTCAAGACCATGCCACAAATATCCAGAGGCCAAATATCTCATGGGGTGAAGTTTCCTAGAACCATGAAATTGTTGACGAGGTGCCATGTTCCTTCAAAGTTATTCAACATGCACTGCTTCCAAGGAAGAATGTTAAGACAATGTGTTTCCGGAAAACATGTGGACTGGGTTTAGGAACTCATTAGTATGTGATCATCTGACCTGTTTGGACTTTATGACTCCTTCGCCAATTGCGGTCTGATCTACTTGCCAAGTCAACATCTAAATGACATACATTTTTGCAAGCACATGTTTAATTTTGAGACTGCCTTTTTGTCTTGGTTTCTCTATAAAACCATTTAAGTTTCTGTTGTATTTTTTATTCAGAAAAACTAATATTTGTTTTTCTGTTGCTAAGAACACCCCTGGTTAACCAGCTGTCATTCTCATGGTGGCAAGCTTTGCCCAAGCCTGGGAATAGTATCAGGACATCTGAAACCCCAAGGAAAAAGAATATGTAAAATATATTCAGCTCTACAAGATTCAACCTTTAAAACGTAACTGCACACTAGACTGTCATGGTACCAAATATCTGTTGGAAACTTAAGTAGAGGATAGCAGTCAAGAGTATAGGCAGGGTTAGAGCCTAAAAATGTAGGTGAGATTGCCTATGTTCAAATTCCAAGTTGTCTTCTTACTTTTTTGTAACCTTGGGTCATTCTCATAACCATTCTAAGTCTTAGTTTCATTAGTAATAAGTTAATAATTAGAATAAGAACCTACAGTTAGGAATTCTCTCATATATTTAAGATTTCCTGACCTTCTAGACACATGATGAGATAGTTCCTTACCATCCCTTGCAGTTAGGTGTACCTGTGTGACTTACTTTGATCAAGGAAACTTGAGCATAAATGAAGGATGTGGATTTCTGGTGGAAGTTTTGAGAGTCAGCATGCAATTTGCCATGACTTCTTTATCTCTCCCATGATAACTAGGAACCTCCCTATGGGGGTTCTCCATCAGTCTGGGTTCTGAAGTGAGAAACGTATGGTGCTAGAGACCTCTGCTGATCCATGATCAGAGCAAGAAATAAGCCAACATTTATTTAAGCCCTTGAGATTGGGGCATTGTTTGTTGTTGCAGCATAGCCTGGCTCATACAGACTCTGGCCATACAAACTCCTACCAAGAGCTAATGAAATCATGTATCAAAGACTATTGAAAGTGTGTATCTCAGGGCTTGGTATATAGCAAGTGCCCCATCTGTAAATATTAGTTGCCATTGTTGTTGCTCCTAACTCCTCATGAAAATGCTTTGAAAAACTCAAGGTTTTTTTTTCCTTTTGTGTGACGAAGAATAATTTACCCCTAATCTATCATTTGTTTTTCACGGCACTTTGATTCTCCCTGAGGGTGCAAAGATGAGCCATATACACACGGAAATCTTCCGTACTTTGAATCAAGTTTTTCCTCCATTTGAGACAGTTCTCCTCTTTCTGTCAATTCTATGGGTGCTTGACTTTGCTGAACACCCACTTCTTTGAGGAAGTTAGCTCTCTCAGCCTGGCTGCTCAAATGATACCCTTGCTATTGATCAGTTGTACCTTGTCTTATGACAGCTGCTGGTTGAAGTCACAGGGGAAGGGGCCTACCTTCTTTGGTTTGAAAGACTGCAGTTACCATCTGTAGAAATAAGGAAGCAAGAAAGCAGAAAGACACCGTTACAGGGCTACTTGTCTGCAGTCAGAACAAATTCACTGGGGTCTAGGCTTTGAATCCAAGACATGACCCTTATAGCTTAGTCCTCTGATGCTTGTCAAGTGGTGGTTCTTGGAGGATACTACATACTAAGTGACTCAGGGATATATGGCAGCACTGTCCAATGCAACTCTCTGCAGTGATGGAAATGTTTTTTATTGTGCTGTCCAAGATGGTAGCTACATGTGACTACTGAGCACTGGAAAGGTAGTCAGTGTGGCCAAGGAACTGAATTTTCAGTTTCACTTAATTCTAGTTAATTTAAATTTCACGTAAGTACCCACACATGCCTAGTGGCTACCATCTTGGACAGCACAGACTGAGTGAATGAACAGCCTAGTACATTGTAGGCACTCAATGACCTGACACTTCCATATTTCTTTTATTCTGCTTCTGCAAGTCCTGTGCATAACCAGATTCTTCTTTTGGTCCTTCAGATCTCACAGGCTCTGCCAGAGGAGAAATGCTTTCCAAAGAGAAAATAAATGGCCAGACACTAGACCAGACCAATCTGGGATGCTCTACGTCATCACAAACTCCATTTGTTCAACGAGTGACAAGTGCAGAAAGATCCTGGCTGAACAGCTCCCTGAAGGCCTGCTCAGAGGCTAGAGGCTTCCCCGTCTGCATGCTGCTCCCTGCTCTCCAGAGAGGCAGGAAGAGAGGATCTTTGGCTCCAGAATGGAGCACAGAGATTGCACAGACTGGGAATTATTTGGAGGGCCAGGCTAGTTTTCATCGCGTCTGGGAGCTGATGCTTTCATTTCACTGAATATCCTTACATAAAAGCTCCTGAATGAGCCACATCCCTGGCTCTTGAGGCTCCAGATTCTATCTGCTTGAAATCATCCATAAGAGAAGGTAATGGCAGGGCATTAGCCACAGAGGGTAGACATTATCTAATTTTGAACAATCAGGAAAAGATCTGAGGCCTTTTCTAGAGCTCATGTTCCACGGGTCTACGATTGTGTATTTTACAGAGTGATCCATCTGATTTGCAGTGGTTTTTAGTATATGACTATGAGAAAAGTGATCTTGGTCACTTTTCACAAAAGGGACACAGAAGTATTTGTGAAGTGTCTACTGTGCATAATGTTACTGAAAACCTTATGTCCTTTCTCAGAGTAAATGTTGATGTCCTTTCCAAACAGCCTCCAAGTCCCCACCAGTAGGAGCCCTGGTGCTCTTTTGCTTCAACTTCAACTTCTGTCTCCTTCACTCTGCTCACTTCAATGACAATGGCTAGTGTATATTTCTGGAATGTGTTGCTTAAACTCCTGCCTCGGGACTTTTGCAAATGCTCTTCCCTCTGATATCCCACAGCTAACTCTTCACACCTTTAGTCTTTGCTCAAAGGTCAGCTTCCCATTCAAACCTTCCTTGACCTCTAGTTCCAATTTAAAATTGGAACCCTCCACTTCTGACTTTCTGTCTCTTTCTCCTGCTTATATTTCTTCATTTGAAATCACACACTTTTATATACCATAAGTTGTTTTTTGTTGTTTTGCTGTCTCCTCCTACCAGAGAACAGGCTCCGTGAGGGCAAGGATGTCTATCCGCTTTGTTCTTTGGTGGGTGGTCAGCTCTTAGAACAGTGTTGGACACACAGCAAGAGCCCAAGAAATGTTTGTTGAATAAATTAATTCTCTTTCATTTAAGCCTCACTATCAACTCTTCACAATCAGCTTTGCAAATGAGGCAACTAGAAGTTAGAGAAGTTAGTTGCCCAGAGTTTTGTAGCCAGTAAGTAGAAAAGCTGTATTCATTAATAGATCCATTAAATGATTTGGGAGCCTTCCCTATGTGCTGGGAGCTGGGTTACAGGAAGGAACAACACAGACGGGATCCCTGTCCGCAAGGAACTCACATTCTAGTGACCCCAGTGATTCTTGGGAGTCAGCTTCAAGCCTGTCTCATCCCAAAGCCCATATTTTTCTATTACATGACACTATCTGCTATGTTTAGACAAACATTACTGCATCCCAGAAAACTAGTTCTGCTCTTCTCTTTGAGGACAGGAGGATCCTCTGATTTCACATATACTAAGAGAAAGGAGGTAGATTTTCATGACACTTAGCTCATCTGTTTGTTTGCAAATATTTCTTTTTCTTTATTTTTCCTGCCACAGCCTCAGGGATTCTGACACCCAAGACTTGGGAGTTTGTGTCGATGGAAGCAACTTTGGGGGAATTGTGCTGTGGCTTCTCACAACATTTGTATAAGGATTCACTGAGAAATCAGCCTAATGTGTAGGGCCAGAGGGCAATCTTACAAATCTCAGCCACTGCTAATGCTTCCACCCTCCATGATGGGTTCAAGGCTTGGCATGCAGTGGCATTCTGGCCAATCTCAAATCGTGAAAACTTTGGACAAGAGCAGATGGCTGTGACCTGAGCCCAGTTAGAGTGAAGAAATAACTGGAAAGGGGACTGAAATTAAACCAAACACCAGGCCTCCAAATTCTCAAGGATGGCTTCCCCCACAGAGGGCCTCTCCCAACCTTCTGTAGCTATTCTTTTCTTGGCACTCAGTAGAAATGTCACGGAGGTGACTCAACCGGGAGCCTGAAATAAAATGCCAATAAGAGGAGCTTCACTCACTCACATGACTAGTTACTGGGTCAACCTGAGTAGGCAAAGGATGTTTCTCTCCTCTAAAAGTCTCCTTCCCCAGGAGGCTAATTGGCTAAAGTATACTTGGAGAGTTTCTAGGTGGTAAAAGGAGTAGTCTTAATAATTTTTCTCAGGGTTAGGAACAGGTGTAGAAATGACATTCAAAGGTAATTGGTTTTTTGAGTTATTCTTTGGGTTGAGACTGGAGGTTATCTCCTGTTAGTTACAGTGGGCAAGGAAAGAAGAGCAGCAAGCTGGTATCATAGACCAAAATCCCTTAAAACACCCCCAAAATCTGGAGCACTTAATGTGCTGGGTGGTCCTTTGCCTATGACACCTCTGGACTCACAGAGGTTCTGACTAGATCTCAGCCTTCCCACAGTTAAGCTTACTCAAAGGCAACAAAACCATTCTTGTGACTCTTGCAAGAGCACACATCTGTTCTCTCTAAAGATATGAGCATCTATAAGGAGCATAACTGAAGTGGAACCAGTGTGTTTGCAGAGGCAGAGAAAAGCAGTGCCACCTCTGCAGGATCCTAGGGTACAGAGGGATCATCCTCCATCCCTTCCACTAGCTCATCTCACATGTAATCCATCAGTGAGTTCTGATTGTTGGTTTTATTTTTTCCAAAGCATATATCAGATCCACTGCTTTTCTCCGTCTCTGTTGTTACCTGCTCATTCTCTTGCCTACATAACTGAAATAAACTCCAGAATCCACCTCCCAATTTCACCCCTGCCCCCACCCTCCCTTTTCATAATTCACTGTCTGTGTAGTGGTGTGGTTGTCTTTCTCCAGCATATTCACCGAACCACACCTTCCTGACGTCTTCTGTGGTTTCTCATTTGTTCTGGGTGTTGTTGCTATGTAACAATCCACCTCAAGACTTGGTGGCTTAAAAGAACCACCATTTTATTGTAGCTCTCAATTAGTGGATAAAGAATTCAGGCATGGCTCAGCTGGCTGGTTTTCTTGCTTCACTCAGCATTGACTGAAGTCACTTAAGGGTACTCAGATGGTGGATGAATGGTTTGGAGGGCCCCAAACATTCATTCACATTTTTTTTTTTTTGGTGTTTTGGTGGGAGTGCCTGGAGGGCTGGGCCCTGATGGAATTGTTGACTGTTGCCTCTTCAACATAGTGGTCTCAGGGTAGTTGGCCTTCTTACACAGAGGCTCCCAGAGTAGTGTTTCAAAATAAGAAGTGGAAAGTGACCCTCCCTTGAGGTCAGATTAGAAATTGGCATAGCATCACCTCTGCCATATTGTACTAGTCAAAGGAGTCACAGAGCCTCCCAGATTCAAGAGCAGGGGACACAGACGCCTCCTCTCAATGGGACGAGTGTCTAGAAATATGTGCTCATCTTCAACTTGCCACACTACCACTCTCAGAAATACATCCACTTTCTCGAATGACTAACTAGGCCCTCTTGACCCATCCCCTGACTGCCTTTCCTCCTTCCAAATCGCCTTCTAGGCACACTGGACTCCTTCCTGCTCCATACACACACCAAGCTCTTTCTTCCCACCTCAGAGGCTTCACATATGCTGTTCCCTTTGTGTGAAATGCCTTTCCCTAAAAACCCTTCCCATGGTTAGTTCCTCCTCATCATTCAGGCCTCAGGTCCTGTCTCCCTCTTTGCTAACTACCCCAGCAGCATGTTACCCAGGAAACCCCTGTGCTTGGCCCACCACCGTTCAGACTAGAATGTTCTAAAAGGCCAACAGCTTCGCTTTAGAGATTGAAAGAATCAGCATGCAGCTCTGCCGAGGCAGAACACATCCTGATCTTGGGCAGAGAGGAGTTTAAACTCTGCCTGTTGGTAGGTTATTCACTCTCCCAAGCTTCGCTTTTTCTCATCTGTTAAATGTGGATAAATAACATTCACCTTAAAGTGTGGCCATGAAAAAGAAAATGAGATTGCACACAGGTAAGCCATGTGGAATCACTGGACATGGTAAAGTTTCAATATATATTGGTTAAAAGGGAGAGGAATTTTTTTTTTTTTTTTTTTTTTACCCCAAGTGCAATGCCAGTTTCAGGCTATAATTTCCTTGTTACTAGAGATTCTGGTTTGGCCTCTGGGTTCCAGATGGTTTTTTGTTTAATTTGAGATCAGTAATCTCTGCCAGCCCAGGTCACAGAATTAGTAGCACACTATTCCTTGAGCAGAGGGTGAGGATGGGGGAACTTGCTCAGAGCAAACAAGCTTAAGAGCTGTAGGAACAAACATGTAACAGAGAAGAAAGATTTTTTAAATAATAGATGTTAAAAAATGAATCCAAACAAGAGAAATATACCCACTGAATAGGGATAAATGTAATGTCTACCCTGGACTGTGATATATGTCTGCTCAGAGACCAGCTCGACAAAAGGCCAAATTTTCTTAAAAGCATGTTAAAATATTAATAGATATCTGAAACAGTTTTCTTGCAACTGCTGCCAGTCTTCAGAAAGATTACATCAGACTGGAAAAACCTAGGAGAGACGCTGTAATGTCTTAGCCGTGGTGACCTACTGGGGCATCTTATAACCCACTTCAACGAGGCAGGCTGCGGTCTGGCGGGTGAGCCCCCAGCAGGCTCCATCCGTGTGAATCACAGTTATTGAGAAATTTCATGTTTGACCTCAGGAGCTGTGATTCACTCTCTCCAGCAGGTTCTGTGATACTTTACATGGCCTACAAAAGCCTGTCTGGTTCAGCTCCAACCTCCCCCACTGGCTTCTCCCACCTGGCACCCTCTCAGCTCCAGACCCACTGATTTTCCTTTCAGACACTCATACTCACCTATTTCTCACCCACTGCAGGACCTTCAGCCTGCACTTGCCTCTTTCTAGAACATTCTTTCCTCCCCTCTTAATGCCCTTTGTTATCTCCTACTCATCAAGATCTCTGCTAGAGAGTCCTTCTCTCTACAGCATCTCCAGGCATTTCCTGTAAAATATATGCGGGACCATGGTTGCCTCACCTTTGCTATTTTCATGTTAGCTGTTTTGAAAGAATAGGAGTGGTTATAGGATATCTCTAGCCCTTCTTATAAACTCTGTAAGGGGAGGGTTTACATCTCTTTTCCCTCATCCTTGCCTTAATAGCACCTAGTAGCATAGGGAACTGCTATGGTTTGAATGTTTGTCCTCTCCAAAACTCATATTGAAGCCTAATCCCCAATGTGGTAGTATTGACAGGTGGGACCTTTAAGTGGTGATTGGTTCAAGAGGGCTCTGTCCTGTTAAATGAATTAATTCATCTATGGGTTAATCAGTTACTATGGGAGTGGGACTGGTAGCTTTTTTTTTTTTTTTTTTTTTTTTTTTTTTTTTTTTTTTTTGAGACACAGTCTCGCTCTGTCTCCCAGGCTGGAGTGCAATGGAGTGATCTCAGCTCACTGCAACCTCCATCTCCTGGGTTCAAGCGACTCTCCTGCCTCAGCCTCCCAAGTAGCTGGAATTGCAGGCATGTGCCACCACACCTGGGTAACTTTTGTATTTTTAGTAGAGACGGGGTTTTACCATGTTGGCTAGGCTGGTCTCAAACTCTTGACCTGACCCACCTGCCTCAGCCTCCCAAAGTGCTGGGATTACAGGTGTGAGCCACCGCATCCAGCCTGGTAGCTTCATAAGAAGAGGAAGAGAGACTTGAACTAGCACATTTAGCCCCCTCATCATGTGATGCCCTGAGCTGCCCCAGACTCTGCAAAGTCCCAGCAGCAAGAAGGCCCTCACCAGATGCAGTCCCTTGACCTTGGACTTCTCAGCCTTCATAACTGTAAGAAGTAAATTCCTTTTAAAATAAATTACCCCATTTCAGGTATTCTGCTATGTGCAACATAAAATAGACTAAGATGGGAATCAATAAATAACTGAATAAATTAGTAAGTCCAAGAAAATTGTCCAACACAGCAAGAGAATTAGGTTAATTCTCATGATCCTGAGAGTTGGGGTGATTTATTTTATTAACCTCATTGGTTTGGCCCAACAATCAAATCCCCAGTCTCCTCCTCTGCCTTGTCAGTGAAAACACATCAAACAAGTAAAAAAATACAACATGTAGAAGGTACCCTGGGGTCTTTGACCCAAAGGCAATCCCGGTTGGTGCTTACTTAACTTGTGCCCCTATTTGTTTCTTTGGGAATTCTTTTTCCATCAATTATTATCATATCTTTCCTGCATAACCAGTTGGAATTAATGGTGCCATTTTCCTCTCCGTTGCCTGAGCTCAGAATCTCAGTGTTGTTCTTGGCTGTTCTGTCTTATCTTACCTTCTGCATCCAACTGGTCAATGAGCTCTGTAGAATTTTCCTCCCAACCTCTCTGCTATTTGCTTTCTCTTCTCCAAGCTTCATCTCTGCTTTTGTTCCCTCCCCTACATTTCTCTCCTGAATTGCGGCAATTGCTGCTACAGCCTCATTTCTTCATCTTACTTACTTCTTGCAAGAACCCCTTTTTTGTATCCTTTTCCAGTGACACCTGGTAATATTTCCAAGTTACAAAGCATCCATTCAGCAAGGATTTATTGATGATGCTATTATAGGACTGCCACAATGAAGGCACTGGGGCTAGAAGGCTGCCTGTGGTCTCCCAGGGGAGACAGGTGCGTAATCAAGGACAGAATTCTAGGGGAAACAGAGTGACGGCTCTCATAGAGAAATGAGCAAGCTGAGTGACATGGGAAATTGGAAGAGGTAATTTATTTTCTCTCTTTCTTCATCTTTTCTTTCCTCTCTGACTTTGTGTTTTATAGTATCTCATTAATTCAGAAAACACAGTCCGTAACAGACCAGATAGACAAGATATGTTAGACAGTCAGGGTGGGGTATGAAAATGAACTTGATATAGGATCACGCTCTAAAGGGCTGAGTTAGTTTTCATGTGTGCATATGTGTTGTATACATAAGCTCAACTATGTCCACACTTGTGAATAGAGTGTTAGTTCCTCTATGGCCAGGATTATCTTCTTACTCTCAGTTTATAACATGGGGCTGAGATGGAGTAAGTTCTTGGTGATCATTTGTAGAATGGATGGAGGAATGAATGAATAAATAAATGACTACACAAGGTAAAGGAATCATGGATCCAGTGTAAAAAGTGGATGGCTATTTTCAGAAGAAGCAATCTCTTTCAGCAAGGGAGGTTTGATGCCTCAAGTTGAATAGAACATTTCCTGTGATTCACAGGGAAGGATCTTTAGAGTTCTGCCTACATAAAAGGGTTCAAGGCATTGATTCTGTCCAGCAAATAAGAGAGAATCCCTCCTCTCCTCCTAAAGTTCCACATTGTTGTTCTTCATCATGCACATCTCAGATGCCCAGATAGTTCACACACAGACCTCACTTCCCATAAGAGAGAGCAACTGATTTCACACTGACTTGTTCTTGATGTTCTTTCCCACAGGGCATGGTGGTGATGAAGATGATGAAGATAATGATGGTGATGATGATGATGATATATTAATGATGATGGTAATGATGAAGATGATGATGACTGTGACAATGATGATGAAGATGATGATGATATATTAATGATGATGGTAATGATGATGATGAAGGTGATGATGACAGCTGGTATTTAATGCACATCCCAGGCACTTCCCTGGGCATTTGACTCTGACAACCAAGTCAAAAAGGAATTATTAACATCACATCACAAATGGGGTCACAGACTTAAAAAAAAATCTGCTGTAGTTTACACCCAATGAAATAATCACCCTTTTCTCTGTCCTGCTGCATTTTGGCAAATCCCAGTTCACTCCCTTGTGGTTCCCAGCCTCTGAACCTGGGAAGCATACCATCATGGTGGAGAACAAAGGACTTCATAAGCTATTACATAAACATGGATAGAATCAGAACATATCAAACACTGCACTGGAGATCTGGGTGAGGAGAAATGCGGGTTAACAATGAATCCTTCACAATGGAAAACAAATCAACCTTAGAGTTCATTTTATGTATCTTGAGAAACTCATCGGCAGACTTTTTTCAAAACATTGACATTGCCTGGGAGAACAGTGAAGCAACAATTATTCTAAGTATTGTTGGAGAGAAAAAAAAAAGAGCAAAAAAAAATCACCAGAAAAAGGTAAATGTTACTTCTTCGTATGTATTAAGATTCTAATTTTAGTTTGATTAGTTTAGTTGGTTTTATTTTTCCTGTTTACTTGTTTTATTTAATTTTATTCTAAGTTTTCTTAATATTGTTACACAAAAATAGGTTGCATCTATCTTAATCTGAATTTCTTGAAACTTCTTTGCTTTTCTTCAATCTTCTCTGCTTTTGCCTTTAATAAATGGAGTTTCATTATTTTAAAATTTTATGTATTTTTTCATTGCAAAAGTTATTACACTATGACCCAGGGATTCCACCCCTAGATATAAGCCCCCATAGAAACACTCACATGTTTTTTGTTTTGTTTTGTTTTGCTTTGTTTAGTTGAGAATACATTATTTTATTTTATTTTTTTTCTTTTTTTAAATTATACTTTAAGTTTTAGTGTACATGTGCACGACGTGCAGGTTTGTTACATATGTATACATGTGCCATGTTGGTTTGCTGCACCCATTAACTCGTCATTTAGCATTAGGTATATCTCCTAATGCTATCCCTCTCTCCTCCCCCCACCCTACAACAGGCCCTGGTGTGTGATGTTCCCCTTCCTGTGTCCATGTGTTATTGTTCAATTCCCACCTATGAGTGAGAACACGTGGTGTTTGTTTTTTGTCCTTGTGACAGTTTGCCGAGAATGATGGTTTCCAGCTTCATCCATGTTCCTACAAAGGACATGAACTCATCATTTTTTATGGCTGCATAGTATTCCATGGTGTATATATGCCACATTTTCTTAATCCAGTCTATCATTGTTGGACATTTGGGTTGGTTCCAAGTCTTTGCTGTTGTGAATAGTGCCACAATAAACATACGTGTGCATGTGTCTTTATAGCAGCATGTTTTATAATCCTTTGGGTATATACCCAGTAATGGGATGGCTGGGTCAAATGGTATTTCTAGTTCTAGATCCCTGAGGAATCGCCACACTGACTTCCACAATGGTTGAACTAGTTTACAGTCCCACCAACGGTGTAAAAGTGTTCCTATTTCTCCACATCCTCTCCAGCACCTGTTGTTTCCTGACTTTTTAATGATCCCCATTCTAACTGGTGTGAGATGGTATCTCATTGTGGTTTTGATTTGCGTTTCTCTGATGGCCAGTGATGATGATCAGCATTTTTTCATGTGTCTTTTGGCTGCATAAATGTCTTCTTTTGAGAAGTGTCTGTTCATATCCTTCGCCCACTTGTTGATGGGGTTGTTTGTTTTTTCCTCGTAAATTTGTTTGAGTTCATTGTAGATTCTGGATATTAGCCCTTTGTCAGATGAGTAGATTGCAAAAATTTTCTCCCATTCTGTAGGTTGCCTGTTCACTCTGATGGTAGTTTCTTTTGCTGTGCAGGAGCTCTTTCGTTTAATTAGATCCCATTTGTCAATTTTGGCTTTTGTTGCCGTTGCTTTTGGTGTTTTAGACATGAAGTCCTTGCCCATGCCTATGTCCTGAATGGTATTGCCTAGGTTTTCTTCTAGCGTTTTTATGGTTTTAGGTCTAACATGTAAGTCTTTAATCCATCTTGAATTAATTTTTGTATAAGGTGTAAGGAAGAGGTCGAGTTTCAGCTTTCTACATATGGCTAGCCAGTTTTCCCAGCACCATTGATTAAATAGGGAATCCTTTCCCCATTTCTTGTTTTTGTCAGGTTTGTCAAAGATCAGATAGTGGTAGATATGCAGCATTATTTCTGAGGGCTCTGTTCTGTTCCATTGGTCTATATCTCTGTTTTGGTACCAGTACCATGCTGTTTTGGTTACTGTAAACTTGCAGTATAGTTTGAAGTCAGGTAGCATGATGCCTCCAGCTTTGTTCTTTTGGCTTAGGATTGACTTGGTGATGAGGGCTCTTTTTTGGTTCCTTATGAACTTTAAAGTAGGTTTTCCCAATTCTGTGGAGAAAGTCATGGGTAGCTTGATGGGGATGGCACTGAATCTATAAATTACCTTGGGAAGTATGGCCATTTTCACAATATTGATTCTTCCTACCCATGAGCACTCACATGTTAATCTAAAGCCATGTACAAGAACATTTGCAGCAGTACGGCAACTGAAACAGCCCCCAAATGGAAAAGTCCATCAAGCGTACAATGCTATAATCACAAAATGGAATACTATACAGCAATGCCAGTGGACTTACTATGCAACAGCATAGATGAAGTTCAAAAGCAAAATATTAAGAGAAAAAAGGAAGCCCATAGAAAAAAGTCATTCATTTTTTATTCTATTATTATAAAAATTAAAACCAAGCTTGGCGAAACAAAGCTGTTCTGTTTCTTGATCTGAGGCATGTAAGGTGTATTCACACTACTAAAATTTATCAAATTGTTACTGTATGACTTGAGCATTTTTCTGTATGTTATATGTTACACTGAAATAACAATTTTAATGAAAAATAATCACACATTATTCAAAATAGAGATAATGCTGAGTAGAATGAGGGAATAAATGTTTACCCATAATCTGACCATTTAGAGATGACCATTATAAACATGTATTTATATCTTCCAAGTATTTTTATGTTTTTGAAATGTATCTATCTTGTAATCCTATTATTTCAGTTCCTGCATAATAGTAAATCAAGTGGGTATATGCTAATAATTTATCTCTTTTCTTCTTGTTGGGCATTTAGATTACTGTTATTGGCATTTTAAATAATGACAAAATGAACAGCTTTTTCTTACAAGAAATTTCCTGAATTAACATGATTTCTTCAGCTTAAAGTCTCAGAAATTAAGTTACTGGGCCAACTGGTATACATTTTTAGGTGGCATTTATAAACATCAATACCTATTTTAATTTGGATTAGAGTAAAATTAAAGTGGGACCTTCTCTCAGGACCATTATTCTGATTTTGTGCCATCGAATAAACTTTTCTCTTTGCCAGGAGGCATCAGCTTTTTAAAGATCAAGAGTCAGCTTGTGACAAAGCTTAATTATTGGCAATAATTTTAAGATAATTTGGGTAAGATCTCTGAATCACAAATCCTGGCACAAGAATGTTCTCTTACTTGGTAAAGAGAAACAGCTCTCATCTTGCCTGTCAACCCTAATAGATTGGTTGTGTCTACCTAGAGAACTGTGTTGAAAAGAACTCTGAGTGTCGTGATCTGTTAGTAATGCCTGCCATGATGCTGAAATGGGAGCACTGGCATGTTGCCTTGGGTGTGTCAGCCCTCTCCCAGAGTATGACAGTCTACTTTGCAGTTGAGTTTTGTTGTTGCATGTATGCATGAGTTGCCAATGTGGAACTATCTTATAAAAGTATTTCTAAGATCTGGGCAGGGTCAGAGGACGTAGGAGCAGAAGTAGTACGGCTCTTGATCTGGTGGAAGTGCACACACACACACACACACACACACACACAACTAGCGGGAATTATTTTAAATATAAGCAGACTAGCTCAAGTCAGGTAATTCTATATGAAACTGTGTTACATTTGCTCTGGCTTTAGTTAAACTTTATCAAGAGTGGTCAAGAGTGGTCACTTTGAATAAGTGAAACTAAGTCATTCCAGGGGCTGAGTCTTGATCTTTCTGCTCCACTTTTTGAGGAGAGGGAGGGTGATGCAAGGAAGGGCAGCCTTGTTGGGTTTCAGTGTGTATGACGGACACAGCTATAGCTCAAGGCCAGCTGCTCCAAGCGGTAAAGCTCTGTGCTTGAGGAGGCTTTTGTCCTATCAGCTAGAGGGTGCCTCACTGAGGACTCAGTGAATGAGAAGAAGCAAGCTTGTTTGAGCTCAGAGACTCCCCTCAGACACAGTTTCAGTCCATAATGGAGCAGTTCACAAAATCCCCCAGAATGTGGGGAAAGTCAAAAGAAAAATAAGACACAGTTCTGCTTCAAGGTCCAGGTAACACGCACACTCCCTTCTCAGGCAAACAACAGGTTTGGCATGGAACCCCTCAGTGTGCACAGTACTGCCTAAACATACAACTCTTTGGACCAACTAGACACTTTATTTTCTCACTATTTAATCATGGCTGCCATATTTCAAAAATCCCAGTTTCCTATTGGCTAAATGCAATTTGGGTTTTTCCAGCAGACCTTCACTTGAGATTCTAAGTGATGTATATTCATTAGAATAGCTGCTTATTGACTGTGAATCCTCAGTTTCTTCATGTATAAGACAAAATAATACCACCTACCTCAAGGGCAGTTGTGAATATTTAGGGGTATGATGACTATAACAGTAATAATTAACAATAGTAGTAGCATGTGCTGAATGCTTCTTAGGTCCACGAATCATGCTAACCATTAGCTTATTCAATTTTTCCAATACAGTGTGAGAGAGGTATTATTATCTTTATTTTACAGAGGAAAAGTGAAAACTCAGAAGGATTAAGTAATTTTCCCACAGCTACCTGCCTGGTTAGACTATATCTTGTCTTTGCATTAACTGCTATGATATATTCTTTCCATTATCATGGTTTGTGATGCATGGATCTTTAGTAGTGTGCCTGGAACTGAATAAATACTCAATAAACCCTCTCTGACGATGATCAGTAGTACCACTGCTACAGAATTTGCTCTTCATGGCATTAGCTCTGTTATACAGATGGGAAGACTGAGGCCATAGAGCTAGTATAATAAATGGCAGAACACATCAATTCCAGTCCAAAGCCACACACCCACCGGCCATTGACCCTACAGCTGTGGTATTACTCTGAATCTTTCATTGTCTGTGGGGTGACCTCTTTGGGGGCACATTGGAAGTTGTCTGCCAAATCTGGGATGGCCAGGGGTAGCCTTCAGACTGGCAATTATTTCAGTAGGAATGTGATAGGAAGTATCTGGGAATGAAGTCTCTCCCCTAAGACCTCCCATACCTGGGATTAGAGCTGCATCCTGGCAGTCCTTTGCCCTGAAGGGCAGGCTGGCAGGGCCACCTCTGCTCTGGCCTCCCTGAACAGAATGAAGGGCACATGTGCACGCTAACCTTTGCATTCATCAGCCAGCAGCTGCAGCTAGAGATCAATGATAAGTAGAAATTGTGTACGTTCAACAGCATGTGCCTGCTTTCCCTACAAATCATGTGACTTCCTATTAACAGTATCTCTCTTCTTACCAAACCGATATTTCCTGTAAAGGGTTTAGACTAATTGTGGTTTTAACAAGGGTCACATTATGCATTTCTGTGAGAGTAAACAACCATAGGTCAGAGAGTCAGACGGTCAGTCTGGAAAACAGATCCATACTCTGAATCTTTAAGGCTGATACGAAGCCCAGATAAGTGTGTTTGTGATGTGGAAGTTACCCTGGGAAAACAGAAGGAAGAAAAAACGAACTCTAGAGAGAAGCGACTGCTTGGCTAATGACGGTGCCTAAAAGAAAGAGCGCTGTGGTTCTCTTTGGTGTTTATTTGGGGAAAGCAACCTATGAAGATTAGAGCCCTAGATTCTGATAGATGATGCTCCCCCCATTCCTGGCCCTGGGAGAGTCGGGCAGGTTTTTAATGGCTGTCACTCTGTCTGGGGGCCCATGTTCCACTTTGGTAGCTACAGTGTGAATCACGTGGTTGCTAACGGCAGTCTTCTCTTGGAGAGATTCCTTCTCGGTTACACTATTTCTCAACAGCTTGGAAGCCTGCAATCATTTTGCTTTGACAAAGACGGAGGTTGCCTTGGAGAACACATTGGCCCTGATTGGCTTGTTACTCCACAGAGTGGATATGCTGTGATTGAACTCAGAGCTCTTGAACTCAACCTGCGCCTTGAAAAACAAAATGAAGACGAGAGAAAGGTTTGAACTTCCTCGCTTAACCCACATCTGGCTCAACAGCCCCCTTTTCCTGTTAAGACGTCAAATGTGATATGACAGGGTACCATTTATCACTTAGACATCCTCCGCTGCTTCTCTTTCCTTTCCCCTGTCTCTTCCACTTACTTTAGGTCAAAGTGAGACATTTCTTACAGGGGAGCTTTCAACTTAGGTGACACTTTCCTGATTCTGAATCTTGTTCCAAAATGCCACAAGCAAAGTCGCCAGCCTAGAATATCAACATGTCAGAGGGTTTTCATTTTTTTAGACACAACTCAATCATTTTTCTTCTAGCCGATCTAAGAATTTCACCTGGTAAATGAGTGTCTAATCCTACTGGGGAAATTCAAAACAACCACCATGCAAAACTAAAATTCTCTTTCTTCTCCTCCTTTGACCGATTTAATGGAGAATGCATATGCATAGGTTTTATATCAGATCTGTCCAACAGAACTTTCTGGAAGGATGGAAAAGTTTCCTATCTGGGCTGTCCAGTATGGTAACCACTGGACATATGTGGCTATTGAGCACTTGAAATGTGGCAACTGCAACTGAGGAACTAAATTGTAAACTGTGCTAATTTTAACTAATTTAAATTTGAGATTAAATTTAGCCATACCCTATACAAATAACGTACAGTAGAGAATGGCACACCTGATCAGACCCTGAACGCAGCTATTGACGAAAAAGTGGTAATATTGTTTTTTAAAATTGGAATTATCCATTCCATTGTTTTCTCCACCTCCAAACACTAGTAACATGTCTGTAAGCTGCATTTGACCTTCTGTTGATCAGAGCATCATATCTCAGAAAAAGCAGAGGTTGAAGAAAATAAAAATGTGCATTTATTCATAAAATGGTGCATTTATGTTGAGGTTTGGAGCAAGGCAGAGAGCAAGAAAAGAACTGCTCTAGTGCACGAATTAGGTGATGGGATGTAAGCAGGTGACAGAATGGGAACACTTTGCAAAGTAGTACTAATGGGATGAAATTTGGCCTTTCGAGCCCAGGTCTGTGCTCTAGCATTCATTCATTCATTCATTCACTCATTCATCCATTCAATATTTACTAAGTCTTTACTGCATAGCATGTACACTATTTCAGTTGCTTCATCTATAAATAGGGGCAAAAGAATAGATAATAACTCAGTATATCATTTGCATGGTATACTTGATAAAATGTAAACCACTGGAGAAATTTGAACCATTGGAGATATTGACATTTACTTCAGTCTTGAACCAGAAAGAAATGCTCAGACTGGAAGGGGTACTTAAACTCCAACTGAAACCCTGGACTGGGGTGGGGGCAGGGTGGGGATAAGAGATAAAGAAACAATCTAACCATTTTAGACGGTTGTTCAGATGGTTCAACTTCATGTATCCAGATAAATAGTATGCTGGCATCATGAAAAGATTCACAGGGGAAAACTCAAGAAATCAAGAAGGAAATAAAGGAAGAAAACCAGATTTTTAAATGTCTTGGTTTAAAAAAAAATGAAGGATGGGTTTCAGAATCTATATGATGGTAAACTTTATATTGGCACAATTTAAGAATGGATTCTCACCAAGTTGGTTTTGAAAAGGCAAAGTGGAAATCCATTATCTCAAGAAAATGCAAGGATGCAAGTACAAGTATGCTTTGATCTCAAGAAGCCATGTGACGCCAGGCCTCAATTATCAGCAGACTTGTAGCTACTTAACCTTATTCAAGGAGGTTTTGTGAATTATTTTTATTATTATTTTTATTTCAAGAGAAGTTGCTGTAGGTGTCACAGAACCCTGTGTTTACGCTGGTCCTCTTTGAAAGCATCATTTTTTGATGCTCTCAAAAGACTTACAGATGTGCTCATTAAACCTGCAGTTGGTATGAGAAAAGTGAGAAGGCTATCAGAATTCAAAAAGAGCCTTATAGTTTAAAAGGATGAACTAGTCATCAAGATGAAATCTGTTAGATACATTTGTCAAGTCCTGTTTTAGATTGCAAACTTTTCCCCCCAAAAGTACAAGATACAAAAAGTCCTGCCTGAAAAGCCACTTGTGAAAAAGTCCAAAGGGCGTGGGTTGGCCCAGAGCATAAGACAGCAACCAGGTGTGACGTTACCAAATCTTCAGCCAATTTAGGTTCAGATCAAGGCTGAGGGGGCTCCTCCTGAGTTGTACAATCGGGATGAGGGTGCCTAGAACAGGAAGGGAGTCAGGAAAGTATTCTATTTAAGCATTGTTTTAAAAAAAAGTGATGGCCGGGGGTGGTGACTCACGCTTGTAATCTTACCACTTTGGGAGGCCAAGTCAAGTGGATCACCTGAGGTCAGGAGTTCGAGACCAGCCTGGCCAACATGGTGAAACCCCATCTATACTAAAAACATAACAAATTAGCTAGGTGTGGTGGTGGACACCTGTAATCCCAACTACTTGGGAGGCCAAGGCAGGAGAATCGCCTGAACCTGGGAGGCAGAGGTTGCAGTGAGCCAAGATTACGCTACTGTATCCCAGCCTGGGCAACAAGAGCAAAACTCTGTCTCAAAAAGAAAAAAAAAAAAAAAAAAGGGAGCGGCCGGGCATGGTGGCTCACGCCTGTAATCCCAGCACTTTGGGAGGCCGAGGCAGGTGGATCACAAGGTCAGGAGATTGAGACCATCCTGGCTAACACGGTGAAACCCTGTCTCTACTAAAAATACAAAAAATTAGCTGGGTGTGGTGGCGGGCGCCTGTAGTCCCAGCTACTCAGGAGGCTGAGGCAGGAGAATGGCGTGAACCCGGGAGGCGGAGGTTGCAGTGAGCCAAGACCACGCCACTGCACTCCAGCCTGGGCAGCAGGGAGAGACTCTGTCTCAAAAAAAATAAAATAAAATAAAATTAAAAAAGGGGGAGCATGCTCACTTTGGGGAAGTGAAGATTCAGAAGTTACACGAATACTGTCCTCCAGGGGTTGACCAGTTGTTCGTCAATGACAGTAGCTTGTGCAAACAAAATTCTAAGGCAAGTTGCACCTTATGCACCAGGACAGAGGAAATATTTGAAGAAGACACTGAGGCCATATTTGAACAATGTGGTCTGGCTGTGGATTGCTGGGAACACACCTTGGAGACAGGATCAGGAAAGGTCTTCTGAGAACAGCTATAGCCATAGGTTGGAGAATTTTGCATGTACCTGCCTAGGGAGATTGCTAGACATAGGTGGATTTTTTTCAATATCTTTATTCAAAATCATTTATACTAATAAACATACTGAGATGAAATAATGATCAAGTCACCTGTTCATAAAAAGGATAATAAGATATTAATATACAGCCCAAATAAATTCAACTCCCTTTGAGGGAAATAGCTAACTTGCCAATATGTATGAATCAATTTAACTTATAAAGGCAACAGAGTTGCTCATTGGATTACACTGAGAATGGTGATTAACAGACTGCCACTTCTAATATGAATTTTGTCTCTGCCCGAGTGAGGGTTTAAAATTCATTTCATTTTTTATGCATAAAATTATGCTTTTTTTTCATTTTAAACTCTGCCTGTTCTCTATGTAAGAACAAAAATGAGGAAAGGGTTGAAAGCGAAATAAAAAAGTCGAAACCTTCCCTTTTAACGTACGCAAGCATGCGTCTACTTATGGCTTTGAATAATAAGATTATACTTTACACGTTGTGTTCTTAATTTGGTTTTTAAAAGTTTGTTAATTAATAGCTGTTTCCTGGCTGGGTGTGGTAGCTCATGCCTATAATCCCAGCACTTTGGGAGGCTGCGGCAGGTGGATCACTTAAGGTCAGGAGTTCAAGATGAGCCTGGCCAACATGGCAAAACCCTGTCTCTACTAAAAATACAAAATTTAGCTGGGTGTGGTAGTACACGCCTGTAATCCCAGCTACTAGAGAGGCTGAGGCAGGAGAATTACTTGAACCTGTGTCCAGAGGTTGGAGGTTGCAGTGAGCCAAGATAGTGCCACTGCACTCCCACCTGGGCTAAAGAGAGACTCTGTAACGAAAAACAAACAAAAAAACAAAATAAAACAAAAAAAACTTCATAGCTGTTTCCTGATCACCTACTAGGCACCTGGCACTTTCTTAGGCTCTGAGGGTTGGAAACCATGAGCCTGTCCTCAGAGCTTAGAGCTTAAGGGAGGAAGAAAGAAAATAATCAAGTAGATAAATAGGTGTATAATCAGCAGTCCCCAACCTTTTTGGCACCAGGGACTGGTTTCATGGAAGACAATTTTTCCATGGGTTGTTGAGGGCATAGTTTTGGGATGATTCACGTGCATTACATTTATTGTGCACTTTATTTCTATTATTATTATACTGGAATATATAATAAAACAATTATACAACTCACCATAATGTAGACTCAGTGGGAGCCTTGAGCTTGTCTTCCTGCAATTAGTGGGTTCCATCTGGGGGTGATGGGAGACAGTGACAGATCATCAGGCATTAGATTCTCATAAGGAACATGTAACCCAGATCCCTCAGATGTGCAGTTCGCAATAGGGTTCATGCTCCTTTGAGAATCTAATGCTGTGGCTGATCTGACAGGAGACGGAGCTCAGGAGGTCACGTGAGTGATGGGGAGTGGCTGTAAACACAGATGAAGCTCTGCTCACCCACGCACAGCTCACCTCCTGCTGTGTGGCCTGGCTCGTAACAGGCCATTAACCATACCAGCCCATGGCCCGGTGGATGGGGACTCCTGTATATAACTATATACACATATATCATTTATAATATCTAAGGTATGTTATCGCAGATTGTAAAGCATGATGATGTAAAGGAGTAGGGATAGGAAACAAAATGGTGAGCAGCACAGACTCAGTGATGGGGTCGTGGAAGTCTCTGAGAAGGTGCTAGATGGTGAGATCCAATGGACAAGCCACAAGCCATCCTTAGAGCCAAAAGAAGACAGGGTTCCAGAGAGATAATAATGTTATTATAAATAAGAGCCCAATTTGGTTGCTATTATAAACCTCATTGTATTGAAGAGGAAACTGAGGCAGTTCTTTGAAGTCTTACATTAACTGCTGTAAAAGCTCATCTAGCTTTAGAGTTGGTTATACGTTCAGCCATTGAGCTGCTTAACAATTTAACTATACCCCAAGGCTTCCAATATAGATTTTCCCAGAATAACTGTCTACTCAAAAAAGTCACACCATCATACCTGTTGTTTTTGGTTTTGTTATTATTATTATCTTCTATTAAAGTAAGCAAATTCTCTGCTAAACCTTTCAGAAGCCAGCAGCAGCACACAGCAATAGCAGAACGCTCTCTCTTTTCTATGCCTTACTGAACAGTGGTGCCCTCCATGAAGGGGGCCTGGGTGCTGCTAAGCATTTGCATTTGGTTGTTTATCCCATCTCTGCTCTTTTAACCTTCTCCATAAGCATGTCTAAGGGATTAAAAAGTCATTCTAATGCACAAAGGGCCTAGGGAGACTGTGTTTTTCATATCTATTTATATCCTTACTAGCTAGATGGAAATCCATCCTCAGGATCCCAACATCCACTACTAAAGGAGAAAAACAAAAACCACCAGGTCAATGCATGAGTCCCAGTGGGAAGTTATTAGTGTCATCTTGGTATTACTCTAAGTCTGGTTCATCCTTCTACATGAATAGTCAATGCTTGTTGGGTAAGGCAATGGCGACCAGTGCACTCCACTCTGAGGCTGTGAGTGTGTATATGCACAATCTTTATTACAAGGATGTAATAATGGGTACTTATTGATGAACTGTACCTGCCTAGACCTCGGAGGAGGGCAGCATGTTCAAACAGTATAAAGGGAACAAACTATAGTTCTAATGTTTATATTGAGAATATCTGAGATTCATTTCCAATAAGTGCTACTTACAAGTAACTGTAGCAACCTAAATAACACCATATATTTAAAATAAAATTAAATGATTAGAAAAGACTAACTTCATCACGTGAGGATTCCAATCAACAAATTAAGCTAATTTCTTATTAATTAAACTCATTGAGGGCAGAAGTTTTATTCAATGAGTCCCCAACATAGTTAACTGAGTTCATAGTAGGTTGTGAATAAATAATAAATCAGAATAAGTTCCTTGTGAATGGGCAAAAACACAGTGAGTTTGTACCTGTGGTGAGATTCCTGTCTCAAAACTTCCACTGAGTTTTCTTTAGAGTTTATTTTGGACTCAGGGCTAGTTCACAGCGTCCACTCTCCTGGTTTCACTTACTTCTCCCTTCTCAAAGCTTAAGTGGTATGCAAGATGTATGAAGAATTAAAATAAATAAATGCACAGTTATGTTTATTTATAATGCCTTAAAACTTGGCTACATCCATTTGTCTGGGTTATGTGTGCCGATGTGGCCCGCGGATAAATAGCATGAGTTTTATAACCTTTGTAGAAAGTTCATATTTCTGGGCTGTTAAGATTTCTACAATATAGTAAAACTAAATCATATACATGTTTACAAAGCCAAATGTCTGCTCTTAGATGGATTTCGTACCACAGAACATTGTCTTCAAGTGGAGGATTCTTAGAGCAAATGTCCCTGCCACTATATATAGTCCATAGGATACTTTTCTTCAATATGCGGAGGTCATTCTTTGCTATTTTCTTTCTCTTTTTTCTTGGCTATGTATTAACTGTGTTAAAAACAAACAACTATGGGCCATGTGCTTATCAAAAGCAGTGCTCTCTCTCTATCTATAAGCCTTTGTTTGCTTTTCCTTATCTCTTCCCAAGAAACAATAGCCAATAAAATGGCCTAAAAATATGTCATTTCAAAAATGACTGACATTTGCTGATCTCTACAGGACACAAAAATATACAGGAAAATTTAGACTATCTCCAAGAAAAAGGATGGAGGAATACATTGTGTGCATTAGCACCATTGCATTAGCCTTTTTTATATATGTTCTCCTGTCCATTTCACGGGTGGGAAAACTGAGGCCCAGAGAAGTGAAGTGACTTGCTCAACAGTACCCAACTAAGTAATCCTAAAGCCAGAACTCAGCTAGCTTGACTTGCAGTTTATGCCTTTTCCAAGGGCCGTGATTGAGACTGGTTTTATTACCTAGTCTTACTACTGTCCTATAAGGAGGCCCTTATGATGTGTTTCCAGGGCACGAAATATGAAACTATTTCAGAAACAATAATTCACTGCAAAAAATTGATCCCATCGGAGACAGCAGCATTTGTCTGGTTGTAGGGGGCTGGACAGCGGGTGGCAAACATTTGAACAGACTCAGTCAACCTCTTGCCAAACTTTTATTTTCAAAGCAGCCAATGGTCAGACCCCACTCAACTCCTTCCCCACCACTGTGGGGATGGGAAAGTCTTGGAGTCTCTCCCACTGGCTGAAGATCGCTCTTTATTTATTTATTTATTAATTATTTATGAGACAGAGTCTCACTCTGTTGCCCAGGCTGGAGTGCAGTGGCACAGTCTTGGTTCACTACAACCTCTGCCTCCTGGGTTCAAGTGATTCTGCCTCAGCCTCCCAAGTAGCTGGGATTACAGGCACCTGCCACCACACCAGCAATGTTTTGTATTTTTAGTAGAGACAGGGTTTCACCATGTTTGTTCACCAGGCTGGTCTTGAACTCCTGACCTCAAGTGATCCACCTGCCTCTGCCTCCCAAAGTTTTGGGATTACAGGCCTGAGCCACCGCGTCCAGCTAAAGATTGCTCTTCTTTTAGGTTTGTTTCTGTCTTGGTTAAATAAATAAAACATTTTTCTTTTTTAAGTTTGGGAAAACAGGATGGCCCTTCCCATACTTGTCTGTCATGTTTGCCATCAAATCCTTAGATCAGGCCGGGCATGGTGGCTCACGCCTGTAATCCCAGCACTTTGGGAGCCCGACGCGGGCGGATCACGAGGTCAAGAAATCCAAACCATGCTGGCTAACATGGTGAAACGCCCTCTCTACTAAAGATACAAAAAATTAGCCAGGCGTGGTGGTGGGCGCCTGTAGTCCCAGCTACTAGGGAGGCTGAGGCAGGAGAATGGCGTGAACCTGGGAGGCGGAGGTTGCAGTGAGCTGAGATCGTACCACTGCACCTCCAGCACGGGCAACACAGCGAGACTCCATCTCAAAAAAAAAAAAAAAAAAAAAAAAAAATTAAAATAAAAAAAAATCCTTAGATTTTTCTCATCTTTTTCCAGAAAAATCTTCACATGGCATGTGTGAGCATCTGTGTGTGTGTGTGCCTGAACATGTGCATTGGTGATGGCATGTGCAAGTGTATTCCCAAGTCTGGGGGTAACATCGTGGGAGCTGAAGCACTCGAATGGACTGGGCGAATCTGAACGACTCTCCTTGAAAGCCGGGTTTATTTTGGCAATATTGCTTCTCTCCCCAGTTACCCCAACCTCCCATATTACTGTCTGTGGATTATTATTATTATTATTTTTTTCACCGACAGAGATGCTTAGGCATGGGCTGCAGGAGATAAGTGATATGGTCAAATCACTCCTGCCAAAGCTTGAAATTCCTGACCACTTTAATAGCTCTGGCTGACCTCTAAATGAAATGCCACCTTTGGTTATTAACATGTCTCTCTCTACTTTTATGATTTTTCGGAACATAATTTGTCACAGTTTTTATCTGCACAGAGCAAGCTTTAAGCTTTTAAAAATGTGAGTTATCTTTTTACAACTGCTAACAATTACACATCAAGGAACAGACTGCTCTGAAAACCAATTATGAAAAACCCGGCTTGGAGGTGCATTCAGCCCCAGAGTGTGCATTTACCACTCTGGATTAGAGATTTCTGAATTCTTGCCATGGAGCTGCCAGGGCACAGGAACTGGGAACCAGAAACTAAACTTAGAAACGACTTGTGAGATCTGAGAGATAAGATATGGGTAGAGAAATTAATTGTCCTTGTTCTGTATGATAATCTGATAACCGGGCCACAGTGCTTGGTCCAGGTTGGAGCATGCCGCCGTGGGGTCTTTTCTGCTAGGAAAGGGTTTGCTCACACCTGGGCGTTGGACCATGCTGTCTTTCAAAGGCCATCTGCTTTCCCTGAGATGCTTATCAAAGGATTTCTGGGCTACTGTCTCTCAGCCCTCAAGTGCTAGATTTATTTCGGGACAGAAGTGCATTGTCTCGATGATGGCTCTGGCTTCCGTCACACTGCCAGGGTCCACTGCTGCCTCTCCACCACTTGCTGTTATCTGTGGGCTAACGAGGTGGAAGCACCTTGTTCCATCATCATAGCACATTGCTCAGAACCCAGCCTCTGGAGTCAGAAAACTCAGGTTCAAATCCTAGCCCTGAAACCCAGTGCTCTAAGACCTTGGGCAAATTGTTCAACCTCTGCACCCTGGTTCCCTCATCTATACAATGGGAATAATAATGACATGCTTCTCAAGAATGCTTGCAGCATTAAGAAGCTATGGAGATTATTTAGAAAATGTTCACTTAGTTTAATATTTTATTATACTAGATTTTTGGGGGGCTTTTCTCTCTAGCTATTTGCAAAGAGCCGAGTTATGAGGCCCAAGCAGAGCCACAGATAGGAGGGAAGCAATTGACTCCACGAGAAGTGCCTGCTTGCCATTTCTATTAAGGTAAAGGTTTTATTTCATGGCAGTTAAGATTATAATAAAGAGTTGGCAGGAAATGGTGTAAAAATGAGGGGCAGACTTCTCAAATAGGAGGTTGGAAGAAACATCTGTGGTTAGACCACGAAGAGAAGTAGAGCAAGGAGTGAAATGGGGGCACCCTGGATATGAGTTCAGGTCCCCCCGGGGTCGGCTTCCCACGCTGAAACGTAGGTGGGCATCCGCCTCCAGGAGGGGCTTGATAAAGGGTGAGAGGAAGAATGAAATGGAAATGCGGCTGCGTCAGGCTTTCTGTCCTAATTGCCAAAGCGCATCATCTGCTACCGGAGAGGCCCAGGGCAAAGCAAATGTGTCCCCCTTTCCCAGTAATGAGGCATGGGAGAAAGTGGGGGAAAGAGAGAGAAGAAGGAGGAGGAGAAGGAGGAGGAGGAGGAGGAGGAGGAGCAGGAGGAGGAGAAGGAGGAGGAGGAGAAGGAGGAGGGGGAAGAGGAGAAGGAGGAGGACAAAAGGGAGAGTAGAGAAGGGAGAGGCGAGAGAGAAGGAGGGAGAGACAGAGTAAGGAAAGAGAGAGAGGGAAGAATGAGGAGAAGGAGGACAGAGAAGAGAGGAGAAGACAGAGGAGATGCAGAGAAAGAAAAGAGAAAGAAGGAAAGAGAGAGGAAAGAGAAGAAGAGAGGGAACTGGGGAGGGGGAGAGAGAGTGAAGGAAGGAGAGAGGGAAGAAGGAAGAGAAGAAGGAGAGACAAGAAGAGAGAGGAGAAAGAAAAAGAGAAAGAAGGAGGGGGAGAGGAGAAAGAGAGAAAAGAGTAGAAGGAGGAGGAGAGAAGGAAGTGGGGAGAGAGAGAGTGAAGGAAGGAGAGAGAGGGAGGAGGAGGGGAGAGGAGAGAGAAGGAAGGAGGGAGGAAGGGAGAGACAGGGAGAAGGAAAGGAAAGGGAAGGAGGAGAAACAGGAAAAGAGAAGAAAAAGGAGAGGAGAAAGGGAAGAGAGAGGAGGAGGAGAAGGGAAGGGAGTGATGAGAGAAGGAGGGATGGAGAGATAGGAGGAGAGAGAGAGAGAGAGAGAGAAACAAAGCCAGTAAACAAGAGAGGAGATGAACACGGGTGGAACCAGCTGTAATAGGCCACGGCTTTCCTATATTACCTTATTTGAGCCATTAGCCAAAACAATGCCTAGGATGTTTACTGATGAGGTTTTACAAATGAACGAGGATTCAGATTTGTTAGGAAGAGGGTGAGACTTAGAGCACATGTGAAACTCAGCCCACACCGCCATGCTGAGTAGGTAGCCCAGTAGGACCAAACCCAAGTCCATCTCGCTATCCCCACAGCTTCCCTACCTTTGGCATGTGAGAACCCTAAGTTGCTTAAACACCTCTCAGGTGCCAAACTCAAGAGATGCCTGTGGGAATCCACTGCTGTACGGCCCAAGTTTGGGGGTTTCTCTGCTTCCCCCTACAGCTGAGCAAATGGAGACACCCCAGTAATGGTGGACTCATTCCATTCCAGGCCTTGGCAGCTCCTGCCGCCCTCTCTTAAAAGAACAATTAAAAGACTCTCTTCCAGGAAGTTTTTTTTCTCCTTTCCAGGACCACTGTCTGGGCCCCAGGGGTAAAACATTCCCTTTGCTCCCGTCTCCCTGGCAGGAAATCTATGCAGAGAGGATGTTGATTATACTCTTCAGCACTTATTTCCTTTACATTATTTTGATTCCGTTATTTCTCATTATACTCCCAATATGTTTTGGCAGCCTGAGTTTGCAGATGGGAACAAACAAAGGCTTCCACAATTCCTGGGCTGTACCTACAGACTGGATTCCAAAGGGATTTCTTTGGGGGTTGGCTATTCCCTTGCAGGGTGGGTCCAGTGGCTGGTGCTAATTTCCATGGTTGGCGAATAGCCAGGGCTGGCCAGCATTCCTGAGTGACAGGATTCCTAGGCAAAGTTTGCAGAGGTTGGGCTATCCAGCGCTCTCTGCCTCATTTGATTGAATTAGGACCTTCTTTCTGAGTCTCTCTTTAAAGAGGATAATGCAGAAGACCACGGAGCTTTGTCCTCTGTCCTTTCATTCCATGATACAACTTCTGCCTGATTAGACCTCAGTGCTGGGCCTCCTCACTCTTTTTTAGGGGAATTAACCAGCTCCAGCCCCTGGGTGCAGCAAGGTTCCTTCTCTCCATCCCAGGGATCTAGATCAAGGATTATTCCAGAAAGGTGGTCCATGCAGAGGCAACCTTGTGACCTGGGACATCGATGCTTGGCTAGCCAGCTCCTCTCTTTTCTGGGCCTCTGAACTTGGACATTAAAGGGCTGAGTCAGCAATTGGCAGGATCTAAAATCAAAAGAGGTGTTTACGGAGGAGCTGATGAATGCTGGGCCAAGTGAACCTCTGAGGATGCAAAAGCAAGAAGCAAACAGAAGAAGGTGGTTGATGATAATGAAGTTAACAATAGCAGCCAAGTTGTATGCTTTTAAGTATTTCCATGTGCCAGGTACAGTGCAAAGAACATTGTATGTATTGCCTCATTTTACGCTCCCCAAACACTCTGAAGAAGGTTTTGCAAAGCACCCTATTTCACAGAAGAGGAGACGAACGCTTCACCACGTGCATGTTCTTCTAAAGTTCACGTTCTTCACCGTCATTCTCTGTGTGGTTGCCCATGGAGTTCTCAGCAAGGAGAGCAAAATAAATCAAAAGTCCAGAGAGAAGAAGAGACATCACAGACAGTGATGGAGAAGGCCTGGCTCAGAGCTGCTGCAGACACCTTTAGGTCTAAATTCAGTCTGGGGCAGAAAACAGCTTCCTTTCCTTCTTGCGGCAGCTTGATTGGATCTCTATTCCTGGCAGCTAGGAGTCAGGAATATAGAAATCTGGAAATCTTCCTTTCAGACCCTGTTTACAAGTGATTTCTGCCGGGAGGCTCTCCCTGACTTCCTCCTTGTCCCACAGGCCAAATTGGTTCCTCCCTCCCCTGGGCCTCCCAGGAAGTCAGCTCATGCATCTTTTACTGCCTGCATCTCACTGCATTTTGATTACTTGTTTACGAATTGTTTTCACAACTAGATGGGGCACATACTCTTCTCTGTCTTCCCAACTTGAGGGGTATCCCATGACCTCTCTGAGGTTCAGTCCCTCATCTTTAAAATGGGTCAATATCAGTACTTCCTTCATAAGGGGTTTGGAGGATTTGGGCAGGAGAACTCATAGAGAGCAGTGATTCTCCAACTTGGCTGCACACTGGAATCGCTGGGGCACCTTTAAAACACACAGATGCCTGCCTCCCATACCCAGACACTCCTACTCCAATTTTTTAGGTCTGGGGTGCAACCTAGGTAGCAGGTTTTTAAAGCTCTAGGGTGATTCTCATTTGCAGCTGAGTTTGGGAACCACTGTCATACAGTATTTAACACACATTATAAGTGTACCAGAACATCTGCTGTTAGGAGGCCATGGTCCCAGCTGTACTCCACAGTGGTCAAGAGCCTGGGCACTCCAGGCCAGCTCTATAGCACAGAGCATATAGCACAGAGCTTAATACATAGTAGATGCTTATTAAATGCTTAGTAAATTTATTCATTACTCCAATGAATATATATTGTGCCAGGAATTGTTCTAGATCAAGAATCTACCCCAGGCGGAGAGAACGCAAGAGCCAAGGGCCTGGAGGTGTGATCACAGCCCAGGTAGGAGGCCAAAGCGGTGGGCACTGGGACACGTGTTTTGCGATGAGGTTGAAGGGGCAGCTTAGGCCTGAGCCTGTGCCTGTCAGGGCCTGGATGCAAACCAAGGAGCTGGATCATATTCTGAGGGCAACAGAAAGGGTTATCTCCAGGTGGGGTGACACAATCCAAAGTGTGTTTTAGATCCCACAGTGAGGGAGCATAGGTTTGCTAAGATGGAAGATAGGGGTACCAGGTTGAATAGGGTTTTCTCCAGATTCATGTCCACCAGAACCTCAGAATATAAGCTTATTTGGAAATAGGCTCTTTGGAGTTGTAGTGAGTCAGGTGAGATCATAATGGAGGAGGGTGGGTCCTAATCTCAACACAGAAGTCATGATAAGGAGACTGTGGAAGACACAGAGAGGCACTGAGGGGCAGGAATGCCATATGACGGGGGGCAGAGGTTGGAGCATCGCATCTGCAAGTCAAGGAATGCCGGAGCTTGCCACCCACCAGCAGAAGCCAGGAGACAGTCATGGAACTGATCCTCTTTCCTGGAGTTCCTTCAGAGTCTCCAAAAAGCAACAAACTCAGCCAACACAACTTGATTTTGGACTTCTGGTTCCCCAAGCTGTGCGAGAATAAATGTGTGTTGTAAGCTGCCAACAAAGTTTCTCATCATGTGTTACAGCAGTAAGAGGGAACTCAAACAGTAGGGAGAGGTGGTCTGGGGATGATGAAAGAGGACAGGGCAGTGAGAGAGAACTGGCGAGACAGGCAAGAAGCAGGAAGGCAGAAGAGAACGAGAAGAAAATCAGACCTGGTGGCAAATGGCCCCCCCGGTGGCATTTGGAGACTGAATAATTGCCTCAGTTCCGGCTCTCCAAGGGGAAGCTTTTCCTCAATGTCTTGGCATCTTGGAGATACTGGTCATTTTCCTACTTAGGTATAAGAGATTGAAAGAGGAAATGACCCAAATCCCTTATGCGTAGAGGATCTTAAGCACAATCTGAGAGCTTGGGCTGCTGCATAAAGGGTGTTTGTCCTGCAGGACAGGCCTCCTCCTGAGACACAGGTGAGGGGTGAGGGTGCCAGGAGGCCACACTACTGGAGGCTTGGACGCAGAAGCCATCCTGGACCTACCCCAGTTCCACATGGACCAAGCCTTGTGAGTCACTGCAGCTTTTAAAGAAAACACATAGGTTTAACTGGATGCAATTAGAGGATTAAAACTCTAGAAGAAAAAAGGGGATGCTCACAGCAAAAGGAGTTTTGCTCTCATGGTTGTTCAAAGAAGTGGAAACCACAAGATAAGAAAAAGCTCGATTCAATTTTTATACATCCCCAAGATGCAATGCACTCTTCTGGAAAAAGCCTCCTTGACCCACTAACAATATCCCAATAGGAAGGCATTGTGTGGTTAAATATGAGGGTTCTAGAATGTTCTGATTCAATTCCCAACTTGATGGGTATCCCATGACCTCTCTGAGGCTCAAGTCCCTCATCTTTAAAATGGGTCAATAATAGTACTTCCTTCATAAGGGGCAGAAGAATGCGTAGAGAGCAGTGGTTCTCCAACTTGCTGCACACTGGAGTCACTGGAGCATCTTTCAAACACACTGATGCCTGCCTCCCATACCCAGACACTCTAATTTATTAGTTCTGGGGTGCAACCCCAGTAGCAGGTTTTTAAAGCTCCTAGGGTGATGTGAATTTGCAGCCGAACTTAGGAAACACTGGCATAAAGTATTTAACACACATTGTAAGCACTCCAGAATATCAGGTTTTAGGAGGCCATGGCCCTAGCTCTGCAGTGGCCAGGAGCCTGGGCACTCCAGGCCAGCTGGCCTTGCACAAATATCTACCATGCTGTGGCTATGCACCTGCACGAGTCATTTATTACCTTCTCTGAAGTCGGTTGACTCATCTGTAAAATGGGACTAAAATGCCGACCTCATCCAGGTAAGTTGCCAGGATTAAGTGAGCCAACCAATGGATGGAAGACATTTACTGAATGTCTGGGCACACAGCATAGATTAAATACAACCTACTGTTTGAATTAATCATTGCTTTGGTTTGAATCCTTTGGCAATCTGTGTCTTCCACAACCATGGGGCCACATGCACTGAGTCTTTACCGTGGTTTTCTTGCCCAAGAGGGGGAAAAAAAAGCACGGGATCTCATCAATGTGTGGAGAGTTAAATGCAGATTAATGCTGCTTTGTTCTTTAAATAGTGCAGAGCATATGTCTTACTCTGTGTTTATCTGCCTGTCAAAATCAATGGTGTAAATAATGAAGTCGTGTGATATTTGAATATTTCTACTGCTCATATTTTTTTCATTCTAATTAAAGCCAGAATGTTCTTTTTTAGAAATCAGTATGAATAATAAAAACCCAGCTGCCTGACTCTAATATTGTAGTTTTTGTTAAAACATTTTTTTAACAAAAGCAAAGAAGTGTGTGATGATGACCGGCTGGATGTAACCGGCTGGTTGCATAGATGATGGACCATCTCCTGGAATTCCTGACATCCAGGGCTTGCTAGTTCCCTGCCCTTCCTGGACCCTGTGTTATCAATGCTTTGCAGGGCATAGCTGTGGGCACTGATAAAAGGCATTGCTATCCTTGGGGCCAGGCTGGCTCTAAGGGTAGAGCCCCCCTCCCCGGTGAAGAAAGGCATCCTTAGGACCCCAGGAAGTTAGAAGAACCTGAGGCACCTCTGGCCATGCCCCAGCCAGGGTGCTGCTGATTCTACCTACCTAACCAAGGTGACCAATAGGCCTGATTCTGGAGAGAAAGATGTATCATTTTTCTATTGCTGCTGTGATAAATTACCATGAAGGTAGTCACTAAAAACAACATAAATTTATTATCTCACAGTTCTGGAGATCAGAAGTCTGACCTGGGTCTCGCTAGGCTAATATTAAGGTGGTTTCAGGTTCGCATTCCTTCTGGAGGCTCTGGTGGGGAATGTGCTTCCCTGCCTTTTTCAGTTCCCGGAGGCCACCTGCATTCCTTGGCTTGTGGCTCCTTGCTCCATCTTCAAATCAAATCACTCCAACCTCTGCTTCTATTGCCACATCTCCTCTCTCTTTGACCCTCCTGCCACTTTCTTATAAGGACCTTTGTGATTACGCTAGGTCCAGCAAGATAATCCAGGATAATCTCCCCAAGGTCAACTGATTAGTGACGTTAATGCCATCTGCAATTTAATTAACTTGCAGTATGGAAATTAAATTAACTTAATTTTCCTGTGACATATTCATTAACAGAGCATATCCCCATTCATATTTGCATACTCCTCAGGGATTAGAGCACAGATATCTTTTAGGATGTGGGGCAGGGATGGGTGCATTATCCAATCTGCTGCAGAAGAGGAATGAGAAGATGGAGGGAGATAATATTGCCTTCCAGGACTCATGGAACCAGGTAGCAGAGACGGAGTATCCTAGAGATAGAAGTCTGATGGTATCAACATCACAGGCTTGTGGCTGAATTCTGTGCATTTGTGTCTATCTGTATGTGTGTGTGTGTGTTGCATGCTACATTGACACAAGGCTCTCTGAGGTCCCTACCTTGGACTTGACCTCCCCATCCATAATGAATGGCAAATCTCCCACATCAGCCTGCCCTGCTCAGCTAGGCCCCTCTGTCTGGCATTCTCTTACTCATTTTTTGCACTTCTCCTACTCAACCCCAAGACTAGGTTCAGATTCTCTCCCCAGTTGAGCTAGGCCAGGCATTCTCTGCCCCATTGCAGGCTTGGTTCAAGGAATACATCCTAGCCCCATGGCTCCCTGGAAGAACACATGCCTTGCTCCATTCTGATTGCCTGCAGTGTTGTCCATCTCCCTTACTGGACTGTGGGTTCCAAAGGGCCGGGAGAGATTAATCTGCCTCTCAAGTGCCCAGTTCTTAGCATTATGCCTGCAATAGGCACTCAGTAGACAGACAAGGACTGACCTGGTCAAATCCCTGTGACGTTGAGAGGCAGTGCTCCGTGGGCGTTGGAATGGACAGACCTGCCATTGAATTCCTACTCTAGCCTTGAGTAATTATAGGAAACTTTCTAAGTGCTTTGTCATCCTGGAACCTCAGGTTTCAGATCTATCAAATGGGAATAAAGATAGCATTATGGGCTGTGCTAAGGAGGAGGTGAAAAAATTCTTTGTAAAGTGCTCATGACAAGACAACTATATATTAAGTGCTCAATTATTATTATATCATCATCATCATCACATGTCTTGAAAGGAGGGAGCACTGCTCACCCTTTGTTAGTTAAAGATGGTTCAGTAGGGTTGGCTGGAAAAGTATTCTTCAAATTGACTGCAAAGTAGAGCTTTGGTCCCCATAATTTAGGTGATAATACTGAGGCCTAACATCATGGCTTCAGCCTAGTCAGAGGGCAAAGAAAACTGACACCAATTCCTTGGGTTGTTTTCCATTTTTCAACTAATTTTAAAAAATCAGGGGCTTGTCACTGATACGCCCCAGCCAGGGAGGGGTGTTTTTGAGGGATAGAAGAGGGTAGAAAGAACCAATGATACAGTTTCCAGAGCCCTTGAGCTAAGAAACATAACCGAGATCAAGGCATCAATAACATAGGAAGGCGGAATCATGCACCTGCTGTCTTACCTGGCTATCAGGTAGAAGGGGGTTACCAAAGCAGGGTGAAGATTCGTCCCAGCTTGCCCATGATGGTGCCAATGTGTGCCTGTATCCTTACTTAATTATTCATAGTCTCAACTTTTCATCTCTAAAGGATCCTAGTTGGACAATAAATTACGTGGCCACACTAGTCGAAGCTCACGTGGGTTAGTACCTGCCCAAATGTAAACTTAACCCTGGCAAAGACATCATAACCAAGACCACCATTTCAACTAAAACCATAATTGTGAATAGTAATGGCAGTACCCGACACAGGTCTAGAGCAGTCTATTTTGCCTCCAGGGGAGAGTTGACAATATCTAGAGACATTTTTGGTTGCTCCAGGACAGGGTAGTTGCTATTGACATCTAGTGGGTAGACACCAGCAATGTGGTTAAACATCCTACAATACACAGGGCAGACCCCACCACAAAGAATGAATTGTCCCAAAATATCAGGAGTGCCACAGTTGAGAGGCCCTGGGCTAGAGAACATCCCTTTGTGGCTTGGGGTGGTAGGGTAAGGATCCGAGATCAACCATTTATTTTCAAATTCTGACTACAACTTGTGCCAGTTGGGTGGCCTTGGACCATTTCTGAACATCACTCTGCACAGGTTCTTCTTCATCCCATGGAATAAGGAGAATTCCAACCCCACAAGGTCTTAGGAAGATTTAGTAAACTACGCCCTGTTGTGCTCATAGCACAGTGCCTGGCCTGGTTAAGTACTACAAACATGAGTTGGAGTTTATACTTCTGGGGAGCTCTTTGCTATGCATCACGTCATTTGTTTCCCAGGCTCCTCCACTCTAAAATGGGTAGAAGAATACCCCCTTCACGGGTTTCCCAGGAGGCGAAAGAGATAATCTGTGATCAAGCATCTCCTGATTGGGATCTGACTATTCCAGACCACTCTGCAAAGTAAACAGGTCAGACATTATCTCTGCCTGCAAGGCGATTTGATAGAGACCCTATACCCGGAGGCAGGAGCCAGGACTCCTGGCGCCCAAGTTTTGGCCTTGGCCATCATGTTTGTGAAACTACAGCAGTCGACTTTCAACCTTTTGTTATTGGGAATGAATGTTGAGAAATGGCCTGGGGTATCTTCCGGGGAAGGAGGAGCTGCCACTCCAGGCCCAATCCTGTCCAAAGTCTGAGCAGCTGATCTGCCTGTCACAGGGAGAGGCATGATAAACACAGCAGGGCTCACACATACACAGGCGTCCAGCCCTGGGGCCACAGACTCTGTCCGCTGATAAGGAGTCTTGGCCTTGTTCTCAAGAACTTCACCAGGAAGTGGTGAGGTCGGCTCCCTTGGGGCTTTGAACCTTGCCCCTCACCATCTCCCAAGGCCCTGCTTCATTTGGGACAGGGCGTGGCGCTGGGTCCTCACTCCTGATCAGAGACCCCCTTGCTCCACTGCCTATTCTCCCGCGTGGATTTCTTTAAGCTAAGTGCATTTCTTGATTTCCTTTTTCACTCCCCAAACTACCTGTGGTGGTTAACTCTGTTTCAAATAGATTCCGATTTAGTTTTTCTGAGCACTTACTGGATACCAGACACTGCCTTGCCATTCTCTCATGGAACTCTCTCCTAGACCCCATGAACGGTCATCCACTGCCAACTCCAAACAGGAAATGCAGCTCAGAGATGTTAAGTAAGTTGCCCAGAGTCACACAGTCTTCAAGTGGGAAAACTGGCATTTAAACCCAGGGTCTACTGAGAATACACTTCATATATTTTATTGGAGCAGGGAGAGCTCCTCCCTTTAAATTGTTGCTCTTTCTACAAAATAAGCCAGTCTGGGACATTAAATTAATTAGTGGAAATGTACTCATGAACTTTAGAGAAAGAAATGATGCCAGGGTACCACTCTCACATTCCAGTGTGTACCCATACAAAATAATAATAGTGATAATAATAATAATCAATGAAATTTTCGGGCCGTGTGGTACGCAGAATACGGAGACCAGAAGGGAAGCAAAGCAATTAGTGGCTATCATACAAGAAAGGGAAGACAGAGTCTAGGACAAGAGCTGCTGAGATGACAGCTGTGAGATGAAATGTGTATCCCCAAGTAGGAAGGGGTTTGGCTAGGGTCATTGATGGTGGTTGGCTGCCCTGGCTCCAGGCCTGCCGCATGCCCCTGCCATCAGTCAGCTCATTTAATCTTTACAAAACCCTTGAAAATGGGATGCTATCATTACCCCCATTTTATAGATGAGGACCCTGAGGCCAAAGAGGTTAAATGCCCAAAGTCACACAGCTACTAAGTGGCTAGAAACATGGACTGTGGGATCAGAAGAATGGGAGGTTCAATTCAGACTCTGTCATTCTCTAGCTGCCTGAGGCTAGCAGCTTAAGCTAGCAGAATTGCTGAATTTTTCTGAGCCTCTGTTGACCTACCCATCAAATGGGGAGTGTGGCAGTCCTCTCTTCATAAGACCTTTAGGAAGCAAGTGAGGATTAAATAAGATCATGAGCATTTGCTTGACACAGTATCTGAAGGACAGAAACAATGGGTAAAAAAGGCTGTTACCCAGGGTTTAAACCCAGGTGTGGGTGAGAAGGAGAGAGAAAGCGAGCAGGAGACAGATTCTGCTGGCTTGGAAATGGGGAGCAGGAAGGCCCCTGCTCTCAGAGAGTTCAGGCCCACACCTAGCCCTTTCAGAGGCTACAAGCATTCTTCCAGGGGCCTCTCACACTTCCAGGCCCAGGTGGCCACAGGGCGCATTCCTGGAAAACACTGGGCCAGTGGGTGTGACGGGGGAGAGGTGGGGCGCTGGGTGGGGCCTGGCCTACCTCCAGGAGCAGGGCTGGCGTGCAGGCTGAGGCCAGAGGAAGGCCAAGGTTAGCCAGCCCAGCTCCAGGGGAAAGGTTGGAGGTGCCAGGGGTGCGGTTGGATAAAGGCCAAAGGGCCCAACTGCTTGGCAGGGCAGGTTTCTGGAGCCCCCATGACTGGCACCAGACCAAGAGGGACAGGGATTCATTGGCAATGACGCTGGATTAGGACACTCTTTCCTCTTGCTCTGTGGAGGCTCTCACTGTTGTACCTGCCCATGCCTGGGTGTCCATGGGGGAAGTTCCAAGGAGTAGAGGAGGGAAACGTCTCAACCCACATCCTTCAGCTGAGCCCAGAGATCATGAATGGGGTTGAGCTGGGCACATGTGGAGGTTGTGGAGCCTTGGGAGTCCTTGCCCACCCATGGTTACCCTGTTCTGGCATGGAGAGGGGCTGGGCCCTGGTTGTGAGCAGACCTGGGTGAAATCCTGCCTCTCTCATAATGGATTTCAGCTCTTTGATGTGGCAGATGACTTCACCTGCATGCCAGTTCTCTTATCTGTGAAATGGGAATAACTGCAGTAAATGCCTCGTGACATCATCGCATAATAGCCAGCACCTTCTGGCATGTCGTTCAATGCACCAGACTTTCTAGTGTATCCATGTTTCCCGCTAAAATGTATGCCCATCAAAAGCAAAGACTCTGTTCCATTCAGCTCCCGATTTTCTGTAGCTAAAAGAAGCCCTGGAGCGGTATAGGGGCTCAGTGTATGCTGAGCAAATGTATGGGTAGAAATCACAAGCTCTCGCCTGGGTTATCAACCTAAGAGGCGAAGAAGAAAGGCAGCCCAGAGTGCTTGAGACAGCCTCAAACGCAGAAAGGTCTCAGCATCAGGATTGCTCCAGTATCCAGGGCAGTGGATCAAGTGCCCGCCCCTCACTTCCCTGCCTCTGTGCATGCCCACTGCCAGGAACACCCTCTCTGGTCAGTGCTCATCCTTCTCTTTGCCTCCCTTAATGCCACTCTTTAGGTTTCAGCCCACATTCAAGCTCTGCCAGGGGCCTTGCCTGACCCACGAGGCTGGGTTGAGTTCCTCTTCACCTCTGGAGTCTAGCAAGGCTCACACCATGGTGAGATTATTTACTTGGTCTCCTATATGGACTATGAAACTTGAGGGCAGGGATAGCAACCTAACATAGGAAAAACATACGATCTATATTTCTGAACAAAACAGTAAATAAGAGGGTGGCTCAACAACCAAAGGTCACCAACGACATCACAGGGACAGCACTTTGAGGCTCAGATGGATTTCACAGAGAGCCTTTCTTTGTGGCATGGATGGCTGGGGAGGGCGAGAGGCATGTCTTCCTTCCATGGTGCTTCTCTCCTGGAAAAGTTGAGAGTTTGGGCAAAGTGGAGGAGGGAAGTAATAAAACAAACTCACCTCCGTCCATGCAGTGTGGACCATGCATCACCACGTATTTCTAAAAACATTTAGAATTTGAAGAAACCCTGTGAAACACTTTCCACCTTGATCTGTTTCCATTTTTAACCAGAACCTACCAGTGAAGATGTCCGATTTGTAGGAGCCCTTAACATGCATTTTACCGTCTGGATTTTCTTTTTTTTTTTTTTTTTTCAGATGGAGTCTCATTCTGTCTCCAGGCTGGAATGCAGTGGCACAATCTCGGCTCACTGCAACCTCCGCCTCCCGGGTTCAAGCAATTCTCCTGCCTCAGCCTCCGGAGTAGCTGGGACTACAGGTGCCCACCACCACACCGTGCTAATTTTTGTATTTTTAGTAGAGACTGGGTTTCACCATGTTGGCCAGGATAGTCTCGATCTCTTGACCTCGTGATCTGCCCGCCTTGGCCTCCCAAAGTGCTGGAATTACTGCGTGAGCCACCACGCGTGGCCTGGAATTATTTTTAAAGCATTTTCCCCTTGAAGAGCTAGAGAATGGGTACATCGAGGAGAGACTGATTCTTGACAGGTGTCCTGAGACCTGCACTTTACTTACCGCATGGGGTGCCGCAGAGTCAATGAATGACACACATTGAAATGACAAGCGCTTCAATCTCTCCTTTTTTTTAAATTTTTTTTTTTGCAGCCTGAATACTACTTATTCTTAACTGTGAGTGAGACTGGGTACGTCTCCCCAGTGGATGACAGCCATCACAAACCGAATTTGTGAAACCCAAAAAGGGAAATCTCAGACTGACATAGGCGTGTAAACTCAGCTTCCTGGTTTTCAGCGCCACTGAGGGGTGGCAGCTAATGAAGCAGCAAGTCCCCAAATGTATTTTTTCCCCATTACAAATCGCTCCCCTCCTTCTCTCTCTCTTCTCCCCAGACACTTACAAATTCACTCACTCCCTCATTCTCTCCTTCAGCATGTACTTATGGGGTGTTTACAGATTACAGATGCTGTTGGTTAGTACCGAACCACACAGGTGTCACTGTGTCACCGGGTACTGGAAGATTAGATGGTGAGTCCCACATGCTGCTCCAGTGTTCCTTCTTCAGCGTGGGTGACACTTTGGACTCAATGATCTCGAATACTCCCATATGCAGCAGTATGGCAGTAAATCCATGTCATCTAGGAATCCATCAGCACTCTGAGGGATTTATCCTAGGACCCCAGGGGAGAAGGGAATGTCCAAAGGATGGAGGGGCCATTCTGAGATACTACCCTTTGAGGTGTCTCCCTATGTTCTCATGAAGTCTGAGCAAGAGGTTCTGGGCACCTACATGGGGACATCACTTCATCCTCTGGGTGAAGAAATTCACTGACCTGAGCCTCACAGAAACAAAGTTTCAGATGATCTAAGAAATGAAGGACTCCCAGAAACCTGGAGAACAACAGGCTGCATTACAGACTCCTATTAGTTGAGAAAGTAATTTACCATCTGAGGTGACAATGCCACTGAACAACTTTCATTGTCTATGTAAACATGGGGCATAGAAGTCACTTCTTCCTCCTTGCTCTCTTGTCCCAGGGAGGAAAGCATGGTTTTGACCCACACCGTTTATCCCTTCAATTCGCCTTAGTGCAAAACACACAGTAAAGCTGATTTTTCCAAATAGCAAAACATTTAGGTCCTGAAGAAAGACTTCGAATGTTCATACAGATCTAAGTTGTGACCTTAACTGTAGTAAAAAGATCCATCCTTTAGATTATCAATGATCATAACTAATAGTCACTGAGCTCTTGCATTATCTTATTTAGTCCTCAAAACAGTGCAAAGAGAGGTAGGAGGTGCTCGCCTCATTTTGGAGAGAAAGAACTTTGGACTTCAGGTAGCAGATGCCACCCGTCAACCATCTCATTTCCTCCCAGGCTTTCCCATTTCAATGCACACCATTCACACTTCCAACTGCCAGCATCATCAGTATCTCACTGCCCACGGCTTCTTTGGCTGCAGAAGCCCACTCTGTTCATGGGTGTAGCAGGCCAGAAGCCACAGAGTAGCCCTCAGCCAATGGCTGACTGGGGTTGGTGTATAAATACCCCAACTCCCTCACCTCTGAGGCTCATGCTTTACATTGCCTCCCAGAGGTCCCCAGTGAGATTACTTCCAATTGCCCACAGTGACCCATCCATGGCCTTTGGCTGTTCCCTGCTGCTTTCCCTACACGCCTGCAACTGCTTCCCAGGATCTCCTTCCAAGTCAATTACTTGCCTTCATATCCTGTCTCAGGGTCTGTTTCAGGCAGTAGCCAAACCAAGACAGAGTGGTCTGGCACGTCCCCAAGGAGCATAGGATTCACATGGTTTCTTAGTCTCTTTGGGCTGCTATACCAGGATATCATAGACTGAGTGGCTTATATCAACAGAAATTTATTTCTCACAGTTCTAGAGGCTGGGAAGTCTAAGATCAAGGAGCTGGCAGATTTAGTGTCTGGTGACACTGAATTTAGGCTGGCTTCCGGGTTCAGGTTCATAGATGGTGCCTTCAAGCCATGTTCTCACAGGGTGGAAGGAGCGACCTCCCCAGGGCCTCTTTTAGAAAGCCACAGATCCCAAACATGAAAGTTCCACCCTCATGATCTGATCACCTCCCATAGGTCCTACCTCCAAATACCATCACATTGGGGGATAGGATTTCAACATATGGATTTGTGGGGAGTGGGGCATCAACATTCTGTCTATAAGAAGAGTCAGATCTGAGATTTGACTCTAGTTTCCTATGACCCCAAAGCCTGTGTTTTCAACCGTAAAACGGATGCATTACCTTATGGTGCTCCAGATCTCTTTCTGTACATGTGCCCAAGAAGGGCAGAGCCGCTTCCTGCCCTTCCTGGGACAGAGGAAGAAAGAAGACAGTGGACCTGATGAGACTTGCCCCACATCCCAGAGCCAGTAGGGGCTGGGCACTCTCCTAACTCCTTGTCTGATGCTCTCAGCAAACCGAACAGGCAGACTTCTGGAGCTGCAGGGACAGTAGGCTGCCGGCGCGTCACACCCAGCCGGGAAAGAAGCACCTAACTTCTCCCGATTTGCTCAGCCCACTTCCAGCATGTGCTAATATGCGAGGTTGGCACCAGGGAGGGTGTCGTCTGGCAGTGCTATCCTTCATATGGAACATTAAGCTGAGGTCCTGCACAGTCCTGAACATTAACCATCCCCTGGTACCCATGAAGAAGAGCTACGGGTTTTATTAACCTCGGTGTCCTGGACGCGTTGCGCAAGGAGTGCCATCATTAACCCACCTCCAGACGGGGGACAGGGGCCTCTTGGCTAGCTCTGTTCCAAGCACGCAGGCCCTACGAAATGCCATCAATAATTTAAGGAAACTACCAAAATGTGACCATAAAGGATATAACTTCACCTCAAGGATGGTGATCCATAAAGATTTTGTGATAGTAAAAACTGCTCTTTGTTCTGTTACAAGCCCTTTGAAAGTTTCTCTCTCTTCCTCCCTCTTTCCCTCTCTCCCTCTGCATGTGTGTTTTGTAGTGGGGGTGAAGTCCTGTAATCGTGTTCCTGCAATTGGGATTTAGCTGAACTCACGGTTTAATTATTCCTAACATCATGGCCATGGCACGACCCATTAACAACAGCTCAGCCTGTGTTAGGAAGTCCCCCTGGTAATCTCAGAAGCACATCATATCACTCATTTTTTTCTTCATGTCAGAGATTTTTTTTCTCTACTTCCAGACATATGGCTTCATTATAAAAATGGAACAAGCACAAGAGCACCCCTCCGTCCTGACACAAGTTGAATTTAAACAGAGATCCAGTCGAGCCGCCCCACGAAGCCAGGTTGCTCGCGGCTTCGTTTCATGAATGCCTCAATTCCTGTGCTGGTTGATGCACTTTTAATTTGCATCCTTTATGCAGGCTTACAATTTGCAGCTGACAGACAAGGAAAGGGGCGGGTTATTTCAGGGCCAGGAATGAGTATCAAGGATCCTAAGAGAGGAAATTCCTTCTCAGAGGGAGATCGACCCTCATGACAGTTTTACACATGAAGAGGCGGGCGCCATAAGAGAATGAGTGATTAACTACATGTATTTGGCTTTTTACCTTTCAAAAAAAAAAAAAAAAAAAAAACCTAAAGGCGTGGTGGAGGGATGGTTAAAAGCATGTGCTTTAGCTTCAGAAGAACTGGGCTAACATCGTGGCTTTTCTTTTCTTTTCTTTGTTTGAGATGGACTCTCGCTCTGTCACCCAAGCTGGAGTGCAGTGATGGGATCTCGGCTTGCTGCAACTGCCACCTCCCGGGTTTAAGAAATTCTCCTGCCTCAGCCTCTGGAGTAGCTGGGATTACAGGTGCCTGCCACCACGCCCAGCTAATTTTGAATTTTTAGTAGAGACGGGGTTTCGCCATGTTGTTCAGGCTGGTCTCAACCTCTTGACCTCAGGTGATCTGCCCGCCTCAGCCTCCCAAAGCGCTGGGATTACAGGTGTGAGCCACCGCACCCAGCCACATTGTGGCTTTTCTACTTATTATCTCATTGACTTTTAATAAGTTGCTTAAGTTCGCTGCACCTCAGTTTCCTTCTCTGTAAACTGGAACTAATAATCTGTCATAAACTTTCTTCCTTCCTTCATTCTTGCCTTCCTTCCTTTCTTCCTTTTTCTCATTCTTCCATCCTTCTTTTCTTTTTTCACTTCCTTCCTCCCTGTTTTCCCCTCCCTCCCCTCCATCCCTTTCTCTCTCCTCCACTCCCTTTTATTTCCTCCCTCAAATAATGTATTAAACACCTACTGTATTCCAGAAACTAAACTAGATACTAAGGATACAGAAAAGAATAAGGGGAATCCCTGCACCCAAAGGCTTCATTCCAGCTTTGTTAAGAAATCAGATGGGGGGTCATATAAGAAGCACTTCTCACATTAAAAAGAGTTATAGAAAAAAGAATATTTTTATTGTAACTGTAGAAGTAGGTATTTTTTACTGCTTTTTTTTTTTTTTAAATTAGGATTGCACATAGACCAGAGTTTTCAAATTGCGTGTGTCCCCACCTACCATAAGGGGTGGGTGGGTGGGGGAGTCACCTAGACTACAGTGTGAACAGCACCTGGAGTTGTGTAGCAGGACGGCATTGGAAGGATGATCAAACAAAAGGTGTCCAGGTTCTCCTCCTCACTCTCAACCTGAACAGAAACTCTTTTTAGGCGCCTTATAAATTGGGCTTGTATTCTAGGGATCCACTTCAAATAGAAAAAAACAATAATATTTGAAATCTAGTGATCTTGGGGTTCAATAAATGCCTTTTAACTGAGTCAGCGATCCAAACGTTGGCATGGAAAGGAAGTCGCGCTGTTTTCTTGTTTTCCAAGAAATCTGTACAAGAAGACTCCCAGATAGCTCTGTCCTTATTCTGCACACTCAGAACATTTTCAATTGAAGGCTGAGAGACATCTGTGTTTCTGAGCCTGCCAGGTGTTTGTGAACCCTGTGTAGCCCACTGGAGCTGAGTTCAGCTTGCTCGATAGCTTGGGTCCAGCATTTCCCATGACAGGAGCCCGTGTCTTCACATAACAACTGCTGGGCTCTCTTTGCAGGCCCGAAGCCCACCCAGGAGGAGTGATTTGATTTACACGGAGTAGTAATAACCCTCAGCCAAACCCAGCTCACTGAATCCCTCTGTAGCTCCTGGCATGGTATAAACAGCAACGCTCAATTGCCCAGAGGGTTGGCTGCAGCAAAACTTGGGGAGGAGGAAGAGGGTGTGAACAGAGACAGGAGAACAAACTTAGAAGGCCATCCCTACTCTACAGAGGCTAGATCAGTGCTGTTCAGTGGATCTTCCTGCTAAAATGAAAATGTTCGATATCTGCACTAATCCCATAGCCACTAGCCAAACGTGGTGACTGAAGCCTTGAAGTTTGGCTAGTACGACCCCTAAACTACAGTTATTGTCAATAACTTAAAATTGTTAAAGTGAACTAAATATGGCCTGAGAAAGACTCCATACCTCTATATTTGAGTCCTTGTGGATGAATTGCAACCTAGCTTAATAGGTACACAAGATTGAAAACCTAACTTAGGAGTATGCACCTGTAACCACAGCAGAGTCTTGGCGAATCCCAGTGGCCATACTTCAACCACTCATACACTGCTGAGTGTTCAAACTGTGTTCAAATAAGGCAAACATCGAGCTGTAACCAATCCAGCCGTTCCGTACCTCACTTCCGATTTCTGTACGTCACTTCCCTTTTTTTGTCTATAAATCTTTTTCCACCACATGGCTGCGCTGGAATCTCTGTGAATCTGTTGTGATTCTGGGAGCTGCCCAATTTGCGAATCTTTCATTGCTCAGCTAAACTCCTTTAAATTTAATTCGGCTGAAGTTTTTCTTTTGTCAAAGTTAAATAGCCACATGCCATTAGTGGCCATCATATTGAACTGAGCAACTGCGAACACACTCCAAATTTCTATGAGTAAATCAGCTCATTGCAGAAGATCATTTCCTATTCAATTCACCTATGTGGTCCACAGATAATTAGTGTACCTTCAGTATGAATCGTGCCCTGCGCTGGGTACATATGTGGAAGGAAATACAAAGTTAGACAAGTCCCTGATCTCAAGGAGCTGCTCACATTCTGTTGAGAAGGTCAACCATGGCAACCAGTAACATGCATGGCTGTGACATGGGATGAGGGCAAAGAAAAAAGAGTAGAGTGAATGCAGGAAGGCTGCATGGAGGAGGCAGCATTTGAGCTGCTCATATAAGGTTAAAGAGTTGTTCATCTTCCAGAGAAAGGAAAGAGCCTGGACAAAAGCTTGAAACCATCGTGTGACCATAGATGGCAGATGACTTGTAGGGGCTGGGGTTTGGGTGTGAATCAGGCCTGATTGGAGGCAGAGAGGCCAGAGATAACCCTTTGCATAGAGGTGGATACCTGACAATGAAGGACCTTACGTGATGTTCCAGGGAGGGGGGACCTGACCTGAATTTAGGATCCCTTGACTTTTCCTTAGATATCGGTCTTAGGGACCTTAAATGCCCTCACTAGTTCCATCCATTTTTCCTTCCTCCAAGACCAGCCTGAGTACTGCCTTCTGCAGAGACTTCCTTTGATCTTGCCTTTATTCACCAACTCCTCCCTTGTCCCATTTTAGTTTCCACTCCCCAGTCACTATTCAGGTGATTTTCCATAATGTCCTTGATTTTGTTCGCCTTGCAGTTTTCTCACAAGACCTCGAAACCTTGGTGGCTGGGACCTCGCCTTTCTCGTTATTTTTTGTCCCTCAAGCATTCAAGACAGGTGCTCAGTAAATAACCTCTTTGGTGAATTAATTGGGTTTTCTATGTCACATCCCTATTGACTTGGACATGAACATCATCTAAATAATTCTAATTCCTGTATTATGAACACTTGAGTTATCTGCCCCATATCCATCCCCTGAACCTTTTATTTTGTGTAACCAACCTCAGTGTCATTCAAACAGGCCTCTGAAGCCTGCATGACAATGAACATTGGGGAAAGCCCTGGAAATGTTTGCAGGGCAGAAGATGAGAGCCCTGCAGGGGTCTGTTTGGGCTTCTTTTCATCTAAGTCTGGTGACTTTTGCCCTGAGTGATGGAGGCAACCTATAAATTGAGGTGAATCACCTCAATTACAAGTCATTACAAGATTTAGCTGTGTGATGCCAGACATCTGGCCAACTCCAACTACTATCTTTATTTACTGAATTACTCTGTGCAACTTTCTAGACACACCATGATTTGGGCTCCCCCAGGCTTTTCCTCTTGCTGCTCACTCTTCCTGCATGTTATGCCTTTACCCACAGAGCTATTCCTCTTCCAGATCTCTACTCTGATCTTCAGGTTGTCTTCCTCAACCACCCAGGCAACCTCGGCACTCATTTCTGTGTTTCCTCTGCACCCTTTAAAAACATATGTAGTAGGGTCACCAGAGAGTTAGATGAGATGGTGTCTGGATGGTATGAAAGCTCCATAAGTGGCAGTAGTGTTGCTGTTGTTACCAGTACCACGATAATGACTCACTTTGTGCGACACCTTGCTTCCCTTGTGCAGACTGAGCACTTAGTACACGTCAGGCAGAGAGTGAGTGTTTTCTAAATGATTGAAATATATGAGGATAGTCTCAGATGAATGAGCCAGGCCTTAAGATTCACAGGCCTGTGACTGGGGGTAATTTAGAAATAAAACATGCAAGTACAATATGGCAAAGATGAGCTTTCAGGGAGGCTGATGTCAAGAGCACAAGTTCACAACGGTGAGGTACAGTTGTGTTCAGATAAAGGGCCAGTTGACACCCTAGAGGGTATGATTACCGTGGTACCAGGTATGTGCAGGTGGCAGATAAGCCACCATGTGGAGGTGTTGGGGAAGGGCCCTATTGGCTTTAGGGTCCCCATGTCTGTGTTTCCTCCATTGTGAGTAGTACACAGCCTTGACAGACATTGGTTGAAATCCCAGCCCTATTGCTTGAATGTTCCATGAAGTATCTAAATCAAAATTTATCCACCTGGGCACTGACATTTGGGCTGGGTAACTGTTGTAGGGGCTGTCCTGTGTATTGCAGGATATTGAATAGGATTCTTGGCCTTCACCCTTTTGGCCACAGCACCTCCCTCTCAAGTTGTGGCAGTTGCGCCCAGTTGAGGAGCACTGCTTCAAGCTAAGCCTTGGTTTTCTCAGCTATAAAATGGGGATCGCAGTTCCTGTAGATAGGCTCCAGCAGTTGTTGTTAAGATCAATGGAAGTAACATGTATGAAAGGGCCTACTCCAGAGCTTAAAGCTGTCCTAAAGGACAGAGGAAAGACAACCCTCCCCCATTCACACCCAGAGCGTTCTGGGAGGCGGCACTAGAGATAATATGGGAGGAGGTGATCCATCAGTGCTTGTCCTGAAATCTCACAAGAGTCAGCACCTTGGGCTTCGCCTTGCCCTGTAGGTATGTAAATAGGGGATTATCAGGGTCAGCATCTGTGAGAGTTAAAGCAGGAAGTCCTTACAGCTTCCTGTAAAAACACAAGTGACAAACTTGGATAAACAGTAAGTAGAGAAAAAAATATTCCTATATTATTGCCAGCCCCAAGAAGCCTCTCTCTCTCCTTTTCTTTCTCATAAACTCATACATACTCCCCAGGACAAGTTGTGACATAAAACAGTTGTTACAAGCTTCCATTATGGAGTTAGATTTGTGCTCCAATTCCAGCTCTGCTACTTGTGAGCTGTGCAGTTTTTTTTTTTTTTTTTTTTTTTTTTTTTTTTTTTTTTTTTTTTTTTTTTGAGACGGAGTCTCGCTCTGTCACCCAGGCTGGAGTACAGTGGCGCAGCCTCGGCTCACTGCAAGCTCCGCCTCCCGGGTTCACGCCATTCTCCTGCCTCAGCCTCTCCGAGTAGCTGGGACTACAGGCGCCTGCCACCTCGCCCGGCTAATTTTTTTTTTATTTTTAGTAGAGACGGGGTTTCACCATGGTCTCGATCTCCTGACCTCGTGATCCACCCGCCTCGGCCTCCCAAAGTGCTGGGATTACAAGCGTGAGCCACCGCGCCCGGCCGAGCTGTGCAGTTTTGATCCAGTTACTTTACCTCTCTGAGCTATATCTTTCTCTCTTTAACCAGGGATAAAAATGAGACCTACTTCATAGAGTTATTATAAGCATTAGATAAAATAACATATGTCAATAATGTATGTATTTCACACACAGATAATCTCCATTGTGGGATCAGGTGCCTGAAACCCAGGAAATACTCGAGTAATATTAGTTATTTTCCTTCTTAGTAATAATATGGTCAGCAATCTTTCCGAAGAGGCAACCCCTACTCTGCCAGGGGAAGGGTGGTTTTGTGGGGTAAAGCACATTATGATAACACATCGTTCATTCGAGAAGAAAGATTGGCAAAAGTAGGCCACATTCCCAAATCCAGTGGGGAATCAGTGAGTGTGCTGAGATGGAAAGAGGATGAGCTTTGGGGCCAACACACCTGAGTTCAGATGCTGGCTCCATCAGTAGCTGGCCAAATGCCCTCAGCTGTCTGAGCTCACAAATCCATCCTTCCTGTACCTTTTAGGTCACTGCCTAGTCTAGTACTGCCTTTGCCAGCTTGGTGGTTGAGGGTGTATACCTCATACATTCTCTTACTTATCCACTTAACAAACATTGGCTGAGCTCTTGTTCTTTGCCAGACACTAAACCAAGTGTGAGAGTGTCTTGGTCCATTTTGTGTTGCTACAAAGGAGTACCTGAGGATGGGCAATTCACAAAGAAAAGAGATTTATTTGGCTTACAGTTCTCAAGCTGTACAAGAAGCATGGTGCCAGCATCTGCTCAGCTTCTGGTGAGGCCTCAGGAAGATTTTGCTCATGGTAGCAGGCAAGGGGAGCCAGCATTTCACATGGCAAGAGAGGGACAAGAGAGAAGGGAAGATGCCAGGTTGTTTTAAAAATCAATCAGATCTCATGTGAACTAATAGAGTGAGAACTCATTATTACTGTGAGGAGGGCACAAAGCCATTCATGAGGGATCTGCCTCCAGGACCCAAACACCTGTCACCAGGCCCCACCTCCAATACTAGGGGTCACATTTCAACATGAGATTTAGAAGGGACAAATATCCAAACTATATCAGTGGGATACAGAGGTAAACAGACACGGACTAGTGCTCAAGGAGCTTGAAAGCTGGAAGGAAAACCAAAGTCTCAAAGAGATGGTTTGGGTAAGAGAGAAATCATAAGGAAAGATGCAGCTGGGAGCCAAGATCAAAATGGAGTTTTGTTAATCAGGAAAAACTGTATTAGACTCTGTAATAACAAACAACTTCCAAATATCAAAAACTTAAAGATGCACATGCACGTGATATCCATTGTAGGACCAGGGAACTCCTCCACGACACTAGTTCATGTGTTGTCTTAGCATTCTAAACTGTTCAAATCTTATGGGATTTCCATGTCATAGGGTGTCCCCAATCACTGAGGCAGGGGAACAGAGACCACAGGAAATTCTGCACCAGCTCTTGAATGCTTCCATCCAGAGTTGACATGTTTGTTTCCCTTTGCATTTCATTGAACAAAACTATTCCCATGCCCAGGCTTAACCTCAAAGGACTGTGTGCCCTGCAGGAAGCGAGAACTAGAAATCTTTGAGAGCAGCTCTAACATTGTCCTCAACCACGGATGAGCTCACCCAAACATGGAGAGCTACACGGGCAGGACTCTTGTTAGTTCATTAGCACTTAGCAAAGTGCTGGGCACAGGATACAAGTCAACAAATTTTAGAGACAGAAGGAAAGAACAAGGAAGGAAGGAAGGGAGGGAGGGAGGGAAGGAAGGGAGGAAGGACGGAAGGAGAGAAGGAAGGAGGGAGGATGAACAGGCAGGCAGGCAGGCAAGAAGGAGGAAGGAGGGAGCAAGGAAGGGAGGGAAAGAGGCAAGGAAGGAAGGAGGGAAGGAAAATTGTTGGGTGGTTCAGGACTCTAGCCATTGAAAAATCTCTCTACTATCCAGGAATAGAGCTATGTGTTGGGGCAGAAGTCCCCTTAAATTAGGAATGGCTCAGGTTGTGAGGGAGGCTGGCAGAGATGCTGCCTTGCTCAGTGTGGTCAGCATTCAAAGCCTGGATCACTTTTCCTTCTGCAGCTACAAAGCAGCTTGCATCCTATGGTTGCCTCGGGGCCACTGACAGCTCTGCTCTCTCTCTAGGCCTCCACCCCTCCCTTCTGCTTGTGCCATATTAGAAAGGGCATGGGCTTTGGAGTCAGTTAGACCTGGGTTTGATCCTGGGCCCTCCCCTTTCTATTGGGTGCCTTTGGGGCTAGTTATTAAAAATCCCGGAGCCTCAGCTTCCTTATCTGTAAAACAATGGCAACTCTCAAGTCACAAACCCCTTGACAAATCTCAGCTTCCCTCTTCTCTCCAGGGGCCATACTCTTGCATCCCTTGGTGTATTGTATTACGGTCCTTAGAATGTCCCTCCCTATGAAAATCTGAACTTCCTACCAAGCATCCCTCTTGGGTGAGACCTTCCCTACCTCCTTTTAGCAAAGTGCCGTGTGTCTGGTTGCGCCCGAGCACAGCACCTGTCTCCTACCAGCAGCACTGACAGAGGGGATGTGCCCAGCTTTGGGTGGGCTGCAGCTGCTGTGTGTGCCCCTAAGCTGCCACCCGCGGCACAGGATGGAAGTGGGGCGATTGCTCACTGCTAATAGTTAGACAACGACACCACCAGGAGATGGCTGAGCTGTGGCAGCAGAACTGCCTCTGATTCTGTTGTGGTCTGATGGAGTTCTTGGGGATTGAGGGACCTGAATTAGGTCATCCCTTTCATTCATTTAGCCATGAGTTATTGGGAAGCGTCTCTGTGACAAGCTCCATGTCAACATGTTGGGAACACAGTGATATGTTCCCAGCATGTGAAACAGGCTTTACTCTTACAAACTCTTCGAAATATAGGTGCTTCTGTTTCTCTTCACGGTGATACACTACATTTGCAAGAATAAAAAGAAGGAAGTGGTTTATGGTTAAATTGCAAAAAAAAAAAAAAGATCAGGCATTTACTGTGACTTTCATAGAATTGAATATTTTTAAAGCTGAAAGTTTTAAATATCCAGGAGGGAGTGGCCGTACCCCCACTCCAGTTTTACAGATGAAGAAATAGAAAGGAAAGACGTGACTCAGATATTGTTCCTGGGAGCGCGGTGCTCCGAATGGTCAGTTAGCATCAGTTCTGTCCAAGGCCAAGAAATGGAATTGGGATTAGAAGACCCTGCTGACCAGAGAGCATCCTATGACCTGAAGCAGCTTGCTACCCTCTCCCTGTAGAAAGTTGGGGAAGCCGCTGTGTTGTTTTTTGACTATTTCTTCATGGGTAAAGGGGAGACAATGAAGTGTTATATAGTTTTAGGAAGATGGTAGACAGCCTTTTGTTTTTTACTCATGAAGTATTACAGTGATGACTGTGACAACAATCATAATTATTCTTATTTGCACACCAGCACACCAGCTTTATATTCAAGTTAGAAACATGGAATCCAGGCAAACATGTTGTTTCCACAATGCCAGAATTCCCAAGACATGCTATGAGCCGAACTCACAGACGGAAAGGGTATTTTTTATGCCTTCTTTTAGCAAAAGTTATTCAGCCAGGGGCACACCATTCTCATTTTCATTTGAGGCTGAGGAGGTGCCTGCAGCCGACCCCTTCCAGCAGACTTGGGCGTTCATAGAACCTAATTCTTTAATGGACTCTGGGTGCATTTCTTGCTTCCATCTTGAGGTCATTAAAAAGCCTGTGGTGAACTACACCGACATAAACCTTTTATAGAAACAATCAGATATCACTTGGTAAAATAATTAGCATCAGAATAGCACAAAGTCAGTCTGTCTGCAACTTGGTGCCAAACATCAAAAGAACTCCTGGCAGTATCTATCCCCATTCTATTTTGAAGGTGGAGGGGATACTTCTCCCTCTCCCAGCCGGTTTCCAAGGGTGACCCAAAGGTTCAAGTCATGCTATTTGGATGTGCGATGTTATTATGGGCTGGCGGACTGGTGGTCCTCAAAGTGGGCTTCCTGCACAGGATCATGGGAAAGGGGACAGACAACCGAAGGAGGGAGGGCTGGGGCGAGCAGAGGTTTGGAGGCGGGGGTCCCCAGCCCTACCGAGCCTGCCTAGCCTGCTTCCCCTTCTTGGAGCAGTACGGTCCTCCGTCCCCTCCCCACATGGCCCTCTAACTTCCTGCTTGGCTGTCAGAGTGTTTTCTCTTGTTGACCAAATATCAGGAGCTTAGTTTTGTTTACAGCTTTTGGATAAAATATCTCAGGAAAGGAGTGTCCCTCTTGAGGCCAGATAAGACGCTGCTGGAGAGCTCCACACGACGCGGCACACGTTACTTTCCACGATAACGCATCCGTATTTTCGCCTGGAAATGGGAATTCTTAGAAATGATAAATTGCAGGGGTCCTCTGCTTCACCCCGGAGAGTTTCCCCCGACTGGCCTATGTGTGAGTGTTTTCCTCCTGCGCGGGTCTGGCCTTGTGCAAGAGGCAACAGATAATCAAATTGTTGAACTAAAAAAGAAAAAGAAAATCCTTGACCCTTTTTTACATCTCAAGTGTGCAACTGGCCTGAGGAAGAAAACAGGGACCTATCTTCATTGCCAGCCTGAAGCCGGATGATTCCCTCTCATTGTGTCTCGAGAACACAGGCTCCAGCGCGGCTGGGCTTGAGAGACCATCTTCTCGTGTCTCCTTTAATTTAGCTGATAGATATGAAAACGAGTTGAGTTTTAAAAATAAATAGGCATTTCTCATTATCTGGGGACAGTTTTCGGGCTGGGGCCTCACGGTCAGCTGGGAGCAGCCACAGAGAAAAAAAGAGCCCCTGTTCAGCCACACAAAGCCTGAATACCTGTGTCCTACGTTGGGGCTGGGGACGATTATTCACTCATTCTGTTGTGACAGACAGAAAGAAAATTTAGCAAACCACAAAATTTCCTAATTAGTGCGCTGGGAGTTCTTCCGATGGTAATTTGGAACAAAGGGAGGCAGCCCCGTGGTGAGGGGGCAAAGGAAAGGAAAAATAAAATAAAATAAAACAGGATAGATGGGGAAGGGCGGGAGGCGTGCTCACTCTAGGTATGGAAAGCAGTTCTGGAAGTTTTTCTTATGCAACAGAATTTTTTTCTCTCTCCTAGAAGCTGCTGTTCACATATGGCAACATGATCCCCGGGCGCCTACCATATGTAAGGACACAAGGTTTTATGACTTATTGTCGCTAAGATTTATGGAGATGATATATGATAAGCAATTTTTCATTATCTCATATCAGGAGCAAATGCAGAGAGATGCAGGCTCCTCACCGCATGGTTGGGTGGAGCTGCAGGCCCCAACACAGGGCCCCACACAAACTCCGTCTCCTGCTCCTCTGCTGGGGGCTGCTGCCTTCCCCATAATAAAAGAACAGCCTGTGGTACCAGCAGCAACAATTTATTTGATTAAAATGGGCTACTCTGGAGCTATTTTGTGGTATGTTAATAAGTGCTATATCACAGACATTTATTAAATTAGTTTTCATAAATGTCAGCAGTGTTTGCACAGGAAATACACCAGTCTAAATGTGGACCAAACTCCGAATTAACTTCCCCCCTCAGGAAAATGGACATTTCTGCCAGGGTGAAGGTGTGCTGGCCAGGTAAGGGCAATCATGGGGTGCTCAGAAGTTTAATATCAGCATGGGCCAAACACAGCAGTTTTGGCTCCCAGCAGCCTCCCATAGAGGGAGGATTTGAGGAGGCTGAAAGGAAGGAAATGACAGAACTCGACACTTCCTTGGAACAAGGCTTCAGCCTTTGGTGTCACAATATTTCACCTTTTCCTTACGTTTGACTCAGCACAAATGGACAGAGATTGAGAAAACAGGACACAAGAGGAAGTGGAAATTTCTGCTAGAAGCATCCTAGGTTTGGAAATCAGTGATTCTGTCCTCAGTCGCCTTACAGTTTCCATGCCGATGGCAAGGCAGGGAGCTTATTGATGAGCCTGTTTCAGGCTTCCAGGCTTAGCCGCACTGAGCCGGGCAACTCTCTGGTGTCTAGGATGTTCCACCTCTTATCTTCCATGTCTGTTCTGGAAAAACAAGATCTGACCCGTTCCTCTTTGAAGAAACAGACAAAATGAGAACAGCCCCACTCAGATGATTTTCTGGAGCCGGGGAGATTTTCATCACAGATGCCACAATTCAGAAGAAAACCTAGACCGAGCTCACCTTGGCACGAGGAAGAAATCATCTTTGTATACCTAATCAAGAGTGCAGGAAGCTTTAGGGACACCAGGGTGGCAGTGTCACAGCATCACCATGATCTGTTCATCCATTAACCACCCTTACTTTGCAAACTTTGCTTTCTTTGGTCATTCATGATCCAAGGCATTTTAAATCTCCCGGAAAAAAAAAAATGTTTTCCACTCACACTTTCCATGGAGAGTCCTGGAGTATAACCAGTGAATTCAGACAATTTTTCAGAGGGTAACACACGGTTTTTTTTTTTCTTTCTTTAACCCATTTGACAATTCTCCTGCATCTTCTTCAAGTAAACATACTGCAAAAGTGACTGTGGCCAGCACCTACAAAACTGCAGGAATCCAATAACACGCCTGTGGATTTGGGAGACAGACTAATACTTTGTGTTCATTCTGACAGAGGCACTTGGAAAAAAGAAAATCAATAAGATTGATCCCTCAGATGTGCTGTTTATAGATGTGCATCAGTGTTCTTGTATGGCGAACAAAATGTGTGTCACGTTATATGTGATTTTGTGGGCACGAGGCCAACGTGGGACAGGGCACCCACTCCAGGCAGCAGCGACGGCAGACAAAACAACGCGTGAACACAGTCACGTTTCTGAACACAGTGGCCGCATGTTGACACGCCCTTCCCACGCCAAAAAAACAAGATCAGAAGATGTGGCTTCTTGGCTTTTCTTTTTTATAAGAGTATTTTTATTTTAGAGAATGTTTAGGTTCACAGCAAAATAGAACAAAAAATAGAGTGATTTTTCAAATCACTGCTGCCCCCCTCCCCCTACGGCCTCCCCCACTAACAACCTCCCGCACCAGAGTGGTGCATTGGCCACATCATTACCGCCCAGAGTTTCATCAGGGTTCACTTTAGCTGTTGCTCGGCAGTGCCCCCTTTTCCAAGGCCTCTTTCCAAGGTTTCAGTCATCCGCGGTGAACCGCGGCCCACAAATAAGTGACTGCAGTACAATAAGATATTTTGAGGCTTGACGCGGTGGCTCATGCCTGTAATCCTAGCACTTTTGGAGGCCAAGGCGGGTGGATCACCTGAGGTCAGGAGTTCAAGACCAGCCTGTCCAACGTGGAGAAACCCCTGCCGTCTCTACTAAAAACACAAAAATTATCCAGGCATGGGGGCAGGCACCTGTAATCCCAGCTACTTGGGAGGCTGAGACAGGAGAATCGCTGGAACCCGGGAGGCGGAGGTTGCAGTGAGCTGAGATCGCACCACTTCACTCCAGCCTGGTGACAGAGCGAGACTCTGTCTCAAAAAGAAAAAAAAAAAAATTGAGAGAGAGAGATTTATTACAATATATTAATATAACTGTTCTATTTTATTATTAGCCGTTGTTAATCTCTTACTCTGCCTAATTTGCAAATTAAACTTTATCATAAGTATGTACGTACAAGAGAAAACAATATACATTGCGTTTGTTATTGTCCGCAGTTTCAGGCATCCACTGCAGGTCTCAGAACGTATTCCCTTGTGGATAAGCGCTGGCTGCTGTGCAGTCTATGGGACTGACAAATGTATAATGACACGTATCCACTATTCTAGTATCACACAGAGCCATGTTCCTGCCCTGAAAACCCTCTGTGCTCTGCCCATTCATCCCTCCCTCCCTGCTAGTGCCTGGCAACCGCTGATCTTTTTACTGTCTCCATAGTTTTGGCTTTTCCACAATGTCATGTAGTTGGATTCATACAGTATGTAGTCTTTTCAGACTGGCTCTTGTCACTTAGTAATATGCATTTGTTTCCTCTACTTTTAGCTTTTACAGATCGGAAGACAGAAACCTCGGAAGGGAAGATGATAGACATTCTAAACCAGGCCGGAGAAAAGGGAAAGACAGTTAGTAAATGAAGAAAAGTGATTTTTTTTTTTTTTTTGAGACAGGTTCTTGCTCTGTCACCCAGGCTGGAGTGCAATGGCACAATTGTTGGCCGCTGCAACCTTGAGCTCCTGGGCTCAAGCATCCTCCTGTCTCAGCCTCTTGAGTAGTGAATTCTTTTGTTTTGTTTTTTTCTTTTGAGACAGAGTCTTGCTCTATCCCCCAGGCTGGAGTTCAGTGGCACAATCTCAGCTCACTGCAGCCCCCGCCTCCCAGGTTCCAGCCATTCTCCTGCCTCACCCTCCTGGGTAGCTGGGATCACAGGCATGTGCCATCACACTCAGCTAATTTTTGTGTTTTTAGTAGAGATGGGGTTTCACCATGTTGGCCAGGCTGGTCTCGAACTCCTGAACTCAGGTGATCCACCCGCCTTGGCCTCCCAAAATGCTAGGATTACAGGTGTGAGCCACCACGCCCAGCCTTGAGTAGTGAATTCTTAATGAGAGCATGATAAAGTAGAATCACTGTTTATTCTACACCGAGGACAGAGCATTCTGGAAAAATGAAGCCTGAGCTGATGTGTTATTTTGGGTTTCTCTGCTTTATTTTGTTTTCCTAACCACTCGTTCTAAGAACCTTATTCAGCATATTTCATGGTTGCGAAGAATTAGGTTGAAAGAAGAAGTGATTTAGTCAATGACGTCAAAGTGAAGGGGCTTTTCCTTTCTGCACGGGCCAGAGGTTTTCTTCTGTTTTTATTAGTGCTCCAATAAAATGAAATTCAAAGAAAGCATTTCATTGTCATGGACTCTCTGTAGAGTCCCGGGGACCCCAGAGTCTTGGGTTAAAATGACAGACCTGATTCCCACCTTGACCATTTACTGCCTCCAAGACCTTGAGCCAGTCATAGAGATTCAATGAGCCTCTTTCTCTTCATCTTTAAATTGAGGAGACAGCTTGCTCCATGCACTTCTGGGGTTTAGCAGAGAGTAAGCAGCTGGGCCGTCCCTGGTATATACTTAGTGCTCAGTAGCTGCTAGTTTTATTCATATCCCCATTCCTTTGGGGGGCATATCTGGCTTTCGGGTGAGTATGATTTAAAACTCATTCACTCACTCATTCAACAATATTTATTGAAGACCTATTATGTTCCAGTTACCATTCTATTATGTTGGTGCGAAAGTAATTGCAGTTTTTGCTATTAAAAATAATGCAATTACTTTTGCACTAATCTTATGAACACTCAGCATATATGGAGGAATAAAAGAGGTAAGGTCTCTGCTGTCATGGAGAGACAGATACTACTCAGTTAAGCAAATAAGATAACTTCAGATAAGAAGAAAATAAGACAGGTGGAGTGACAAAGTGCCTGGAAGGGGAAACCAACTAGGATAAGCAGGAAAGGAAACTTTGAGGATGTGATGTCAGTGATGAAAAGCAAGAAGCAGCCAGCCAGGTAAAGCCCAAGAGGGAGGGGATTCTAAGATAGGGTTGCCAAGTAAAATACAGGGCGTTCAGTTAAGTGTAACGTGCACGTGAGCAACATGTTTTAGAATAAGCATATCCCAAATATTGCATAGGATGTACCTATACCGCAAGAGTTATCAGTTGTTTATCTGAAATTCAAATTTAACTGGGTGTCCTGTTTTTCATTTGCTAAATCTGGTGAACCTGTTCTAGGGAGAGGGCTCAGCAAGGACCAAGGAGAGGAGGTGGGAATGAATTTGGCTTGTCTGGAGAGCAGCAAGGAGGCCAGCGTGTCCAAGATGTGGAAGATGTGATGTGATGTCAGCCCCTCCTATAAGGGCCGTGGAGGCTATGGTGAGGAGTCTGAGCAAATCAAACCCGATGACTTGTGTGTTCCATCCACAGAATTATCCAAATCATGAATGGCAGCAACATCTACCCCAGGAGTTGGTGAACTACAGCCTGTGGGCCATTTGTTTTTGTAAATAAAGTTTTATTGGAATACAGTCACACTCACTGGTTCACATAATGGCTATAGCTGTTTAGTGTTATAATAGCAGAATTAGGCAGTTTCAACAGAGATAGCATGTCCCACAAAACCTAATATATTTGCTATCTGGTCCTTTATAGCAAAAATACACCAACTTCTGAATTATGGCCTGCCCAGGAATCAAAGTGCAAGAGCTCCTGGGAACCAGCAACTTAACTGTATTGAGTTTGAATTTCCCAACCTACTTTTTACCCACCTAACCTAGCCTCCACCTTTCTATTTTGTGATTCATATTCAATCAAAAATTAAATTCTTAGATAGATGCTTGAAAACAGTCATGTCTTCAGGTTCTCGAGTCTGGTACTAAAATGGAAAGAAAACCAATTTGTTTCCACCATGAATCTTAATAGGGTTAAGATTCATTAGCCTGCTACAACACAATAATAAATGAAAACAGTTCTTATTTCATAGGTTTTCACCCATTAAGATTATTACTTTCTCTGCTAAGAGGTGCAGACAAGACATCAACACGCACTGCTAGGTATTTATAGTTTACACAAACCACATGGTCATCAAGGCAGGGCTTATGCAAAATTATCTGGTTGCAAGAGCTGGTCTTGGAAGGAAAGGGCAAGATTTTGCAAACACCCTGTTTGTCTGAAGGAAAATAAAATAATAATGAAGCTTTGCCGAGATGTTGAAAAATCATGCATTTAAAAGTTACCACTAAGAAACAGAAACAAAGTGACATGGTAGAGTCCACAGACTGGAATTCGAATTCAATACCACCGGCCAGCTTGAGAAAGCTTGGTAAGCTAAGTTTGGGTTTCTTTCTCCATCAAATGAAAACAGTCCTCTCTAAGGTTGCATTATGGCTTCTGCGGGCCTGGGCACTTTTGCCTGTGTGATCCCCCTCCTTGATTAAAAAAATTAGAAGTTATATTTTATGACTGCATTGGTATAAGAACAGATATAATCCAGGCTGAATTCTATTCATTTGTTTCTTCTGATTTTTAAAGGAAATTTAAATGTTTCCATGTTTCTGTGAGCCCCTGAATGTGTCCTGGGACCTGGGCACTGTGTTTACTGCAATTGCTGGAGTAGCCAGCTGGATCCTACCAACCTCCAGGAGTGCTGTGAGACTGTTGGAAAGATGGTGTTAAACAACAACAACAAAAATCCTGCTGCATAACCAACTCTGTATGGCTGTTGTTGGTTCTATCCTGATATACCTATGCTTTAAAAACCAGAACATTTCATGTTCTAGCCAATTTGTTGAATGGATGCAAAATATAATATGCTCCTATCCAAGTCCCAATATCTACATATTTTCATTATGAAAAATAAGAAGAATATAGATGAACACAGGAGAAAATACAAATTATTCATCATATGCCACCACCCAGAAAGGACACTGCTTCCCCTTGAAGGTATACTCTGATGCTCTTTGCTTAGAGAAGGTGATTTTTTTTGTTGTTTTACTAGCACACAAACATACTCTACACAATTTTTATCGTAGCCTTTTTCCCCATATACCCAAAGATGATGAATACTTTTCATCGTATTAATTATTCTGTTATGATCTATTTAATGATATTATAATATTTCATATTGCAAATGTATTCATATCTATTTATATGATCTCTTCTCATGGTACATTCCCATCTATTTGATTAATTTATCATGATAGTATTGTGATGGAGGTTCCTGTGGCTACATCTTTTTGTGTCACTCCATGATGTCTTTTTTTTATTTTTAAAATGAAATTCCCTTGGGCTTTATGCTATCTGGAGTGTGGCCTCTATGGGTAAAAAAAAGATCTTACTACATTGTTTGCATGAAAACATCCGCAGAGATAAAAGGCACAATTTGTGGCCTAGGAACTCTAGCAAACTCAGTGTTCAGGGCAGGAGGTTTCTCTCTGTCTTGGGGTGGGAACTGATTGGAAAAGTTGAATAAAGTTCTTCTTTCTTTTCTCACTCGAGTTTAAAACATAGTTGCTATGAAAATCAGTTAATACCCAAATAATGGATTAGGTATTTGCCATCATTAAAACCAAACCAAACCAAACCAAATCACCATCAATTCATATATGGAGCATCAATTTAGATTTTTTTTTTTTTTTGAGACGGAGTCTCCCTCTTTTTTTCTGACTTACTCTGTACCCAGCACTGTGCTAGCTACATTCCTATCTAATTCAGTCCTTCCAATCCTGTGGGCTGCAGGTATTACTTTTCCAGTTTTACAGAGAAGGAACATTGCACACAGACTTTGTGCAGCATTCTCACCTCATATGTGGTAGAATCAAGATTTAGCTTCACAAATTTCATAACTACAGCAAAATCAGGAGCAACATTCAGATTCTAAGTTGGACCAGGGGTGGTGGCTCACGCCTGTAATCCCAGCACTTTGGGAGGCTGACACAGGCGGATCACCAGATCAGGAGATCGAGACCATCCTGGCTAACACAGTGAAACCCTGTCTCTACTAAAAATACAAAAAATTAGCTGGGCATGGTGGCACATGCCTGTAGTCCCAGCTACTCAGGAGGCTAAGGCAGGAGAATCACTTGAATCTGGAAGGTGGAGGTTATAGGGAGCCGAGATCGTGCCACTGCACTCCAGCCTGGGCGAGAGAGCGAGAGTCCATCTCAAAAGAAAAAAAAAAAATTAACATCTTCACTGAGGTGGAAAATACATGCCGGATTTCGAAGACTTGGTAGGAAAACAGAACCTAAAATATCTGGTTCATAATTTTTCTGCTGATTACATGACATGATAATACCTTAGCTATATTGGGTCAAATATAATCATGAATTCTCTAACTGTTTCTTTTTACTTTCTTTTTTTATTCGTTGTTGAATATAGCTAATAGAACTGTGACAATTACATAAGAGTATTTGTTATCTTACATAGCCCAGTCTCTATTCCCTCATACTGTTAGTTTCTTACTAAACATTTTCCTTAGGATCCAGCCCTACCACATGCTCAGTTTACCTGTATCAGGTGAGACTCTGCAGCCAGCTACAGAGTCAAGTGTGTGACCCAGGCCTGACCAAACAGAACACAGATTCCCCGAACCAACATTGGTGAGTCCCCTGAGCCAGCCTAGCTATTTGCCATTGTTCCATCCTCGTGGTCACAGAGATTGATTCACAGAAGGACATGTAGCTTAGCTTAATCTAGGCAAAGTGAATTCATAAACTCAAATGGAAGGTTTAGACAAAGGGTGGTTTTTCCCTCTGGGTCTGTTAGCAGGAAGGCTGGCGTGAGCCCGGAGTGCTGGGGCCAACACATAGGGTGTATAATAAAATCCCACAATGAAGCTGACATAAAAGATAGGCAGGGCTGAGAGGTGCAGGAAAACAATTCTAACGACATTCTTTGTGTGCCTGAATCAAACCGCACCTGAAGCCAGCTACATCTGGATTGCTGAACTGCAGAAGTCACTAAATTATCTTGGTTTCTGCTCAAGCCAAATTGAACCATATCTCCATTGCTGCACCGAAAAGTCCAGAGTGACGCTCCCACTCCTAATCTGTTGTGAGGACCACACGTGATAATGAGTAGGAAACTCTTAGGAAATTATCCACCTTTATGCATGTTAAATTATCACTGTGGTTTTAGAAAAGAAAACATAAATGTGAGGAGTAGGCAAATGGAAGAGCTGCCACAATCAATGATCCAGAGGCAAGTCAGAGCCCATGTTTGGAAAGAGCCTGGTTCAGATCGCTTAGGGGTATCTCCTCTGGCTGCCACCAAGGGCACTTTGCTTGTCCATCTGCCATATCCTGGGGTGCCCCAAACATATGCTGCTACATCAACAGGGCTTGAACAGCCCCATTCATCGGTGATGTCTACCTAGCTCTTTAAGCACACGATTCTGTTGTTACTTATTCATTTACTCATTCATTTGCCTATTTATTTATTTGGAGTAGTGATGTTGGCTCAGTGACTTGGGACTGTGTTTGGAGAGCTGGCGTGCATTGGCAGCTGGGCACTGCTCTCTGGTCAGGCTACTTCTTTCTCAGGGTGCACAGCCAGGAATGCTCCCTCCCTTACCCCGAAGGCCCTCTCAAATCGCTCTCCATTTTCTCTTCCTCCACTTTCTGCCTCTCCTTTAAGGATCTGCTTGCCTGGAAAGCCGTTCCTGATAGCCCTGTACTGGCCCAGTATTCTCCTCTGAATTCCGCATCCCAGCCTCCATTACACCTAGTTGTAATTGCTCTGCTCGTTGGTATAGCTGGCTTTCCATTAGACCATGCACGGCCTCCTTGTGAGAAAGAATCTGATTTTATACAGCTCTGTGCCTCCAGGACTTAGACTTCAATGGCTGGAACCTAGGGGATGCTTAACAGATACAAAATGAATAAATGAATGGAGTGTGAATGAATAAGTGAAGGAGGGACACCCTTGATTGCTCATAGCTTCCAACTTGCCTCATAGCTTTTCTGTTGTAAACCTGGGAGGTGGAGCTTGCAGTGAGCCGAGATCGCGCCACTGCACTCTAGCCCAGGCGACAGAGTGAGACACCGACTCAAATTAAAAAAAAAAAAAAAAAAAAGCTTTTCTGCTGTGAAGCAACTTCCAAGAGGCTCTACTGATGTTTAAAAAGCACAGCTCTAAGTGAAATAGATGGAGTGTCTTTCAGCTACCCTCACCTCCTCCACCTGCAGCTAAAGATGTAGGGGGGTTCCCAGTCTCCCCTCCAATCTTGTAGATGGCATTGAGCATCCCAGGCAAGGGCCCAGCTTCTGAGTCTCACCCCTGGGGGTGGCAAGCACACACTGATGTTTAGGTCCCTTTTCTGCAGCCACCTCTAGCTGACCCCCACCTCAACACCCAGCTGTGTCAAGGACAATGTTGCACGGGACGTGGTGTCCTGTTGCTCCCTTGGAGTCCCAAACTGGCATTTTCCTTTCAATTTGGGGCGAGGAGATAGAGAGAGACAGAGAGACAGAGAGAGAGAAAGAGACTCTTCCTTCTTCCTAAAGGTCATGGGAGGGACAGGGTGCAGTGGCTCACACCTGTAATCCCAGCACTTTGGGAGGCCGAGGCAGGTGGATCACTTGAGGCCAGGGTTTTGAGACCAGCCTGAGCAACTTAGTGAGACACCATCTCTACAAAAAGTACACACACACAAAAATTATCCAGGCATGGTTTGTGCCTGTAGTTCTAGCTACTTGGGAGGCTGAGGTGGGAGTATTGCTTGAGCCCAGGAGGTCGAGGCTGCAGTGAGCTGAGATTGTACCACTGCATGTCAGGCCAGCAGAGAAAGCAAGACCCTGTCTCAGAAAAATAATAATAATAATAATAATAGTAATAATGAAAGGGAGAGGACCATCCTTGAGGTTACCAGAGGCCAATGGCATAGCTGCAATTACAAAAGCTCCGGTGATGGACAGGGCAACGGAGGCTCCACAGAATGCCTGAATAAGTCGCTCTGGAAATAGTTCATTTCGAGTCCATCCTTGGGCAAGCATGAGGCTAGGATGTGCTGTAAGCAATGCGGATGTCTTTAAATGCCGATTGGAGGTAATTACGTTGGGAGCAGGAACCTTTATAAGCTTTGTTTTGGCACATCCGTGGGAGGGCTACCTTGAGGACTGACTCAGGAACATCTTTTCCCAGAATTAAGGCTTAACTCTGAGCCTCACGCTAGACTGGCCTATCTCTGGGCGAGTTCGTATTATTCCGTAATGAGCCAATACAAATATCCTGCCCTGCCCATGGGTCTGCTACCTGCTGGCAGAGAATTAACAGGCTGGGGCTGCAGACACAAAGCAGAGGACCGACGGAGGGATACTTTCTGCTCTTTTGTGTGCCTCCTCTTTCTCTCTCTGCTTCATCTACGCAGCGTTTTCTGTCCCTTGGCAGGAGACCTCCCCTCTGAGGAGCGCCGTGCCTCCCTCGCCTGATGCCACAAGATTAAGCAATTTGCTTTTAATTAGGACTGCAGTCATTTCCAAAGGAAGCAGCAGAGAGAGGGAGGCAGGCTGGCTCTTTACAGTTGACGTGGATTCGCTGTGCACGGTGAATTCAGACCCCACTGTGAGCAGCAAAGTTGAGCTCCTTGTCCCTGGTTTCTCGGGCTCCTCTCCCAGGGTGTGTAAGCCTCCACTCCCATGCACCAGTGAACAGAGGCATTAGAGGGAGTTGCTGGAAAAGGAAAAAAACATGACCCCTTTGGATTCCTTGTGTCTGGTGCTGAAATCCTATCCAGACAGTTTATTGGACCTGTGCTTTCTGCACTTGCCTGGTGCTGTGGTGTACGCAACATTCCAGTACTTTTCCCTCCAGCCTAACCCCCCAGGAAAGGTGTCACCATAATTTGTAGGTCTTGCTGGATGAATCTAAACAGCTTTCCGAGGGCTACCGGGTGGAGCAAAGAGAGGAAAAAGGGCAGGAATACAGGCTGTGTGACATAGATCCTACCGACATCTTCTACCCTGGAGTTCTGGGCTGGGGACCAAAGTCTTCTGCCTTGCTCTGGTTCCAGGCCAGGCATCCACCCCGGGGCCCCTTCATTCTGGAAGCCAAAAACTGGAGCTTCAACCCAGCCTCCCGCTTCAGCTCTCCACTCACTGCTCCCTTCTCCCTGCATCCTCACATTTTATGACGGTAATTGGAAAGGAAAGAAAGGTAGCGCTTTGTTTACAATGCAATTAACATCTGCATAATTTACTAGGAAATAAGCTGGAGCTATATTGAGCACGTAGAGCCTGCTCCGTTTGGAAAGCCAGCTTGAAGTCCTCAGGGCAGGGCTGCGTCTGCACCTTCCCCCGGGCTGAGCAGGGTCTTCCCGTCAAGACAACTAGCCACCGCAGGTGTCAACACCTCGGACGCTTTTGACAAACACCAACTGGAAATTTTCTCCAAAAGACACACTCCCTGATTTAGGCTGTCACTCCGCAGAACTGTTTCTGCTCTCAGCTCCAGTGCCTCCTCATTCCTGGCTCATTTCCCTCTCCCCACCTAGGGCAACTCACTTCCAGCTGGCCCCTCTGCCCGGCACACGGCAGGCACAGAGCACATTTGCAGGAAATGTCTGCTGAATTGGGAAAATGAGAGGCCCAGGCCTGGTGTTGGTGGAGAGGAAGCCTGGCAGGGGAGAGGGTGCCTTCTGTGTCAAAAGTGCCCGGCTAGGCCTGCAGCTGGTGCTGATTTGTGCTTCTACTTCAATACATAAAGCCCAGTCCTTCTCCATCAGGGTGAGCACGGCCCCCAGTCCCTGTCTGCCTTTTACACGCATAGCTTTTCTGTGTTTTGCCCTCTGCTCTTGGCCTCAGCACCCTTTCTTTCTCTCTGCTGTCAAACATTTTAGGAAAGTAAATGACACTTTGCATTTTAAGTATATCCAAGAACTTGGGTTGGGGCAGTGGGGAATTCTTCCTGGGAACAGGGTGACAGGGAAGAGACTTCCCTCTTTTCTACTAGCTCTGGACAACATGGCTGAAATCCATGTAGGTGAATAGTTCCTTTGTGTGACATCCTGGGGACCTGCAGATCATTTTCTTTGAATCAGAACAGGGCAAAAGGAGCCACCACTGCCTCCACACCAGGGTACACAGCTTGGGGATTCATGTGCAGGCTGGATTTCCATCCTCACCCCATCCCTCAACCAAGCATTTTTGTGCAGTGAACAACCTACTCAACCATACACAGCAGCCTGGGTACCTAGTAAAGGAAGGCAGCGTGGTGATGAGCCCCATGTCCCGAGTTCTGATACTTAGGCTGCTGAGGACAGAAGTTAAAGAGTTAAGGGCCATGAAACCTGCAATCTGGATTTGAATTCCACTTAGACCATACACTAACCAAATAACATTAAGCAAGTTATTTAACTTCTCAGCACCTCAGTTTTGTTATCAGTGTAGTGGGCTTGAAATAGGTCTTAATACCGTACATACATACACTGTGCATCTTATTAAGTATTTAAATATTCCTGGGTTCTTTACTCATTGGTAAGTTTGAGCAAATCATTTCATCTCTTTGGGTCTCAGTTTCTCTATATTCAAAGAAGGATTTTATTCACAGTGCCATTTGAAAGTTATAATTGGAGACATTTACTAAATCTGTGAATCACTGTGTCCTTCTTCCCTGACGAATGCTAACCTGTGTTTTCCGACTCAAAGGCGCCACTTTCATAAACCTCCCGTGATTTCATTTGCATCACTAGCAGGGACAGTTGAAAAGATCAGGACTTTTCTGCACAGAGAAACATGATTTTCTGGTACTAGTTCTTGTGGAAAGGGATCCTGAGAGGGAATCACAAAACCACATGGCAAGTGAATGCTCAGCAGGACTTTGTTTCCTTAGCAAGTGTTACAGGTTGAATTGCCACCTTTCCCTCATATGCCTATGCTGAAGACTGAGCTGCCAGTATAGTAGTTCCCCCATATCCACTGGAATATATTCCAGGATGTTCCCTAGATGCCTAAAACCACGGATATTTCCAAACCCTATGATGTGGTTTGACTGTGTCCTCACCAGAAATCTCATCTTGAATTATAATCTCCAAAATCCCTAGGTGTCAAGGGCGGGACTAGGTGGAGGTAAATGGATCACAGGGATGGTTTCCCCCATGCTGTTCCACTGATAGTGAGTGAGTTCTCATGAGATCTGATGGTTTTAGAAGCATCTGGCATTTCCCCTGCTGGCACTCATTCTCTCTCCTGCCGCCCTGTGAAGAGGTACCTTCTGCCATGATTGTAAGTTTCCTGAGGCCTCCCTAGCCATGCGGATCTGTGGGTCAATGAGACCTCTTTATCAATTACTCAGTCTCGAGTATTTCCTTATAGCAATGTGAGAATGTACTAATACACCCTATATATACAGGTACTATGTTTTATCCTATACATGCCTATGATAAGATTTAATTTATAAATTAGGCACAGAAGTAGATTAACAACATTAATTATAAAATAGAACAATTATAACAATATACTTAAATAAAAGTTATATGAATATGGTTTCTTTCTCTCAAAATACTGTAATATTTTTGTACCACAGTAACTGAAACAGTACAAAACAAAACTGCAGATAAGGGGGGAACATTGTATTTCAGAATGTGACCTTATTTGGAAATAGGACCTAGGATCACTTGTGGAAGTAGTTAAGATGAAGTCATACTGGAGTAGGATGGCCCCTAATCCAATATGATGTCCTCATAAAAAGTGAAAATTTGGACATACACACACACACACAGAACATCATGTGAATGTGAAGGTGGAGATCAGGCGATGCATGTACAAGCCAAGTAATATCAAAGATGGCAGCCAACTACCAGAAGCTGGGAAGGCATCCTGGAACAGACTCTCCTTCATGCCCCAGAAGGAACCAACTTTGCCAGCACAGTGATCTTGGACTTCTGGCCTCCAAAAGCCTGAGACAATAAATTTCTATTGTATAAGCTACCTGGTTTGCAGTATTTTCTTATGCCAGCCTAGCAAACTAATACACCAGGTAAGATAGTTCTTCCTTCATGTAACTGACTAAACCCCACAGCACGTCCACATCATGTGATTCAAATCTGGGGCTCAGCAAAGCTACATAATCCCACATATCATGGTCCCTTTGCAATAGTTCCTGAATTATGAAAGCTGTGCACCTTAAATCTTTCATTGCCAAAGGGTGACTGTCATTATTTATACTCCTTTTCTCTCGCAAAGGATTCAAAGTAGCTTAAGGGAAATACATAATGTAAGATAAGACAAGTAAAAAAAAAAATATATATATATATATATATAATACTATGACCAGAAAAAAAAGAGAGTTAGAAGATTAACGGGACGATGGAGTTGGTGAAGTTTCATCTTCCTAAGCAATGAAAACTATATAACTGATTGTGTTGTCTTTTTGCCTTGGCCACCAGGGTGCTCAGAATGACATTTGTAGCTCAACTGTTTTCACTGTTCAGAATGTGGCTCTGAGCTTCTTGGTGGTCAGTTACTAACCACTTCCATAATGGAAGTGATGCTTTTCTAGCAGGTCATCTGAAAATAATGGACAGAAGAACTAGATGTAAGTCCCTTAAGGAACTTAGGAGAAAGATATAAATTTCAGATTATGATAGAAAAGCTCATACTATGTGAAGCCGGGAGGGAGTGCTCAAACTTGTTACTGTTCTCAACTGACCGACTGCCATGAGCACACCTGGTGCCTTCTGTGTGCCACCTCCTGGATGATAGTATCACATGAGAAATGAGATGTAGGGCTGGGACTTAGGCTAGCGGTGTTTTAAAAATTGAGGAATTCTACGTTTGATTAAAAATCCAGATTTTGTTTCCTTTGTAATAAATCAGAAAGATCTGGCATGACTGGTCCCCTCGCACTCCTACATAGCAATGATGGCCTAGAGTTTGTTCCTTTAGATGGGACATAGGCCACAGTCCCTACCTTTCCCTTTTCTTCTTCTACCAGGCCCCACCACATGTGGAGCTTGTGCCCCATGATCTATTAGCATCCTCAGGGCAAGGTAGTGTGGTAGTGACTGTTCTCCCCGTTGCATAGGTGAAGACTAGAGTCAAATAGGCTTTGACATAAATGTCACTCCCTGAGTTGTGCAGTGAAACAGCCCATGCAACTGCACACTGGGCCATGCAAGATGAGGTGACTTTCTCAACATCACTAGCTAGGAAATGCCAGGGCCAGAAGACTGCAGTGAAGGTTAAATAAAATAAGAAAATGATGTATGTTTGGTGACTAACCTATCTGAAGCTCAGTGAAGCTCACACATACACACACACGGTGACGTGCTTATAAATGTTTAATGATGACTTCACCATGGAGAGAGGGGGAACCTTAATTTTAAAGTTTGCCAATTTCTATGGTGTAAATGCTCTCATGGTGGCTGATTTCAAGCTACCAATGTGAAGTCAACCAGCTTTTGCAAAATACCTGAAAATGTAACAATTGGCTCTTGGGGGCTGCTACAAGCCAGCTCCAGCCTATTATGATGTGAGCTCCCATTGGCTCACTAGAGCCAGTCCTTAAATTTATATGGGATGTTTTATATCATATGTTATGTTATAGATTATGTTGTTAAAAGTATACATATACTTTTAAAGCACAATATATATTTAATAAATAATATATAATTAAAGTAGATGAGATACCATTTTAATAAATTATATACAGTTTTAATAGAGAACATCATCATTCATACATATTTTATTTCCTATTAAAGATTATATGATAGAATAGGAAATGATATAAATATTACATTTTAAAAGATTATAAAGAAAAGAGTAGAATATCCACAAAGGTTAGTTCCTTTCTGGTCCTGTTCACAGAGCTCAGCTTTTCATGGATTAGAATCCAGGCAGAAACCCATATCGAGGTACTGGATGCTTCATTAGCCATGGAATGGATTCCAGGGAGGCAACGATTTGTTAATGGTCTGCGACTGGTGATGAGATCACTTGGGCCCAGATCCGGCTGCTTATCTGTTGGGAGTGATCACTTCTGGGTCCCAGCAGAGTGTGGAGAAGCGAAGTGAGTTGACACATCCCATCAACGAAGACTCTGTTTTGTCCTAGACTGGCATGACTTGCTCTAAGAAGTCTGTCATGCAAGGGCTCCACTTACACATATACGCAGTACACCTATACCTATGCACGGACACACGTCCATATATACACACACAGCTGTACACACATATATGTACACACACATACAAGCACACCTGCGACTGTGCACACACACACACACACACATATTCACAACCAGGTGTTGGCACATACCATATGCACATATATACACAGATTCTTCTTTGAAATCTTCCTGTAAATTACAATGAGGGATTGAAAGCCTTGATGTTCCTGGAATTCAAGGCCAAAGCCCTAGATTTAGGAAAACAGGTACCTTCTGTGGTCAAATAGATGCGGTCAATAGCGAAATCTTCTTTAAAGCTACTATTCATTGAGCTTGTACTATGTCCCAAGACTTCATGTACATTCAGTCATTCATGCCTTACAACCAGGCCATGAGGTAGATGCTATTGTTTTCATCTGCATTTCCCAAGGGGAAACTGAGGCTCAGGAAGCTGGAACTGTCTGCTCAGGGTCACACAGCTGGCCAGTGGCAGTTTTAGTCCTCTTCTCAGGGCATTTCTATGTTCTCCCCAAATTCATCTTTCAAGTCCCTACACCAGGAGTTGATGGCTTTACAAGCCAGTCTCCCCCAGTTCACGCCGAGATGTGCATTTGTCTTGACCATATCCTTCGTTATTTGTCCATGTAGATTCCATACTTCGTAGCTAAAAAGCATGAACTTGAACTCGAACAAAGGCTTTTTCTCCAGGGACTCAGAGAGGAGTCTGCTAAAGCATGTGAGGAAAGCTTGGCCTTCAATTCACAGGTAAGGGACCTGCTCTTTGGAAAATTCATTAGCAAGAAGGGTGCAGGAAGCCAAAACCAAAAGCCCTGTGATTTTAGGCATGCGGTTGGAGAAGATTTCACCCATTCATGTGCAAAACCTATGACTCAATTTGTAAAAAGAGCAAAGTCTGTGAGAAATGAGATTCATTTATTTTTATTATTTATTTATTTGAAACAGAGTCTAGCTCTGTCACCCAGGCTGGAGTGCAGTGGCATGATCTCGGCTCACTGCAACCTCTGCCTCCCAAGTTCAAACAATTCTCATGCCTCAACCTTTCAACCAGCTGGGACTACAGGTGCTCACCACCACACCCAGCTAAGTTTTGTATTTTTAGTAGGGATGAGGTTTTGCCATGTTGGCCAGACTGGTCTTGAACTCCTGACCTCAGGTGATCTGCCCGCTTCAGCCTCCCAAAGTGCTGGGATTACAGGTGTGAGCCACCGCGTCTGGCTGAGATTAATTTATTTTTAAAATAGGTCATTTTAAACAACATTTGCAAAACACCTACTGTGCATCAGACATGTGCGTTAACGCTTCTCAAATAACACTGCCGATGACCCATTGGGAACTGGGGTGCCAATTACACAAGAAAAGTGCTTCTCTTGCTTTCTTCTCACTGCTGCTTATTTTTACACCAAAGGGTTATTTATCATTTTGTTCACCAGACTTGACTGTAACTCACTTTTCTGGGTTTCACCAAATTGAGATCACTTCTAAAGGGCTTGTTGGTTGCAAAGACATTTAAAAGGGAGACCCTTGGGCTAACCTTTCCCTTCCCACATGTCACACTTTATATTTGTCGGTTTCACTGGTCATCTTCCCCTAAGATGACGTGATGCCCTCTTGGAAACATGAGCTGGGTCTCCACCTTGGCATCTCCAGCACTCCACCATGCCATGCAGGACCCAGCATCTGGAGAGTCTGCACACACAGGCTCGACGCTGCAACACTTAGCGCAGGCAGGCTTTTGACTGTCTTGGGCAAAGTCTCCCAAGGTGCCTGTTTTCTAAATGGCTGATACTCCTTTGAAAGTGAGAGATCTGACTATTTGTTCAGAAATCCCGCACTTTAGAGTCACAAGCAGGGCTTTCAGAAGTAGTTTGAACGTGCATGAATGGTCATGTATCCCCCACACTGTTAATAACCTCGGCATCTGCCCTGCCCACTCTCAAGGCATGTGTTAAAGACTAAAATGGGAGAAAGCTCTCTCTCTCTCTGTGTGTGTGTGTGTGTGTGTGTGTGTGTGCATTTCTGTATATTTTACAGACAGGAGTAAGGAAGAGAGCATGCTGTAAGGAAACCAAATGGACACTTTGCTGTCATCTTCGCTTGTGTTGCAATCCTAGCTCTCCTTCGTGCAAATTACATGTCATCCAAGATTAAATAATCCCCCGTGTAAAACGGGAACATGAAGACGTACATTACAGGTGTAAGAGAACCCCAGGCTGCACAACCACCGTGTGGCCTGTTTGAGATTGTACAGGTGTGGGACACAGCCACACATCCTGCTTGAAATGCTTCAAGAATGTCTCAACTTCATTAAAGTCGGGCTGATGGGACTTTGCATCCCATTTTACAGTGAGGGAGACAAAGGTGGTTGAGGAGGTACCCAGAGCCAGCCACTGCACATTCCACCCATGTAGTCCCCCAAGGAGGCCTGTGTGCCCCCTCATTTTACAGCTGAGGAAAGGACACCTCCGAGAGCTCATGCCGGTCACCCAGCTTCACCGTGGAGGGGACTGGCCTCTGAAAACCCTGGCATTACTCTCTGCTAGCTTCCAGAGCACGAGCTTCTCGGCCATGACATTCACTAAGTTCACTGAGAGAAACCGTAGGCTGGCATTGGGCAGGCTCAATCCTAGCACTTCCTTTTCACTCCCTCACAACAGAAACTTCTGCCTTGGCTGGGAAGGGGGTTCCCACATGCTGAGACGTGGGCCGCATTCCCCTTTCACCTAGAGTGGGACACAGGCCAGGCGGGAGGTTTCCGCCTCTGCAGGGGCTGCTGGCCTGGGCTTCTAGGAGGCCTGTTTGTGGAGACAGGAGTCGGCCCCAGGGCACCGGGAAGCCGGGGCTACTACTGAGCATATTTCTGGGGCTGGAATGCCATCCCTTGGAGAGCCTGTCTCTTAGAGACGCCAGGTCTGAGCAGGCTTTAGAAAACAGCAGAGGCCCCGTGGCGTTGGGGGGGCAGGGGGAAGAGAGTGGGGGCAGGAGGTTCCCACATGCCAAGCTACAAGGCCCTTTGTGGGGGGTTCCCTCAGGCATTTCCAATTACAGGAGTTATTTCTGCCCCGCAGATTATGTGGTTCCTGCACTTGGCGTGAGGAATGAATCGAGTCATTATTAACTCAGCAGTGTCAGCCCTGGGACCAGAGGCACCCGTTTGGAGGTAGAGCAGTTAATACACGGGCGGATTAGGTGGCTCTTAGGCTTCGCCACAATTAGAAACTCAGGACGTTTGAAATATTAACTGGGGCATGTGGGTAAGAGACAGCGCCCGGCTTCACTGCCAAGGAGATAACAGCCTGGAGGAGGCTGCGGAGAATTATGTAAGGAACGGGGCAGTGGGAAGTGGCATTTGCTGGGTACTTATTTTGCGTCAGTGGCTCCTGCAGACATTCCTCACTTTATCTTCCCGGGAACCTCGAGGACAGGATTGTTTCCTCCATTTCACAGAGGAGGGAAGGGGGCGGAGCTCAGAGAGGGCGGATCAGTTTTCTAAGTCTGCACAGCCAGCGAGGTCGTGCAGAGTCTGCCTTCTCTTGGCACGGTCCTCCGTCCTTCCCTGAGCCCTGGATGATCCCTGCCCATGTCCCAGAGGCATTGAGATGCTAATGAAAAGAAGCGCTAGGAAGAAATAAAAGGAAAGCAATAATGATCACAGTAACTGGTATTTTTCAAGCACGTATTCCATGTGTGCGCTCTGCCACACTTCACAGACACCACTTTTCATCCCTGGGACCGTCCAGGGAGGTAGGTAGAATTAATTATTGTCCTCATCATGTGAGAGACTGAGACATCCTAAGATTAACAATTACATCGAAAGAGCCATAATCAAGCTTGACTTCAGGCCTGTCCACCTCCAAAGCCCCTTCTATCTTAAAGATATTGTCGTGTCCCCTAGCTCCAAGAGGCAGAGGCAGGGATTGAGTCTGGGATTTGCACATCCTAATCTAGGGCACTGCACTTCGCAGCACTGCCTTGCGTTCATTCATCGTTCATTTACGTACCAAGAATAAGAGTGTATTAAGCAGTTCTTTGCACTGCACCTGCACAAGTCCACCTCTTTCACCATCCCTATCGTCCTATGGGGTAGGTACTTACTTTTTTTTTTTTTTTTTTTTTTGAGACGGAGTCTTGCTCTGCCACCCAGGCTGGAGTGCAGTGGCTCAATCTTGGCTCACTGCAAGCTCTGCCTCCCGGGTTCATGCCGTTCTCCTGTCTCAGCCTCCCTAGTAGCTGGGACCACAGGCGCCCGTCACCATGCCCGGCTAATTTTTGTATTTTTAGTACAGACAGGGTTTCACCTTGTTAGCCAGGATGGTCTCAATCTCCTGACCTCATGATCCACCCACCTCGGCCTCCCAAAGTGCCGGGATTACAGGTGTGAGCCACCAGCGCCTGGCCAGCACTTAATATTTATTAATCTCTTCTTGCTCTGGATAAGAAAACAAAGGTTCCAAGGAATAGTATATTGCTGCAAAAACAGTCTGCTCTGCTCCATTGGATGGAAAGATGCAAAACCATAGACACTCACTCAGAAAGAGGTCCATGTTACATAGACCACAGTAAGAGTGAGGACAGAAGATGACAAAGCCAACAGAGGAAGTGCTGGAAGCACCAGCATGGATTCTGCATAGGAGATGCCCAGCAGTCACGGGATGGAAACGACCGAAACAGATCACAGGGGCAACCAAAGAGACCAATATATTAATCACAGAAAATAAAATTTGACATAACCCAGTGCATCAGGGACTTGGGTTGCTGCTGTTGTTGATTTGCTTTTCTTTGTTTTGTTTTGATGCGAGAGGTCTTCTGGCCACAGGCGCTTCACTGAGGTCCCTATTTACAGTCTGGAGAACAGACAGGCACAGTCAGAACCAGATTCCTTTGGCTCAGTTCTATTTTCCACTTCCCTAATTATGACATTCCTTCCCTTTGGACATGGTTCAAGTTCTCCTTTCCCTTGAGTTGCACCACTACCACCTGGATGCAGGAAGGAAGCAATAGATGGTGTGTTTCTAAGAATGATAAGGAAGAAAAGCCAGAAAAGGGGGCTCTTGCTGCCCTGGCTTTGCAGCTGTCTTGGGCCCCAGCACATGCTGCCTTGAAGCACACACCATATTCACAGAGCCAGAAGGTGAGCACCCCAGTGGAAGGGCTGTGTGAGTTGCCTTTGTACCAGTGTGGTGCCTAGCGCACAGTAGGTACACAGGAAGTCCCGACCAGGTGCATGAGTACATGGTGCAGCACAACCTCAACTAATTTCTTTCTTTCTTCTTTCTTCTTTTTTTTCCTTTTGGGACGGAGTCTCGTTTGGTCACCAGGCTGCAGTGCAGTGGTGCAATCTTGGCTCATTACAACCTCTGCCTCCCAGGTTCAAACGATTCTCCTGCCTCACTCTCCTGAGTAGCTGGAACTACAGGTATGCGCCACCATGCCCGGCTAGTTTTTGTATTTTTAGTAGAGAAGGGGTTTCACCATGTTGACCTCGTGATCCACCCGCCTTGGCCTCCCAAAGTGCTGGGATTATAGGCATAAGCCACCACACTCAGCCAACCTCATCTAATTTCAAATGATTACTAGTAAAATATGGAAACTTCAGAATGGCTTGCTGTTATTTTTAACATATAAATTAAAGCAGATCTGATAACAACTCCATGCTACTCTCATATTTACTCACTTGGCTCTTGGTCTGTTTTCTGGAGTGGGAGAGACAGGAACAAGTGGCCCAAAGGAAAAAGCTGTGCACACTTCCCAGCCAAGCTCTGTCCTCTGTAGCTTTTGGTAAATGCTTGTTGCTGACATATTGCTATTATGCGGTGATGTGGAGTCGTAATGTCCTATCACCCTCTCACAATTTGGGAGGAGGTTAATTAAAATCCGCCTCCATACATGGGTGAAATATCTTATCAGAATGACATGTATTAATAGAATCTCTTCCCCAGCCATAGATTACTAGTACATGCCAGCTGTTTTTATTCCCCATCTTGAAAACAAAAGAGTGAGCTACTTACACCATTGCACACAATACTTCTGAATTATCCATTACAAATTGAACCACAGATTTCTGCTTTTGACATTTATACCTAATTTCTAAATGTTACGACACATTTTCCTATGCTGGGAAGGCAAAGGAGACGTGTTTTCCTGTTTTTCCCAAGCTCCTCTCTTACACACTTAAAAATGGGGAAAGAGAAGGTATAGAACAGGGGTTATAAACTTTTTCTATAAAGGCTCAGATAATAAATCTGTTTGGTTTTGCAGACTGTACACCTCCCAAGGCAACCACTCAGCTCTGCTGTTGAAGTGTGAAAGTGGCCACAGACAACAGGTGAATACATGGGGTGGCTGTATTTTAATAAAATTTTACTTATGGATTCCAAAATTTCAATTTCATAACATTTTTACAGATCAAAAAATATTATGCTTTTTGTTATTGTCTTCAATCATTTAAAGATGTAAAAAGTACTCTAAACTGACAGTCATTCTAAAAAGACAGTGGCCTGCCCTGGCTCAGAAGCCACAGTTTGCTGATAGAAGAGGAACAATTATTTGTTTCCTTCCATAGCAAGAAGAAAGATGTTTTGGGGGGTTCGGTGACTGAAATACTTATGTGTAAATTTATTTCTACTAGGAACCCCAGTATGTGGTCTTATGTGTAAATAGAGCCTTCACATGTGTAATTGGTTAAGAATGTCGAGGTAAAATTATCCTGAATTTAGGGTGGGCCTTAAATCCGATGACGAGGATCTTTGTAAGGGAAAGGAGGGGGAGATTTGGACACAGAGAGGCACAGAGCAAAAGGTCATGTGAAGGCTATAGGCAGGGCTTGGAGGGCAGACACAGCCATGGAGTGCCAAAGAACGCCAGCAGGACCCAGGAGCTGAGACAGAGGAATGGGATGGGCTATCCCTCAGACCCTTCAGAGGGAAAGTGGCCCTGCCCACACCTTGATTTCAGACTTGCAGCCTCCAGAATTATGAATCAATTTCTGTTGCTTTAAGCCACCACATTTATAGGATTCTCTTACAGCAAGAATAGGAATCTAATATAGGGGATGAAAGGTGTTTTGCTGAGAAGGAAGAGGACCAAGATATCGGTGATGACATAATCCTTGAAATAATTGGGGAAGCAACCGAAAGAACTAAGCAAAGATTTTTGAAGAGCAACATAAAGAGCTGAGTCCACAGAATATCCTTTTATTTTATTTATTTATTTATTTATTTTATTTTAGAAACAGGCTCTCCCTCTGTTGCCCAGGCTGGAATGTAGCAGCCCAGTTGTGGCTCACTGCAGCCTCATACTCTTGGGCTCAAGCGATCCTCCCACGTTGGCACCCCAAAATGCTAGTATTACAGACATGAGCCACTTCACCTGGCTGAATATTCCTTTTTTAAATTTTAGTGACAGGGTCTTGCACTGTTGCCTAGGCTGACATACAGTGGTGCAGCACGATCATGGCTCACTGCAGCCTCAGACTCCTGGGTTCAAAGGATCCTCCTGCCTTGGCCTCCCAAAAGATTGGGATTACAGATGTGAACTACCTTGCCTGGCTGAATCTTTTTCATATAAGAAATTCCATCTCCCAGTAGCCAGTGTGGCTGAAGAGAGGCCTTGGAAACACAAGAAGGTGTGAGAGACACAAATAGGGCAGAGGAAACAGCTTCATTCTCCAAAGGGTAAACCACACCCAACAGATCTGGGGAAATCTAGTCCTGGCTGTAATGGGTACTCAGACAGTGAGGGAGCTGCAGACTTAATCCACACTGATTTTCAGGAGGCATTGGTACACCAGCCAGAAATAAGGGTGGATGAAAGGTTAGTGTGTATGTCCCTGTCTTTGAAGGAATGTAGAGCAAGGATGAAGAGCAGAGTCTAATGGGACTGATTGGGGTCACACAAGAAGGAGGTAACAAGTGTAAGATCATTCTGCTGGAGGGACTTTTCAAATAAAGATAATTCTAATGCCAGGCAGTCAGGGCTAAGAAGCAAAACTGATGCTTGGTCTCCTGCCTCTCTCCTTGGTGTCCAAGATGACCCTGAAGCTGTCACTTTGCTTCCTCCTGGGCAAACTGTTAAACTGGGACATTTGGTTCAACTTCAGTGATGGTGGACTTCTTTTGGGAAGAGACTTCAAAGTGTCAACCCCCATGGCACCCCAACCCCTGCCTAATACAAGTATTTCATGTTGACCAATCAGAAGATGGTCATCCTCTCCATCACCTCCAGGCCATATCTGGCAGCCCCACTAACTGGGGGACTTTCTGGTTCTGGGGACAGTCTGGTTGGATGGCCCAAGCCTGGGCTTCCTGGGGGCAGTGGTCTGTGCTGAGGGATAAGGAACTTCTTACATTGCTGGAGGGAGAATATGCCTTATGAGGGTTGATTTAGTAATTAATTTCAAAAACTAAAGAGGGACCTCTTTTCTTATACCCAGCCATTCTCCATCTAGGAACAAATCCTAACAAAATAATATCAGGAGCAAATGCAGAGATTGGTGTGGGCCCCGTGGAGGGGGAACCAGCTTTTACCTCCTGCAAGACAGGCATCCGACTTGTTCTTGGTCACAAGTGACTTATGTCTGCCTGGATGATGTATTTCACTTCTTTAAGCATCAGCTTCTCATCAGTAAAATGACAATAATAGTCACACCTACCTCACAGGGTTGCTTGGAGGATTAATTTAAATGAGGTAGGTAACATGGTAAAAACACACGGAATATGTCCCGCAAATGGTAAAGCCACTTGTGGTTGTTTTTTTTTTAAATGAAGATTTCTATCTATGTCATAGTTTTGACTGAGAAAAACCAAACAACTAAAATGTCTAAAGAGGTAGAGAATTAATTAAACATTTATATACGTACACACACAAATATATGTGTGTGTGAAGAAGTGTTAGTCTGTAAACCATCATTTTTGAAAGATAGTTAATAGGTAATTATGTAGGGAAAAATCATGATAGAATATTAAATGGGTAAAGCAAAATGAAAATATGTATTATAGTAACATTCCTCTATTATTATCATTTACACACACATACACACACACACAAATACAAATACAGCCCTATAGGAAAAACAACAGGATTTATAGCAAAATAAAAATATTGATTTTGCCTAGGAGTATGGACAATGCTAAGTTTCTTCTTTATGCTTTCAGTCTACTTTCAGAAATCTCATACAATGCATACGTATTATTTTAATAATGAAAATTAAAATATTAAGAAAAATTAGCGTGGATTTTATAGTCGGACAGGTACATTCCAAAGCATGGCTTTCTGCTTATGAATTATATAGCCTTGGGCAAGTTCTTTTACTGAGTCTCAGTTTCCTTATATTTAAAAAAGGGCATGTGGGAGGAATAATTGAATGCATCTTAAAGGGCCATACTGAGAATGAAATAAGACAGGATGGGCAAAGTGTATTTACTCAAGGTCAGAGGATCATTGTGAGAAGATTCGGGCCAGTTTTAGCATCAGCATGTTTAGTGCACCACGAGAAATGCTGAGACAGAGGCCTCGTCCCTTGGACACCGAAGCTACAACACTGTTTCTGGGTGCAGGGCTCCATGGAGAAGCCACAGAATGCTGCTTTGAAGGACTTTGGAAGATTATTGCCCGGCCCACGTAATCTCCCCTTATCATAGCAACTAGTTTCAGAGTCCATTGGAAATCCCAGATTGATTTCAATGATGAATCACATCTATTAATTGCATTGCATGGGCCAAGAGGATCAACATATGAGGAAATCTTTAAAAGGACACCCAACAGATAGGAACAGAAAGCCTGCTACGTGTATGTGAGAGTGGAGTTCAGTTTCTGGCAAAAATTAATAATGATGATTAAAAAATACATTGAAACACATAAAGATTTATTTATTTATTTATTTATTTTTTTTGAGACGGAGTCTCACTCTGTCGCCCAGACTGGAGTGCAGCGGCACAATCTCGGCTCACTGCAAGCTCCTCCTCCTGGGTTCACGCCATTCTCCTGCCTCAGCCCCCTGAGCAGCTGGAACTACAGGCACCTGCCACCATACCCGTCTAATTTTTTGTATTTTTTTTTTTTTTTAGTAGAGATGGGGTTTCACCATGTTAGCCAGGATGGTCTGGATCTCCTGACCTCGTGATCTGCCCGCCTTGGCCTCCCAAAGTGCTGGGATTACAGGCGTGAGCCACTGCGCCCGGCCAACATACAGATGTTTTTATGTATCAGTTCCCGGGAGAAGCACAGGTTGTTTGTTTGTTTAATCCATTTACTCTTTACAAGAACCCTTTTTACAAATGAGGAGACCAAGTCTTCAGAGATGTAACATATGGAAGACACAGAGCAAATAGATGGCTCAGCTGGGATTCAAAACCCTTAGAAGGCTGTAAGTCCAGAGTTCAGGTGCTAACCCCCCAAGCTCAGGTGCCCCTTGTCCACTGCACTCCACTGGCCAGGGCCACTCACAGACCCTTGCTGGATTTCAAAGCTGAATATCTTCCATGGAGTCAGGGAAGGATGAAGGGAAAGAGTACAGAATACGCTTTGTCGACTGATTGACAGCAAAGGACCAGTTTGCATCAGACGCTCCCTCATCCCTGTCTCATCCAGGAGGTAGTTCTGAAATATTCCAATTCCCGGAGGCCCTTTTATTATTACAATTGCTCCTAAATGTTTTGATTGTGGTGTATTATAGATGTTATTTCAAACCAGCTTTTAGCCTGATAAGACACTAATGCATGCATACATGACCATTCTTTTGAGCAGACCATCCTTAATAAAAACAATACATCAGACACTGACTCTTATTAAAGGGGACTTAATCTCTCATAGCAAGCCTTTCTTCGGACAATGACCTCTCATGAAGTGTCAGTAACCTGGCTTAGGGGTCAATGAGAAATTGAAAGAAAGAAAAGAGAGACAGAGACAGAGAGAAAAAAAAGAGAGAAAAGGAAAGCAGGGACGGGCAGAGGGGAAAGGAGGAAGGAAAGGAGCTGTTATTTTATCTCATTTTCATCAATGGAAGGGGATATGTCTCTCTAGGATATTTGCTAAGCTATGCAGATCCTCTGGGAGAGGCACTGGGTATGGTTCATAGAGCACTAGATTAGGAACCTGAAATCTTGGGTTCTAAGATCAGTACCACCAGTTACCAATATGTGTTTTTGAACAGTCGCTTGTCCTCTGTGCTTCTTCTATAGTAACCTGAGATTGCCCCTGCCTTGCCTAGCTGGAGTGTCTGCGTCTCTGTTTGCCTAGGACAGCCCCAGGTTACACCTGTTGTCCTAGTGTGAGTATTAATAGCACCCTTTCACCTCTAGAAGTGACCCTGTTTGGGTGATAAATTACATAATCACCCATCTAACTTATAGTGTTATGATCACTAAAAAGATAAAGGTTTGAAAATGCTTTACAAAAGCTAAAGCCCCATTATGGGCTAAAGGGATTGAAGGCACGTCTCACTTCCTCTGAATGCTACATTTAAGAAATCAGGCCGGGCGCAGTGGCTCATGTCTGCACTCTCAGTGCTTTGGGAGGCAAGGTGGGAGGATCACTTGAACCCAGAAGTTCAAGACCAGCCTGGGCAGCACAGTGAGACACCCATCTCTAAAAAAAAAAAATTAGCCGAGCACAGTGGTAAGCACCTCTAGTCCCAGCTACACAGGTTGCGAGTCAGGAGGATCACTTGAGCCAAGGAGTTTGAGGTTGAAAGGTTGCAGTGAGCTATGATCGTGCCACTGCACTCCAGCCTGGGTGACAGAGTGAGACACTGTCTCAAGAAAAATTAAAAAAAAGAGAGAGAAAAAAACAGAAGAAAAAGTAAAAGAAATCAACATTGGTTTCACAAGAGTTTTTGGTAATATAGATAAATGTTCAATATTATAAATTGGGTGTATTCAAAATGATGTATGCAGTGTTATCACTACATACATGAGCAAAATTATTTCATGGAGACATACAAAGTGACAACATGGGTGTCTTTGGGGAGACTGTTAGGGGTTAATACAGCTGATGACTTTAAGTTGAAGCCAAAGCTTACTTACTATTGTGAAAAAGCTAGGTTCCTTAAGAATGATGCTAAATCTATTTTGCCTAGGTGCTGTAAGTGGAGAAACAATGTCTGGATGACAGCACATCTGATTACAACATGGTTCGCTGGATATTTTAATCCCACTGTTAAGACCTACTGCTCAAAAAAAAAAAAAAAAAGATTCCTTTCAAAATATTACTGCTCATTAAAGCAATGCACCTGGTCATTCAAGAGCTCTGATGGAGATGTACAAGGTGATGGATGTTGTTTTCATGCCTGCTAACAGAATATTCAACCTGCAGCCCATGGACCAAGGAATAATTTTGAATTTTAAGTCTTTTTGTTTAAGAAATACATTTCATAAGGCAATAGCTGCTATAAGTAGTGACCCCTCTGGTGGATCTGGGCAAAGTAAATTGAAAACCTTCTGGAAAGTATTCACCGTTCTAGATGCCATTAGAAACGTTTGTGATTCATGGAGGGAGATCAAAATATAAACATTAATAGGAGTTTGTAAGAAGTTGATTCTAATTCTCATGAACGACTAAAGGGTTCCAGACTTTAACTGCAGATGTGATGGAATTAGCAAGAGAACTTGAATTACAAATGGAGCCTGTGGGAGGCTGAGGCAGGAGAATCGCTTGAGCCCAGGAGGTGGAGGACGTTGTTGTTAGCTGAGATCACGTCACTGTACTCTACGAGACAGAGCGAGATTCCATCTCAAAAAAAAAAAAAAAAAAGAAAAGAAAAAGAAAAGAAATGGAGCCTGAAGATATGACTGAATTGCTGCAGTCTCATAATAAAACTTGAATGAATGAGATGTTGCTGCTTATGGAAGAAAAAAGAAAGTGTCTTCCTGAGATGGAATCAACTCCTGATGCTATGATAACAAAAAAATTAGAATATTCCATACACTTAGTTGATAAAGCAGCAGCAGCGTTTGAGAGGTTTGATTCCAGTTTTGAAAGGAATTCTGCTGTGGGTAAAATGCTATCAAATAGTGCCACATGCCACAGAGAAATTGTTAGTGAAAGAGCAAGCCAATGAATGCAGCAAACTTCATTGTCGTCCTATTGTAAGAAATTGCTGCAGCCATTCCATCCTACAGCAACCACCACTATGATAAGTCAGCAGCCATCGGAATAGAGGCAAGACCCTCCATCCCAAAAAAGATTGTGACTTTCTGAAGGCTCAGATGAATGCTAGCATTTTTTTTTTTTTTTTTAGCAATGAAGCATTTTTGTTTTGTTTTATTTGTTTTTGTTTTTGTTTTTGAGGAGGAGTCTTGCACTGTCACCTGGGCTGGAGTACGGTGGTGCGACCTAGGCTCACTGCAACCTCTGCCTCCCAGGTCCAGGCAATTATCCTGTCTCAGCCTCCCGAGGAGCTGGGATTACAGGTGCCTGCCACAATGCCCAGTTAATTTTTTGTATTTTTAGTAGAGACAGGGTTTCACTATGTTGTCCAGGCTGGTCTCAAGCTCCAGACCTTGTGATCCACACGCCTCAACCTCCCAAAGTGCTGGGATTACAGGCATGAGCCACTGCGCCTGGCCTGAAGCATTTTAAATTAAGTTATATACATTTAAAAAAAAAAACACACACAATGCTACTACAGACTTTATACTACAGTATAGTATAAACCAGCATTCCCCAAACTTTTTGGCACCAGGGACTCGTTTCATGGAAGATAATATTTTCCCAGACCTTGGGGGGAGGCAGGGATGGTTTGGGGATGCTTCAAGCACATTACATTTATTGTGCACTTTATTTCTGTTATGATTACATTGTATATATAATGAAATAATTATACAACTCACCATAACATAGAACACTGGGAACCCCGAGATTGTTTTCCTCCAATGAGACAGTCCCATCTGGGGGTGATGGGAGACAGTGACAGATCATCAGGCATTAGATCCTCATAAGGAGCATGCAGCCCAGACTCCTGGCATGCACAGTTCACAATAGGGTTTGTATTCCCAGGAGAATCTAATGCTGCCACCGATCTGACAGGAGGCGGTGGTAATGCCAAGTGACGAGGAGTGGCTGTAAATACACATGAAGCTTCATTCACTTGCCCACTTGCCCTCTTGATGCGCTGCCCAGTTCCTAACAGGCCATGGGCCACTGGTACTGGTCTGTGGCCCGAAGGTTGGGGAACCCTGGTATAAACATAACTTTTATATGCAGTGAGAAACCAAAAAAATCATGTGACTCACTTAATTACTGTATTTGCTTTATTGTGGTGGTCTGGAACAGAACCCGCAATAGCTGTGCGGTGTGCTTGTTATTTAGTTTTCTCTCCTCAGCTTTCTGAGTTTTACTTACTACCTCTCTTCCTGCTAGAGAAATTAAAATATCACCTCTTTCTGCATGCATGCAGCAAACATTTATGAAGCAGTTGCTCTGTGTGAGGCAGAATGCTACAACGCCGGCCTACAGCAGGACAGAGGCAGGGTCAGGAAGATGTGGACTCTAGGGAAGGGTCTCCCACCAACCTATTTAGTGATGTTCCAGAAGTTTTTCCTTTTACTGGGATTCAGTTTCTCCATGTGTAAAATAGCAGTCGTTTCACCAGATGAATTCTAACCTCACTTCTGGCACTAATAAGCTATGATTTACCCAGAAAGTGCAGACTCAGATCCCCCAGGTAACTCTAGAAGAGGTTCAAGATTAGATCTTAACCCCTTTCCCGCTCCTCACCCCAGAGAATTTCAGCAGCGGCTATGCAAGCTTATGGGCTTCCAACTTTTTATGACATTTTGATGCTTTCTTTTAAGATGGGCAGAAATTTCTTTCAGAATAGTTTGGAATTGACAGACGCCGCTAAAACAATTGCTGCTCTTTTAGGCAATTCTGAAAAATCTGAGGGAAACCCATGTTCCTCTTTCCATAGTATTCCCTTATTATTAAGCAATCAATGCTGAGAGTGTAACTTTTCACTTACATCAGCTCTCCTAAAATCATCGTGTCATCTCACAGAGTTACACGCAGAGTAACGAGTAAAGTGTTGTTTAAAACCAAATAAACCCGCTTGCATTCTCATAGACTTACCTTTAGTACAATTTATAAAATTGTGATTGTTTAGGTCATTTTCAGTGCTCCTTATTAGACAGAAATTGTCTTTTATTGGCTCTGCTTTTTAACGGATGTTAACTTGCATCAACAGACTACCACAAAATGCACCTGCATTGGAGAAATGTCCATCTATCAATGTAGACTCTTGCAAAGAATTCCAAGTGTTAGACAAATTGTTTCCATTAAGCTGAAAATACTCCTTCGGGTGTGAGCTTTTAATTCATGAGTTGCTGTAAACTGATTCAAATAATAAGGAGGCTTTTCCCCCAACCCCCTGGCCTGATAGCAAACTAGTGAAGAACGTGCTCAATCCCTCAAGAAGATATTGTATTGTGATTCCTACAGTTGTCCTGAAGTTCAAACAATGCTGTTCTGTGAGAAAATGTGGTTTTTATAAGGCTATTATTTTGTCTGACTGTTTTATTCCTATTTTACAAAGAAAGTGTGAAATTTGACTGACAACTCGGATGGAGATGGAGATGGAGAGTAATCAGAATTGTGGCCCATGGAGAAATTAAGAGAGAAACAAGGAGCTGATAAAAACTGAAAACAGAAAAAAAAAATGCAGCCACATTTAACATTTTTACATTTTTTTTTTCTATTTTGGAAAAGCACCAAGCAGCACAGAAGAAATTAAGAGGAAACTTGATGAAAAACTCTATTTATTACCATAGCAGAGAATAGACACTGATGTCTCCTTTTTTCACGGTAATGTTCACAGGATGATGTCTAGAGTTAATTTAGGCTAATCATATCACTCCACACAAGGTAATCTTACCTGTACAGCAACACTTCTGAAGTCTCATAAAATGTGTCTTTTTATTGTAATTATAGTAGGGCAAGCCACATCCCCAGAAACCTGAAAGGAATAAGGCAACTTTGCCCATAAAGAAAATGCTACCCACCACCTTCAGTTTGCAGGGCCCGTCCAGTTAAAACTAACATGTAGTTGTTTAGTCTATGCTAGGCATTGTGCTAACTGGAAAAGGGTTAGCTAATTCATGTAGTTATGTGGTAGGCATTTATAAGTGCCCATGTCTGCCAGCAGATGCGCCCTGCCTGTCCACAGGAGGCTAATAGGACCACAAAACAATGGTAAAAGGGTGACAGCAGAGGGCTATACAAAGGGACCCAAGACCACAAAGGGACTCAAGCTCCTCAGAGACCACTTCCCTTCCCGTTTACCAATGTCTCTGTCAGCTAAATTGTTCAAAAGAGGAAGTCGTGACTTTGCCTTCCTTGAAGCATTTCTGGCTCTGCCTAAGCTCTTTCAATGTTATTTTGCGGTTCAAGCTACAATCCTGAAACATAACTGCAACTGGTTATTGAAAAATGCAAATGAGTTACATGTTCAGGATTAAAATGAAACATTCTTTTCTGAGTCAGCAAAAAGTTTGAAGTATATACATTTAAAATATCTTTTTTATTACAATAGTAAAATATGCTCATTGAAAAAAAATACCCAAACAACACAGGAGGAAATAAAGCAAAAAGTAAAAATATTCCCCTTCCCCAAGGCTTCTAAAGCTTCTTTCAGAGTTCAAGGTCTATGCTTCTAGACTTTTGCTATGCCTAACTAAACATGTATCTATAAAGTTTTAAATGCTCAGAAGCCATACAACTATATTCATTTCAAACTAGGTAGAGCAAATTTATATTTACTGAGCACTTACATGTGTGCAGAGTCTCTTAGTGCTTTGCATGCATTACTTTGTATCCATCGTATTCTGCAGGAGTCCGCAAAGGTTGACCTGGGGCCAAATCCCATCCCTCGCCTATTTCTGTAAATAAAGTTTTATTGGAACTCAGCCACATTCATTTGTTTACATATGGTCTCTGATTGCTTTTGTGCTACAGTGACAGAATCGAGAGACTGCAATAGAGACAGTGTGGCCTGCAAAGCCTAAAATATTTACTCTTTTGTCCTTTACAGAAAAGAAATTGCTGACCCCTGACAGAGTAGATAATTTTATGTGGAGAAAAAGGACACTGGGTGTATATAAAACAAGCTATTAACATAGGTTAAATTATGAGCAACTCTAAGTATCTTCTTCATCCATTGCTGTGCTGTGTAAATTTTTAATAATGATGTGCCTATTTATTTTGTGCCTTAACTACATATATGCAATTTAAATAAAAGTCTATCTTATGATGAAAAAACTGATAAACTGTTAGTAAGGAAAGTCTTAGAAATTAAGACAATTTATAACTGGCATTTCCACTGTGTGCATGCAAATACAATACTCTAGAAGGATTTTTTAAAAAAGAGTTTGCAAACACTCTATAAGATGACTTTTTTTCAGTAAAATTTACCCTCTCATTTTCTCAGGGCATGTATTTTCTTGGTGATTTGAAAAATGTGGCAGACACAGATAATCGTGCATCAGACTTGCTATTGCTTCTATTTGGGCACCTAGATTCCATTTCTCAGCTTCTTTGGAGTCAGCATGGCCATGCAACTGAGTCCTCGTTAAAGGGATGTGGGCAGAGTGGAAGCACTCCACTTCCAGACCTGGTCCATAAAACCCTCCCTGCTCACACCTCCTCCAGTTGGCTGAAAGGGAGATTACCTCTTGAGTGCACTTGGGAAGAGAACGAAGATTACAGAGTCGCGAGATGAAAGAACCTGTGCCCCTGGATCAACACTTGGAGGAGAGCCACTCAGGCGAGCTGCCTGTTATATGAGCGAGGAATTAATTTTGCATTAAGCCTTTGCGATGTGGAGGTTTATCTGTTACTTTTCATAATGAGAGCTCACTGTATTTATGGAGCTAGCTGTTGACAGATGGCTTTGGGATGGAAAAACGATATAGAAGTCCCTTCTCTAGGTAATGTCATCCAATAGCTTCTCCTTGAAATCAAAGCACTGGAAACACTTTTCAGACCTCCGCCTAACTGGTACTCAATCATAGTGAGTAAGTGGTACCTACAACTCCCACCCAAGCCTTTATCTGCCTCTATTCTGAGGTCTCTACTCTAGCAATAATGGTGTCCTTAGGGACCAATCCCATCTCTCCCCTGCCAGTATCATATTCACCATGCTTCCTAGTCAAACTCCTCCCTCTCTGCCACATGATACTGGGTTCCATGCAACCTAAGATGGCATCCGGTAACAATTTTTAAATTTATCAACCAGGATACTTTCTCACCTACTGACTCCTATACATCTTGATAGAAGATAAAGGACCATTCTGCCATCAGCAAGGAAGCAATGTAGATAAATTCCAAGCCATTTATAATTCATTCCATCTTCATTAAGTATTCATACACTACTATTGGCAATCACCTAAGCATTTTATGTAATAAAAAACAGAATAGCTAGAAAAGAAACTGGGAAAGGTCGGCTTTATTAGGAGACTGGGGGACAGGAAAATAATCAATTTGCTATATTCTTTATCCCAAACTTTTTCTTGCAGGAAGGATTTCTGGATAGGTCGGTCACAAGTGAATTAAGTAGCTATCTTGAGGGTGATTTGAACAGCACCAATAGAACGTCACTGCTATTCTCTTTGATTCATTCAGCCCATATTTATTGGAGACTGGCTTTGACAGGCCCTGAGAATAAAATAGGTATTCCTTTCTTAAAGTCTGGACATCTTAAGAAGATGTGGATTAAACACACTGAATGTATGTGGATTAAACACACTGAATCCAGAGTGAAAATACTAAATACCTACCTTGCTATTAAAATTAGTTTATTGGATTATTATTAATAATAATAATGGCATTAATTCATAATAACTCACCATAATTAGGATAGCCAAAATGTATTGAGATTCTACAACTGGCCAACTCCTAAACAGAGAAAAGTGTTCCATGCATATCTCATTTAATTGTTATAGGAACCCTGAGATTTCATTTCTATGATTCGTTCCCATTTTAGGGATGAATACATTAAGATTCTAAGAGATTAAGCGATTGCTAAAGATAAGACAGCAAGTCATTGACCATGGAGAGGCTGAACTTCATATCAGTGTGGACCCAGAGCCCAAGCCCATAAGCCCTCAGGGCCATTGTTCCCTAAGACAGAGAAGATGTAGAAATAAATGGTGGGGCATCAGGGTGAAAGGACAGTGAAGAGAGAGGGCCCTGCAGAGTCGAAGGAAGTCTGTTGTAAGAGAAGGCTACCAGAAATCCGAGACCAGCTGTGCCTCCCTCAGGGGTTTACCAATATTGGTCTTGATTACTTGTCACAGACACCATTCCATCCAACCCAGCTAGTAGCATAGAGAGTAAATGAAATTAGAAGAAGAAAAGGAAGAACTGCCAGTATACTCATTAATCTTTAAGTGATGTCAAAGAATTATCCCTTCCTACTAATTACAGGAATCATGCAGCCCATTTCCCCTAAAGGAAAATGCTCTTGGATTCAACAGTCAAGCTTGGGAATAAATTTAAGATTGGCCAGATCCCTACACACCTGTTCTTTCAAACATCTGCCTCTCCGTAAGCTGATCCTCTGAGTTTGGTCAATTCAGCATGGTGACCTGGAGAGGCTGATCACATTCATGACAATGTCTCTGGAAAACATGATTCCATTTTTACCCCATAGCTGTGATCTGAAAGAATTCTCACCACTCCTCATGCCTGTAATCCCAGCACTTTGGGAGGCCGAGGCAGGTGGATCACCTGAGGTCGGGAGTTCGAGACCAGCCTGACCAACATGGAGAAACCCCATCTTTACTAAAAATACAAAATAAGCCATGCATGGTGGCACGTGCCTGTAATCCTAGCTACTCTGGAGGCTGAGGCAGGAGAATCACTTGGACCCGGGAGGTGGAGGTTGCTGTGAGCCGAGATCGCACCATTGCACTACAGCCTGGGCAACAAGAGCGAAACTCCGTCTTAAAAAAAAAAAAAAAGAAAGAATTCCCTCCACCCTTTGTCCATTTCCCATGTCACCTATTCCTCTTAAAGGTCAACTCAACAACATTTCCTAGATCATCATACCTAGACTATCAGTATCCTCAAAGTGAAGCCATGGTATATTCCAAGCTAATTTCAGAAGAAAGCTTAGTATATGTTAATGGCTCAAGAGGGTTTCTCTTTGGGGTAAATAAATAAATAAATAAATGGCCCTTTAAAAACGATGCTCTTTGATTTATTTTGTGCCATGAATTATTAGGTGCTCTGAATAAAAAATGAACTGAAACATGTCCCCAGCCCTAGTCTAAACCCAGTAGACTAGTACATACATATAGTGGATGCTACATTATCTCGGGTTTGGAGATTGAGAAGCGCACAAATGGCAAGGATGAGACACCTTCAACTCCTCTAGTCTTCCAGCCAACATACCTCAAGAAGACATCTTCCAAATTTACCAGTAAATAACTTGTTTTTTCTCCCATCTTAATGGGGCGGTTTTTATTCCCACCTGTCATAATCAAGATATGTCAGATATATTTACATTAAAAAATTGATTTTGAATCAAGTGAGCAAATATTAGCCCTGAAAATGTTGTATTTTTAGCAATAAAAACAAATTAAGGCTGGGCATGGCGGCTCATGCCTGTAATCCCAACACTTTGGGGGACCAAGGTGGGCAGACTGCCTGAGGTCAGGAGGTTGAGACCAGCCTGGCCAACACGGTGAAACTCTGTCTCTGACAAAAATACAAAAGTTAGCCGGGTGTGGAGGCGCATTCCTGTAATCTCAGCTATTTGGGAGACTGAGACGGGAGAATTGCTTGAACCCAGGAGACGGAGGTTGCAGTGAGCCAAGATCTTGCCACTGCACTCCAGCCTGGGTGACACAGCAAGACTCTCTCAAAATAAATAAATATTAAAAAAATAAATAAAAACAAATTAATGTGGACATTCCTTTGGTGAATGAGACAAATTCTACAGGGAAAACAGGGAGTTAAACGCTGCCCATGTCTCTACCATCTGCAATGTGCTTGCCTACTATCCTAGCATGGTGCACAGCTGCATCCACCCCGCACAGAGCCTGCCTGCTAACATACAGTCCTGGAAAGCATCCTGTGCAGAAAACTTCCCCACAGGATTTATGGGGAGCGATCTAATTATTCCACTCCATTCCACTCACTCCCATTATGCCCCCTATTTAAAGCCTCTATGGAAAAGGCCATTTATCTCCAGGGACAAATTGTCAGACCAGTGTTTTATGGATAGAAATACGCCCATTCTGTTTGGTAAAGCACCTGGCAAGATATAAACATATCTCCTTCTTAACAGGTCCAAGGAATTAGAGCCTCAGGGGTCCACATAATCCAGTGGGATCCCCTTACATTCAAGAAATGCTCACTACATTGGTTTGCTGAATGAGCATAGATTACTCCAGAACTCTCAACTTTAAACCATGCTCAGAGTATGGGAGAAGGATGAGCTACTAAGCTGGCTCAATTAGAGAAAGCCGTTCTTTACAACTGTAAGCTAACAGATGACAGAAGTCATCTTGAGCTGAGCAAGTGTCTTCTGCAACATGACCTGAGTGTGCCTACCCAGTTCTTCACACCCTAGAAACAGCCCTTTACAAGGATAGAACTCAAGTTCTGCCTCTCAGTGAAGTGGTCTATTCCTGGAGTCTCCTCTTCTTTTTGGGACATTTTGCTAAAAATTAAACCTTGAATATGTAACAACCCTATTTATATGCAAACACATGTGGGTCCTTTGTAGCATAGAAGCATTAAATACATTTGTTTATTTCTTCCTACAAAGCCATGTTTTTACACACACACACACACACACACACCCTTGGAGCCTATGTATTTGCTTTGGTGTGTGTATAAGGGCTTATAAGAAATTTGGGTAAATGTAACCTTGTAGGGACTCATTGAAGATTAATAGAGATGGTGGTCATTGCTGTTGAAGAAAAAACATACTCAGAATCACAAGTGTTGATTTGTCTTCCTCATTGGGATAAGGTTGAAAGGGACTGTTCTCTCCAAGAAAAAAATGTCTCCATGAAAAAATTTCCAAATTAGCTTTGCAGGTATTTTCCATGCAACAGGTGTCACTTGCAATTTTCACCATAGGTTGACATGGCTGCCCTCCTCGTTTCATGGGAGATGTAAAAGAATTTGCACCATACTTTGACATGGCTGCCCTCCCAGCTTCATGGGAGATGTAAAACAGCAGCAGCCCAAAGCCAGGCACCTCCTTAGAATTGAGTAGCACTTTGGTTTTTTTTTTTTTTTTGAGCATGATCCCATTCGGACAATGTTACTACAAGGAATGAAACGACTAATAATAATACTAAAAGTGTCAAGAGCAATACTGAAAAATGTCAGTATTTTTTCATTCAACCATGTCAGCAGCAAATCCAATCTGAAATATGCTGACAATAGTGGAGCTATGAAAACCAATATACTTGATGAGCCAGCCGTCCAATAAATTATACATGTGTACATATACATTTGTATGTACTTCACCCAGAAGTAAGAGACAGGGGTGAGGGGACTCTAGGAAGACATGTTACAGAATCAGTTAGTTTACACCCTACACTCTGTGCTCCTCAAATGAGGATTAAGCTTAATATTTTGTGGTGGGGCAGGCACCCCAGAGTGATCAAGGCACCCCAAGAAGGTCATGGTATCTTTCATCAGGACCTGAAATGCCATCGCAATTGGAAATCAGGACTAACATTATCCACAGCTGCCTCCCACAGTATGAGAAAGAAAATGACTCAGGTGTGCTCTAGAGGCCATATGATTTCCTTATCCCAAAATGTTGACTGTAGAACATTTTTAGACTTTAAAAGAAACTCACAACCTTTCTTATCTTTCCTTTAACTGCTCATTAGAGATATTTTTTTTTCAATATGGATGATCGAAAAGAAGAAAATAAAAATTGTCCATCATCCCACCATCCAAAGATTTCAACTAAGATTTTGGTATGTATAAGTGTGTGTGTGTGTGTGTGTGTGTGTGTGTGTGTGTGTCTTTGCTGTGTGACTACTCAGCTAACTAGCAAAGAGAAAGAGCTCATGACTTCCAAATCACTTCTCTCCCTAAAGCTTCTCAATTAGCTATAATATTAGAGAGCCTGGGACACCTGAGTTTCTTCCTCGTGTCTCATCAGTCCTGAGAAGGCATGTGTCTCTCTGTGCATGGTTGGGGACAAGGACAAGTGGATTTTTCAGTCACTCTCTATTACCAACAGAAGACTACTTTGCCAACGTCAGAAACCATGTGGCCCTCAGAGACAGAGTGTTTTTATTTCATGAGGAGTCATTTTTATATGTTTGATTATTTAACAGCATAGGAAAATATTTACAATTTACAATGAGGTGAAAAACAAGTTTGCCAAACAGATGCCAACTTGACTTAACTACGTGAACCAAAATATCAGTGACGACCAGCTCATGGAGGTGGAAGAGGTGAAAGTCTACTCTTTGTGCATTTCTGTATTTTCCAGAGTTCAACAATAAGCATGAATTGTCCTTTTACATAAAAAAGTGGTAATAATGGTAAAAATAATAGGCATGTTTTTTGTTGTTAGGTTGTTTGTTGTTACGTTTAGTGTGTTGGCTAAAAAATGTATCATGAAGTACGTAATGTAACCCTTTGCATTTGCCAAAGGTCAAAAGGGAGATGTCACCCTTTCCTTTCTTGGGACTTGTCTAGGGTTAGAATCACTGAGAAAAGTTTCTCCCTGAGGAGGTCTCACTGTTCAGAGATTTCTGCAGAGATGCTAAACAAGCTACAGGAAAATGCAGGGAAAGATGTACTTTTCATTTGTTTTGGTTACTTAAACATATATATTACTTCTTTTTTCTTTCCCAGATTTCCTGGGAAGAAAATGAGTTGTGGAACATTTTAAACAGCAGTTACCATTTACTGAGCTAAGTGCTTCATGTATGCAATCTCATCTATCTCCATTACTCAGTAAGGTAGGCACCATTCTTCTTTCCAACATTTAGGATAGAAGACAAGGAGCAGTTGATCAGAGGCAGAGCTGGGGTCAACTACAGATTTGTCTCACATAAAAGTTCATCCTCTTAACCACGATGACATACATACATAATTAGAAGAAAGCAAAAAACAAAAGATACAAGAATCCTGATTCCATTTTGGCATATATTCTTTCAGTCCTTTTTCCTACCTCCCATGTGAAAGGCTTTGTTCTAGGGGCTGGGGTGACTGCAGCGATCACAACATTAAAAATGCTGCCCTTGTGGAGCCCACATGCTCTGGGAGAGTCGTATTATGTACCAAGTACTATTTCTGGATTGTTTCTTTGTTCAATTATCTAGTCCTCTATCAGTACCATGCTGTTTTTCTATCGTAAGCTTCAGAATACATTTTAACATCTAGAAGGAAAAGTCACTTCCCATTGCTCTTTATTTCAATAAGTTCTTACTTATTCTCACTTTTTTTTTTTAAAGACAGGGTGTCATTCTAACAACCGAGATAGAAGGCAGTGGTGTGATCATGGCTCATTGCAGCCTCGACTTCCTGGGCTCAGGTGATTCTCCTACCTCAGCCTCCCGACTAGCTGGGACTACAGGTGCGCACCACCATGCCTGGCTAATTTTTGCAGAGACAGGGTTTTGCCATGTTGCCCAGGTTGGTCTTGATCTCCTGGACTCAAGTGATCTGCCTGCCTTGGCCTCTTAACATGCTGGGATTACAGGCATGAGCCACTGTGCCTGGCCTATTCTCACTCTTTTCACCAGTATTACAAAGAACATTCTCATAAATATATCTGTGAGCACTTGGATGGATTACATTCTTAAAATCAAGGAAGCGTATTTGCTGGGTCAGTGGGTATGTGCATTTAAAATATTCATCCCTTTCACCAGGTTAACCTCCAAAAAGGCTCATTCTGCTTTTTGTCCGTTTTAATACGGCTTTTTATCTTTTTATTATTGCCTCAGAACAGATCTTTGTATTCTGTGAATACTAACACTTTCATTTTCGAAAGTGTTGCAAATATTTTCTGTTTATCATTTTTATTTTGAATTTTGTTTATATGCCTTTTACCATGCAAAAGTTTTACAGTGTTTGGTAACTGACCGTATCGATCTATTTCTTTATTTTTTCCGGATTGGGCATTATGCTTAGAAAGATCCTCTACTGAGATGTAAAAGATCTCATGTACGTTTGTCTATAAAAGTGCTGAAGGAAACTAACGAAAAATGGATAACCAATTGTCCCGACAATATGTATTAAATAAGCTCTCTTTTCCAACCTAATTTGAAATGTTACCTTCATAATATACTAAACTCTCATGTATAACCCATTCCACTTGGAACTCTATTACTCTATTTGTCCATTCCTGCAACATTATGATATTTTTAAGGAATATGTTTTTATATTTAATAGAGTAAGCCAGTAGCCTCTCTCCCTATCAATTAGGGATAAAAAAATCCATTTGCTCTTTTGCTTATTAATTCTTCCATGCAATGTTTGGATTCAACTTTTCATTTAAAAATCATTTAGAATCTTGATTGAAGTTCCTTGGAATCTACAGTTTAATTGGGGTAGGGTTATATTTTGAACCTACCTTCTAAGACCTTGATATGTTTCTCCAAGTCTTACTTTAAAACATTAAAAAATTATAATAAATTTTCTTCTACATTTCTTGCTAACCTTATCCAAAGGCATTTTAAAGCTTTGCTTTTTATGGTGAGTGGCTCTTCCTTCACAACATTTTCCAACTTTTTGTTGATATGTAGATGATCGATTTCACAACATAAAAACATTTTATTCTTTTTCTTTCTTTCTTTTTCAGCTCTCCAAACTTGTAGTAATCTGAGTCTCCCTGGCTGCCTTCTACTGATGTACTTATAGGCACATGGCAGAAAGGATGTGAAATTTGGTACCAAAAACACATGTATTTGTGAACTTTTTGAACTTTTGGTTTGTTGTCTATAAAGTAGGCATAACAGTAACTGTTTAGTAACTTTTATAAAAATTAGAGCTTATGTGTGTTTTGTTTATCTGTGTTGAATGTCATTCATCACTTTTTGAATGCAGATGGCTGTAGGATTTTGTAAGAACACTCACATGATACTTTCTTAGAGGTGATATATTTACTTAAGTAGGTTAGTTACTATACAAACAGCCTCCAAATTTCAGTGGGTTAACACAATAAAATGCATTTTTTGCTTATAACCAGTCTATTGTGAGTATTTCTGCTCAGCTGTCTCTCTACGGCAGCTCTCCTCCAAGGGACAACTTGGGAACCCAGTCTCCTTTACCCGATGGCTCCATACTTGTCTGCATCCTCGGGCCATGTCAGCTCAGCCAGCAGATGGGAAAGAAAGACCATGGAGTATTGCCTAGGAAGCCCTCACGCGCCAGGCCAAAAAGGCTCTTTGTCATCTCCCCTCTCTTCTGCTGGCTTGAACACACTCACATGGTACGTCTAACTGCAGAGGATTCTGGGAAATATCTCCTGGTGATGTGCCTGGGAGAAGAACTAGTTTTGTTAAGTAGGGAGCAGTCTCTGCCATACGTACTATTTGGAGAAATGGGAGAGGGCGCTCATGTCCATGTGGTTACTGTTTGGAGAGAGGAGAGAGACCACATGTGCCCATGTGGTTGGTCTGAAAACAGTCCAGGAAAATGGAGAGGATCCCTATGTAAGCGAGACCCATCCTCCTATGCCAGTTTTCCACTTCCTTTTCTTCATGAACTGGGTGACCTATGGTTTATTTTTAGCAAAACCAGCCCTACCATGATTTTTTGGATTGTTTTTTAACCCTGTCTAATAGGAGGTTGGAGGACAACAGGGCAGAAGCCCAGTGTATTGCTCCAGTTTATGAGAAGGCACCTGCCACCCATTCCAGGAGTTTCCCTGCAAATGGAGTCTCTACTTTCTCCACAACCAAAGTGCCACTGGCTCTCTCTGTTTTCCCCGCCTCCCCTCGCCTATCTGGGCCCATCAGCAATTCCTCCCCATGGGAATTCTCTGGCTTACCTCAGTTTTGGAAAAGTGATACCGATAATAATGGCCACAATGGCTAACCGTTGCTGATTCCTTATGCCATACCAGGCACCGTGCAAACATACTCTGCACTGATTTCATTTCTTCCCACCAGTTCTATGAGGGAGGCACTTTTATTACTCCCATTTTTAGGTGAGGAAACTGAGGTCTAACCCAACAGGATGAGTAACCTACTTAAGTCCACCAATTGGTAGTAGACAAGATTTGAACACTAGGTCCAATCTGCCTGCAGACTCCTCAATATGAATGACTACAGCAACGAGTTTAGAAGTGCTCCCCATTGCTCTGAGTTTAATGTCTAAACTTCTTACCCCACCTAACAATTCCCTCCTCATCTGGTCTCTGATTTTCTTTCTGGACTCACCTCTTGCCAAGGGTGTTCACACACATATATGCACATATACATGTGCACAAACATGCACACACACACAAATACATTTGTACATGTGCAAACATACATGTTCACACACATGTATACAAACACACTCACATATAGATGTGCACCTACACACAAAGGGAATTTCGTCCACTTGGGCCATGTTAACATTTCATTTCCTCTTGTGACCCATGCTCTCTGGCCTTTGGACCTATACCTACACATACATATTGGGCACCTACTAAATGCCAGGCACTCTGCTAGGTGCTAGGGATGTCAAAGTAAACAGGACAAGTCAATAATTTGCCTTTATAAAGTCTGTATTTTTACGGGGGAAATAGGTAATAAACAAATGAAATAGAAGTTCGTATTTTGGGGTATTGCTTAGCATTATGAAGTTACATAAATCAGGATAGGGGATTAGAGGGTGGTAAAGGATGGGCCTGTTTTAATCAGGGTGCTCAGAGAAGGCCCACTCTAGGGAGTGAATATTTCAGTCAATGGGAATCTCCACTGCAATAAGAATGGTGGCCCCATAAAGCTGGGGAAGAAAACCCAGCCGAGGCAGAAGGAAAAGCAAATGCAAAGGCTTGAGGTGGAGATGAGCTTGGCCTGTTTATGGAACAGAGATCAGGCCCATGTAGCTGGAAAGAAAAGAGCAAAGCAGAAGTGGTTGCAGATGGGTCCGGGTCACATAGAGCCATGAAAGCTATGGTAGGAGTTGGGCTTTCACCCCCACACACCATGGTAGGTACTGGATGGTTTTAAGTCACATAATGACATGACCTGATTTACATTTTAATAAGATCACTCTTGCTGCTCTTTTTAAATGCCAGCTTACCTTGATGCCCTGAAAGTTTCCCTTCCAGCCCTGTTTTAAGATAGCATAAACACACAATGACAATTTGATTTTAAAATTCCATGTCTCATATAAACTGTGGCAAACCTGTGCTATAGATGACAACAATATAATCCAGCCACCACAGCAAACAGATGCACTAGTCCTGAGTATATTTTGGAAATTGGAAATGAGCATTTTGTAAGGGTCTGAGTGGGACTAAGTTTGGCATCCAGTCTCTAGGTCAAGTCAAACCCTGCTGGACCTGTTTTAAGTCAGAGCAGGTGAGCCCATTTGACACCTAGGTTGGCATTGGACGTGTAAATAGGTAAATTTCTCAAAAACTTTAAGCCACTTTTTAAAAATCTCTTAAAAATTTGTTTATAACATTTTAAAAAAACATGCATCGACTTTTTTTTTTCTTGAGGTAGTAGATCCCCCTGTGAACTGTGAAACATGGCTTCTTTCTAATTTAGTTGTTTTTTGCAGGTGTGGTGTTCTTTGATGCACCATCCCACCCTAAAACAAATGGAAACTGACACTGCTTCTGTAAGAAGAGTGTTAGGAGACAAAACCCTGGAAAGAGCTGAGGCTTGCAAAAAAAAAAATACGGACGATAAAAAGGGCTTTTTGAGCTATGTTTGGACGGAGAAGGAAAAGGAAGGGATCGGGAGCAGATGATGCAACTCGAACAGATGACAGTAAGAAAGCAGAAGTTCTCCACTCTTATTTTGCTTCTACCTTCTCCCTTGAGGAACAAGGTCTTAAGGCTGGAAAGAATCAATCATGCATTGTGCAGAACAAATTTAAACATTAATTTTGGAATAGGAGTACAGGGCTTTTGCAGACACCAGGGATAATGACTCAGATGACTCCAGAGGCCAGACAGGTAAATGCAAGCATGAAGTGTGCGTAGATCTGACTGTGTAGAGATAACTGAGAGGACCGAGGGAGTAGGGGCCTGAGGACCTCAGCTACTGCCCACTCTAGCCCACCACAGTAGCCGTGAAGACATAGAGAATGTTGTCCAAGAATATATGATGGGCTGTCCAAAGATTGGACAATGCTGTCCAATCTTTGATTCTTTTTCAACACAAGTCAACACCTTGAATGATTTCATGCTTGCCCTGCCCAGATTTTTAAATGTCAGTAAGGAACTCAGAATTTTTCGAAATGCTGTACAGACCCAAAGAACACCTGTCTGCAGAGTAGACTCAGCCCAAGGCTGCCATTTTGGAAATTCTGCTCAAAATAAATTCAGCTCTTCAGGGTACCTGGCAAATGACATAACTGAAAACCATGACAACTGGTAGTAGAAAACAAGCTACACCATGGGTCAGAGGGGACTGCTGTTCAAGGTTTCTGAGAGGGTCAAGGTCGATTCCCAAAATTAGACACGTCCCTGACCCTGATTCCAGAAAATTCCAGGACAGGTTACAGCAGATGGCGAATATGACAAGAAAGTAAGTCATGGGACCTGTTTCCCACCATGGCTTGTGTAAGATTAAGTACTTTTAAAAAGGGCCACTAGACTAGAAGTTCAAGGAGATGATACAGAAATGACCTCAAAAGAATGTGACAGTATCTCAGCAATGAGAAATGTGGCTGAGTATATAGTCATTTTAGATGAACTTCTAGGTGGATAGTCATCCAGATCTCAAACATGTTGGTTAATGGACCAACAGCCACCAGGGAGAAGGTCCTGAGCAACCATCCTATGAGGGTTCAACATTTTAAGAATAGTTGTCCCTGGGTATCTATGGGGAATTGGTTCCAGGGCTCCCCTCAATGCTGACAATACCAAAATCCATGGATGCTCAAATCCTTTATATGAAATGGCAACTTGGAACCCATGGATACAGAGGGCCAACTGTATTTTCATTACCTTTCTGGATGAAGAACTGATGGCAGAGTAGGTCTTAAAAACATATTTAAGGGCAGGGCGTGGTGGCTTATGCCTGTAATCCCAGCACTTTGGGAGGCTGAGGCGGGCAGATCGCTTGAGCCCAGGAGTTTGAGACAAGACTGGGCAACATGGCAAGACCAGTCTCTACAAAAAATACAAAAAATTAATTGGGTGTGGTGATGTGTGCCTGTAGTCCCGGCTACTCGGGAGGCTGAGCTGGGAGGATCTCTTGAGCCCCAGAGGTGGAGTTGCAGTGAGCCGTGATCCCGTGATCGCACCACCACACTCCAGCCCGGGTGACAGAGCGAGACCCTGTTTCAAAAACAAACACAAAAATAAAAATAAAGAAAAGAAACATACTTGTAAACACATATTATTATTTTTTTAAATCAGACTGATCTGTGTGTACGTTTCACCTTCACCATCATGAGCTTTGTGTCCTTGGCTGCATTACTTAATCTCTCTGACCTTCAATATCCTCTCCAGCAAAGAGGGAGCTGTAGTAGGGTCTATCTCCAATAGGTATTGTGAGGAATAAATGGGGTGGTACAGGAAAAGAGCTTCATATGTCACCTCCCTTGGGAAAAGTGCCTAATATATGTCAGCAGGCTTAATGATCATTGTTATTATGATTATGATGGATACATTTGCAAATATTAAATCTTTTTGCAGATCTCTTGGGCTTGGCAAACTTGTATTCATCTGTAATTCCTTCATTGTTGAATAAAAGGATGAATGAATGAATGAGTGACTCTGTTACCCACAGTGAGAATTTCAAGCTTAGAAGATAAAGTAACAGGGCTGGACAGTTTTTCTCGCTTTTAGGGATCTCCAGACAAGTCCAGCCTTACTACCTGGCCTTCTACAATCACTGATGAAACACAGGGTTACTTTCCCTGAATCAATGAGGCTCGGAATTCCTCTGGACCTCACTCCCTCTAGACCCACCCTCTCAGACTTGTCTCAGCACAGGTAACTGAAGGGCACCTGGCAGGCTGCAGGGTGACATGCTCTGAAATCTGTGTGAATGAAGGATGACTCATGGGTTTAAATGATGTCCATTAATGCCATCCTGAAAATGAAATTGCCTCACTCTCAGTAATGGTGTTCTTCAGGTTTCATCTTGGCAGACTGGTTAGGGCTTTGTGTTGAAACGAGCAAAGAAAATATTCAAGCATCTTGAGTAGCAGTCCTGGGATTAAATAATAAAAAGAATCCTGAATTAGATCCACCGTCTTATACTCATCAAGGAGATCCCGGAGGCAAACTTTGGATCTTCCTCAGGTTGGCACCTTCAGCTGCATGATGCTGTCTACACACCTGGTGGTCAGCAAAGATTTTTGGAATGCATGTACTGATTTTCAAATGTTCTGCACATAAATAATGTGTGTGATGCTTGACAGCAAAAACCTTAAGAGAAGACTGTGTGTGTTGAATTATTTGGAATCTTAGAAGACCACCTAATGTGGTACCTTTTATGCCATGGGGAATAATTATCTCATGCAACAGACACCGGGTATTTAAGATCCATTATTACTCATGTTCATCTTTTCCCCTGCCCGCGACACCAAAGTGATAGCTGCAGTGTTCCATATGGACACGGATCTGTGGCTTTTACCAGTGTGGAAGAGGGGACCACGGAGGAATCAGGTTTCCAGAGGGGAACAGAATCTTGGAGCTTGAGGCCTGCCTAATTCAGTCTCTGCTATTCCTACATTCACTCCTGGCCGCCTCCAAGCCATGCCCCTAAGCTGAAACTGGAAAGATCTTTTCAATATTAGAATATGATCTTGTTGTCACCCCTGTTTAAAACATTATTTTGTCTTTCCATTGGGCCCAGGATGCTGATCAAACCCCTTACAGTGGCCTCCAAGGGTCCCTCCCAAATTCATCATTCCCTTCTTACTTGTTCCTCCCTCCTTCAAATTCCAGCTCAATTTCATTAGGGGGTCCTCTCTGACCTCCCCAGTTAAATAAAACACCCCTATTACAGTCTCTCACTGCCTCAATCATACAGTCACCCTTACATGTGTACTGCCTCACACCCTTCTAGATGGGAATCTGCAAGGGGGCAGGCACGCAGCTGCTTTGCTCTCCAATGGCATGCATTGAGTGCTTATTGTATATCAGGTACTGTGCTGGGTGTTTTGCAGGCATGAAAGAATCTCCCTTATTGCAGGCAGTGATCTTATGAATTAGGAAACTGAGGCATAGAGAAATCGAGTAATTTGTCCGAAACCATACAGTGTGTAAGTAGGATGTGAACCCAGGTGATTCCAGAGCTCGTGCCCTTAACCTCCAAGTCAGTGGTTCTCAGAATGGGGTCCCTGAGAGCAGCAGCATCAACATTACTTGGGCCTTGATAGAAATGCAGATTCTCAGGGCCCACCCTGGACCTCGTGAATCGGAAACTCTGGGGCTGGGGCCCTGCAGTCTGCGTCCTAACAAGCCCCCCAGTGATGCCAGTGTATGCTCAAGTTTGTGAACCACTGCTCTAAGTGTTATTCCCTTCTTGTTATAGCTCCACATACTAGGCACTTAATAAATGTTTAAATATGGAGGGGAGGAAGGGAGAGGGGGAGAAAGGATGCAGGCAGGCAAACCTCCTCTCAAATAATATTCTCAAGTAAGTGCATGATGCTTTGGGGGTGGTGGTCGTGGGGGGGTGGTTGTGGCTTGACCATGCTTTAATCTCCAAATTGCAAAAACATTAACATTATTGATTGATCAGACATCAATCCAACAGAAATTTAATTAAATTAGAATGTGTCACTGAGCAGACCTGGGTGCATCATGCATAAATCTCAGGTAATAAGTTGACAAAGAGACAGCAGCCATTGGTGCCTGGGTTGGCTGAATTTATTCTCCGCCATTTTCTCTTCCCGGGCTGCAGAGGGCCCTGCACATACTCACGAGAAGGTACAGGTGAAATGGGGTGAGCTCCTGATTTATGACACCCACGGAGTCCCCAGCAGCCCAGGCGTCCAAGAAGTGCCTTCCCCTGTGTGATTTACTGCTGCCCTGGGCCGGCCAGACGGCACTGGGGGGATGCCCCTGCCTGTGTCCAGCCCTCAACTAAAATGCTGACTCTGCTTAGATCTCCTGGGTGAGAGGATTAGCACTTGGGGTGTCCTCATGGCAAATGTGTCCTCTGGAGGGAGCCAAGTCCGTGGAGGGTGGGAGACCTGCTCTTGTTTGGCCCGTCTGCTCTTGCCTCAAGAATGTATTTTGGTGTCAGTGAACGACTGCACCTGCTGTCCCAGAAACAGGTCTGGAGCAGCCCCAGCATGCTGCAGCCTCAGGGCAAACCTGGCCTTAACCTGCTCAGCCCCAGCTCACCCTGGGCAGGCCAGGGGTGTTGGCATTGAGGGGCAGTCAGAGTCTGCCAGGATGGTGCAGACAGTGGTAACGTGGCCCCCATGCCTGGGAAGTTTCAAATCCTTTGGGGTAGAGGAAGGGGGTGGCTGAGGATAAGATAATCCAGGGGGCAGAAAAGAAACCAGAGAAGCCAGAGAAGCTCCATGGAGCATTATAAATCACCCGGGCTATTCTTGTCCTTGGTCAGGAAGGCTACATGCAGGAGACCCTTCTAATGGCGACCTCTTGTACTTAATCCTCCTGCTTGCTTTGATTGCCTTCAATCAATCGTGGGCTCACACTTCCTTTTTAATAGCCATCTTCCATATAAAGAGTGATGTTGTTTGACAAGCAGATGTTTTGTAGAGGCTACAAGCTGTCCTTATGCTAGCAGGCATTTATTCCTTAGCCACCCCACACCCAATCATGTGTCCCAAGTGCCCAAGGGCCCAACTCATGCGTTCCTCTAAAGCAGAGGTTGCAAACTGGAGCCCTGCAAGCCCCATCCAGCCCACTGCCCATTTTTGTAAATACAGTTTTATTGGAACATAGCCATGACCGTTCATTTACATTGTATATGGCTGCTTTCATTCCTCAATGGCAGAGTTGAGCGGTTGCAACAGACAGTCTGGACCACAAAGCCAAAAATATTTAATATCTGTCCCTTTACAGAAAAAGTTTGCTGATTCTTACACTAAATAAATGGTGAGTGGTTAAAAACATAAGCTCGGGATTCAGACAGATCTTGTTTGATGACCAACTCTCCCGCCTATTACCTGGGTGGCTTTAAGCAAGTAGTTACCTCTCTGATCTCAATTTCCTCCTCTATAAGTAGAGATGATAAAATTGTCTACTTCATTGAACAGTATGAAGATGAAACAAATTACAACTGAAAAAATGGTCATTGCAGAGCTAGGTATTTTTATATGCAAGGTCTCATTTATTTATTTATTTATTTTTAATTTTTATTTTTTTCTGAGACAGAGTCTCACTCTGTTGCCCAGACTGGAGTGCAGTGGCGTGATCTCAGCTCACTGCAACCTCTACCTCCCAGGTTCAAGTGATTCTCCTGCCTCAGCCTCCTGAGTAGCTGGGATTACAGGTGCCCGCCACCTTGTCTGGCTAATTTTTGTATTTTTAGTAGAGACAGGGTTTCACAGTGTTGGTCAGGCTGGTCTCGAACTCCTGACCTCGTGATCCACCCACCTCGGCCTCCCAAAGTGCTGAGATTACAGGCTTGAGCCACCGCGCCTGGCCTACAGGGTCTCATTTAAACTCATAAACCACCTCATGACAGGGCACATTTTGTTCCCATTTTACAGACATAAGTTATCTTAAGTTTAGAAAAGTGAATAAGGATGGGAACATATAATCTCTACCTCGCTCAGAAACGTGCGGTCTGCTCCTTCTGCTCGCCATCCTCCAGGCTCTCAGGCCATGTCAGGCATTTGTAAAGAAAGACATTTCATCACAAGACCAACACTGGCATTTTTCCGGGATGTGCTTACATTTGGAACATGAAAAATGTCCCAATAGATCACATGAGCGGCGGAGATAGGAACTCTGGTTCTGAGGAAGTGGGAACTTCCTTGAAATGTCCCTTTCCTTTGTCCTCTGAACCCCAACACTTGCCCTGCTCGGATCCTTGCCAATGAGGACGCCCATCCGCCCTTTCCTGGCAAAGTTAGGGGATGGGTCCAGGGCAGGTCATGTTACTGAGCCCCCCCAGGGGCTCAGCTCAGAGGGCCCAGGGGACCAGGATGGCAACTAGGGCATGGCAGAAAGAGCTGCCCACTCCACTGTGGGCTAGAGAAACAGCTAGGGAAGCAAAAGGCCATGTACCAGCCCCCACCACAAGTTCCTGGAGGGCAGGTCCATATCTTCCAATGCAAATACAAATACTATTACTAAACAACAGCAGCCAACTCATTCAGGTACTGTGCTAAGCATATTTTATTTAGTTCTCATAGCAACCCAGTGGAACTTACTGGGTATTATTCTTCCCATTTATCAGCTGAGAAAACTGAGACTTAAAGAGTTTAAGAATTGGCTTCATGTACTACAGGAAAGACAGCCAGGATTCCATTGTCCAACACGATGCTGGGGCCATAGAAGGCACTCCCTCTTGAATCTGTTGAATGGGTGGATGGATGGGTGAACGGATGAATGGATGACTGAAGTTTAGCTGACGCCAGAACTAGTGTGTTTTACTGCTATTTGTCACCATTTCTCATCCATCTCTGTATCCCAAGAACCTGATGCAGTGAGAGGCACTCAAATTATTCAGTTAACTGGAAAAGAATGAATAAAGTATCTTATATAATGCATGGAAGATGGTAGCAATGAAAGCTACCATCATCGTCATGTTCATATCACATCACCTCCCACCCTAGTCTTCACCATCATTCTTGCAGATGTGTGTTTAATTACCAGGTCCATGCCATCTTTTAGGTACACATTTGCTGGACTTTCCTACCTGGCCTGCCTTCCTGCTGACCACTCCCACGCCTGTGGAGGAAGGAGGCATACCTGCAGGGTAAGATGGAGAGGCAGAAGGAGCAAGTTCCTGTGCTTTACAGCAGAGCTTCTCTACCCATTAATCTGCTTACTTTTTTCCTTATCTTACAGATACAAAACATCTAAGCAGTCATGAAGAGCACGACAGAACCCTCAACTCCAAATTCTCAGCACTCCCTGTTATTTTTTCACACTTTCCAGATGTAAAAAACTAAGGTTTAGGCAGAGCACAATGGCTCATGCCTATAATCTCAGCACTTTGGGAGGCCAAGGCAGGCAGATTGCTTGAGCCCAGGAGTTACAGCTCAGGCTGGGCAACATGTCTTTTGTAAAGACAGGCTAACTCCTGTCTCTAGAAAAAAACCCACAAAAATTAGTTGGGCATGGTGGTGCACACCTGTAGTTCCAGGTGCTAGGGCGGCTGAGGTAGGAGGATGGCTCCAGCCCTGGAAGCAGAGGTTGCAGTGAGCTGAGATCATGCCATTGCACTCCAGCCTGGGCATCACGGCAAGGCACTGTCTCAGAAATGCAAACAAACAAAAAAACCCAAACAAGTAAAAAAGCCCTGAGGTTTGCTGATGTCATAGTGTTTGCCTAGGACAGCTGATAAGTGGTCATGTCAGGAATGTCACTATATAGGTAATCCAATTTCTTCTTTATTGATCTGTATTATCAAATTTTCCATAATGGGTACAATAACAATTATTGTTAGAAGAAAAAACTTTTACCAGGTGATATGAGTGACATCACTGACAACTTTGGGGAAAATGGCCTTGCTAAGTGCAGACATGCTTTCTCCCTCATGCGTAAGACAAAGTGTAGCTTTCTAGTTAGGAAAGACTCCACAGCAATTTTTCCTTGCTTCTCCCCTAATGCTGCAGGCCTTGGCTTCAGCCTGACCTCTCTTTCCCTCTCTTTCCTTTGCTCTGGAATGGTTTACAAGGAGCCACCATATGTAAGCATCTAGATCAGATTTTATGGAAATATTTAGATGACTCAAATCCCCAGTCAACCCTCAAGCAGCTCAAAGGCTGATAATGGAGAGAAGAATAAATATATTACAGGGCTAAATTGACAAAATGCCATTAGAGACCCAGCAATTCCACTCCTGGGAATCTACCCAAGAGAAATGAAGATTCGTGTCTACATAAAGACTTCTATGTGAATTCACTCATAAAGACATTATTCATAATAATCAAAAAGTAGAAATATCCCGAATGTCCATCAACTACTAAAGGGATACCCAAGATATGTTCTATCCATACAATGGAATACTATTCCATAATCAAAAGAACAAAATACAAATGCATGCCACATCAGGGGGAAACCTCGAAAAGATATACTAAGTGAAAGAAGCCAGGTACAAAGAGCAATGTTGTATGATTCCATCTCTTTAAAATGTCCACTGTAGGCAAATTTATACAGACAGGAAGTAGATGAGTGGTTGCCTAGGGCTTGGAGGCAGAGAAGAAATGGGGAGTGACTGTTCATGGGTATGGAGTTTCCTTCTAGGGTGTAGAAATGTTCTAAAATTAGAGTAGGGCGATGGTTGTACAACTCTATACATATACAAAAGCCCATTAAATGTCACACTTTAAATTGGTGAATTTTATAGTAATGTATATAAATTGTACGTCAATAATGTTAGAAAAGAAGGAAAGAAAGAGAGAAAGAAAGAAAAAACCCTGCCATGGAGAGGGAACAAGCAGTAAAAGAGCATGAGTTCCTGTCCTGGAGAGATTTGGGTAGTCAGTGATTGAATGGGTGTGTACCGAGGCCCGGTACCATATGGCGCACCAGCCAGTGTGAACACAACACAATTCTGTCCTATGGAGCTTACATTCTGGTGGGAAGGACTGACGCTAAGCAAATAAATGTACAGACTACAGGTTGTGATAAGGGGAACGAAGAAAAGTAGAGTGAGGGGACATGGAACTGGGGATGCCTTTTTTGATGGTGTCGATGGCCATCTGGTCGTTCACACCCCTGGCTCAGCGTAGGGATAGTCCAGACACATCGTGGGAGGAACAGCCACAGGCAGTCATATCCTCTGTGGAGGGGGAGGGAGTCCTCATTTCTCTTTGCAGGTCCCAGATGTCTGCATGCCCACAAAAGGAATGAATGGAGGAACTCTCTCAAGATGCCAAAATCCACGGTGGCAACCCAGGCATTTAATATAACAATGATTGTTCCAGGAACTTCACTCCTTTTAACAATTCAGGGTCCGTCCTAGAGGAGTGGGGCTACCTCTGGGCCTCTTGCAGCAGGAAGGACACAATCATAGCCTCTCATGGGTGCAAACAGCAAGCGGATGTTGCCCTTTGCAAACAGTTGGGAAAACCATAAAAAATGCACAGCCTTTGCCAAACAATGTCAGATAAAATGGCATGGAGAGAGGACACATCTACCAGCCTCCTACCCACTGCACGATTCAGGGCATGCAGACCTCAGCCTCTCTCCTGAGTTCAGCACTCCAGAGCAGGCTGTGGAAAGGGCACGGGGTGAGCATGTCTTTATGACATTATTGATTTATTCTCCACCTGCAGTTAAAAACCATGCCCAGACAGACAATAAAAATAAGTACTTAACCGTATCGCAAGCTCTGCCGACTGAAATGGATTTTACACTTAAAGATACAGCTGATCTGGGTGAGGGCTTTAATGGCACTTTTGAGTTTTAAATTTAAAAAAAATCAAATCTTTGGAAAAATTAAATGAGAAATCATCAGTGTTGCCCTTTGTGGGATTCTTCTCATAACGTCTCCAGGCTCAAGGGATTGGGGGTTATGGTTTATAAAGTGGTCGAGTGGGGAGGAATTACGGCAGGTAGTTTATTTAGTAGGGATGAGCATTCTTATGTCTATAAGGAAAGGGAGAGGGCAAAAGACAGAGGGCACAGGAGAGAGGAAGATGGATAATCTCCTAGAAGGAAAGAGGCAGGGGAGAGGAAGAAATGATGAGGAAATAGGAGAAGGAATAGAAGGAGGTGGAGGGATAACCTAGAATTATTTGTGGTCTTTAAATTAAAGCTCAAGGGCTACCCCCTCCTCCAAATCTCTCTACATGGCATAGAAGAAAATGATCCTGCTGGAAACCTTAACGCATTTTGTATTCGCCTCTTTGGGGGAAATTATCCTTGCCTGGTTGTACTATTACCATTTATAAAAATGCCTATCTCCCCTGCAAAGGGCAGAAATCATGCTTGATGAATCCACATATTTCTATCCCTCATATGTATTAAATGGTGAGAGATGGCTGAGCAAGTGCCTGGCTGGCTGGGCAGACAGACAAGCCAGCAAGGGTGGATGTTAAAATCCGAGGCAAGGGGAAGGGAATGGTGTGGGCTCAGGTGCTTTCTGCCAAGCCCAGCATGCTTGCTTTCGATCCCCATAAAAGGCTGATAAGGTTGGGCTAGGAGACGTGCAGGGAGAGCCTCAGGTGTTAATATAAATGGGTTCAAATCACAGCGTTGGAATCTGTCTGTCTGATACCTCATTCTTTTTCTTTTTTTGTCCCATCTGGATGCCACACTCCTTCTTGTTGAATATTTATTTTTTGCTGGTGAAGGAGGAAATCCTTGAGCATGAGCATGACCCAGACCTACTTTTTGGAGGCAAGAAGGGACCATCCCATGTCAGGAAATCAAGGATAAGATTCCTCCTCACCCCCATTCTGAGCCATGTCTAGAGCCTGTTGCCATCACTGTATCAGGAGAGATCTAAAAGCAAAGGAGTGTGATTCACCATCATCTAATTCAAATACACATCCTAGCAACTAGAAATGTGTGCATTAATCCAACAGAGATCAAAGAACCTCCCATGCTTTGTAGACACTGTGCTGGTAGCAGAAGATGTTCATTCTGTCTATCGCTAACAGTAAGGCAGTGCACACATGGCCTTGGCCTCACCAGGCATCCCGACCAAAGCGCTTCTGGAAGCCTCCTCTCCAGGGCTTGTGCAGCTCAGCAGTGTCCCTTCTCTTTGCCTTTGTGGCATCTCATAATAAACACAAACTCGAGTTTAGAAGAATTGGAAGGAAGATTAACAATTATCCGTTGCTAACACTCTGCCAGGTATGGTCCTAGGTACTTCCTAGAATTAGCTTTAAAATAAAATAAGAAAAAATATATATATTATTAATTAATTCTCAGACCCACATATATATGTGCATATATATATGGAGATATATATATATATGTATGTATATATATGTGTGTGTGTGTGTGTGTGTATGCAAGAAAGAAGTAGATTTGGGAGGCAAATCCAGGTCTATGTCCAGGATCTTAAACGAACAATGCACTTCACTCTTTCAAATATCCATGTACACTTTATATATTTTCAAATGTCTGTGTATATTTTCTGCCTGTCTATCGATCTATCTATCCATCTGTCTGTCTGTCTATATGGCTCTGAGTAGGAAGGAACATGAAAGAATTTCCTGGGGGAGATGGAGATGGAAATATTTTAACTATTCATAAGGGTGTGGGTTATGTGGGGCTCATTTCTTTGTCAAAATTGGGCAGCTAAGATTTGTGCATTTCAATGTATATAAATTTCACCTTAAAATCTGTAAAAATGAATAAGGATTAAGTGGGGGTGTGGAGTGAAGCAAGAATGGCAGAATGACAACCATTCTTAAAGCTGTGTGATGAGTTCATGAGGGTTTGTTACACTTGTTGCAGGCAGAATCCTAAGACGACCCCTGTGTGGCCTGTGCTCTTGTAAAATCTCTTTCCCTTGAGTGGGGTCAGGGCCTGTGAATATGATGGGATATTATTCCTGTGATTATGTTACATTAGATAGAAAAGGTGCAGGGATATTTTTCAAATGTAATCAAGGTCCCTAATCAGTTCGACTTAATCAAAAGGGAGATGATCCTAGGTGGGCCTGACCTAACCAGGTGATGGCTTGGAAGAGAATTTAAGCTTCCCCGAACTCTGAGACTCAAAGCAGCAGAAACTTTCTCTTGCTGGCCTCAAAGAATTAAGCCTCCATGAGTTTTTAGCTGGAAGGGAGTTCTGTCAATAACCACGTGAGCTTAGAAAAAGACCTGGAGCCAGAGATGAGACCCTCTTGATTGCAACCTTGTGAGTCCCTGGCCAGGGAACACAGGTAAGTCATGCCCAGGCCCCTGACTCATGGAAACTTTGAGATAACAAGTGAGATAAAACTGTGGGATAATATACTGTGAGATAAATAAATGTTAGCTGCTGAATTGATGGTGATTTGCTACACAGCAATAGGCAACTGATACAATACTTTACATATGTTTAAATTTTTCTGCAATAGAAAGTTCAAACAATGAAATGAAGTGTGCATCGACATTTGAAAGAGTGAAGTGCATTTCTTAAGATTGGGACATAGACCTGGATTTGACTCCCAACTCTGCTCCTTTCTTGCATTGTGGTCTTGGCAAATTTACATGTTCTCTCTGACCCTCAGATTTTTCATCTTCCAAATGAGAGGGAAAGGAGGATTCACTCCTAAGAAAGTTGTGAGGGCGAAAAGGAGCATCTGGATATTCAAAGTGCCTACCTATGTTAGGGGGGAAGGCAGAGACAACTGTGGTGAGAAGGCTGACAAGATGACAGTGAGTGAGTAGACTTGGAGTCACATGGTACCAGGCTGCTGTCACCCATTACCTGGGTAACCTTAGGCAATGAAGCCTGTCATCTCTGTGCCTTGGTGTCTCCATCACTGACATTTTTTAAAAAATGTCATTTCCTGCGGGAGCTCCTGTGTGCAGGTCTGAGGAGAGTGGCCTTTGAGAGTCGCGTTATCATCCACGGCCATCTTATAGGTCTTTTCTGGGCATCTTGCTCCAGAAGGTCAAGTGCCATCCACACCTGCCACAGGTGATGAGTCCCACCTCAGGGACATCAGGCATTTCTGACAAGGCCAATAGAAGTCCCCAGAACACTCCAGGGCAAGAGGGGAACAAGGATGCTAGCAAAGCAATGGTTGAAAGGACCCAGAGTGGGAACTGATACAATTACGTTAATTTGAACTTGGCAATGGCTGAAGCTGTCAATGACACTCCTCTTCTTGGGGAAAAGGTGCCACTGGATCATTTTAATGACCACCAGAGCCTCTGTCATGCTTTGTGGCCAAAAGATGCCACTTCAAGAGAAGCAGGACCCTGGAGCATGGGTTTGAGGATGGGCACAGATTTGCTGAACAGAGAAATTGAAGTGGCTGTTCAGTCGCCCAGTGGGTAGGGCCAGACGGATCAGCTTTGCACAGAATAAAGAAGGCCAGCCTCCACGAGCCTGGCTGTCTTGCGTAGGAAACATCATTTGCCTCATATTCTCTTCCAGCATGAGAAAACCACCTTGAAAGCCTGTGTTCACAGTAGGAGAGGAACTAAGTATTTACTGAGTTTGTACCACATGACAAGCATGGTCACAGTTGCCTTATGAACACTTAGAGCCTTAACATTCCTATAGCTGCTTTTGTTTCCTTAATCAACCCTGGTTTTCTCTTCACCTGAATTATCCATGTATTCGTATCTTATTTATTCTGTGAGATTCTGCAAGCTGCTTGAAATTCATTGTGGAATTAAGTGACATTTTTTTTTTAAATTTTTTTTTGATATGGAGTCTCGCTCTGTTGCCCAGGCTGGAGTGCAGTGGTGTGATCTTGGCTCACCACAACCTCCGCCTCCTGGGCTCAAGAAGTTCTCCTGCCTCAGCCTCCCTAGTAGCTGGGACTACAGGCGCGTGCCACCAGGCCAGCTAATTTTTGTATTTTTAGTAGAGACGGGGTTTCACTATGTTGGCCAGGCTGGTCTCGAACTCCTGACCTCGTGATCCTCCTGCCTCAGCCTCCCAACGGCTGGGATTACAGGTGTGAGCCACTGCGCCTGGCCGTGACTTTTAAGGTAATAAACAAATACTCAGAGCTGGGTATGATTAACTCTTTTATAAATAAGAAGACTAAAGCTTAGAGAGCACCTTGCCCACAGCCTCCAGACTACTGAGTAGTGAAACTCAAATGTCAAACTTTGTCAATATTTCCAAACTCCCTTCCCCGTCATCCTGTGCTACAGGTTACAATGGCCAATCCTCAATCACAGTTAGCCTTGAGCGAGGCCTTGTGATTTGCTTTTCACACATTCCTGTGTCCACACTTTACAGGGCTACAAAGAAAGTTTCCTATTTTCTCATTTTATAGATGTGGTAGAGTCTACAGGAGCTCAGGAAGCTGCTCAAGGTCAAATGGCCAAGAGTGGTGGGACCAGAATGGGAGTCCAGGCAGTTTGTTTCCAAAGCCTACAGTCATCCATGGCTACCGGGTTCCAACAGAGAAGAACACAATCACCACTGTCAGCCACAATCACTAGCAGTGGGATAGGTCTTAGATGTGGCAATGCTGGGACCCCTGTGAGAGTCTATTTTGACTCTTTATTTATAGGATCTTGTACCATCCCAGAGAACCACCCCTGTATACCACACAATCACTTGTGTACTATCCCCGTGTGTCATTCCAGTGTTCTCTCCTAGTGTTCCATCCCAATGCCAAATGCCTGCATCTTTGTGTAGCATCCCAGGGTTCATTCTAGTGCACCAGTGCATCATCCCAGCATACCTGGATGTCATCCTAGTCCACTTGGGCACCACCCCAGCATACCCGTATACCATCCTACGATACCTGTGCACCACCCTGGCATACCTGTATCCCATCATGGGACACCTTTGCACCACACCAGCATACCTATATACCATCTTAGTGCATCTGTGCACCACTCCAGTATACTTCTATATCTTAGTGCACCTGTGTACCACCCCAGCACACCTGTACACCATCTTAATGCACCCGTGCACCACCTCAGCATACCTGTATAGCATCCTAGTGCACCTGTGCACCACCCCAGCGTATATTTATAGTATCCTAGTGTGCCTGTGCACCACTCTAGCACATTGGTATAGCATTCTAGTGCACCCGTGCACCACCCCAGCATATCTGTATACCATTCTGGTGCACCTGTGCACCACCCCAGCATACCCGTATCCCATCTTAATGTGCTCGTGCACCACCCCAGCATACCTATATCATATCTTAGTGCACCCATGCACAACCCCAGCCTACCTGTGTCATACCTTTGTACCATCATACCTTTCTACCATCCTGTTGTACCATCATGGCATACCTATGTTCCATGACAATGTAGCAGTGTACCATCCCCATGTAGGCGCCATAAAATCCACTATCATACCTTTTCCCGGATATGTGTTTTCTGAACAAGTGAATGATCAATTTCAAATGTTTGACTGAGCATCCGTTTTAAGACCTGCCTTGGCACTCCAGTAGTTCATTTCTGTGGTTCTGTACTTGAATGGAATTTGTCAGGGCGGGGCCATCACTGCAAGCTTCGATAACTGCATTTGCAAGGGATTGACTCCCTGCTGACAGCGGGAATCCTTCGTCCCCCTCTCTAGAGCCGAGCCAAGCCAACTTGCCTGTATCTGAAGGGTAATCAGGCCAGTTATGCGGATCACAGTACTGAGTATGTGAAAACTCTTCCTACCTTATATGCTAGGCAGAATTTGGTATTTCCCACAGGAGAGAAAGGAAGGAACCAGACTACTACGTGCTAAGGTCTGTGCTGGTACTCTATATCCATGCTTTAATTCTGTATCTTGTTGGCATTGTTGACCTCATGTTAAGATGAGAAAACTGGTGGTTCAATAAATTGTCACTTGGGTCAAATCACAGGGTTAATTAGTGACAGGGCTGGGATTTGAACCAGGCCTTTACAGCCCAAGTGTCCACAGTCCTACACTACTTCCAGCAGGTTTTCAATGGTCAGCTGATTAGGAAATAAGCTGCTGGTGAAAAAGGATACCGGCAGCTCTACAATTGAAGGATTTCATAGACACCCATTCTACTCTCTCCCTTAGGTCAAGCTCCAGGGTGTAAGATTAATAGAATCTTTGGCCTGTACCCAGATACTCCTTGACTGCTTTGCTTGGTCTGGCTGAGATACCACCTCTCAGAACCTCTGTTTCCAACACAGTAAACGCGTGAGTATCCACTCGTTGGAGCTAGTCTGTTGAAAACCCATGGCACACGGAAAGGACTGCTCAAATTCCCCAATTAGTAACACGTTGTCGGTTTCAATTATTTTCCGGGTGAAACTGGGCAGGCAGAATTCTCAGCTGAGTTGAAATACAATTTTTTTTTTCATTCTTTTGCAAAATACATTTTTAATTCGTTTGGATTTTAAAATAAAAAAAGCCAATTCCAAGCACAAACTAGTGTGACCCAGATTGAGACAAGCAAGGGAAGAAGGGGCAAAGAAGGGAGACGAGTCTTCCTCTAAGCCACAGCTCAGAAGTGTGGAAATCAGCATGTAGGAGAAAAACTGTCCAAAGGCCATTCGAGCTGGGCTTCCCAACATCCAAGTGCAGTGCTCTATTTGGTACCTGGCATTCAGATGTTTTATCAGTTCTCACTATGGAGGGAGGGTAGAAGGGTTGGGGAGAGGTATCTCTATCTGAGATGGGATCTCAGAAGCCAGGAACAGAGCTGGCATTGGACAGGGATGGCCTGGAGGTGTGGGGTCAGAGTACCATGAACCAAAGGCTATGTCCCAGCAAAAGACAGACATGGAAGGTGAGTGTAGAATAGATAATGATGTGTTCATCAAACCCCATTCCCTTCCTCTGGGAAAACAGTTGGATGACATTTCCCAACATCTGTTTGGATAGGACCGTGGGACTGGGCAGTTCAAAACTGCAAGCCAGAGATGTGGATGAGGAGATGGGTGGGCAGTTGTGCTTGGTGCACATCTCTGCTCTGTGACACCATCAAAAAAGCACCCCCAACTCCACGTCCCCTCGCTCCACTTTACTTTTCTTCATTACCCTTAACACAACCTGTAGTGTGTATGTTTATTCACTTAGTATCAGTCCTAACCACCAGAATGTAAGCTCCATAGGACAGAATTCTGTTCTGTTCCCACTGGCTGACAGCCCATGTGTTGCTTGGCCTCAGTACACACCTGTTCAATCACTTACTACCCAAATCTCTCCAGGACGGGAACTCACACTCCTTTACTCTTTGTTCTCTTTCCACAACAGTTTTTTTTTTTTAACACTGTTATTGAGATACAACTTATATATGTATCATAAAATTCACCCATTTAAAGTGAGAAGTTTAATGGGCTCTAAGTTATTTATAGAGTTGTGCGACCATCACCCTACTCTAAATTTAGAACATTTTTACCACCACAACTGCAAACCACATACCCCATGAATAGTGATTTCTCTGCCTCCAAACCCTAGGCCACTACTCATCTACTTCCCGTCTCTATAGATTTGCCTACACCCCCTAGACGTTACCTCTCCATGCCCCTAACAGTCCCATCCATCCTCAAATTCATCCACCCATTGACTACCTTTTAATCCATTCATCTACCCATCAATCTATTCGCCCATCCATCAACCCAGGTATCCATTCACCCATCCATCCATCTACCCATCCACCCACCCATCCACTCATCCACCTATGCATTCATCCACCAATTTACCTATCCACCCATTCAGCCATCCACCCACCCATCCATCCATCTATACATCCATGCAGGTACTCACTTATTCATTAATATGTTTTGAGCTCCTTCTGCATCCCAGACCCAGTACTAGCCCTGGCACTAGAATGGAGAGCAATGCCACCTTGAGAAGCCTCCATCTGGGTAGGGGAGACAGTCACAGGAAGGTGTTACTTCAACAGCACATAAGAAAGGCCACCATCGAAGCAGGTGCGACCTGCTCAGACTTAGAGAAAATTTGTCAGACACAAGACTGGAGGTCACCCTGGAATTGGGAGAGACTGCAGACAAAGGATGGATGATGAAAGCAAAAACTGCTGGGTCATGGGATGAGGCCTGCAGGGGTTCGGGGGCAGGCAAGAAAAGAAAAAGAGATGTGAAAAGTGTTTGTAACTGCAGAGGGTTGGACGCATTGACAAGATCCTTATTAAAGAGACTCAACTGACTTCAGTTTTGAGCAGAACCTATCCTGGTTTCTAACAGCCTGTCCTCCTAATAAGGGGAGACCACAGTCATATGACAGTTTCATTTCCCTCAAAACATTCTTGGCACTTTCCTTCTTCTCTTTTTCCCATCTTTCTGGGGGTTCATTTCCTTCTGTTGGGGAAGTGTGGAGAGCAAAGCTTTGGCACCTCTCCAGTGTTCCAGGAGAAGGCTTACCACCGCCTTCTGCCCCAACCTGAAATCTCTGCAAGGGTGGAGAGATTGTCAAATCAGCGACCTGGTCTTTTACAAAACCTGAGCTGGCTGCTGGATGCCAAGTGATGCTATCAATTGATTAAAACACAGCCTGCCAGCTTCCTGCTTGATAAGAAGGAGCACAATCTGATGAGGAAGTCTCCAGTCCATTACAGAATGAGGAGTTCACCAACTTCATCACCACCTGCTCCTTCCCACACATCATCAAACTTTCAGTGATCATTTCCATGCAGCAGTGAAGCACGGAGCATGCTCACAGCGTGGCCCTGCCCCAGGATGGGGTGGTGGCTGCTGGAGGTAATCACCAGTCTCCCAGTGCCCCGCTGAGCAGGGCTGCCTCTAACCATGCACCCAATGAGGGGTTCAAGGAGTGGGGAATCTGGCAGCTTCTTGCAGCAGATGCCAGACTCAGTAGGGCATACATCATACCCCCCTCCATCCCCTCCCCTCCCCTCCCTCCCTCCCTCTCCTCCTCTCCCTCCCTCCTTCCTTCCCTCCCTACCTCCTTCCTTCCCTCCCTCCCTCTCCTCTCCCCTCCTTCCCTATCTCCCTCCCTCCCTCTGTCCCTCCTTCCCTCCCTCCCCTCCCCTCACTCCCTCCTTCCCTCCCTCTGTCTCTTCCCTCCCCTCCCTCCCTCCCCTCCCTCCATCCCATCCTCCTCTCCCCTCCATCCCTCCCTATCTCCCTTCCTCCCTCTGTCCCTACTTCCCTCCCTCCCCTCCCTCCCTCCTTCCCTCCCTCCCTCCCCCCTTCCACTCCCTCCATCCCCTCCCTCTCTCCCCTCCCCTCCCTCCTTCTGTCCCTCCTTCCCTCCCTCCCCTCCCCCTCCCTCCCTCTCTCCTCTCCCCTCCCCCGTCCCTCCCTATCTCCTTCCTTCCATTAATCAAAAACTATGCATTAAGACCTCTGTGAACAAACACTGTGTGAGGAAATAGGGATACAATGGCAGAGAAGGGACAGGACAGAATAGAACAGGACAGCAAAGGAAAGGAAAGAAAACAGAGGAAGGAAGATAGGAAGGGAAGTGAAGGGAAGACCCAAAGCCATTGTCCATGCTGGCATGGAGTGGACAGGCCCGGAGGGGAAGCAATGTTAAATTAACGTGAAGTGCTAAGAGGAAGAGGTGCACGGAATTAGAAGAGAATAGAATGGGCAAGATTGACCAGGTCATGAAGCTTCTTTGAGGAAGTGACAATTGAGAATGAGAATAAGTATGTCTGTCTGTTCTAGCAGAGGTAGCAGCAGATGCAAAGATCCTGCTAGAAGAGGGAGGTTAAGGGTTCATGTAGCTCAAATCATGTAGCTCACAGGGCTGTATGGCAGGCATAGAGAGAGAGGGGAAGCCAGGCAAGCTTCTGGGGCTGGATAAGCAGAAAGATCTTTGAGACCCTGAGAAAGAATAAGGTCTCCATCCTGTGAGCAAATAAGCAATGTGATGGTGGTCTTATTCGACAGGCAGAGTGATATGGTCATCTTCGCCTTCTGTCCCCTTCTCTGGCTGGCTCCTGAGAGGCAAGGCAGGAATGTGTTACCCCTCCTGGTAGAGTGGCCAACTTGACAAATACCAGTGGTGGTAGGGATGGAAAAAGTGTGTTAGATGGAGTGAGGGCAAGGGATCAGGCTAGTGATAGCAACCAGCAGGTGCCAGGTATTTCCTTTGAGAGCTTCCTCCCATTCTCTCTCTAACTGAATGGCACAGCACCCCTTGATGGGGTCTATTGTTGGACCACCTGGAAGACAATAAGTCTTGCACAGAGTTAAGGGACCTGCCGACAGTCACCTATCAAACAAACATCAGAACCAAGGCAACCGTCCAGGTCCCCTGAGAATCCACTGAATGCCCTCCGTCTTCTTAGTCAACTGGTGATGACGAGGCTGGCGTGACAAGGCTGGTGTGACAATGCCTCCCAACTTGGATTTCGTTGACCACTACCTCCCCACCCAGGAACCAGAGGGCTCAAGTGACCCAGGCCATGGTGGCCGAAGAAGGAGCAGAGCCAGTGTATCTGCAGATGACCTCAGAGGTGACTCAGCCTTTCTGGCCACAGACACGTCCACCGGGCAATCACAGGGCTGAGTCCTTACCAGGGGTCAGCCAGGTTCACTTTTCATAGTCTTTGGTCCCTGCTATGGTGGGAGGGAAGGGCTCAGCCCTTCACTTTAACAAGGGGAACAGGAGACAGCCTCCCTTGGAAAAGGCCCAGGGCATATTCCAGATGGCAGCCTGGGTCAGGTGGAGTTATGATACCCCTCGTTGGTCCAGCTTTGGGCTCAGTTCTCACAAAAGGGCCAGGGTGGGAGCTGCTCACACTGGCCTGCTGGTGATGATACTCCACAGCTAGAGCCGGTGGAGCAGCTGGCAGCTGCGGAAAAGGGGTGACATGTGTGCATGTGCACGTGTGTGTGTGTGCATGTGTGTGAATGCATTTTCACTAAAAGCTACTTAACCAGAGAAAGGACCTGAAGGTCTGGCCTCCCAGCAGCATCAAGCATGGTACAGCTGAACAGGATTTAGAACCAGGCAGATCTGGCTTTGCACCTTGGACCTGCCATTAGAAGTTCTGTGGCCCCAGGTAAGCTGCTCAACTTTCCTGCCTCAATTTATTATCTATAAAAATGGACATCATGCTTCTTGGCCTGATTGCCTGATTAGACTTTTATGAAAATTAACCTGATAAATAAGTCAAAGAATTTAGCATGAGACGTGGTATAGATACCAGATAAAAGCCAGTTTCCTCCAGGAACAGTGATCTCTTTAAAGGCTGTGTTCAAACCCCACCCCTGCCACTACTTGCTGTGTGACCCTGGGCAAGTGTTTTGACCTCTCTGTGCCTCAGTTTTCTCACCTTTAAACAGAAATAATAATACTACTTGCCTCATAGGGTTGTTTGAGGAGTAAATATGTTAAGATACTCAAAGTCATACGACAGCGATTGGCACACAGGAAGTACTGCTCTTTCCTTCTCTGTCACCCATTTGTTGTGATTTTATGACCAGTTATTTGTATTTATTTATTTATTTTTTACACAGATGCTCTGACTCTCCAAACAGGCTGAATGCTCCTTGAGGACCAGAGCTGAGTTTTATCATTCTGATAACCGTCTCTGAGCCCAGCACATAACAACAGTCCTACAACTGTACATGAAGTACACATTGAATTTAGTTGTAGTAAGTCCATGAGCACAAACTGACAATCTGAGACAACAAAAGTTTATAAGAAAAAGGTTTTTTTAAAAATATCTCTTGAAAACCTTAAGATCAGGTGATTTAAAAGCACCACTATTACACTTGCAATGTGTCTTCTCTGAGCAGGAAGATCTGTCGGGTTCCTCCTGAATCTTCCTTCTGTCCAAAAGATTTAATACAACTAAAAGCAGCACACAGACTCGGTGTCTTGCCAAACAGAAGTAAGCTACAAATGGCCCAGGGGCGGCCAGCGGCTGGCAGAGAGCATATGAATGAATTAGCAAATTAGCAGAAAGGACTTCTGCTGAAAAACTAATAAAGCATCCAACCAATAATGGGATAGATTTTTAACTGATGGAACTCTATAAGGATCTTGCAGACAAAAAATCTGGACCACTGTGGATAATGGGAGGAATTTTGGGAGCACTTATTGATTGCTTCAACACACATCACAGAGAAAATAAAAGGTCAAAAGAGATAATAAACCTGATTACGGAGTGTCTCGCATGACTCTCCAATAACTATCGCTTCCATGCTCACCCATAACTTTCCCTGCCAGCTCAGGAACCCCTCTTTTCATGTGGGGCTCATCTCCCTTGATTGTTAGAGGCAGAAATATAGTGATAGGCAAGAGAAGCATTTCTGGTTCCCCTATAGTTCCAAATTAGTAGCTGCAGAATGAGAAAATGAAATTTATGTAAAATAAAGAAAACCAACTTTTTCAAAATGGTTATTTTCACTCACATTTTGAAAAAGTTTTGAAAGTGATCTTAGATTCGCCCTGGTCATTTTATTTTATTTTATTTTTAACTCTTAGGACAATCTGAGAAAATACAGATGTAAGCCATGTGTTTTTCACATCTAAAACATAAACATAACAATATTTTACCCAAAGACTGATTTCATATCACCCTGATTTCAGTACCTAGGTTCTAGGAAATAAGTTCTGTGAGACAAAAAGATTCTCCCGCATAAGAAGGTTCTGCAGAAAATGCTGTTTGGTTATTGCTCATTCAACCCAAGTTACGCAGCTATCTTTAGAGCAGGACTTACCAGTGCCTTTAATGTGCTAATTAATAATTGGCTTTATGAGTCTCCGAGACAGAGAGAGAGCATAAAATATTTCTTAAATTCATTTGACCACTAGCTTTCCTCTGTAACATTACTTGGAAGAATAATTAACTATCCTAAAAGAAATCAATCCTGTTGCTTTTCACCTTGGGTGGGATAGAGCTACGTGTTTGAGAAATAAAGTTTATTGCAGATCATACTCGTAGCTACTCCATGGCCTTCTGACTTGTGGAGGTCCCCCTCCACCTCCTACAAGGTGGATTTTGAGTAGACTAGTCAACAAATTCTAAGCAGTCCATCCTAAATCTGCTGCCCAGATTTTGTACAGCTTAAGTCAGTGGTTTTGACTTGGTGGTCGAGGTGAGAGAGGTTGGGGAGGCCTAAAGTTCCACTCCTTTTTGCAAAGAACATCTATTGAAATCTCCTCCAAAACACTGTTTTATATACTTTCACAAAGACCTTTTAATTAGGTAAGTAGGACCCATTCAGTTATAGAACCTCCAGATTTTAATGCTAAGAACATTGTCTCTAATGATGAACTAGTGCAAAAAAAAAAAAAAAAATTCCCATGTGACTCCAGTTTCGTGAAGTTCAACGTCAGGCAAAACTAATCTATGATGATAATAGTCAGAGTAGTGGTTTTTTAAGGGAGGCATCGACGGAAAGCAGCCTGAGGGAGCCCTCTTGGGTGTTGAGAATATTCTATATTTTGATCTGAGTGGTGGATATATGGGTATATGTGCCTATACAAATTCGTGGGCCTATCATGCACTTAAGAATTGCACATCTTATTGTATTATTTAATCTCAATTAAAAAATTAAGTAAAAGAACCTAAATGATTGAAAGAAGGCATTTTTTCTGTTTGGGGGCAATCCTGAAATGGTTTTTAAAATGAAGAAAAAGAACAGGAAGAAAAAGCCCCGTTGTCCGTTTGGATCCACTCCAAAGATATGAATAATTCTCATATACCCTTCGGGGAAAAAATCCTATTTTATTACCCAATATGCAAAAGGTTAATGTGAAGGGAAGGCAGAGGAAAAGATGGCTCACTGTCCACATAGACCTAATGCTTCTCAACTTCGGAGACTACATCCTTGGCCAGGACCCTGGGTGACTCTGGAGCACCCCAAGTTGTTGGGAATCCCCGTGGTTGCTAAGAATCCCTCCCCCTTGCTCTTGATGGTAAACAGCTCTGCTTTCATCTCTGCGTATGGATGAAGATTTCCAGCCTGCATTTTAAATGAGAATCTTTCCACGCAGGGGATAAGGCCCTGTGCTCACAATGCTCAGGTTAAGAAACTACAAGGAAATTAGACAGCCTGTCAATCCATTTATCTGAAAGGGATGTGGTTACAAATCAGTGGAAGAACTATTTGCATCAAGCATCGAAAAGTAGAAGTCTCAAGACTTAAAAAATCTGTCCCTGGAGACCTGGAGTGACGCATTGGCACGCCTGGCGCTGCCACCACGGATAACTCATCCTGCTCATTTTGAGTTAGAAGAGCACGCAGAGGGAGAGAGCTGGGTTCTGTCTTGTGCCAGCCAGCCAGGGTACCCCTTGTGAACCTGCCTTTTCCTCCAATTAATGAAGAAAATCAAACCTTGTGAGGACTTTAGGGGACCAGGAAGGAGAAAAACACCTCGTGTTGGGTGTCCAGAAATGTTAGGTCCTCTCCTCTCACCCCCTTACTCTCCAGGTGCAGGTAGGAGGCTCTGGGGCGAGACTGCTTGGGATTGGAGCTTGGTCCTGCCACCTAGTACACTGGTGACCTTGGGTGGCAAGTTCTGGAGCCCACATAATCACTCTATGTAAATGGAAGTCTATAATGTAACATTCCACCAACACCCAGGTTTACTCTGAGGATGGCATTAACAAAACAAGGAACGGGTCGAACATGCTATCTGGATCACAGATGGTGCTCCTCACATTGTAGGCTGCTAGAATTATTTTATTATTAATATTATTACCATTATTAGAGAGACTGAAGGAGTCAGTCTTCAAGTTAGGCAGCTTTCAAGGGGACAATGCATCTCAGCCATTTATAAGTTAATTTATCCTGTGTCTTGCTATGTCAGAGGCACCCTTAGAGAATGCAGTGCACAAAGCAGCTTTCTTACCTCTCGTTCATCAACCTTCCGGGAGCATATCATGAGGACTAATATTCCCTTGAACGTCACCTCAATTAAAAAGTTAATTAAGAAGAACTGAAATGACTGAAAGGAGGCTCTAGTGTCATGCCCTAGGCAAGAATAAGGCAGGATCATCTCTCCTTCCAGACTTTTCTACTGCCCTGTTGGCCTTTCAGGGCAGAGAACATAGTGCCATGAAGCCAGAGGGAGAGATGAACTACCTCAACTACTCAACTTAATTTGTTGATGCCTGAAACTAGAGAAACGTGGCAACTATTCAAAATCATTTATTCATCTCTCTACCCATCCATCCATCTATCCATCCACTTACCCATCCATCCACTCATCCATCCATCCACCCATCCCCACACATCCATCCACCTATCCACACATCCATTTATCCATCCATCTATTCCTCTATCTATCCATCCATTTGCCCATCCATCTACTCATCCATCTATTTATCCAGCAATTTATTCATTCATCCACCCACTCACACATCCATCTATTTATCCATCCATTTATTCATTCATCCATCCACCCATTCATCTATTTATCCATCCATCCATCTATCCATCCATCCTTTGTGTACTGAATATGTGTTTTGCATCAGTTCCCGTGATAAGAGTTGGGGATATAAAGCTGAGTAAGAGGAGTTGATTCCCTGGGGGAAATTCTCAGAAAGAGAGCAGACAAGCAATCTTACTGCATGAGGGAAGGGCAACAGTAGAGGGAGGAACTTCCCTGTTGGGGAACAGAAGTACCTAATTCAGTCTAAGTGATCAGGGAAGCTCCTTAGAGGAGGAAACATCTCAGACTGAAAGAAAGTGGTGGAGAGGAGATCCAGAGAGAAAAGACAACATGGCCAAAGAGATGGCCCGAGAAGCTGAATGTTAAACTTCCTTGCAGGGCAGAAGATGAGGGCAAAATAGAAGGCAAAGCTTCAGGGTACGGAAAGTGTTCTGCTCTGACAAAAGTCCTTGTGGTTTATCTGGTAGGAGACAGAGGGCCAGGTGGAATGGGTCTGTGTGAAACGCAGCCAGCTTAGCTTTTCTAACGGTGACTCTGGGCAGGTTGGAAAGAGACAAGGGTGGTCAGGGCCCCGGCAATGTCCAGAAGCTGAGCAGTGATGAAGGCCTGAAGAGGAGGGCAGGCACCCTAGAAATGCTCAGGAGGTAGAGCATAAGGTAGATGGAAAAAAGCTAACAAGGATGAAAGCCATCATCTCATGAGGAAAGACAAGTTGGTTTGGAACGGGTGTGTCTAAGTGTCTACACCTGTGTGTGGCAAGGTAGAGTGGTCCAGGAGGCAGTTATATTTCAAATCAAAAGCAGATAGAGTGAAAAGATAAAAAGGGCCAACGATGACCCATCAGGGAACCCTAATGTTGAAATGGCAGTGATTCTGCAGGTGATCTGCCTGAACTGCTGTGCGTCTTTAAAATATCCTGGACACAGGCACGGCTGGAAATCTCCCTTCGTCTTGATAGAATAGCCAGCCTTTCAAACGAGGCAGGAATAAAAACATCACCCCAGAGACTGAGATCCATCAAAACTTTCTATACCCAAGGAAACCCAAGACCTGTGTGGGCTGGGCGAGCAGCCTGTGGAGATGCTGTAGAGGGGATTCCTCTGCCTGAAAGCACTAGCTGAGCTTTAAGAGTCTCTGGTTTTAATTAGATAAATAAATTATGATACACTCATACAATGCAACTCACTGCAGCCTTTAAAAAGAAAGAGACAGATCTATATGCACTGACATAAACAGATACCTCAGATATATGGTTAAATGAATATAGAAGTATATGCATGCACACATACACAGACACACACACTCACACATGCATAAATATATTATAAGACTTAGAAAAATGTATGCCAGACTGTTACAGAGATTGGAAAGTGGTACATAGTACTTTCACTCTCAAAGTTCTATGCATTAAGAAATACAGATAAATATTTGTTTTGTACTGAGAACAAAACAGTGACCATAATGCAGTGAAGGTAACACAATTCTGCTATTTCTAACTGTCCAGGTCTCACTCTTGGGCTGTCATGTTCCCCAGAAATGGGCTCTGTGATGTCAGAGATGAATGGAGAAGGAAGAGGCGGGGTGATTTACTGAGGATGTTTTCTGGCATTATGATCAGATGAGACGCCCAAAGTGTGATAACCAAGGGAACCACAAACACAAGCTAGGGAAATCACGTTGAGAATCAGAGAAAATGGTGATGAGAATCAATAAATGGAAACAAGTCACAGATAGTCTGAATTCCGAAAGGATAGAACGGAAAGGGAAGGTGAGAAGGGGAGGGTAAGCAGTTCGAGATAGGATGGGGTTATTGAGACCCAGCAGCCTGATATCCCGTGGAGCTTACTATGTGCTTTCAGGGCAGGCCTGACGGCTGAAAACAGCAGTGAGGACCAGACTCAAAGGCACATCAGTAATATTACAAATGGGGCAAACACCAACCTGAGTGGGCAGTTAGAGGAACCGAGAGATTGGGAGGTAGTAGCTGCCTCATGAAATTAACCAGAACTTAGATGTGGATAGAACCCTTGGTCTGCCAAACAAACCAGCAAACAAAAGTCTTCTCCTGTGGCATCTGATTGCATTCTTCATGCAGGTTCTTCTTTGTTGAACACAAGAAACAGGCAGAGAGCCAGCTTCGCAGTCTCGAGTCCCAGTCAATTCTGAAGCTGTCACACCACTGCCCCATTTCCCCATAGTGAAATCAATCACCAACATCCCAGGTAGAACCTTGGTTTCTAAGTCCTGGTATCCCCTGCCTCCCGGTGGTAAATAAGCCTGGATTTGCATGCACTGCTGCTATGCCCAGAATGCCCAGCGACTAACATGTAACAAAATAAAAAATATTCTGCTCCAGACAAGTAAATTACGCCAACTGATGAACAATTTTTCTTGAGAAGATGTGCTTACCCAAATCTAATAAACCAAGCCCTGAAAAGTCTCTTCCTATGAGCCTTGGGATAGCACTGGCTAGACAGATAGGAAGTAGGTGATTGAGAATCTCTTCCTCTTAAAGAAATGGAGGAAAGGGGGATTTTAGTGAGAAGAATTTAGACCTACTCCGGCTGTGAGTGCAGCCCCTCTGCCCAGCCAGGCCTTCATAAACAACAGGTCTCCTCTCCCACTTCTTTTCTACGTACCCGGAACTGACAATGAGGGCCTGAGAAGACCCCAGTCCAAGCTATTAATTAATTAATTCAAAGTCAAGCTCAAAATATTTTCCCCCAAGACCATATTGCAAAGATCTCTGTGAATAAAAAGAGCCTATCTAATAATAAAACAAAGTGCCTCCATGAGATAGAGCAGGCACGGGCATGAGAGTTGAGGACCGGGTGCCTAACGGTCTGCTCAAGCCAAGAGGCCCAGTGGACCTCTCAGACCACACATGAAGAATGCAGGCAGGGAGGCATTTATGAGACCCGCCTGGGGCTGGGATTAGGGTGAGGTGAGCGACGCATTCATTCCGGGTGCAAAATTTAAGGGAGCACCAACCAAAATTCAACACTATAATTAATACAAAAAGTCAAAACAAATGCAAAACAATCCATGATGTGCAACGTATCCGAATTTTAAAGAAAGACCGGATCTGACCCTGTATTTGGGCAATTTACATGGCTCAGCTCACCCTTACCCCAGCCCATTTGTTCTATATATAGCAAAAGAAAAAAAAAATGCTTTTGACTCAGCAATCCCCCATCCCAGGTCTAAACCCAACAGAAATGCATAGATAACAGTGTCACCAAAAGACACATATGGGAACTTTATAGCAGCACCTTACCATAGCCCCAAAGCTTAAATGAATACAATGTCCATCAATCATGAAAAGGTTAAGTAAATTGTAGTCTACTCACACAACTGCCGTTCAGCAAGAAAAAAAAAACAACTATTGCTATATGCAACATGCAGCGAATCTCATAAACATACTCATGGGAGAAAGAGGCCAGACCCAAAAGGGAACATTCTTTAAGTCCATTTACATAAAATTCAAAAAACTGGCAATATTATTCTTTGGTGTTAGAAGTTAAGAGAGATATGAGATCATACTAGGAGGTTAGTGATTGGGAGGGCTATGAAGGGGGTCTGCAGAACTGGTTATGATCTATATCTTAACATAGGTGCTGGTTACATGGATGTTTTCTTTTTCTTTTTTTTTTGGAGGTAGAGACTCACTCTGTCATCCAGGCTGGAGTGCAGTGGCACAACCTCAGCTCACTGCAACCTCATCTCAAGGGTTCAAGCAATTCTCCTGCTTCAGCCTCCTGAGTACTTGGGATTACAGGTGTGCACTACCATGCTCAGCTAATCTTTCTGTTTTTTTTTTGTTTTGTTTTGTCTTGTTTTGTTTTGTTTTTTGTTTGTTTTTTTGTTTTTGTTTTTTTGAGACGGAGTCTCACTCTGTTGTCCAGGCTGGAGGACAGTGGCATGATCTCGACTCACTACAACCTTTGCCTCCTGGGTTGAAGCAATTCTGGGCCTCAGCCTCCCGAGTAGCCGGGATTACAGGTGCCTGCCACCACGCCCAGCTAATTTTTGTATTTTTAGTAGAGATGGGGTTTCACTATCTTGGCCAGGCTGCTCTTGAACTCCTGACCTCATGATCCACCCACCTCAGCATCCGAAAGTGCTGGGATTACAGGAATGAGCCACCGCACCTGGCCTCTTTTTGTATTTTTAGTAGAGACAGGTTTTACCATGTTGGCCAGGCTGCTGTTGAACTCCTGATTTCAAGTGATTCTCCTGCCTTGGTCTCCCAAGTGCTGGGATTACAGGCATGAGCCACTGTGCCCAGTCTCGGTTACATGGAAGTTTTCACAAAATGAAAATCCATTGACCTGTGGTCTTTTATTTCACTAAGAAGACAAAAGAGTTGATAAAAGGGTGGAGCTAATGACAGCCACCTCAGCTTGCATTATGAGTATGTGCATTATGAGCATCATGAAAACATTTTCTTTGCTGGAAAGAAGACATCAATACTTCCTGAGAAAACAAGTTCCAAGGAAAGACTTTGCTTCCCCCAAAGCCTTATCAAGAGCAAAGACCTGCCCCTTAGTCTCTATTCTTGGTGGATGTGTATTCATGGAACTGGTTTTTTTTTTTTTTCCTTGAGGGCTACAATCCCAGGTTACATAAGGATTTCCCTGAAAATCAGGCTCTTTCAAAAAACCCACGATTTATGATCCTTGGGTCATTTCCATGGTGACAGCAAATGAGAAATCTCTCCACTGCTATTTCCAAAGCCTTCTATCATGTTTAGCCTAGCCAGGAATCCAGAGCTGTTGAACACAGTTGTATTGGTTTTCCATTGCTGCCATAACAAATGACCATGAACTTTGTGGTGAAAAGCAACACAGATTTATTATATTACAGTTCCACGGGTCAGAAGTCCAGTATGACTCTCACCTAATGAAAGCCAGGGAATTAGCAAGCTATGTTTCTTCCTGGAGGCACTGGGAAAAAATTGGGTTTGCCCATTCACAGGGTTGGCAGAATTTAGCTCCATGCAGTTGTAGGACTGAGGTCTCTGTTTCCTTGCTGGCTGTCAGCAGGAGTGGCTCTCACCTCCCAGAGGCCTCTCTCTTCTCCTTGTATAAAGCTTCCTATATCTCAGAAGTAGCCACAGGGAGTCAAATCATTCTCAAGCTTCCATCTCTGGGACCACACCCAAGACAGTTTCTCCACTTTTAAAGACTCATGTGATCCGATTGTATTCCCACCCCAGAGAATCCAGGATAATCTCCCACCTCAAGGTCTATAACCTCAATCACATCTGCAAAGTTCCTAGGGGAAAAAAACCCCACTATTTCTCCACATAGTACTCACACCACACTTCTGACACCAAATGTGTAGGAGTTTTCCCACACTAACCAATCCTCTAATTCTCAGCAGACACTGACTGAGTGTCCCGGTAACCGCCTGGAGTTATGCAGATCCCGTAGATGAAGGGCTCAGTCCCATGAGACTGGTCCCATTTCAGACATCAGTCATAAGTCTGGGCCTCTGGGACATCTGACAAACTGGCTATAAATTGGGGGTTCCCAAGACTCCCTCCTTGGGTTCTATAATTTGCTAGGGTGCCTCACAAAAAGTCAGAGAAATATTTATTTACATTCACCAGTTTATTGTAAAGGGTGCAACTTAGGAACAGCCAAATGGAAGCAACGCATAAGGACAGGTATGGTGAGTAGGGTATGGAGCTTCCATTTTCCTCTCCAGGCGTGTCACCCCCCCAGACACCCTGGTGTGTTCACCAACCTAGAAGTTCTCTAAACCAGGTAGTTTACAGTTTTTACAGAGGCTCTATTTGGTAGGCGTGATTGATTAAATCATTGGTTATTGGTGATAGAATAGCAAAAGATGTGGCCAAACTCGGTGGCTCATGCCTGTAATCCCAGCACTTTGGGAGGCCAAGGTGAGAGGATTGCTTGAAACCAGCAGTTGGAGACCAGCCTAGACAACATAGTGAGACCCCATCCCTAAAAAAACATTTTTTTTTAAATGGGACATAGTGTCTTTCACCTGTAGTACCAGCTACTCAGGAAGCTGAGGTAGGAGGATCACTTGAGCCCAGGAGGTCAAGGTTGCAGTGAACCCTGATCACACCACCACACTCCAGACTAGGTGACAGAACTGTCTTAAAAAATAAATAAAAGATGCTCACCTTACTTCTATCACTCAGGAAATTCTGAGAGTTTTAGAAGCTCTCATGCCAGAAACCAGGGTCAGAGACCACATATAGATTTCTTCTTATGCCACAGTTTCTTTTTGCCAGGTAATGTAACATTCACAGGTTCCAGAGATTAGGGCATGAATATTATTCTGCCTGCCGCGACTGTTAAAATGAAACTTTTCTCCTAGTTTTTATACTATCTCAGAATTTTGATGCTCAAAATTCTCCAGCTTCCCTTGTGCTGATGAAGAAAAAGAATTAAGACATGCATGGGACTTCTGCAAGGAGCAGAAACAGTCTCTACACTGGTCCATTCGTTCAACAAATATTTGAGCACCAGCCACACGTCAAGCTTACTTCTGGGCACCATGGACACGGGAAGGAACAAATCAGAAATATCTCTGCCTTTATGGAGTTTCTATTATAGTGTGATGGAGATAACACACACACAAAATAATTAAAATAAATGGCTTGATAGATGTTTTCTAAAATGACTCCAGCAGATTTCCCCAGCTGACCCATGAGATAACCATAGTCTTGGCCACCATTTTTCTTGCAGCCTTGTGCGAGACCCTGAGCTAGAGGAGTTAGCTAAGCTATGCCCAACTTCCTGACCCACAAAAATTATGAGATAAAAATGTTGCTATTTTAAAGCCACTAAGTGTAGGAGTATTTGTTATGCAGCAGTAGCTAACTAGTACGTGTCATGTCAGATGGAAATAAGTCTTAACTTTAAAAAAAATAGAGCAAAGAAAGAGAATAGGGAATTCCAGAGAAGAGTTTGGCTGCATTTTGGAAAAGGGTCATTTCGGAAGATTGCAGATGGTATTGTAACAAATAAAAGACTCAAAAAGGGCTTCTAGGCAGCCATCATTTCAGAGTAGGGTGAGGTTTTCTGGCATTGACTAGCAAAATCAGCAGGCTTAGAACTGTCGTACACAGTGAATTTCAAAGACACAACCTAAATTCTTTTACTGTACTTTATTACTCTCCCTGCATGACACTCCTCAGGTTCTGTTATCACAGCTGCTACTAGAAATTCCCTGAGTCTTATTAACAGAGCAGTTTCTTGCCGTGGTATTATATAACATACCTCAGATATCTGCCTTCATCTATATAAATCGAGAATTCCATATGGATATAGTTTTCAAAGGAGGGAGTTCACATAAGGAAATTCTTCTCTTCATAATGCAGATGGCAGGATCTAGAGATGCTTCAATGCAAGCACATTTAATAAACAATGGGGCTATGAAAATAAACACACCAGTGGAAAGAGTAGCTGAGCTTGCCCATGATATCTAGTGTTCTTCAAATATGCAAATTCATCTCTATAACAAAGTAGGTTTTGATTTTCTAGAATCTGATCATCCAATCATGACAAATCCCTCTGATTATTATTTTTTTCCTTGCAAGTTACAATTTAAGGTTCTACACAGTAGCAGTGGGCCTGAGAATATTGGTTGATGTAATTCTTGGTCTTGGTTGAGGCAGAAACTTAAGTGAGTGTAACAATTTATATGATCAAATAAAAGCTTCTGAATAATAATAATAATAAAAACATCTTTTCTCCATCTCCCAACTCTCTTAAGTCATTTAGTGTCTCCACCAAAATGCAATGCCAGTGACTGTGTTGAAACAGCTTAAATGGTGGCACATAAATTCTCACTCTCTTCTACAAAGGAAGTTTCAGAAATTTGCAAAGGATTAATTGACCTCTCCTTGCCTCCGAATCCTCATATTTAAAACAAGCAATAATACAGAAGAAAAAAAGGCTTATTGTAAGGCTGTTTTCACTGCTATAGACAGGTACTAGTCTCCCCTTAGAAGGCACCCTTTTTTACCAGGATGGATCAGATGCTGCCATGTATGCCCCTCAACTCTCCTCACCCCACTCCACCCGCCTGCTTCCTCTGCCCCTGTTAGCTGTGAGTGCCTCCCAGGAGACCCAGCAGCGCTGCTATGTACAGTTGTGCTGGCTGTGCACTGCCCAAGGTCACTGGCCTAGGAAATAAACTAGGCCTATACCTAGCTCTTTTTTAATTTGCCTTGCCACAAACTCTGCCAGGAGGAAGGGATGCCTTTATCTAATTCACCTCACAGGCCTCATGTGGGTCTACAGTGACCCCAAGACGAGGAATCTGGTGAGGTCTAGACCCGTGGGTTCATCCTTGTCATGCTTTGAACCCCAGCACCTGGCACAATCCTTGGCATATAATGAACACTCAAGAAATGCATAGTCATGAATTGCTGAGTGGATTAATGAAGTAATTGGAAGAGACAAGGAAGGAGAAAAGAGGAAGCCTCTGAATTTTTCCCAGCAAATGAGAGAAAGCTCAGACTGTGGTGGATACAGCAGCGCTGATTCCTGCAATGCCTTGCTCACCTATCTGTTGTTCCCTATTGACTCATGTATTTCACCAGTCTTCTAGCATAACCTCTCCTCTGAGCTCTCCCAGTTCTAGAGACCAGAAGACACCACTCTGAGAGTAACAAGATATGCACAGAGACTATAAAACTAAAGGGACAGGAGCTGAAGAAGGTAGGACTTTCCATTCCCTCCTGCCCTTGCACCCAGATGAAATCAGCAGGACTGCTCATCTGTGGGACTCTTTTGCAGAAATCATCATTAAACCTGAGGTGTGGTCAGGCAGAGAGGAAGTGGTGGTATCTTAGCTCCAGTACTTGGGCACACTTGCTAAGTATAACCATAGATTATAACAACTTAGATCAAGAGGCAGCAAACTTTATTTGTAAAGGGCCACGTGGTCTCCATTGCAACTTCTCGGCTCTGGTCGTTGTAGCAGGTTAGCAGCCATAGACAATGTGCCAATGAGTGGGTATGGCTGGTTCCAACAACACCTTACTTATGGGCACTAAAATTTAAATTTCATATAATCTGTATGTGTGATGAAGGAATATCCTTAGAAGAAATTTGTTTTCAACAGTTGAAAAACTCAAAAGCCATTCTTAGCTTGTCAGCAATGGGAAAACAGGCTTCAGGCTAGCTTTGGCCCATGGGCTTCACTTTGCCTGCTCCTGGCTTAGATCGTGCTTACCTGGTGCCCACCACTGTGCCAAGTGTTTGGTTGTTTACAACTCACACCAGCTCCTTGAGATGGAGGCTATTAGTACGCCCATTATGCATATAGGAACAGAAACAGAGAGGTTAAGTACCTAGCTGAAGTTCATATGCCTGGTTAGTGGAAGAGCTGGGATTCAAATCCATGAGTTTGTTTCTGGAATCCTTGTATATAACATAACCTCTATACTATCCTAGCCCAGTAAGCAAGTGCTTTCTTCTCTTACAGCCCTTGAAAGCTAAGGATACTCTGGTAATTTACTTATTCATTTTTTTATCCATCCATTCTTAAAACCTCTCCTCAGGTGTGGAGTATACAGAGACACTTCAGCACCATCCCTGACTCTTAGGAGAGTCTAGTGGGCAAGGCAGATGTGTAGCAAGGAATTACAGAAAGATACTTCCAAGATTCTCCATCTGGATTTTTTAAGCCTTTTTAGAGAGGAGAGTAGGAAGCCCTCCCCAGATAGACAAGGTAGCACAGACATTTCAGGAGGATTATCAATGAAAGGCACAGAAGTATTTCACAGGCCTACTCGAAGCCAACTTGCAATCTCCATTGTATTAGTCATCTTTGCTGCAGTAACAAGCAGTCCCCAGATCTCTGTGAAGTATGACAGCAAGCATATATTGCTAGCACCCTCTTTTGTGGCTGGGCTGCATCAGCTGTGCTCCAACCTGCAGGTCAAGTTGGATCTGTTCCTTTTGGGTCTCATGCTCATCACAGAATGAAGGAGTAAGCACCATCTGGGACACAGTCATCTCATGGCAAGGTGTCAGGAGTGAACAGAGATGTATGGACTCTCAATGACAACTCCACCCTCCATAGGGAGAGGCACTGCAAAAGCCCATGGCATAGAAGCTATAGTAGGCGGAACGGTGGCTTCCTGCTAGGATCTGAATGTTCATGTTTCCCTAAAATTCATATGTTGAAATCCAATCATCAATGTGATGGTATTAAGAGGTGGAGATTTGAAAGGTGATTAAGTCACGAGAATGGGGTCATCATGAATGGGGTTAGTGCCTTTATAAAAAGAGGCCCCAAAGAGCTGCCTTGTCCCTTCCCCCATATGAAGACACAGGTAGAAGGCACCATCCACGAACTAGGAAGTGGACCCTAACCAGACACCAAATGGGCTGGCACCTTGATTATAGATTTCCCAGCTCCAGAACTGTGCAAAATAAATTTCTGTTGTTTATAAGCTACCCAATATTTTGTTTCAGTAGCCTCAAAAGACAAAGACACTTCCCCAAAAACATATGTCCATGTCCTAATCCCTACAATCTGTGAATATTACCTTATAGGTCAACATTTGTGATTTAGTTACAGACCTGGAAGAGTTTGTCCTGGATTATTCTGGTTGACCATAAATGCAGTCATATCTATTATTGTAAGAAAGAGGCAGAGGGAGTTTAAGGGCAGACACATAGAGAGGTTATATAAAGACAGTAGAGAGAGATGCAGCAGCAAGCCAAGGAATGCCAACAGAGCTGGAAGAGGCAAGCACCGGACCTTTGCCTGGAGCCTCCAGAAGAACCATGACCCCGCTGACACCTCAGTTTCAGACGGTCTGGCCTCCAGGACTTTGAGAGAATAAATTACTGTTGGCTTAGGCCACCCAGTTTGTAGTATTTTGTTACAACAGCCACCAGAAATTAATGCAGAAGCTAAATCTGACACACACACAGAGAGAGAGGGAGAAAGGAACAGTGAACAATAATCCCATCTGCCATCTCCACCAACATTCTTCATGGGATGGTGTTATGTTGTTGCCTACTAGGTGGTATGTGCTCTTTGGGGTTAGGCAAACCTCTGTCTGCACAACAGCCTTCCAGCTTATAGTAACCTAGACAAAAGTCTCCACAAGACCTCTGTCTGCAGAAGCGCAGACACCATGTGTCATACCCCAGTAGTTGCTTGTCATGAAACTTCCTCTGTCCCCAGCCATCCTACTCCTTCTTCTCTCTAAGCCACTGTTTCTTCACACCACGGTAGAGATTATGAGCTTGACTGGTCCCACCCAGAGGCTGGGTGGCTGTAGGCAGAAAAAGTACACAAAGTTCTGTTCATCTAATCTCTCCATGGCTCAGAGTATGCTCCCTGGGAAGCATTCTAGGACTCGTCTCTGGGAAAGGTACACTGCATCAGCATCACAGTGATTTTTTACTAGAAGAGTAAAAAAAGTACCAGTAGAGATGCAGACTGACTTCCTGCTGGAAACTTTGGGACTCATGGAGGTGTCTGCCTCTCACTTACTGGATGAGACATATAGCTAGACCTTCTCAGAGAGTGTATGGAAGAATCTTGACTGCTGACTCAAAATACTGCAAGCCCAGTTTCTCTGTTAGGGAAAATTCACCGCCATATTTTTTGGTGTTGCTATATCCTGATCATGGGCTGGCTCTTGTTTCTCTAAGCAGAAAAGATCTGACCCACCGCTAGTGCATTTGTTGCCTAGGGCTTCCATAAAGGGATCCTGTAACAGGTGGGTTACATCAACAGAAATGTATTCCCTCCCAGTTCTAGAAGTCCTAAATCAAGGTGTCACCACACTCCCTCTGGAGACCCTGAGAAACTGCCCCAAGCATCTGTCCTAGCTTCTGGTGACTGCCAGCAAGTCTTGGTGCTCTTTGGGTTCTGTCTACAACACTCCAGCATCTGCCTCCTTGAAGGGTTGTCAGATCCTTCTTTTCCCTCTGTATCTGTCTTTGTGTTTGCTCCTCTTCTTATAAGGGCACCAGTCATTGGATTTAGGATCCTCCCTAATCCAGTATAACCTCACCTTAATTAATTACATCTGCAACAACTTTATTTCCAAATAAGTTCACATTCTGGGGTTCTGGGTGGACATAAACTCTGGGGGGACACCAGTCAAGCCACCAGAACAGGCAGTAGGTCTTGTCTGCCTTTCCATTGGCAGTTAATCTAGCAGAAGTCTTTATTTTATGTCAAAATGCTTGAGGCCACATTGCATTCAAAGTCTAAGTTAATTTTCCTGATTGGTAAATTCTTACTACACAAATCTCACAGAGACACCCTGATCCCCTAACTTCAGTGTTGATGCTGAAATTATGCTGACTGTCAAAATTACATCAAACAACTGAAGTTATTTCCACCAGAAAAAAATTGATTATTTCACTTTGATTTACACGGCATTCTTCCCCCTCACCTAGAAAAGCTGACTTTGAAATCCCCTTCGGCACCGGACAATGAGAAGCAGGCTGTGTTTTAAATGGAAAAGAAAACTTCCATTATATTTGATACGTATTTTCTCTCCTTGATTTGAATGTTATAATTGGATTGGTGAGATATTTATTAGGAACTCTGTATTTTTCCCCCGCCAGCGGCTTGAAGGGCATCTCTTAACTTGCTTCTCTTTTTGGACTTCTGAGAAGTGGCTGTGAGGTATTATTCCCAACAAAACTTATTTCTTTCAACCATTTATTTAAGGGTATCAATTTCTTAATAATTCTGAGGATAATTCAGAATAATTTTCACCACCGCTGCAATTTTTAACTTCAGTGAATACGTGTCATCTATTTCTCCCAGCCGAGTACCCTCTCAAGAGCCCCTTGTCGTGACAGCCAGAAGGACTCAGAAAGGTACATACGGTGGAAGGAGCATGGCTCCTGAGGCCCGGCTACTTCCATCAGCCTCACCATTGACTAGCCAAGCACAAGCCTGCTGGCCTCAGGTTACCCATGGCTAAAATAAGAGCATTAGGCTTAACAAGTAGCCTGAAAACTTTTAAAGCTTCTGTTTTACCGAACTCTTAACCTTAAGAACAACGTGAAAAACAGACTAAAGACTCATCAGGCTAGGCACAGTGGGTCATGCGCCTAACTCCAGCACTTTGGGAGGCCAAGGTGGGTGGGTGGCTTGAGGTCACAAATTCGAGACCACTCTGGGCAATATGGCTAAACCCTGTGTCTACAAAACATACAAAAATTAGCTGAGCGTGGTGGTGCACACCTGTAGTCCCAGCTACTCAGGAGGCTGGGGTGAGAGGATAGCCTGAGCCCAGGAGGTGGAGGTTGCAGTGAGCTGAGATTGCACCACTGCACTCCAGCCTAGGTAACAGAGTTAGACCTTGTCTCCAAAAATAAATAAATATAAATATAAATATAAATATAAATATAAATATATATATATATATATATATATATATATATATATATATATATATAAAGACTCATTAGCTCAATGAGGGTTTGCCTGTGGAGAGTGGTAGGGGATTAATTATAAAAAAAAACCCAAGGGAACTCTGTAGGGTGATGGAAATATTCTTTACTCTCTTTAACGTGGTGGTTACATGGGATAATCCACTCATCAAATTCATCAAACAGTACACTAAAACTACACACATCTTAGTAAATATAATTAAGCCTCAATAATGTGGATTAAAAAGCTATCAGCTTTTATCAAAGGAATTGGGTCAAAGTATGTAAAAATCAGTAAACTATCTAACATTCTCAAGTAGTAGCATTGCAGGAGAGCCTGGGGGTTCAAATTCAAGATATTAAGTTGCTAAGAAGGACAGCTTGGTTTACGGGCTGGGCACAAGTTCAGAAATCAATTATTTCTGAATTTGAATGAAGAATGCCCAAGATTTTATTAAGTTTGTCCTTTGTTTCTCTTTGTTCAACAACCACCTTGTTTCTATTTTATTCACTCACTCAACACGTTTTTATTGAGTGTCTACACTGCTCCAGAAACGATGCTAAGTAGTTAAATCCCTTGATATACTAGCCACAACCACAAAGCGACCATCATTTAGATAAGTTAAAATTTTTATTTACAAGGACTCACATTTTCTAAGAGCTTTATAAAAAATTTTGATAATTAAAAAAGTTTACTACAAAATTAAAGTACATAAAATTCTTTAGGACTGAGAACTTAAGCCACTATCATCCCCAGTTTAAAATCTCTTCTCTTTTCTTTGAGATACATCTCCCTACTGGACAGAAATCAATGATCATACTGCCTTCTTTTGATCATTCTTTGTGGATTTCATTGTGGCTGGATTCTCTGACTCTACTCTCCAGAGTGTGAACTCCTGTTCATCTTTGCCTACAGAGGAACTGCTTTGTTTAGTTTTCTTGGACAAGAAAAATCACATGAGTGTTCCTGCTTCCCTTTTTACTTTGGTCACCAGGAAGCTCAGAACTAATTGTGTGGCCCAATCAGAGCAACTGTGTTGAATTGCTTGGTCCGTGTTTCTGCCTTATGGTTACTCCGTAGTCTTGACCTTCTTTCATAATGTGTAATTCTGTCATTATCTTATTTTTACTTTTTTGGTAATTTCTTAAGTGTTGATTTGTCACTATATCCTATAAACCACTTATAAAATTAGGCCAAATATTAATAAATAAAACTATTAAATCCATAATTTCTGTCTGTAACATGTTAACTGTTACATTGCAGGGGCTCAGTAAATATCCCCAAATTTCTCCCAACCTCACAGTTTTCAAGAAAGGATAAGTTCTTCCACTCATGTTCTTTTAAATACTGCCTATCAGAGGGTGTTATCTAAAATTAAATATTCAGATGTGACTTTTCACCTTCTGTTTGGGCCATCTTAACTTGGCCGTTATGCTGTAGCCTGAGTTTAAATACACTTAAGCTGAGATATTTGAAACCATTTTTAGAAAGAAGGAGAACCAAACTAAAATGCCTAATAGGAGTCATCCAGTTTCCCTCCCCTTTTGTCCCTTATAGCTGATAGCCTCCACCTGACACCAACTACCTGTCCCCACCACTCAGATAAGCATGATATAACAGAAGGAACTCAGGCTTTGGAGATAGTAAGAATGAATTCCAGTTCAGCTTCTTATAGCTGCATAACTTCGACAAGTTACTAACTTCTTTGAGCCTATGCTTTCTTATTTTGGAGACAAAAACAAGTATCTTATTGGGATTTCTCTGAAGATTAGGTGGGAATCCCATGTAACATAATGTGTGGCATAAAACAATTACCCAATAATTCTTACTTGAATGGATGGATGGACGGATGGATGGATGGATGGATGGATAAATGGATAGAGGATGGAAGATGGATGGGTGAATGGATGGATAAATAAATGAATGGATGAATGTATGTTTGATGGATGGATGGATGACGGATAGATGGATGGATGAGTGGATGATGGATGGATATAAAATGAAACTATGTCTTCAAACCTGGCAATCTCATACATTGGACTAAAGAAGCTGTTCTCTGTATTTTCTTGCCAGAGTTTGGAGGGGACAATATACATTTTCCTCATCTCTTTTCCCTTGACTACAAGACTATGACTTGTATGAATGCCTTGTACGAACACACACATTCACAAACACATACACACACAGTGTGGAGTTACTATTCTGTTTCTCAGGGGTGTCCAATTCTGTTTGGGGGTTGCCACATTTGCCCTTTTGGAGTATGCCCTCATCTGCAAGTATTTATAGCATTTTTCACATTTTAGAAAAACAAAACCCTGAGGATGACTGAGAACAGCCTTGTCTTCAGCTACGTTTTCAAACACAGATCTTACCTACAAGGTAAGTTATTTTATTAACTCATTTTTAAACTAAAAATTCCAAGTAGGAGGAAAACAGGTGGAAGATATTGCTGCTTCACAAAATTTTGTAAAGCATTGACATTTTTCTTTTCTGAAAAACAGCCAAAAAACACAATTCAAAATGTAATCTGGAAATCCTGATTATGGATTTCATTCCCTGCCCCAGTGTTCCTCTACAGAGTGAGGGGCAACTAAGTAACAAGGGCTTTTCTACTGCAAGGTGACAATTTGAAGGGTTTTGTATATTTTGTGAGGCTGGTTTGTCCTTGTCCCTCAGTCACGGGACAGGGGGGAAGCTTGTCAAAGGAGGAAGATTAAAATTTATAAAAAGGCCACAGAAAAGGGGACCCGTTGTTCCTAGGGGAAGAGTCCTCTGATCACCAGTATGTCCGGAAGCTCTTGCTTCCTGTCCAAAGCATAGCACTAAGACAAACAGCCACTCCCAGGGCGCAGGGACCGGAGACAATGCAGATTTCAGGGCCCGAGGGATGCATCACTGAGGGAGCCACGACTGGTCTCTGGGCCTGACGGTAAACCAGGGCTGTTAAGTGTTG